>NC_000007.14:108131779-108756779 GCF_000001405.40 Homo sapiens | reverse complement strand
TTCTTTCCCATCTTTGTAACCTTATCTACCTACAATCTTTGAGGTTGCTGACCTTCAGATTTTTTTTTCTTCTATCCTGTTTGATGACTTTGAGGGTTTGATTGTGGTATAAGGCCAATTCAGCCAACTGGCTTCATTTCTGGGAGATTTTAGGGGACCAGCACTGAGCTTCCAACTCCTGGCCTGCCTGCTATAACTCTGTGGGACTTGTATTGGGCCCTGACTTTGTTCTCTGACTCCTCCAGGTATGGAATCCACTGCTGTTGTGAGGGCTAAGGCATGCCACCTGCAGCAGAGTGTTAGTGGGTGCTGGAGTGCCTGCCTCCCTGTGGGCATTCACTAAGGTGGTGGAGGCAACGCAGCTGGTCAGGGGTCAGGGGGCCCCTGCTGAAGACTTTGTGTGTGGTTGTGCTGGAGATGGTGTTGGCGGGGGTGTGGGGTGCTGGTAGATGCAGGTCTGAGTGCCTTCTCTGTACCCTGTAAGCAGGAATGATTGCTCAGGGTATGGGAGGATCCCATGTTCTCTAGCCAGTGTTAGCACAAGGGTAGGGCACTGGCAGGGGCAGGGTTTGCTCGCTCTGTGCCTGCTAAGGCTGTATCTGCAATGGTGGTCAGCAGGGGAAGGGGGTGGGTGTGGACTGCACTCTGCATACTGGTAGGGCAAGTAAAGAAAAACCCACCTGTGCAGACATGTGCCAGCAAAGTGATGCGGGGAGTCGCCTGTGGACTTGGGGGGAAGCTGCAGTATGGGGAGGGAGGGTACGGCCTGGTATGTGGCTGTAGGGACTGCATTGTTGGAGCTCTCCACTGGTCAGGCATAATCTGCCATCACAGAAGCTATGGTGTGGGCCCCCAGGCACCTGAGACTGCCCTGCAAGCAGGCATGGCCAGGCTGGGGCCCCAGGAGAGGCCAGCAGACCAAGGGGTACTCAGGTTGAACCAGCCATGGTTCAACCTTGCAAATCTCAGGTCCAACAGTTCCCCTAGAGCTAAATTATCTTATGGGAGCAAGTTGAGCCTAGGAGGATTGCTGTCTCTGGCCATGCTGTGCTGCAGATGCTCCTGCACCAGATCCTTTAGGCTCCACATCAGCTGGTTTGCTGATGTGAAGGAATGTAATCCATTCCATCCAAAACAGTTCATCCTTATTTAGACTTTATAAACCATTATGGTATGATAGGAGTAACTGCTAAGGAGGCAGCCACAATCTATTTGAAAAACCCAGGTACTGTCTACTTTTCTTCTAGCCATTGATAGATAAAGCCAATTGATGCCTATTAACTACTAAATAAAGCATCCTAAAAGTGATTTTAAGGAGAGGTGTAGGTGCCTCTCCCACAGGGAGGCAACTTTAGTGCCCCTACCACTTCTCTAAGCAGCCCTTCCTGATACCTCGAGTGTCCGTGGTGGCTGAGGGGTCACCTCCTGTCAGGGTTCCAGAGGCCTATGATGATAGCAGGTTGCTCCTTGCCAGTACAGGTCACCCAAAGTCACCCATTCTCCTGGAGATGTTGTGATCCAAAAATGAATCCCGGTGCATGGTAGCCCCATGCAGGGTTCCCAGTTTTCTTTCCCTATAGCCCAGCTTCTGTGTCTTCCCTCTGTTTACTCTCAGTGCCTTCCTTCTGAAGATCTGTTAATAGCATGCCAGTCCTCTCAGTCCCTCCGTGGGAGCTGTTCCATTTGTCTGCATTTAGTCAGCCATCTTTCCCTCTCCCCCATAATTTCAAATTTATTGTACATTCATTGCAGATGTTGGCATCTGGATCACCCAGATTACTTCCAGCCTTTATCCAGAAGGACATCAATATTAATGAAGATCCTCATAATCTCTTCAACTGCTCAACTGCCAGTACCTTTACCTTCATTCCTCTTGTATATTCCACTTTCAAGACTGTAATGTGAACCTTATCATCAGTCAGAAACCTCATACCTCTGAAATAAGGTATTCCAACAGCCTACTCCCTGGTCTCACTGTCTTTAACAGCAGTGGTCTTCAGGCCTTGACTCCACCACAGACTTTTTCTCTTGACTCATTATTCTTTGGGTAATTCAGACATGCCCATAGATGTACCTTCCTCTCATATTCTGATAACTACTAAATATGTCTTTCTAACCCAGAATTGTCCCCTAAACTATCAGACTGTATAGTTAGCTCTGCTGGAAAACTATTAAAATGCCTCACAAACACTTTAAACTCATAATAAAAGCCCAAATCCAAATCTTCTCTTCCATATTCAAATCCACTCCTTTCTTTAGGTTTCAATTTATTAACGTAATGCTACTATTATCTACCAAGCAACCAGACACCTGAGAATTAACCTAGCCTCTTCTCACTCCCATGGCCCTGCTGCACAACCTTCCAATTCTGTGTATTTTGCCAACCAAATATCTCTCTAACCTCTCTTTTCTATGATCCCCCTCCCCTGGTTTAGAATTGAGACCTCAATTCTCACCTCATAGCGACAGTAGCTTCCAAACTTAGTGGTTCTAAAAGTTTGTTTACATAAGAATTACATTATGTGCATGTTTAAAATGAAGATTTATCAGGTCCCATCCTCAGAAATGTTTTTCAGTTACCTGGAATCTTCATTATTAACAAACTATTTCACTATTTGCAGGAGATTCCAGTCCTGGTGACCCATTCAACCACACTTTGGGAAACACTGAACTGTCTTGTCTCCCTGCCTCTGATTATCCCTTTTCATTCCATTGTCCCACTGGTCACAACCTAATCTCCTAGTACATTCAGAGGTCACATCAGAGTCCAGTTCCAAATTCTTTCAAGGTACTTATGTTAATCCAGAGTCTTCAGTTGCAAATAGGAGAAACCCAACTCAAATTAGCTTAAAAAATAACCACACATGAGTTTGTAAATAAACTATGGGGCAGAAGGATAGAGTTTGTTTTTAGATACCAAAAAGAAAGCTCTCAAACACTGTCAAAACATTATTTTTCCATCTCTTGTTTCCACTTCTCTCTTTAGGTCACTTCCTTCTCTAAAACAAGCTTTTCCTAAAGGCAATTGACTGGTAGCTAAAAATCCTGGCTCACATCCTAACAGCCTCTGACTAACAAGGAAAGAATATTCATCATCAAAATATAATTAGAAAAATTCTAGTCTGGACCATAATCCCATCCTTGGAAAAATCACTATAAAAGAGGAGCTGGGAAAATGATTGCCCCAGCTCATAACAAAAGTCTACTCATCCACCAGTCCCTGTAGTCAGAAGGATGTCATCCCATTGAATGCCCATGGCTAAAGATGCAAGAGGAATAATTCTCTGAAAGGAGGTAAGTATATCTCTGAGGAGAATAAAGGGTATTGGACAAGCAAAGCATCAGTTTCTTATTAAAGTTTTAACTCCTCTATGGAGCATGAGAGACCCTTCATAATCTTGTCCTTGCCATTGTCCTTAATGCAACTCTGTGTTCCAGTCATGCTGGTTTAAGAGCTCTTGCTGCTATATCTCCATTGCACCTTATCTGTATCTCCTCTTTAATGCTTACCACATTGAATTCTATTTCTTTGAGGGAAGGAGCAATGGTATGTTTGACTAGAAAACTACTAGACATTTTAAGTCTTTCTTACCTTTTTACCTTCAGTGTCTCACAATGCTTGGCTTAAAGTAAGTACTCTATAATCAATTAAGATCTATATACACATCATACAAATAAGTTTCAAATAAAAACTATAAACACAAGATGCTGGGGTCTCTGATCCAGGCCTCATCACTAGTGACTTAAACTGGAAAAATTATTTCTCCCTTTGGCTGCCAAGCCAGTCAAAGTGAATAATTCCTAGATCCTTCTGCTAGAGCTGCAGCAGGAAAAATATATCCCTGGTATTCCAAAGTAGAAATTTGTTGTTTCATTAAAAATATATCATTACACAGAAATCATAATTTCTAAAATAGCTTTCCCAGAGTATATTTTGGGCAGCTTATATAATAAATTTTGGTTGTTTTTAACCTAATACACAACATGATTTCTATGAAGGTGAAAGAATGTGCTTTAAATTGCAACTCAACATCATATGTCTAAACACAATTTTCCATAAAATGAAGATTTCCTTCTGAATATGCTCATTTATTTGGTTATGGTTACTGGATTCTCTTAGCATATAAAAATGGTATTTATAATATATATTACTCTTAAGAGGAATGTAATCCATTCCAGAACAGTTTTTTTTTTTCTTTTTTTTTTTTTTTTTTTTTTTTTTGAGACAGAGTCGCTCTGTCACCTAAGCTGGAGTGCAGTGGCACAATCTCAGCTCACTGCAACCTCCACCACCTGGGTTCAACTGATTCTCCTACCACAGCCTCCTGAGTAGCTGTGATTACAGGGAGACAGGGTTTCACCATATTGGCCAGGCTGGTCTCAAACTCCTGACCTCAAGTGATCCAACTGCCTCGGCCTCCCAAAGTGCTGGGATTACAGGCGTGAGGCAAGGCGCCCAGCCAGAACAGTTCATTCTTATTTAGACTTTATAAACCATTATGGTAGGCTAGCAAGTAACTGCGAAGGCAGCCACAATCTATTTGAACAACACAGGTACTGTCTACTTTTCTCCCAGCCATTGATAGATACAGCAATTGATGTCTATTAACTACCAAATAAAGCATCCTTAAAGTGACTTTAAGAACATTTCAGCAAGTATTGCTTTCACCATTTATTAGTGTAATAAGTATTCCTTTCTGTATCAGTCAGCGTTCTCCAGAGAAACAGAACACATAGGATATACATACGTAAGGAGATTTATTTTAAAGAATTGGCTCAAGCAATTATGGGGCCTGGCAAGTCCAAAACTCATAGAGCAAGCCAGCAGCCTGGAAACTCAGGCAAATGTTGGTATTGCAGTCTTAAGGCAAAATGTCTTTCTCTTTTGAATACTTTGGTCTTTACTTTTATGGCCTTCAAATGACTAAATGAGGCCCATTCACACTATCAAGTGTAACCTCGTTTTTTAAAAGCCAACTGACTGAAAGTGTTAACCACATCTACAAAATATCTTCACGGCAATACCTAGACTAATGTTTGATTAAATTAGTGGGTACTATAGACTAGCCCAGTTAACATATAAAATTAACCCCTACATTATCAGTAGGACATAAATCTGGAAAATTTTTAGTATTTAACATTTTGTCCTCTGAGTTATTTATTTTGATGTGCTGTTATTAACAGAATACATTTATTCTGTCTTAAAAATGTCCCTCTTGCTAACCTATCTTTTACCCTAAGAAACTTTACTTTTTAGTTACTAGGGACTTCATAACTTCAGTGAAAAGGGCAAAAAAATCTATACCAAGTTGACAGACTGCTAAGTGAGGAGGTGGAAGAGGAGAAAGAAAATACGACAAAGAAGAGAAGGAAGGCAATGAAACTGACTAACAAAAAGAAGGAGTATGAGGAGGACAGGAAGGAGGAATGGGAGGAGGAGAGAGGGGAGAAGAAGAAATTGGATCCTTTAGAGAAGAATAAAGAATTTCAAAACCTTGTGATTATAAATAATTTCTTGCTTATTTATATACTTACAAATTTATAAAATATAACATAATATGCACGGTTGCTATTAAATTCGGACTTTTATCCAGATGCCTCAGTCATATTCCAAAACCAGAAACTGCCTTTGTTCACTGCACCATGATTATTATTTGATGGTGGTGATGTAAGTGTGAGTGTGTGTGTGTGTGTGTGTGTGTGTGTGTTGGGGGTGTTGGGGGTAGGGGCTGTAAGTAAACTTTCTTTTTCGTTGGGCCTTTTTTTCTTTTAAAACCCCACATAGAAACAAGACCAAACCATGTGTTTTTAGATGTACTAAAACAAAACAGATATGCAAACTGAAAATATCAAAATAGTATTTAAATGAAAACAAGATTGTTTCATTTTGTGCCCATCTTTGATCCTAGATATGTAAACCTGGAAACCTGGATAAGATACAAGCTTCATTCAAGCTGTGTGCTTCATTCATGCTTCTCTACTGATAATCAGGAGGAAACTCTCACCCACTACATTCATTTATTTAGCAAACAGGTAATGAAGGGACCAGTGTTAGTAGTCACTGTATCAGGTGTCACATGGTAGGGAGATAGGAGAGAATGTATTTGGGTTCAACAAGCCTATAACCCAGTGGTGCAGACAAGCATGTAAACAACTAAGCATTACAAAGGGCAGAATGAAATAAAGGCTGTAAATAGAGGCCTAAGTACATTTCTGCCACTGCATAAAAGAAATAGCATTTTAAATGAAAAAGGACAGATTTCAAGGAGCAATTTTTATAGAGCCTTTAAGAAAAGTTATTGTTAAGATGTAGAGATATGGGGCAGTTGATGGGTTTAGTGGGACAGGAGAGAGACTGCACATATGTTCAGAGAATAGTAAATACTCCAATGCGACTAGGGTTATTTGTCAGAAGAAGCCCTAACTAACCTCTTCTCTCCATTGTAGTTAGATGTCCATTGTCCAGAATTATCCGTTCATACCCCTGGACTCCACCCCCTTAAACTAATTCTTCCGGAGTACAGAAAATTTGATTTTTTAAAAAATATTCTCCCAAGTATATTATATAGTGACATACTTTTCCTTAAGCAACATTTCTCATAAATAACTCACATGAAAACATGCAAAATTGTTCACAAACTTCAAGGCCAAATGGTAGAGATTGCCTCAGACATCCCTACCTAGAAGTGAAGCAAGCCCGTAAGGGTCCTATGAAGTGCACAGCAGAGGTCCACATTGCCAAGACAATAAGCAGCTGGAAATGTGGAAAGGATTATTCTAGAAAGGAAGTTAAACCTTTACCAAGAAATGTGGGTTTATGAAATAAAAAGCCAGGAATTGAGGTCTCAGATACTGAAAAAAATTATCATTCTACCTCACCTCTCTTCTAATATCTCAGTTTGGAAAGCAAACTTGGATTCCATCTTCAAGAAGCCCTCAGAGAATCCCTTTGCTCTCCTCACTCCTCCATTGTAGAGAATATCTGTGGTTTTCTCTCCCAGAACCAATTTTCACCTTGTTCTAGGAGCATCCCCTGGATTGCCTTTTAAGCAGGCACCTCTGGAGGCTTAGAAACATATGACAAAATGAAATCAGTGCTTGGCTGGGGACTAAAAAAAGAGCGTGTATCAACTGCTTTAAGGCATGATGTGAGCTTAAGGGTCAGTGGCTCGCTGGAGAAATACATAGTTACACATGATTTTTTGCTTTACGTTATAGAGTTACTAATCTGTTTTTATCCCGCCAGAGATTTATCACAGTTATTAATAGGATAGCCCTTCAAAAACAATTCTGAGTAGCCAAAAGACTGATATGACCTCCAAGAGGAAACAAGGAACCATTTTCTCCTCTTTTCAGTATGCCTGCTGTTCAGGTTAAGATGGAGGCACATCCACTTGCAAGAGACACATCTCTTAGCTGCCCCCTTCACATTATTGCTCCCAAGATCATTTCACACCATATTGTTAACACTATAACTTTGACCTCAGAATGACGACCATGATATTTTGATAAAATGTCTTGTTAAAGTATCTACTATTCAACCCCTGGTAAAGACTTTTTTAAAGCACACATTCTTGTCTCTCATAATAGTAAAAAAAACAAAAATACAAAAATAAGTTTTTTAAAGCTATTCTAGGCTCATTTTCCGTATCTGTAAGATGAGATAATAAACAAGGCAATTTATAAAGGTTTTTGGCTCTAACAAGCCATGATTTGAAATGCACTAAGCATTTGAGTTGGTGGCAAAGTACGATGGAATGACCTCTCACTCTGGGTTACCATTTAAAGACAACAATAGCTGTGGTTCAAAGTGTGGCACAAGACAAGCTGACATTGTCTCACCAGGATATGCCGATAGGAAAACAAAGTCTGAGATCACAGTGTAGAAATGAGGATTTCTGGAGCAAAAGCATCAGGATTGACAAGCATGGGATGGGAGGGGGTTGATGTCTCACCTATAAATGTTAAGCAGTTCTTACAAATACCATTTAGCAAAAAGACATAACTATAATGACATTTTCCAGGAATCCTATAAAAGACAGAAAGCACAACCAGCCTTTTGTCAATGTCTTCTATTGTGATATGAGTGATTTAATGAAATTTGGAGTTGACAGTAATAATCTCATAATGTGACATACATTAAATCAATTTAACAAAGGTGAAACATAATAAAAATCTAGAACCTATGCCTGGCATTTTAAAAGTACATACTTACAACCTATCACAGGAGTTCAATTATTCTGAGACATTCTGTTCACATATATTAGTGTATGTAAAATATGCACAAAATTAAGATTTCAACTTCAGTCATGTAGTAAGGGCCAAATATGAGCCAATCACCAGGGACAGTAGAGCAAAGGCTCTTCATGCCATTACTTAATTATATTCACCAAGGGATGTAAAGAAAACCCCATTTTCTTCAAATGGAGTGGGTTTTATTTCAAATGTTTCCAAAATTCAACCACATTTATTTTCCCAATTTCTATAGCTGCCATCCTGGACAAAGCCACTATCTCTTCTCATCTGATTATTATGACAGCTTACTACTTGGACACCCTCCTTCTACCCTGGTCTCCTACTTCTATTTGCCATACAATAACCACAGTTGTGCTTTTAAAATGCAAGTCACTCCTTCACTCTCTCCCATCCCTTGGTTCTCATATTGGTCAATAAAAGCCCAAGTATTTCCCATGACCTCAAATGCCCTACAACTGCATCATCCATAACACCTAAGAGTTTGCTAGAAATGTTCTCAGGCCCTACTCCCCATCTACCGAATTATAAACAAGCCCTTCAGATGACTCAAATGAGGGCTAACGTTTGAAGACCAATGCCTTAGAGGACCGTACATCCTACCTCTCACTACCTCTCTGACTCATCTCCTTCTATTTTCCCTTTTGCCTACTTTGCTCAGCTCCAGCTAAAAAGGCTTAAATGTACCAAGCCTGTCCCAAGCTCAAGTTCTTTGTATATGTTTCTCTTCTGCCCAGAAAACTTTTTCCAGTAATATCCATGTAGCTTATTCTTTCACATCTTTTAGATGTCTGTACAAATATCATCTTATATAGCAGCCTTCCCTATCCTATATAAAATAGTAAGCCCTGAATCCAGAACTTCCTTTCCTTCTTACCTTCTTTATGTTTCTTCATTGCATGTATTATCTCCTGATATATAACATTTATCTGTTCATAGCCTGTCTCTTCCACTAGAATGTAAACCCATGAGGATGGAGTCTTTGTTATTAACAAATAACCAGTGTCAAGAACATTTTCTAACACAGAGCAGATCCTCCATAAATATTTACTGAATAAATGAATGAATGAATTCACCTCCCGGGTCTGAAAAGGAGGATATAGAGGCCAGATCAACATGTGACTCTAACATAAATGTCTAGAAAATGCTCTCCTTTCTAAAAATGTATTCCTCTACAGCTTTCCTATAGCATAGATTCTTGTAGCATTAAGAATTGAGTCTCCCTAAGGAGTTTATTAAGAGAAAATGCATTTACCTAGTTAAAGCAATAGCAGAGATATGTTTTTCCTAATTAAGCTCATTATCATTCATGTCACATAGGACATACAATATGTGCCATATAGCACATGGGCTTTTTTTTTGGAGAAGGTAAGGGGATGATTGAAGGGTTGCAGAAAATGCTGAGAACTTATGGTATACACCATGCTGATGAAGTTATTAGTAGTAGTCAAGAAAAAAGATCTATTAAAACAGAGTATGGAGCTACCCAATAGAGGAAGTTTATCAAGCTACACACACAATTCTTTCATGGGTACTGCTGTGGGTATCATGAACCTGGGGTGGACAGTTAATATATTAGGTGCCAGAATCAGACTCCCAAGTGAATGGACAACAGACAAAACATAATTTGAAATTAAGAAATAAAAAGTGTAAAAGGAGTGGAATGTGGTTAAACAGTTTTTTAAGGTTATGTTTTGTGGCAATGCCAATAAAGACCTTGGACACGCTTAGGACACATGATCCACTGGATTAAAAGAGTCATTCCAGATCTGACACAAAAGGACACTTTCACCTACAAAACTTAAATTGTTGGAATTATGGTGCCAAAAAAATTTCAATTATATTTCAGGCATAAATATAACAACATCTTTAAAATTTCAAGGGTCATTAGAGAGGTGACACTAAAATCAGAGTTGCAAATCATGGACAAAAGCACTGTTCAAAACTAATTTTGCCAGGGGGTTGGCCAAGATGGCCAACTAAAAGCAACTAGTCTGCACTGCTCTTACAGAGAGAAATGGAAGGGATAAGTAAATACAGCACCTTCAACAGAAACATCCAGGTACTCGCATTGGGACTCACCAAGGAAACAACTTGACCCATGGAGAACGGAGAAAAGCAGGCAGGACAACTGCCCTCCCAGGAGCAACACAGAGCCAGGGGAACCTCCTCCACCCAGGGAAGTAGTAGTTCAAGGCAACTAGGTACTGGGGCGATACCCCAGCACAGTCCAGCAGCTCTATGGAGAAGCAGTAAGACTGCTTATTCACACAGATCCCAAATCCCATTTCTCTTGAATCTCCACCTGGGATCTCCTGTCACCCATGCTAGTATTTTCCAGCCAACGGAGGTTTTATGCCTCCCTGGGACGCGGCTTCCACAGAGTGGTGGGCCATCTTCTTTGCTGTTTGGCAGTCTTAGCCATCCTTGCCTTCAGGCTTTGGAAAGCCTGAGGCGACTGGGGGCTGGAGCAGACCCCAAGCACAGCACAGCTGCTCTTCAAAAAGTAGCCAGACTATTTTTGTAAATGCGTCCTCATTCCCATTTCTTCTGGGCAGGATCTCCTGACCAGGATCTCCAGCCACTTCTGCCAGTGTGCTCCAGCCAACAGAGGTTTCAAACCTCCCTGGGACGGAGCTCCCAGGGGGAGAGGCGACCTGCCGTCTTTGCTGTTTAGCAGCCTTAGCCATTCTTTCCTCTAGGCTCTGGAGAGCCCGAGGCAACTGGGGGCTGGAGCAAACCCCCAGCACAGCACAGCTGCTCTATGAAAAAGTGGCTAGACTGCTTTTTCACATAGGTCCCTGATCCCGTTCCTCCTCACTGGGCAGGATCTCCCACTTGGGATCTCCAACCACCTTCTGCAGGTGCATTCAGATCAGCTCAGGTCCATACCTCCCTGGGACAGTGCTCCAAGAAGGAAGGATAGGCTGCCATCTTTGCTGTTTCACAGCCTTCACTGGTACCTTCAGGTAATGGAAAATCCAAGATGACTAGGGACTACAGCAGACCCCCAGCGTACTGCAGCAGCCCCATAGAAAAGTGGCCAGACAGTTACATGTGTCCCTGATCTCATATCTTCTCACTGGATGAGTCCTCCAGGCCTGGGTCTCCAGCCACCCCCAACCAGGGCTACTGAGCCAGCAGCAGCTATGCTACTCCCTGGACAGAGCTCCCAGTGGGAAGGATGGGTTGTCATCTTTGCTGTCTCCCAGCCCTTGCCCTATCTGTCTCCAGGCTCTGGAGACCCTATGGGACCAGAGGCTGCTCCAGAGCCCAAACACAGAGCAACTATCTCACAGAAAAGTGGCCAGACTGTTGTCCACACAGATTCTGGTCCTCACTTCTCCTCACTGGGCAGGGCCACCCAACCTGGGACTCCAGCACAACCACCCTGCCCATGCCTGGTCACCAGAATCAGAGACAGCCCAGCATTTCTCCAATCTCCAGCAATTCTCTGGGATTCTCCAAATCCCAAAATCAACCCACAACCCCTCTGCCACTACAATTGTAGTGGTACTACCCTAATAGTCCTTGGGCTGGGGAAGGAACAAAGACCCCTTCATTACACTGGCATCTCCAGCACACCATACAGAAAGGAGTTGATCCCCTCTTCCATGGGAACCCCCATCCCCACTGCTGCCCTCAGTCTGCTGAAGAAACAAAGAGCCTGAAGGGTACACTTAAGCTTACAGCATGCCACAGTCACCATACAGAGAGGACACCAGTCTCTCCTCCCAGTGAGCCCTCAATCCCCTACCCCTCAATAAGTGGAACCCCAAGCTCATACCAGCACTGCAACTTCCCCACCCCACTGGCTGAACACTCCCAGTAAGAGTGGCTCTGTGTTTCTTGGAGGTGGAGCCCCAGGGCTCTCTCTACCACTGCCTCTGCAATGGTACTACCCCTGCTACCCTTGAACTAACAAAGGAACAAAGACCCTAAGTACCTTCTCCACACCTCCAATAAGCTATAATCAACCCAAGAGGAGGCCAGTTCATCTCCCATAGGTCCGACTCATCCCTCCTTTTCATCACCAGGCAGGGAACCCCCAGCTTGGACCCACAGCACAGACCCCTTATCCCAGGCTGATTGCACTTAGTGATAGTTGACCTGCATCTTTCTAGGGTGGAGCCCCTAGGAAGCAAGCAAAAGACCGTCGGCCACAACCATTAGTAAGGTCCCTTCTGCTGCCTCCAAGTTGGGGAGGAAACATAAAACCCAAGATCACCCCAGAGCTATGGTGGGCAGCCTGGGACTGCCAAGTTGCAGTCTACAGCCAGAACTCAAGCAGGAGAGGAACCCACACTACCAGAGCATTGAGAGGGTGGACAGCTGCAACTGTGAGGAAATACAGGGAAGCTACATGACTAAGCAAGAGTCTGCCTACTATGCCTAAGCACTACCTACTGGATCACACCCCAAAGCTTCAACATCCAAAACACCTCACTAACATACCCACCTCTGAAACCAGAAACAAGAAGTCACCTTCAAATAAAGATACTGCATAAAACCTGGGCCTTGTGAAAACACCCAGAAAAGGAGTCTACTTACTGTACTCAATCTACATCACAGTTAAAGGAACACCCACATGCAGAGATGAGAAAGAACCAATGCAAGAACTCCATCAACTCAAATGACCAGTGTCATCTGTCCTCCAAACAACTGCACTAGTTCTTCAACAAGAGTTCTTGCAGGCTAAGTTTGCTGAAATGACAGAAATAGAATTCAGAATATGGATAGGAATGAAGATCATTGAGATTCAAGAGAATGCCAAAACCCAATCCAAGGACACTAAGAATCACAATAAAATGACACAGGAGCAACAGATAAAATAGCCAGAATGAAAAAGAACCTAACTGATCTGATAGAGCTGAAAAACATACCACAAGGTTTTGTAATGCAATTACAACTGTTAACAGCAGAATAGACCAAGCTGAGGAAAGACTCTCAGAACCTGAAGACTGCCTCCCTGAAATAAGACAGTCAAACAAAATTATTTAAAAAGAATACAATGGAATGAACAAAACCTCCGAGAAATATGGGACTATGTAAAGAGGCCAAATCTACAAACGACTGGCATCCCTAAAAGGGATAGGGTGAAAGCAAACAACTTGCAAAACATATTTCAGGGTGTCATCCATGAAAACTTCCCCAACCTTGCTAGAGAGGCCAACAGTCAAATTCAGGAAATACAAAGGACCCCTGAAAGATTCTACACAAGAAGATAATCCCCAAGACACATAATCATCAGATTTTCAAAGGTTGAAATGAAAGAATATTAAAGGCAGCTATACAGAAAGGGCAGGTCACCTACAAAAAGAACCCTATCAAGCTAACAGTAGACATGCTAGCAGTAACCCTATAAGCCAGAAGAGATTGGGGGGCCTATATTCAACATTCTTAAAGAAAAAATCTTCAACCAAGAATTTTCTATCCAACAAAACTGGATAAGCTTCATAAGCAAAGGAGAAAACAACAGAATATACAATTCTCCTTATTGCCACATGGCACATACTCTAAAACCAAGCACACAATCAAACATAAAACAATCCTCAGCAAATGCAAAAGAATCAAAATCATCCCAAACACAACTCTCAGACCCCAGGTCAATAAAACCACATAATTACATAGAAACCATACAATTACATGGAAATTAAACAATGTGCTGAATGACTTTTAAGGAAATAATGAAATTAAGGCAGAAATTGAGAAGTTCTTTGAAACTAAAGAGAACAAAGATGCAACATACCAGAATCTCTGGGACACAGTTAAGGCAGTGTTAAGAGAGAAATTTGTAGCCATAAACACCCACATCAAAAAGTTAGAAAGATCTCAAATTAACAACTTAACAACACAACTGAAAGAACTAGAGAAGCAAGAGCAAACCAACACCAAAGCTAGCAGAAGATGAGAAATAACCAAAATCAGAGCTGAACTGAAGATCAAGACATGAAAAACCATTCAAAAGATCAATAAATCCAGGGGTTTGTTTTTTGAAAAATATAATAAGATAGGCTACTAGCTAGACTAACAAAGAACAGAGAATATCCAATTAATACAAGTAGAAAAGACAAAAGGAATGTTACAACCGACCCCACAGAAATAAAAATAATCATCAGAAACTACTGCAAACACCTCTATGCACACAAACAAGAAAACCTAGAAGAGATGGATAAATTCCTGGACACACACACTCTCCCAGTACTGAACGTGGAATAAATTAATTCCCTAAACAGACCAATAACAAGCTCCAAAATTGGAATCAATAATAAATAGCCTACCAACTAAAAAAGCTAGGACCAAATGGATTCACAGCCAAATTCTGCCAGATGTACAAAGAAGAGCTGGTAGTATTCCTACTGAAACTATTCAAAAAAAAAAATAGGAGTAATGATTCCTCTCCAACACATTCTATGAGGCCAGCATTACTCTGATACTAAAACCTGTCAGGGACACACACACACACAAAAGAAAACTTCAGTCAATGAACACTGATGCAAAACTTCTCAGCAAAATACTTGCAAACCAAATCTAATAGCACATCAAAAACTAATCCACCACCATCAATTGGGATTCATCCCCAGGACGCAAAGTTGGTTTAATATACACAAATCAATAAATGTGATTCACCACATAAATAGAACTAAAAACAAAAATCACATGATTATCTCAATAGATGCAGAAAAGGCTTTTGATAAAATTCAACATCTCTTCATATTAAAAACTCTCAATAATCGAGGTATCGAAGGAACATACCTCAAAATAATAAAAGCCATCTATGACAAACCCATAGCCAACATCATACTGAATGGGCAAAAGCTGGAAGCATTCCCCTTGAAAACTAGCATAAGACAAAGATGTCCTCTCTCACCACTCCTATTCAATGTAGTATTGGAAGTCCTGGCCAGAGCAATCAAGAAGAGAAAGAAATAAAGGAAATCCAAATAGGAAGAGAGAAAGTCAAACTCTTCCTGTTTGTAGACAACATGATTCTATACCTAGAAAACCCTAGAGTCTCAGCCCAAAAGTTCCTTCAGCTGATAAACAACTTCAGCAAGCTTCAGGACACAAAATTAATGTACAAAAATCACTAGCATTTCTATACACCAACAACAGCCAAGCTGAGAGCCAAATCAGGAAGGCAATCTTATTCACAATTTCCACAAAAAGAATAAGATCCCTAGGAATACAGCTAACCAGGGAGGTGAAATATCTCTACAAAACACTGTCCAGAGAAATCAGAGATGACCCAAACATACAGAAAAACATTCCATGCTCATGGATGGGAACAAAAGCAGTATCATTAAAATGGCCAAACTGCCCAAAACAATTTACAGATTCAATTCTATTCCTATCAAACTACCAATGACATTCTTCACAAAATTGGAAAAAAGTGTTTTAAAATTCATATGGAACCAAAAAAGAGCCTAAATAGTCAAGGCAATCAAAAGCAGAAAGAACAAAGCTGGAGGCATCACATTACCCATCTTCAAACTATACTACAGGGTTACGGTAGTAACCAAAACAGCAGTGTACTGTTACAAGAACAGACGCATAGACCAATGGAAGAGAACAGAGAGCCCAGAAATAAGTCCACATACCTAAAACCATCTGATCTTCAGAAAAGCAGACACACAGAAGCAATGGGGAAAGGATTCCCTATTCTATAAATGGTGCTAGGATAATTGTCTAGCCATATGCAGAAAATTGAAACTGAATCCTTTCCTTACACCATATACAAAAATCAACTCAAGATGGATTAAAAACTTAAATGTAATGCCCCAAGCAATAAAAACTCTGGGCGATAGCATTCAGGACTTAGGAACAGGCAAAAATTTCATGATGAAGATGGCAAAAGGCAATTGCAACAAAAGCAGAAATTGACAAATGAGATCTAATAACTAAAAATGCTTCTGCACAGCAAAAGAAACTATCAACAGAGTAAACAGACAAGTACAGAATGGGAGAAACTATTTGCAAGTTACGCCTCTGACAAAGGTCTAAAATCCAGCATCTGTAAGGATCTTAAAGAAATTTACAAGATAAAAGCAAAAAAAAAAAAAAACCCTTAAAAAGTAGGCAAAAGACGTGAACAGACACTTTTAAAAAGAAGACACACTTGTGGCCAACAAGCATATGAAAAAAAAAAGCTCAATATCACTAATCATTAGAGAAATGCAAATCAAAAACCACAATGAGATACCATCACACACCAATCAGAATAGCTATTATTAAAAAGTTAAAAAATAACTGGTGAGGATCTGGAGAAAATAGACCACTTATACACTGTTTTGGGGAGTGTAATTTAGTTCAATGATTGTGGAAAGCAGTGTGGCAAGTCCTCAAAGAGCTAAAAACAGAACTACCATTCAACCAACAATCCCATTACTGGGAATATACCAAAAGGAATATAAATCGTTCTACCATAAAGACACATGCATACAAATGTTCAATGAAGCACTATTCACAATAGCAAAGACATGGAATCAACCTAAATGCCCATCAACTATAGACTGGATTAAAAAAAATGTGGTACATATACACCATGGAATACTATGCAGCCCTAAGAGAGAACGAGATCATGTATTTTGCAGGAACACGGATGGAGTTGGAGGCCATTATTTGCACGAATTAACGCCGGAACAGAAAAACAAATACCACATATTCTCACTTTTAAGTGGGAGCTAAATTATGAGAATATATGGACGCAAAGAGAGGAACAACAGACTCTGGGGTCCACCAGAGGGTGGAGGGAGAGAATCAGAAAGAATAACTAATTGGTACTAGGCTTACTACCTGGGTGACAAAACAATCTGTAAAACAAATCTTCATGAGACGAGTTTACCTATATAACAAACCTGCACATGTACCCCTGAACCTAAAATAAAAGTTTTAAAAAGACCTAAACTTAAAAAATGAAATAAAACAAAATAGTAATTTTTCCAGCCAGAGAATCAAACTTCGTAAGTCTAATGCACAGAGGATATCTACATACTAAGAAAGTAGCAAATTTCAAATTCATTTTTACTCCAACATAGTTAGGCATGTTGTTTCTTGTAAGATGAAGTCAATTTTGGACACTGAGAGGAGACAGAGATCAGCTTGGTCTGCTTGAAAACACTGCATGTCTCTAAGGACAAAGTCCCGATCCCAAAGGACTTGATGGTGGCTATTGTACCTACATCAGACAGGTGTTGGAACCACTGAGACAGATACTTCCCAAAAAAGAGACCTTTAAATCATGGTTAGAGAATACTATAGACAAACCATTGGGATGGATAAGAAGGAGAGGTATGCCTCACTTACAGGACTGTTTGCAACTCTCTGTCCCCAGAGCTGTTGATAGACTCAAAGCCATAAAAATAAACATATCCATGTAGCAGGATCCCACTGCCCTAAAACAAAGCTATGCTACCATGAAAAGTTACTGAACTTATATGCCAAATTTATCACCAAATGTCAATGAACAGGGAAGCATTTATTTTGTCATCTCACATTATCTGAGAAAGGACTACAATTTGTGATCCATTTGGAATTACAAACTGAGACCTGAAAGTCCATAATCATCTGAGTGGGGTCTACAGATTGTCTGTCATTAATAATCAATAATAGACTTCAGCCAGGCACGGAGGCTCATCCCTGTAATCCCAGCACTTTGGGAGGCCGAGGCGGGTGGATCACAAGATCAGGAGGTCGAGACCATCCTGGCTAACACAGTGAAACCCCGATTCTACTAAAAATACAAAAATTAGCCAGGTGTGGTGGCGGGCACCTGTAGTCCCAGCTACTCGGGAGGCTGAGGCAGGAGAATGGCATGAACCCGGGACACGGAGCTTGCAGTGAGCCAAGACTGCACCACTGCACTCCATCCAGCCTGGGCAACAGAGCAAGACTCCGTCTCAAAAAAAAAAAAAAAAAAAAGACTTTGTTACTTTCCCAAAAAGCTACCCAAATTTTCCTCACTACTGAATCTAGTAAGGACTGAGGAGATAACTGGCTGATCTCCGGCCAGACAGACTAATGAGACTCAGATATAACACTCTCTCAGTGGTCTTGGAAAGCTGGAAGCAAAGGAGATGTATCTCTTTCCCTTGAAGATAAATTCCAACAGCAGGTAGAAAAAGGCTGATTTCTGCCGTCATGGTCAGGTAGCCCTCAAGAGCAATCCAGAAGTCCTTGATGAAGATTGTGTCTCTTAATTTATAAATTGGAGTGGGGCATAAGTGGAAATAATGTAGCTATTTCACCATTCCTTCCCAGGAGGTGTGCACATCCAGCATTGTTGGGATATATTTGTCAGGACAGCCTTTGTTTCTTGCTTTACTGTGTCAAAGAGGTTTTCCCAAGCTCCTTTCTCTTTTCCAGAGTTAAAACACTGGAAAGGAAACCAAATGCCTAAAATGCACATTTGCTCTTTGAGACGCTAATCAGTCCTCAACCTCAAGGTTTTCAAGAAGGGACGGCAAGAATTCACATAAGGTCTACTTTGCAGCACCTACAGAGGAACCTAGAAGATGTATACATGCCCAATAGGAAATAAAAGAGTGGAGACACTGAACTGTAAACAGAGCTCTACTAATAGAGCAGGTAGGCTGGGAACTTGAGATACGAAGAAATTTAGGTATTCTGGACTAATATTTTGCAACCTTTATAAAGACTGACCCAGCATGAGTGAAACTGGACAATTATTAACACATGAAAATTCCCATAACCACAGCTAAGGATGTGCATTCTACAGGACTCTTTCCTTTTTAAAAGGCAAAAGATCAACCTAAACTAGCTGAAGAAAAAAAAGATGGGATTTATTAGTTCATGCACTTGGATGAATATAGAGGGACATCAACTTTCAACACCGTTGGACCTACAGACTCATATTGTCCACTGTTTACTGGTTTCTCCATTTTCTAGTTATGTTCTCCTCTTTTAGCAACTTTATTCTGCTGACAGCTTGTTGCATCCAACCAAGGAAATGGATTCTGGTAGTTCCATACTGTGTGATCCTTACAGCTTGTGATAGACAAAGGAAGAAAGAGGTTCACTCTTTCCTGGAGTCCATATATCCAATCTCCTGGAGACCCTCGGATTGACCCAGTTTAGGACATCAGCATGTCATTGAACTAGTCACCTTGGCCAGGAGAATGAAGAAGTCTGATGGCCAGTCCTGAAGTATCTCTATCTCTGTGACGGGTGGAGGGTGAAATAAGTTCCTAAAACCACCTGAACATGTTCCCCCTAAGAAGAAGCTCTATAGTGAATAAAAGTGAAGGGAAACAGTGAGGAAAACCACACTACAGCTATCACAGATCCCTGAAAGCAGCTTTTTTTTTTTTTTTTTTTTTTTTTTTTTTGAGACAGAGTCTCATCCCGTTGCCCAGGCTGGAGTGCAGTGGCACGATCTCGGCTCACTGCAAGCTCCACCTCCCAGGTTCACGCCATTCTCCTGCCTCAGCCTCCCGAGTAGCTGGGACTACAGGCGCCCGCCACCACACCCGGCTAATTTTTTGTATTTTTAGTAGAGATGGGGTCTCACCATGTTTGCCAGGATGGTCTCGATCTCCTGACCTCGTGATCCGCCCGCCTCGGCCTCCCAAAGTGCTGGGATTACAGGCGTGAGCCACAGTGCCCGGCCCCTGAAGGAAACTTTTATCTTTGCTGGCTTCGAGTCTTTTTCTCTTCTGTACTCAGACATTGATTTTCTCCTAGTTCTTTCAGATTTTGTTTTACAGAATTAGAACACAAGAGAGGGTGGGGAGGAAGAAGGAAGAGAGACACAGAATGTACAGTAGTGTGACATGGGGAATTTTGAAGAGAGAGGCACCAGATTTGGGAGTGTGTGAGGAAAATGGATGAGAGAGAAAGGATGTGTTTAAAGTATTACTTTAGATTATATTACGCCTTTCATGTGGTTAAGCAAATAAGTAAGAGAGCTATTCTGAATTACTTTGGGGTTTCTAAATTGTTCCTTTGCCCACTTCAATAAGATTAGATCCATTATTGTACAAATACTATATTCTATTAGTGTTTACACATCTATTCTTGTACTACATCAAAGTCTCCTTGAAGATAGTGGGGTTATGTCTCACACATTTCTATAGTGCTGTGTACACAGAAAGGACTCCAAATTGTATTTTTTGAATGAATGACAAGTTCTTGATGTATGATTTTTCCACCCTCAAAGCACTCCAAGAGAGTGGGTCCTTCAGATTTTTAGATAGTTCCATGGCCTCCAATCATAACTCTACCTTTAAGTAAGCAAGAATTTTCTTTGTACCTTTCACACATTCATTCTAAGGCATTTTCTCTTTTCATCTAAACTCAAGATAGCTAAGTCAATAATAATCTTTCAACATCATAGAATTAAAGTAATTCAGACTTAGAAAAGAGCTTGAAATATTGAAACCAACTCCTCCATTTTACCAAGAAACAAATGGGACTCTTTGTAGTTAAGTTGTTTATTTACCATATAGAGTTATTCAGTGACTAAAACAAGGACTTGGGTTTCTCAAATTCAGTTTCAAAACTATTTTCATGCATCTCCTTCCCCCCTAAACATTACACCTTCTTAAAGGCATGTTCAGTTCTCTCCTCTTCAGACTAAATAAGCACAATTGCCCTTACCTTTCCCATAGTTCCCCATATGCAAAATGTGTGGGAATGACATGAAGAGGTACAATAGACTGAATGTGTCCCCCTAAAAGTCATAGGTTGAAACCCTAACCCCGACTTTTGTAGTATTAGGAGGTGAGGCCTTTGAGAGGTTATTGGGTCATGAGGGTTGAGGCCTCATAAGTGGAATTAGCACCCTTATAAAATGGACCCCAGAGAGCTACCTTGCTGTCTTTCCACCATGTGATGACATGATGAGAAGAAAGTAGTCTGCCTCCCCAAAAAGGGGCCTCACCAGAACCCGACTATGTTCACACCCTGATCTCAGGCTTGAATACTCCAAAACTGTGAGAAATAAATTTCTGTTGTTTAAGCCTCTCAGTCTGTGGTAATTTATTATAGCAGTCTGAACTGATACAGACTGATAGTATAAAAACATAGCTTTACAGTCTGAGAGGTCTTGAGTCTGCTTCTTTAATGCTGTATGATTTGGCATTGGCAAAAGTTCGCTTATCTAAAAAATGGGTATGATACTACTCAAAGGTACTGGACACCTATAAGGTATGGAGTTGTGAGCATTGAAGAGATAAAACACCTAACACATCATAGGCCCTGAACAAGCACTGGGTTTTTTCCCAAGCCCACACCTCTTTCCATAGCCAAATAATATTTATGAAATACTCTGAGACATATAGAAGCCTACACCGAAATTTACAATTTTAACTCAATGAAGTAAATTTTGTTGGAAGTTGCAATATCAAGAGATTTAGATACTCTATGCCAAATTAACAATTATTGTTAGCTAATAATACTTCTTGGCTAACTCATAGTCCCATAATACTAATGAAATGAAACCTTCCTTTTATTGATTTTTATCATGAGAATTTAATAGCATCAAACATGTGCAGTAGCCCAGACTGCAAAGTACTCAATGGGGTCTTACTGGATTTACTTAAAAGATAAAGTTACTTTGTCAGCAATAGAAATAGAGATTAGAAAGTAGTAACAAACTCCCCTTTTCAAACATTAGCTCCTAATTTACAATACCATGGCAGCAAGCAGAGCAGTCTTGCAGATAAAAAGTAATTTGATAAAATAATGGCTGCCATTTTTCTACTGAAATTGGTCTGCAACATAATTTATAGGAACCATATTTAACCTCTTCTTGATGACAGGTAATGGAAAAAATTTCAGCAGCAAATATTTATAGCATGCTAAGAACATTTGGATCAGTACAACTAAGTCATTTTTAACTGTTTCCTCAATTTTTTTTTCAAGTTTTACTCCATTTCGTCAAAAAAAAGGACAAAGGTTGATTATTTTTTGAAATCTTTGCTCAAAGCTGAGATTTTTAGATTAAAATAGCAATAAAATTATTATGACTCTATATTGTAAGGATATTGGTTCATCTGCTACATTGAGATGTTCATAAATTAGTCTACAGTTTATCACCATGAACATTAAAGTATGCAATACGAAATTACACATGCAGCAATTCTGAAATGTGACTCACAGAGTTTTGTTTTAATTAACACCATGTCCTATTTGTTTCAAATAAATTCTGAAGATCTTTAAAGATATCACAGAATGTGAAGCATGATATTTAAGAATAAAAGTCATATAGACCATCTAAAGCAAGCAGAAGAAATATGACTTTTAAGCTCCTGAGTTGAGTTGATTAAATGTCTTGAATCCTAAATTTAGCTCTTATGTTTCTGGAATCAAAGAAAAAAATAATAGACAATTGCAATAATTGTCATTTTAGCTGCTCACATCATCCTTTTACTCGTATTTTGCATGGATCCTAAGTTTTCCTTACTGCTTCAATTACTCGTTTTCTCATCTTGCTTTTGGAATTGTGAGGATAATAATAATAAGTGGATAATTTAGACCTTTGATCTTGAATTTTTTTTACTACTGATAGGGATCACATCACTAGTGTAATGTGATAGGCTGTCACATCTCTATGCAAGATAATAGAAAAGAGACCGTTTAAACACCAAAAGTTAGAAGTTTAAACTATTGAATAAGTTCAGAAGTGACAATTATATTGTGTAAATATGTAGTAGACAACTCAAGTTGTGCTATCACTGTGCTATTAAGGTTTAGCTGTTCCAGAATAATTCTAGCCATTAAAATTAACTTCTTAGAAACTGCTCCCAGAGAAAGACAACATGCCCTGTATTGAGCACAAAGAAGTTGGCATCATTTTTCTACAGCTGAAGAACACCTATGCATTCCATCTAAAGACAATATTCCAGAATATTTAGATAAAGATCCATATATTCATTCTCTCAATAATACTCAGTAGAGAACTTCAGCGTTCTAAGCACCATTCTTGAAGCAGGAGGGTCAGTTGAAAGCGACTTGTGTGGCACTTCCTTTCATTCTGGTGGAGAATATAGACAGAAGGAGGGGCTATGCAATATAAGGGTAAGTGCTCTGAAGCAAAATAAAGCAACATGGAGAGGAGAGAGATGCAGGTAATTTTCCATTTTAGAAAATTTAGATTAATATTTTCCAGGATAATTAGAGAAAGCATCTTTAGGAAAAGACTTTGGAGCAACAATCTGAATGTAAATATCTAGGGAAAGAGCATGCCAGGCAGACATAACAGCATGCCCCAAGGTCCTGAGGCAGGATATTACAAAGAAATGTCAAGGAATAAACCAGAGTAAAAAATAGAATGCCATATAGTTTTATATTCTTCCTCTCTTTAATTGGGTTTTGACAGCAACGTTTCAAAACAGACTGAAGAAGTAGGTAGTTTGGACCAATTTCCTGGGCACAATTAGGCCAATATATAGGTCCTGAATGTTGAAGAAAAGGATTCTGATAGGCCAACTAATCATTAAATAGCCTGTAATTATCCTTGGCCACTTTTATAATAAAATGAAATTGCTTTGTGCATTGACCAATAATAAAAAACTTGTACTCTTGAATCCTTCTTCTCATATAAAACATAATTTGGGAAAATGATGATTCAATTGTCTCTAAGCTAATAGAGTTTGAAATGTGTCTTTCAAACTTTGGCCATAATTTGGAAGTAATAAAAGGATAACCATCATGAGAGAGGCATAAAAAGAGAATTAATTCATGTTAATAACTTGACAAGATCATGGTGTACCGCCCAAGAAAAACATTGTGTGGCTTTTCTGCAGTGAGATCTTCCCTTGGAGTTTTGCTCAGTTTGACCTGTGAGAAACTCAGGGAAATGAGGCTGAACTTGGCTAACTATGCTGGAGGTGCTGATGGGCGGCTATGTAAAGAGACAAAGCCTGTCATGTACATTTCTCAGCAAAGCTCTCCAGGCTTTCTAGAGAATTTATCGATAACTAAAACTGTTTCCTCTGGCACCCTAGTTTGCCATCTCAAGGGAAAAATTTCCAGACTGACTTTTCTACTAGGAGGTAGACCAAAAAATATGCTAATAAGATTTATTATACTTCATCCAATAAATATACTAATAAGATTTTCTAATCTCAAATTAACTATAGTTTTTTAAATCCCCTTCAGCCCCTCTCTTTAAATTCTATTTTTACCTTTGTCATTTGACTCAGTCTACAACTAACTTTCTAACATTGGAGTGAACAATTTTCATTCAAACAAACTGTGAGAGTGCAAAAGTACCCAACTAAATGTCTCTGAGTTCTTCTTTAGTTTATTTAAACTTTGAAACATTGTTCTTAATCTCAATTGATCCGTCAAGAATCTGATAAAAGTTATTGAGTCTCTCCTCAAAAATGCAACACATCCAACCACACCAAATTTTACAGATTCACAGGCTTCCTGATGTGTCCTGTTGTGTCTGCATTCCCCAATGCAAGAAGCCCTGGCTGATGGGAACTTACAAACTTTTCCAGGACATCCAGAAAAAGCTTTAGAGACATTTACAGGTGAGACAGAAACTTACTCTCAAAGTCATTTGCAAATATTAGCCCTTCTCATTCTTTCTAGCACAAAACCATACAACAGGCAAGATATCTCCACATCTGTCCTGAGCCTTTCTTGAATACCTGATAAGACCCACCTCAGAGAATGCAATGTGTCTAAACAGTTATATGAGCTGACTAAGCCTTTGAATGACTTCTATTGACATGCTTATGACATTTCCAGATAGTTTTGCCTAATAGTTCTAGTTTCCTATGGGACTTTGCCAAATAATGAAGTCAATATTATCAGCTTTGTTTCTTTAATCAAATCTAACTATGACATATCTACTTTTTGTTACACATAATTAGAATTGCTTCTTTCAGACAACACATGAGAAATGTTATCAAAGCCCAAGAAATTCTCCAATGAAAGGACAAGATTCTCACTGCACTTTGGCAGCCTTCTCTCTCCCAGCCTTACCTCTCAATTTTAGCACAGGCCCGGCCTGATGACAAGACACATAACATTTAAATTGGAAATGATCATTTTTTTGTGCTCAACAGTATCAATATACCTTACTGAATTTCAATAACTTACCATATGTGAATCTACACTGTGAATATTTGCCTATATTGAAGTTGAGATTAACTTCAAAAAGCAGAATCCTACTTTGCTTGGTCATTTACCTTGAAAAAGTAAGTAACTTTAGTGCTTTCCAATGGTTATAATGCATCCTATTTGTTAAAATTGAATAAATGGTAAGTAATCAATGTGTGTGTTCTAAATGCTGTTCATTGTCAAACTGAGTCTGGCCCTTATTTAAAGATATCCTGCATAAGTAATTGCATCCCTCGATACCTGATTTTAAAAAAGTAGTTGATTTGCCAGTATTTTATTGAGGATTTTTGCATCCATGTTCATCAAGGATATTGGTCTAAAATTATCTTTTTTGGTTGTGTCTCTGCCCAGCTTTGATATCAGGATGATGCTGGCCTCATAAAATGAGTTAGGGAGGATTCCCTCTTTTTCTATTGATTGGAATAGTTTCAGAAGGAATGGTACCAGCTTCTCCTTGTACCTCTGATGGAATTCGGCTGTGAATCCATCTGGTCCTGGACTTTTTTTGGTTGGTAAGCTATTGATTATTGCCACAACTTCAGAGCCTGTTATTGGTCTATTCAGAGATTCAACTTCTTCCTGGTTTAGTCTTGGGAGGGTGTATGTGTCAAGGAATTTATCCATTTCTTCTAGATTTTCTAGTTTATTTGTGTAGAGGTGCTTGTAGTATTCTCTGATGGTAGTTTCTATTTCTGTGGGATCAGTGGTAATATCCCCTTTATTATTTTTTATTGCATCTATTTGATTCTTCTCTCTTTTCTTCTTTATTAGTCTTGCTAGCGGTCTATCAATTTTGTTGATCTTTTCAAAAAACCAGCTCCTGGATTCATTAATTTTTTGAAGGGTTTTTTGTGTCTCCATTTCCTTCAGTTCTGCTCTGATTTTAGTTATTTCTTGCCTTCTGCTAGCTTTTGAATGTGTTTGCTCTTGCTTTTCTAGTTCTTTTAATTGTGATGTTAGGGTGTCAATTTTGGATCTTTCCTGCTTTCTCTTGTGGGCATTTAGTGCTATAAATTTCCCTCTACACACTGCTTTGAATGTGTCCCAGAGATTCTGGTATGTTTTGTCTTTGTTCTCGTTGGTTTCAAAGAACATCTTTATTTCTGCCTTCATTTCGTTACATACCCAGTAGTCATTCAGGAGCAGGTTGTTCAGTTTCCATGTAGTGGAGCAGTTTTGAGTGAGTTTCTTAATCCTGAGTTCTAGTTTGATTGCACTGTGGTCTGAGAGACAGTTTGTTATAATTTTTGTTCTTTTACATTTGCTGAGGAGCGCTTTACTTCCAACTATGTGGTCAATTTTGGAATAGGTGTGGTGTGGTGCTGAAAAAAATGTATATTCTGTTGATTTGGGGTGGAGAGTTCTGTAGATGTCTATTAGGTCCGCTTGGTGCAGAGCTGAGTTCAATTCCTGGGTATCCTTGTTAACTTTCTGTCTCGTTGATCTGTCTAATGTTGACAGTGGGGTGTTAAAGTCTCCCATTATTATTGTGTGGGAGTCTAAGTCTTTCTGTAGGTCACTCAGGACTTGCTTTATGAATCTGGGTGCTCCTGTATTGGGTGCATATATATTTAGGATAGTTAGCTCTTCTTGTTGAATTGATCCCTTTACCAGTATGTAATAGCCTTGTCTCTTTTGATCTTTGTTGGTTTAAAGTCTGTTTTATCAGAGACTAGGATTGAAACCCCTGCCTTTTTTTGTTTTCCATTTGCTTGGTAGATCTTCCTGCATCCCTTTATTTTGAGCCTATGTGTTTCTTTGCATGTGAGATGGGTATCTGAATACAGCACACTGATGGGTCTTGATTCTTTATCCAATTTGCCAGTCTGTGTCTTTTAATTGGAGCATTTAGCCCATTTACATTTAAAGTTAATATATTATGTGTGAATTTGGTCCTGTCATTATGATGTTAGCTGGTTATTTTGCTCGTTAGTTGATGCAGTATCTTCCTAGCCTTGATGGTCTTTACATTTTGTCATGTTTTTGCAGTGGCTGGTACCGGTTGTTCCTTTCCATGTTTAGTGCTTCCTTCAGGAGCTCTTTTAGGGCAGGCCTGGTGGTGACAAAATCTCTCAGCATTTGAATCCAGCAGCACATCAAAAAGCTTATCCACCATAATCGAGTGGGCTTCATCCCTAGGATGCAAGTCTGGTTCAACATACACAAATCAATAAATGTAATCCAGTATATAAACAGAACCAAAGACAAAAACCACATCATTATCTCAATAGATGCAGAAAAGGCCTTTGACAAAATTCAACAACCCTTCATGCTAAAAACTCTCAATAAATTAGGTATTGATGGGACGTATCTCAAAAGAATAAGTGCTATCTATGACAAACCCACAGCCAATATCATACTGAATGGGCAAAAACGGGAAGCATTCCCTTTGAAAACTGGCACAAGACAGGGATGCCCTCTCTCATCACTCCTAGTCAACATAGTGTTGGAAGTTCTGGACAGGGCAATTAGGCAGGAGAAGGAAATAAAGGGTATTCAATTAGGAAAAGAGAAAGTCAAATTGTCCCTGTTTGCAGATGACATGATTGTATATCTAGAAAACCCCTTGTCTCAGCCCAAAATCTCCTTAAGCTGATAAGCAACTTCAGCAAAGTCTCAGGATACAAAATCAATGTACAAAAATCACAAGCATTCTTATATACCTAATAGACAAACAGAGAGCCAAATCATGAGTGAACTCCCATTCACAATTGCTTCAAAGAGAATCAAATACCTAGGAATCCATCTTACAAGGGATGTGAAGGACTTCTTCAAGGAGAACTACAAACCACTGCTCAAGGAAATAAAAGAGGATACAAACAAATGGAAGAACATTCCATGCTCATGGGTAGGAAGAATCAATATCGTGAAAATGGCCATACTGCCCAAGGTAATTTATAGATTCAATGCCATCCCCATCAAGCTACGAATGACTTTCTTCACAGAATTGGAGAAAACTACTTTAAAGTTCATATGGAACCAAAAAAGAGCCCGCATTGCCAAGTCAATCCTAAGCCAAAAGAATAAAGCTGGAGGCATCATGCTACCTGACTTCAAACTATACTACAAGGCTACAGTAACCAAAACAGCATTGTACTGGTACCAAAACAGAGATATAGGTTAATGGAACAGAACAGAGCCCTCAGAAATAATGCCACATATCTACAACCATCTGATCTTTGACAAACCTGACAAAAACAAGCAATGGGGAAAGGATTCCCTATTTAATAAACGGTGCTGGGAAAACTGGCTAGCCATACGTAGGAAGCTGAAACTGGATCCCTTCCTTGCACCTTATACAAAAATTAATTCAAGATGGATTAAAGACTTACATGTTAGACCTAAAACCATAAAAATCCTAGAAGAAAACCTAGGCAATACCATTCAGGACATAGGCATGGGCAAGGATTTCATGTCTAAAACACCAAAAGCAATGGCAACAAAAGCCAAAATTGACAAATGGGATCTAATTAAACTGAAGAGCATCTGCACAGCAAAAGAAACTACCATCAGAGTGAACAGGCAACCTACAAAATGGGAGAAAATTTTCGCAACCTACTCATCTGACAAAGGGCTAATATCCAGAATCTACAATGAACTCAAACAAATTTACAAGAAAAAAACAAACAACCCCATCAACAAGTGGTTGAAGGATATGAACAGACACTTCTCAAAAGAAGACATTTATGCAGCCAAAAAACACATGAAAAAATGCTCATCATCACTGGCCATCAGAGAAATGCAAATCAAAACCACAATGAGATACCATCTCACACCAGTTAGAATGGCGATCATTAAAAAGTCAGGAAACAACAGCTGCTGGAGAGGATGTGGAGAAATAGGAACAATTTTACACTGTTGGTGGGACTGTAAACTAGTTCAACCATTGTGGAAGTCAGTGTGGTGATTCCTCAGGGATCTAGAACTAGAAATACCATTTGACCCAGCAATCCCATCACTGGGTATATACCCAAAGGACTATAAATCATGCTGCTATAATGACACATGCACATGTATGTTTATTGTGGCACTATTCACAATAGCAAAGACTTGGAACCAACTCAAATGTCCAACAGCAATGGACTGGATTAAGAAAATGTGGCACATATACACCATGGAATACTATACAGCCATAAAAATGATGAGTTCATGTCCTTTGTAGGGACATGGATGAAACTGGAAACCATCATTCTCAGCAAACTATCGCGAGGACAAAAAACCAAACACCGCATGTTCTCACTCATAGGTGGGAATTGAACAACGAGAACATATGGACACAGGAAGGGGAACATCACACTCTGGGGACTGTTGTGGGGTGGGGGAAAGGGGGGAGGGGTAGCATTAGGAGATATACGTAATGCTAAATGACGAGTTAATGGGTGCAGCACACCAACATGGCACATGTATACATATGTAACAAACCTGCACATTCTGCACATGTATCCTAAAACTTAAAGTATAATAATAATAAAATAAAATAAATAAATAAAGTAGTTGAAGTAACCACAGTCCAAAAGACCTCAGCCAGTTCATTTTTAAAGCTTAGTGTTGAGGAGCTATTCTCCAGAGAGGTTCAACATGTCTTGTGACAGTTTTCATCCAGACTATCTTTCCCAAGAATGATTATATAGTGAACATATTGGAAGTTAAAGATAGTGTCTCCCTCTGGGGCAGAGAGCAGAATGTTTTTTAGTGACCAGAATAATTTTTTAAGTCTCCTTTCAGAACAAAGTTTTGGCAAATTGGCCAGAAGTTTCTTTATAAGACTGGAGCCCAGGGATCCTCAGCTGTGATGCAGACCCACTGTGTGCACACCATTCATCTAGGCCACTCCACATATCCTCATAGGACTTGGAGGACAAGAGGAACAAATGGGACATGAAGCTCAAGCTCTTTGCTGTGCCATGAACAAGATATCCTTTTTCTCTGATCTAGATGTCTCATGTCTTCTGCCAGCACTGTAACTGTGGCAGACTTACTCGTTAGTTTGCGAGCAGGGCACGGTTCTTGACACTAAGCTAAATAACCAAAGACAATCAGGATAGAAAATAATATCTAGGGATTTCAACATCTGGCCAAGATGAAGTAATGGGCCAAATTTATCTTCATGCCTAGAACACTGGGAAAAAAATATATGAAGACAATGGTTGTTAGACATTGGACATCAGGTGGTATAAGACAGTGCTCTACACAAGAAGGGAAATAAAGGGCCTGTAAAAGTGTCCAGGATGAATGGAGAAGAACCCAGAGGGATCCCAACAATCTCCTTAAGTTAAGGACATAGAGTTGAGAAACCAAGGCGGGGAGGGCAATTAGAGTGTGCAAGGCAGAGTAGAGGGGAAGAGATTGCTGCACAAAGACAGAAATCCAGATATCTGCAGAGGATTTGTCTCAGGTCATCAAATGAGTCCTGATCCATGCATTTGTGTGAAGAAACTACCAAAGGCAGAAAGAAGAACCATCTTCCTACAGTGATCGTCTATGCCTCTCTCTCTCTCTCTCTCTCTCTCTCTCTCTCTCTCTCTCTCTCTCGCTCATATTCTATATCTTGCTCTTTCTATTCTGGGAGATTTTCTGCTCTACTCTTTGACTTTAATATCTGACCTATTTACCATGTTCTTGTTGTTAGTTTTGAAATAATATCCTTAGTTTTTAAGAGTTCTTTCTTGGTTTTGCTTTTATGAGGTATTGACCTTGTTTTCTCAGTCCTTATCTTCTTTATCCTGAAGCTCATACAAGACAAGGATAACAGCCAGATTGAAAAATTCATAATGGTTAGAGTCTCTGGTAGAGTACTCAAAAGAGAATTGCCTTAGTAATGGAGTAAAATAAGTCCTAAATTAACACTGCTCTGGACCTACCTAACAAAGTTTAAACACAAGCCTCAAAAGGCTCGAATTATTTCCAAGCAGCTTAGCTGCATCCCAGAACAAAGCTCAAGAATATTTATAAGAATATGCAAAATCCAGCATCCAACAAGGTAACACTCTGGCATCCAATCAAATGTAACCAAGCATGCAAAGAATCAGGAAAATACAACTCAGAAAGCAGCAGCTAGGGAAATCCAGGAATATCCTTCCTACTCAAAATATGGTTCACAGCTCAGTAGCATTAGCGTCACCTGGGAGCTTGTTAGAAATGCAGAAAATCTTGGGCCCTGCCTCAGTGCTTCTGAATTAGAATTTGCATCTTATTAAGATCCTCTAGGTGAAAATATACACATTCAAGTTTGAGAGTCACAGAACTAAAACTCGGAAGTCAAGGGAGTCACTCTAAGGGGTAACTTAGAAGAACCGCTTGCTCAGAGGCTTCTACAAAGAATGAGGATGTGGGGAAAAAAAACATATTTTTCAAGCACATTCTAGGGTGGATTTCTTTAAGTTTCTTAGTTAAAGTCCTAAAAGTCTATCCTAAGTCGAAATTACAATCCAAAGCAGAAGCCTGAGAAGCATGCCAAGCTCACACTGAAATCAGTAAAACAGAGGAAGCATGTCATTCCAAGACAGCCCAAAAAACCCTTTTATACTCTGCCACATGTTCAGAAAGGAAGAATAAGGAAGAATAACACATCATAGGACAAAATGGAAATGTTATCTGACTTCTTTTTAAGTCTGGATAGACTTGGTCTTTAAACAGATTTCAAAAAATCATCATGCTGTTTCTACAACAAAAGAGTAGACCATATTGTTGACAGCATATAATATCACTAAAAAACAGAGAGAATGTGTGGTGATGAATCACCCAGAATTTGGCAAATACATCCTGAGTTCTTTTTTATGTGCTAAAAAAAACTCATGGACCTTGTCATGCCTCGTCAGTTTTCTACATCAATTTGACTTGCAACTGTAAGCCAGTTTCATGGCTTGAACTAGTTCTCATCTCCAGGATTGAATATTTGCTTACAAAACTGTTCTGTGTTAGACCATAATTGTAACTGCCTCTGTGCTACCAGATTATCAGCATTGACGTGAAATTTGTGCTGGCTAGAAATAATGCTTCTTCATTTCTGCCACTTAAGCAGTTCAGTTCCTTTGCTAAACAGAAGGATAATTAAAGGAAGGCAGACAAGAATGAAACATGTCCAGAGTAAGTGCCTCCTTGCCAAGATTAGACTGTATTAAGAACACATCAGCCAGCTGAGTAATTTAGAATCACATTCTGAGACACAGTTCACAAATGCAAACCCTAAACCTCTTTCCCAATTACTATAAGCTGCATATACACTCAGCTCAGAGAGTGTGAAAATGCAAGTCACCTGTCTGAAAGGAGGGGCAATGGCTCAGCACAATCCAGCACCACTCCTGGAAAACATATTCCAGGTATACGCCATAATTTCTGTCAAACTAGGAAGGGAATGTACTTGGGGACATTCTTATTTCATATTCAGGTTCAGATCACAAAGGCTGACATGTTTATACAACACTTCCCCCAAAGAATCAGTCGTGCCTAAACAAAAATATTGTTTATGGTAGTCAAATGATTTACTCACTCACCACCTCCTTTCCACATCGGAGACCTAAGAAAAATTTTTATTTTTCTTATAATTCGAATAGAAAAGCACATTCTTATTCAGTAGCCAAAACACTGGTCTTCCTCGGGTCTCGAGAGCCATCATTAAAACTGACACTAATTGGCGTTATTGCTGACAGCACAGAGTGACAGGGTAGGCTCTGCAGATGGAGCACCATTCATTCCCGGTTGTACATGTAGCTCACTCATGGATGGGAAGATTCAGGGAACCCTACAGCTGAGCCTGCCCTTGTCATTCATGCTCTGTCAAGACAAAGGATGACAGGATTTTTGATCCAGCACTTCCTCCAAACACTATTTACTGTCTTTGCCTCTGTGCACTTTGCTTCCCTTCCCAAGCTGAACTGAAGGGTTGGAATTCAAAGGCACTGAAAGCTTGGCTCTAATCAGTGATCCATGCATGGCAGGTGCTGAGAGGCCCACGGCTGCACTCACAGCTGTAGTTGGGCTTTATGATAGCAGCTGAAGACTGTGATGCTAATGAGCTCCATATAACGGAATGCATCTTCCAGCCCAAAGAATGACCACACAACTGAGTGATAGGAATCTTCTTGGGCTGTATTGTTGCTCATTTGTAGTGTACACAGCAAACTCATCCCATTGCTGATTCTGTTTTATTTACACCCTTCTTATCTGCTTCTTAAATAAAACTCAGCTTCTTTCCACTGTAGTTCTCATATTCCATACTTTTTTGACTGTGTTTGAATTGTAATATTGTATCAGAAAATTTACATGATAAATCCAAAAGAACACAGACTCTTTGCCTGGGCTTTTCTTGCACCTACTCACAAGAAGAGTAGAATTTGTTCTTGTTAGGGCATGATCTTAAGACAATTTATCTATAGATATACTTTTTAAATAAAACAAATATAGAAAAAAATAGCTTTGAAAAACCTTTTATGTAGATAATGAAGATTTGTGAAATAAGGAGAATAATTTCAAAATCAAGTACTGAGCAGTCACTAAAAAATAGATATGCATGGAAATCCCTAATAAATGCATAAATATAGTACCTCGAAGGTATAATGCACTTGAATGTACTTGGGTTTCTTTTGTCTTATCTGTCATTTACCTGTACTGAGCTCATAGAATAGCAAAGATTTCATGAGTCATTTCAGAAGTCCTTCTAGTCATCCCACTGCCTTCATATATAATATGGCAGGTGAGGGGAACAGGGAAATCTCAGTAGAAACCCAGTGTTTACCACATGTTTCTAGTCTACTATACATAGCTAATCACATGTGGAAGAGTATTTTACCTTCTGATAATTTCCAGGCTTAGGATCATGCTAAATCCAGAGAAGAAGGGATAGTCATATTGAATATGTGTTTCTTGAGCTCACCCACTTAAAGTCAATGAATGAAGGAGAAGTCAGACCAACATATAAATTCGCCACCCAAATAAAATAAAGTAACTAGAATGGTTAGGAATGCTTTCAGCCAAACTCATAATTAAAAGACACAATGGAACTTTACATCAAAAACAAATATTCATATTAAAAAACAGACTGTTGCTGAGAGAAATGTATCTGACACTCTACATGCAACTGTAGAGTGCAAGTAATTTTTCAAACATGGTTATCAGCAGAGCTAAAGTAGACATTCTGGATTACTCAGTAATAGATGAAAGTTAACATTCCAACACCCAAAACAAAGTCAGCCATCATTTTATCAAACGTTTAGGCAAAAATGAGGAAGAAAAGACATAGGAAGTGAGATGTTAAGTACATTTTTGTAACTTGGCATCCCACATAGCATCTTCCACATTATTTCATTGATTCTTGTTGATTAGTAATAAAGACCTTAGAAAGGCATAAAAAGCTCTATCAAGCAATCTAAAATGATTTACCTCAAGGCAAGGAAAATGGTTAATTCTAAGGTTGAGATTAAATCCTAGAGATCAAAATTCAACTTCTCATTTTTCTTATTGAAAAATTTAGGTCTTGAGTGGCAAAGGACCTTCTCCAAGGTCATTCAGTTACTTAGCTTGCCAGAAATGTACAGTTTCTTCAGAGATTCAAGGTTTCTTTTGCTCTTGCTGTATACCAGGACTCAGCAAGGTACTGCAAATACCAAGGTGGTATTCTTGCCTTCATGAGGAGTATAATCTCTGTGGAAGACATTGAAAATAGCTACAGCAATGGATAGTTACAGAGAGTGGACTTCAGTACAGATCCCAAAGAGAGCACATGCCATGACAGCAGTGACACAGACAGAGGACATCCAGCTGGTGGGGGACAGAATTGGTTAGGAAGGAGAGGACTTCAAGGGAGCAAGGAGAAGGAACAGCTGAGACAAACTACCCAATCTCAAAACCAGCCTCAAATGAAGCACAAATTGAGATGTATCCTATTGAAATCATTACTTTATTGGTGACATGAATATTTATTGAGTGATTTCTCTGGGCCAACACCCTGCAGGTACTAGGGATTAGCAGTAAATAACTAAACACAGCCTCTCTCCTAAGTGTTTCAGAGCAACAGGGAAAGCTAATCTGAAACAAATAGAAAAGCAATTGGATTGCAATTGACTCTAGTGTTCCCTGAGAAACCGATGAATTCTACAGAATGGCTATAAAATCTGTCTCTACTCATCTTCTTCTATGCATCATCCCCTAATGGCAAGAACCTCTGACAGTTTTACAGACTTTTGTTGCAAGTTTCCTGACAACATCACCTTTGAGGAAAGGGGACTAACTGAGCCACTATTTATAGGAATCCATGGATGAGATCTGGGATCACGAACAAAGTCTTTGTGTATAGATATGACCAACCAGGCTGGTCACTGCTTATACCCAGGCAATCAGTGAGTGCAATTCCAGGATTGGTGGCTCAACTCTCTACTTCTCAGTCAGGGAAGTTCAGAATAATATTGTCTTCAAGATCTCCAAAGGAGAGCTCTCTAGAAAATCACCTGTAGAGTGGAATTCTTGCTGGATACAAGCCATAAGTCATCATTGAATGCATGTGGCGAAGGCTACCAAGTTGACTGGCATCTACAAAACCCTTTCTGATTGGGCCCTAGTGTTTGAGGGGTAGGATCTAAGAATCATCTCTGATGACTATGTCTTTAATAAATGCAGACATCCAGAAAGTGAAGGTGAATATCAAGAATGTGTTTCAATATTGCAACATGTGGCCTCTGGCATTTTCAGTGCTCAAAGTCAATCTGTGAATGTTAAGCTCTTAATAACCCATAAATTTTGTCTAGAAAGAGCCCTAAAGACCTTTGGGAAATTCATAAAGGATTTAAAGCTAAAATCCATGCCCAAGTGCAACTCCAATAGCCAAAATCTCTGATGTTCTGCTCTCATTCTTACCCTCCCAGCATTTCAGAGACAGATGTCTGGGCAGGGCAGCCTCTGATTAAGAAATTCCTAATGAGTGGTAAAAAATAAAGTAATATAATACATTAAAACCAGAGGGCCCTATACAGAAGAGGTGGTGTGCCTTAAAAACAAAACTAGGGATGGCTTTGGAAAACTTGTAGCCGGGATAACAGGTTCATTCAGAGCAAAGTTCAACAAAGGAGGACAAAGCAGGCAGAGTCTAGAAAATCCCCATCTTCCTAGCATGCCTGAGTCAAGTAAGGAGAGAAATGTGCTATTGCTATTAGGATTCTTGGCTTTACCATACCTGTGGCCAGGAGGGGATGTGACAGGAGGAGTGGTGAGTTGTCAAAAGACAAGCTCATTAAGTTTTATCCGACCTAGAGGTCAATTTTAATGGAAACTCATACCCCCGGGTCTCAGATGGGAAGTTGTCTGTGGTTTTGAGCACTTTTTGATTTGAATATAAAAGAAGACTAAGAGAAGAGACAAGACTGTATGGAAAAATAAAAGAATTCTATATTAATTTAGACCAGACTTTTCTTTCCCTGAATGTAGAAATAAGTTGCCAGGAACCCTGTCAAAATAAAAGTGGAATAAGAATTATGATAAGAAAAGTATAGTGAGCTCTGCAAATATATCACAGGGTGGCCTTCCAAGACATAAAGTCATCCCTGAAGAGATAAAATTTAAACTAGGTCCTAAAGATGAGGAGGAATTAGTCTTTTGAAGAGAGAGTGCAAAGTGGTAATATCCCAGGCAGAGGAAACACCATGTGGAAAGGCCCTGAGATAAGATAAAACAGAGTACATTCAAGGCATGAAAAAGTTCAGTGTGATAAACATGAGAGACTGAAAAGAGATGAGGTCAACTATCTGGACAGGGTGCAGGTGGCAGACCTTCCATGCCAAATTAAAAGATCCTGACTTTATCTCAAGGCAAAGAGAACCAACAAAAGCATTTTAAGTATAAAATTTAAATTATGACATTTTATAATGTAGCCCTAACTAAAGAATGGAGAGTGAATTTAGGAGGAACATGATTGGAACCAGAAAGGTGAGTCAGTGCTACTGCAGAACTCCAGAGGAGAGAAGATGACCAGGATGAGAGAAGTGGCAGTGGGGCTCTGAAGAAAGGGATAACTCATGTATTTAACTACATACTTGACATCTCCTGCTTGAATAGGTCAATCTTGGTGTCTTCTGACACAAAGCATATCCAAAACCCTAATAATGAGCATCAGTCTTCCCAAGTTCCATGAAAAGCATAATCATCCTCCTAGATGTGGAAGTCAGAAACCTTAGAGACAGAAGATTCTTCCCTTTTCTTTATTTTGGGCGCCATACCTTTCCCCCTCTGATCTGTTCACAAACCCCATTAATTCTACTTCCAAAACTGATTTTCCATTATCTTGGTTCAAATTGGAAACAGAGTCAGAGAGATTTGCATGCAAGAGGTTTACTGGGGGTGTACTCAGGAGAATATATGTAAGGGAATAGGAAAGCAGGATGACAGCGGGAGCAGCTGAACTGCAACGCAGTGGCGACACAGGCCTCAACTGATTCCACAGGAAGCTATGGAGCTAGGAAGGTCTTTCAGGGTTGTCCTAAATTAAGGCAAGGGCCTTTGTACTTCCTTCTCATTGAGCAGTTAATGGGGGTGGCCAACCCAGAGGCATGATGGATGAGGCACTTCCCTTAGGAAAGGACAAGTCTTGGAGGTGGACTAAGCTCTGGGTTGTTGGCAGCCTACTCTCCCCAGAGCTGAGGGAATGAGTGTCTCAGTCCTGAGGGGAATCTGGGTGGGACAGCACAGCTTCCACCACATCAAAATCTATCTGCCTCCTTCTTTACTGCTACCTACATTATTCAAGTCATTATTATCTCTCACCTTCAAAATGTATGATAGCCTCTGAACTGGTTTTCTCTGCCTCCACTAATGATGCCCTAAAGCCATTTACTACCAAACAACCAGAACTATCTTTTTGAAATGTGAGACTAATCATGTCACTTTCCAACATTCAATGACCTCACTGCAATGAAAATGAAATCCAAACTCCTAATCCTGCCTGTGTCTACTACTTACTGATGTGCTTTAAAGCCAACTTCTCTCTTAACAGGCAATTCCATTAGCTTTGAGTTACCTGTATCAGCAAACACATTGATTCCACTTGCTTTCTTAAGCTACACCTTGACCAACTCTTGAAACCCTTCAACCTCAACTACATGACAAATTATGCCTGATCTTGGGAAAAAAGGAGAATTAGACAAAATTATAGAATTTAAAAGAAGAATATGAAGTTGGATATGGGAAGGGACATAAAAGGGGGAGAAGAGCAATCTAAGAGGAAAATAAATCCTTGCCCCATGAAGAGCAAGAGATGAAGATTCAATTCTGTTTTGAGGGTACAGACCCCAGGGGAAGCAGCCAATGAATTCACTAATGTTATCTTTGACCATCCACAGATGCTGATTTGCAAGCATATGTTGTAAGAGTAGCATAAAAATATTGCCATTCTGCAGTACTGGAATTCCAGCAATCCCTCATGCTTCATGTTTTCATTGGTTCCAAATGCATACATTTAATTTCATATCACAAGACTATAACAGACTGTTTACACAAAAGACATCTGTGTTTATGTCAACTTGCAACTAACCTTGTTTGCTTTAAGTGTGATATTATGGATAATCCTAAGCAGTGGTAAAACTACATTCACAAATACATGACTTTTATTATTAAATTGTTGGCTGTGGATTTGCCTTTCTTTTTTTTTTACACTTTCATATTTTATTAGAAACTAAGAAATCAAAAATCCTATACAATGATCTGTAGTTATAAGAAAACAATAAAAAAATATACTACCCAAATGATATATAATATAAAAATGTACTTCCGAATTGGTATAGAAATTCCATCTAGTTCAGAATAATATCAATATGGATACTTCCTTTTATATTAAATTCACAAAATCTAGCAGTTTCTATGGTATTTTACATTTTCTTAGATTGTTTTAAAATTTCTTCATTCTTTCTTTGGTTTTGGATAAACTAATAGGCATTTTAATTAATGTAATTAAATTAGTGTAAAATTCACTAATCTGAATTTAAAAATCTATCTCAGAAGTAGTTCAATTTATCTTTTTTATCTTTTTATTATACTTTAAGTTTTAGGGTACATGTGCACAACATGCAGGTTAATTACATATGTATACATGTGCCATGTTGGTGTGCTGCACCCATTAACTCGTCATTTAGCACTAGGTATATCTCCTAATGCTATCCCTCCCCCCTCCCCCCACCCCACAACAGGCCCAGGTGTGTGATGTTCCCCTTCCTGTGTCTATGTGTTCTCATTGTTCAATTCCCACCTATGAGTGAGAATATGCGGTGTTTGGTTTTTTGTCCTTGCAAGAGTTTGCTGAGAATGATGGTTTCCAGCTTCATCCAAGTCCCTACAAAGGACATGAACTCATCATTTTTTATGGATTTGCCTTTCTTAAGTAAATATTCTAGAAGTTATCTGTGATTCACTTGTGGTTACAATGATGCTCTCATGACCCAGTGATTTCCTGTCTAAGATAACTGAAATACTATTGGTGGCTTTTTTGACATTACCCCCACAAGATGACTTAAACCATTCTTTAGAAAAATTTTAAAACTCTTTCAGATAACTGGGAGAATTTCAGGGTACAGTATAACATCTGAGAATGATAGATTGTGCAGTTATTGTTCATTTAGTGGCCTAAATTTATTGTCAGCTCTTCTCCTCTCTGCTTTATCGCTGGGAAACTGGACCAACTGGTTCACATCATCTGAGTTCCTCTGCAGCCTGGCTTAAGTAGGACTTGGCTAATGCGCATCATCAGAAGGAAGCCAGAGCTGGGGAAAAGAAGGAGATCGGCATATTTCTTCTCCTTGCACTCTATGCTTTGGACTACCTTTCTGCCAAGTTATATTCCTCCAGGACTACAACTAATATTAAGCTAACTCCTTCTCCAAAGCGCCAATTCTCACCAGGCTTAAATAATGCTATTTTCCCTTCAACCCTAGGGGCTGTAACGGCTTCCCTTGCTGCTAGTTTCTGGATGCCTCCACATCCCTTGTTGGTTTCCTTAATATTAATCCTCTCTGGGGGGTTCTTCAACTAAATGATTCACTTTTTTCCCCTGGAACCTGCCTGACACATACATATGGAAGCTGATTATTTATGTGAAGGTGACTCAAATGTTCAACCTTGAAGCTGCAAAGGTACATACATAACCGTAATTAGCTGAATCTTTATTAGAAACACCAACTGAAAATAGCTTTAAGTTTACTTGGGAGATATTGCCTGTGCTTTTCATCATAAGAAGTACCAGCAGTAGGTCTATGAAGACTCGTTCAGGTGAGGAAGAAAAATACGAGAGAAATAAATTCAGATGTGAAAGTATCACCTCTCTCCTTAATCTGGGACTTACGAAGTCATTGCAGTTCACATCTCAGAAACACCAGCCAAATAGCAGTAGTATTAATTATATATAAAACACGATGTTATCAGAAAACACCAGAACCCTGTCTGAAAAATTGCTACATTCCTGCAAATCCCTGACAGCTCAATTCAATGCTAAGGTGTTTTCAACCAAAACAATGGCTTAATCACTCCATTACAAGCAATATTGCTATATTAGCTGATAAGGCTTATGGCGTACTATCCTTTATCCCTGGCAGCAGCATATAGGTCAACCTATGAAAGGGTGACTCTCAAGAATGTATATCATAAATCCGTGCTTAGAGAAATGTCCAGCTTCAGCACTTCCTGCATTTCTCAGTGACTGCACTCACTTGAAGATTGGGAGACACAACATTGATATTTTACGTATCATTTAGGGGCACTTATAAGCCAGCACTGCCACCACTGTGTCATCTTCTAGAATGCACAACTTATGGAATTGCCTATATCTGAAACACTTTTTTTTTAGAATGCCAAGAAATGACCATGTTAAAGACATCTAAGCCTTACTCATGCAGGCTACTTGTATTTTATATGCATTTCTTTCACATTTCATCACCTAAAAATTGTATGACTTAGTTGTCATTCCCTATCTGGTTATTATTTGTTTGTTTACTTGTTTGTTTGTTGGAATTATGGAAACTAAGGCTCAGAATAGTTAACAGCTTGCCCTAGGTCAAACACAGCCTAAAGCAAAGCCTGGGTAAAGAAAGATCTTCAGACTCAAAGCCCAGTGCTCTTTCCCTTCCACCACAGCCATTTGTGTTTGCTCAGACTGTGTTTATTCAAAAGCACATGATCTCTTATAACAGAAAAATAAATCCTTCTTTAATTATACTTCAAAACATGTCCCTTATGAGATTTCTCACTTTCTCCATTCCTATTACCCTATTCCCCATTACCATCCTCTCTCTCCTGGACTCCTCCAATAGCCCCTTAATTCATCTCCCTGCTTCCACCCTCACCTACCCTTACTCCCATGGCCCAGAAGCCACACAGCAACAAGATATTATTTTAAACTTAGATTGTGTCACTACCCTAACTTGAAAGCCCAGTGTTTTCCCATTGCAGTAAGATCCAGACTCCTTGCCTGGCGTACACTCCCCTCTGTGATCTGGCTCCTGCCTGCTGCTCTGAACTCCTCTCCAGTCACCACTATTTGCCAGGCTTCAGCCACTTTGGTCTACTTTCCAGCCTGGGAGTAAGCCAACCACATTCACACCACAGGGTCCTTGCCCTTATTGCTGCTGAGGTCCAGAATGCCTATTCCCTGGGCCTCATCATGACTTGCTCTTGCTCACCATTTAGATCTCAAGTCCAAAGTCACATCACCTCTTCCCTAATCACTTTATCTAAAGAAGTTTCGTGCTCTATCCCCAGGTACTCTATCCCATTACCTGGCTTTATTTTCTTTCAATACACATTACTCTTGAAGATCCTACTCCTACATACTTTTGTTTATTTTTTGAGGTAGACTGAGTGATATTCAGCAAAGAATCAGTCTTTCCCACAGCACTCCCAATGGGAAGTGTGTACTTCCCCAGTCCCTTGAGACTTGGCCATGTGACTTGCTTTGGCCAGCAAAATATGGTTGGAAGTGACAATGAACCTCAATGGGCATGGTAAGTCTCACCAGCTCTCTTGTGCTCCTGAAATCCTTCCCCCACAATGAGAAGAGTTTGTCTGAGGTAACCACTGCCCCTTCAACAGAGCTGCTGGAATCGCAAGCACATGGCACAGGTCAGAGCCCACCCAAAGCATCAAATAGATTAACCCCAGCTGATCCCAGAACTGCATGCAGGAAATCAATCTTGTTCCTTTAAGCCACTGAGAATTTGCTGTTCTTTGTTGCCATAGCAAAAGCACAGATCATTTATCCATCTAAGGATCATTTACTGATTTGTTTATTGGGTAAATGTCTATCTCCCTCACTGGAACTTACGCTGCATGAGGGGCAGAGACATTGTCACATTTATAGCACTCGAAATGACATTTGGTATATAGTTGGAACTCAATGATCACTTGTTAAAACTTATTGGCGTGTCTGATGCAATCTAAAACTATAGAAAATTTAAAATTCATTAGACAATATGAGACTTTAAGATGTAATATTTAAATGTTAAAATAGGGGACAATTTCCTAAATTTTTATCTTCATTGATAGAAACTGGGGTTGTTATATTGTCTAAAGTAAGACCCATTGAAAATTAAAACAATTAAAATGTAAATATATGAAGTGGCAACAAAACATGCTTGAATTATTTTTCCAAAAATAAACGAGTCGCTATGTGCTAAGAGTGTTTCTCGGTCAAACACTCAAGTGTATTTACAGTCTAGTAAATACACTCTATAGTGTATTTACTATACACTAACAGTGTATAGCACTACTATAGTCTAGCCCTCGACCTTTCTTCCACCCAGACCCTCCTCATCTGGTACCCACTTCTTCCACCCACACCCTCGCTCATCCTCTCCTTTCCTGCCTCTGTATTCTGGCTCTCACTCCTCTTTTATCCAGAACACCCTTGCCCAACATCTCCACATTTTGAAGTTACAGCTATTCTTCAGATGCTACACTGCTACCCTTCTGTAAAGTATTTTCAGCCTTTGCCATATAGAACTAATCTTCTCCTTGGAACTTAGGGAGGCTATTTGTACCTCCTATGTAACATTTATCACATCCTGCTTTCTGGGTGGAATGAGAGCTTCTAATAAGCTATGTGAGGACAGGAATCATGTCTTATTCATTGTACACTGCCCTGAAAATACTATATTTTTAACAAATATTTGTCACTTTGAAAGAGGTACTAAAGTTTTCAAACATCCGTTACCACCATAGTATGCATTAAGGCTGGAGAAAAGGTAATAACCCACATTACTAACCAAGTTTTCTCATAGTATGAGATTGTTGTGAAGGTAGAAAGGGAGGTCAAAATGCAAACCAGCTTCTTGTAAGTTCAACTATGCATAAAGAGCTGAGATTTTGCCCTTATGCCTGACCTCCACAGATAAGAATCACCCTACTTGATTTTGAAATGATTTGTACATCTTTCACTTTGCCGGTAAATAATATTTATAAAGTTTATTGCTTCTTTTACAAATAGATCAACTTGAACAGTTAGACATTCAAGCAAGGCTGATTTGTGGGAAAGGGAATTGGCATGCGCATTATTTGATGATTAGAAAAATATCAAGATGCACTACCCACTAAACGCAATGCATCATTCAAGCTTCATTCCTTTAGCGTAATAAGTATCCTCTTATAAAATTTAGATACTCTTGAGACCGTTAACAGATTAAGTTAAATAACAGTATTCATATACTAATTAAATTAATGTAATGAGATTTCTTTCCTCTTTTTTTTTTTTTTTTTTTTTTTTTTTTGAGACGGAGTCTCGCTCTGTCGCCCAGGTCGGACTGCGGACTGCAGTGGCGCAATCTCGGCTCACTGCAAGCTCCGCTTCCCGGGTTCACGCCATTCTCCTGCCTCAGCCTCCCGAGTAGCTGGGGCTACAGGCGCCCGCCACCGCGCCCGGCTAATTTTTTGTATTTTTAGTAGAGACGGGGTTTCACCTTGTTAGCCAGGATGGTCTCGATCTCCTGACCTCATGATCCACCCGCCTCGGCCTCCCAAAGTGCTGGGATTACAGGCGTGAGCCACCGCGCCCGGCCTCTTTCCTCTTGATAGTCAGTAATAAACGGTGGCCCTGTAAGAAGGGTGGACTGAAAGTCAGAGTATAGAGAGGAAACCTTGTAACAAGTGAAATTGCCGGGGAGCACAGAGTGCTCGGAGCCTCAGCGGACCCTAACAGCAGCTGTAGAGTATTAGGAATCTGAGTGGTAGGGGGAAGAGAAAAAAAAAAGCCAGAGATGAAAGGCGAACAAAAGAGAAGATACACTGGGTGCTAATGGAATTTCTAAAACTTTATCTAAGAGTGCCCTAGAACAATGCTGCATGTAAGCTGAGTTTACATGATACCAAGCAAGTCCTATGAGTTCATTTAATTATGTTAAAAGTAGCGGGGGCAGGGAATCAACACTATTTTCTGTTTTAACTGTCATATTCCCTGTATAGATTCACATTAAGAAACTTCCCCCAAAATAACCCACAGATTGTGTTTACATGATGACAAAAACATATACATTAAATATATATTAAAAGGCCTCCAGAACAAATGTCTAAATGACCAGTTGAATCTAAAACCAACATTAGAATGAACATTTGGCATCACTCAAGAAGACATTTAGATAAACTTCTTTCCTCACCATTTCAATTCAAACATTTGAAGCCCTGATATGCTCCAGAAATTGGATTAGAAACAAAAATAAATAAGATGTATTTGCTGTCTTCAAAGAGCTAGCAGTCTACTAAGAGAGAAACATAGAGGGAGATGCTCCAGAAAACAGGAAATGATTGGCTGGGCAGGACAATGCACATGCAGCTGGGCTCATGCAGAGCCAGCAGCTGAGTGTGCTGTTTGGGGAACCACAGTTTGGTTCCGCCTAAACTGTGAAGTGGCAAGATTGGGCTTGGCACACATGTGGGTGACAGAACTCAGACAGCATTCCCTGGTATGCTGAGCAACTTAGAGGAGCTCTTTTCTAAGGAATGAAAATCTACAAAGAGTTTTATGCAAGGGAGTGAAACAGTAAATTTGTGGTAACATGCTTTGTGGATTAACATGGACATACTGGGGCACTGAAGTCTATCACAAGGTTATAGCAATAAAGTGAGATACAATGGGGGCACTGAAGTCTATCACAAGGCTATAGCAATAAAGTGAGATACAATGGGGGCATGAACTAGGGCAGGGATAAGAAGGGCCAAAAAGGATGGCAAAATGCTAATAATGTTCTGGCTCTTGGAAAAGTTCTAGGTTTACTTGTGTTCACTATATCATTATAACAAGCACACATAAATAACATATATACTTTTTCTGTATTAACTAATTTAAAGGACAATTAAGCAGAGAAGAAAAAGGTGTTGCAGATTACAGGATATTTGTGTGTTGAAAATTGATCATATGTGAGTTAGAAAGTAGAATAATCCAGAATGAAGATTGTTCCATAGTTATGCATGTCACGTGCTGAACAAGGATCAGCAGAGGAGGGGAAGTGAGGACTAAAATTCAACCTTAGCTTTGCTTATCAGGTAGGATCTGTATGACCAAAAGGTCAACTCTTTCTAACTTCCACAAAAGCACTACAAGGGCAAGCAGCAGCCCTGTCCAGGAAAACTCCCAGTTTTCTATCTTGAGCAAGTGAATGAATGGTGATGTCATTAACAGTGACTGGATACTGGGACAAAAGAATGTTCTTGGGTAGCAGTGGTGGAAAGGAAGAAGAGTGGAATATTAATTTAAGATCATGTAGGACATCCATGTGAAGATGTTCAACAGGAATGTGTACCTATGATTCTCAAGGTTAGAGGGAAAATCAAGGCTGAATACAGAGATCAATGGCAGATATAGGAAATTAAAGCATAAAAGTTATGGAAAGTGATAAGTATAAAACTGAGCTCACTTAATCTAGCAAAGATGAACCCGAGAAAATGATTTTTGGGCCTATTGCTCTGACCCAAGATTTACATTCCCTAATACTTCATTTCAATGACATCTTATTGCACTTACAATTTTCTTGAAAACTTAAACCTCTTTTTCTACAGAAAACCCATTTCATCCCCTAAAGTACCAGCAGGCCCATTTCTTATCAACATTAAGGCTTTTAACTATGTCCTTATCTCTTCTTGAGAAACAACTGATTGCCTGTCATTGGCTTATACTTTTCAAGATGGATTCTGTAAAAGGTATTTTATCTTACACATTGCCTTAGTCGACCAAGGATGTATTGCCTCTTGTTTCAAGATACATTTAATTCAAAACAGAAATTTAAGTCTCTGTCTTTAGCACTTTGTCCTTTTGCCCCCATGGAAAATGAAATTTTTATATAATATTTTTGGTGACATTCTTGCCATTCAAATGGCCCAAACATTTTTTAAAGCAACATTGCACTATAACAGCTTATTAAGGGAAGGGAATGATATCTGAAATGGATTTCTGAAGAAATCTGAAGTGCTTCCACTCAATCACAAAGATCTTAATGGGTGGGTTCTTAGCCAAAAAAACTAGGTTATCTGATTAACAAAGGTTTAACTATTATTAGTTACACTTTCCTGTGAAGAGAGAATGAGGCCATACTTTGTGTTAAGCCCCTACCTTTCACCATATACAACAATAAACTCAAGATGAATTAAAGACTTAAATGTAAGACCTCAAAATATAAAAATCCTAGATGAAAACCTAGGAAACACCATTCCGGACACTGGCATTGAGAAGTAATTTATGACTAATCTCTCAAAAGCAATTGCAACAAAAACAAAAATTGACAAGTGGGACCTAATAAACTAAAGAGCTTTTGCACAGAAAAATAAACTATCAACAGAGTAAACAGACAATCTACAGAATGGGAGAAAATATTTACAAACTATGCATCCAACAAAGGTCTAATATTCAGAATTCCTAAGGAACTTAAATAATTCAACAAACAAAAAACAAATAACCTCATCAAAAAGTGGGCAAAAAACATGAACAGACTCTTCTCAAAAGAAGACATACAAGCAGCCAACTAACATATGAAAAAAATGCTCCACATAGCTAATCATCAGAGAAGTGCAAATCAAAACCACAAAGAGATACTACTTCATACTAGTCAGAATGGCTATTCTTAAAAAGTCAAAACAACAAATGCTGGTGAGGCTGCAGAGAAAAGGGAAAAGGTTATACACTGTTGGTGAGAATGTAAATTATTCAGCCACTGTGAAAACCAGTTTAGAGATTTCTCAAAGAACTTAAAACAGAAATACCATTTGACCTAGCAATTCCATTACTGGATCTATATCTGAAAGAAAACAGTGTTCTACCAAAGACAGATGCACTCACATATTTATTGCAGCGCTATTCACACTAGCAAAGACACAAAATCAACCTAGGTGCATGTCAGTGGTGGATTGGATGAAGAAAATGTTGTACATATAAACTATGGAATACTATGCAGCCATAAAAATGAACGAAATCATATTTTTGCACCAACATGGATGCATCTGGGGGCCATTATCCTAAGAGAATTAATGCAAGAACAGAAAACCACATGTTCTCACTTATAAGTGAGAACTAACTATTGAGTACTCTTGGACATAAAGATGGTAACAACAGAAACTGGGGACTCCTGGGCGGGGAGGGAGAGGGGGGGAAATTGGTTGAAAAACTAACTATTGGGTACTGTGCTTAGTACGTGAGTGATGGGATCATTTGTGCCCCAAACCTCAGCATCAAGCAATATACCCAGGTAACAAACCTGCATATGTACCCCCCGAATCTAAAATAAACATTGAAAAAAAGGGACTTAGGAATTCAAAGAAGAATGCCACATAAAGACAGATATCACATGTTCTCACTCATGTGCAGGAGCTAAAAAAGTGAGTCTCATGAAGATAGAAAGTAGAGTTCTCAGTACCAGAATCCAGAGGTTGGGATCATGGGAATGAAGTGGTTGGGGGAATAATATAAATGTATTTAAACTCTACACATAGCAAATTATGTATGTATATTTTTACCTCAAAAAATTTTTAAAATAAAAGGTTGTTTGGGTAACACATTATCCCTACCCTTTAGAAACTTAATCTAGCAGATTATCAAGAGTAAAATACCCCAGATCATCAACTGACAACTTCCCCAGTTCTAATTATATGAGAAAATATGAAGATCATAATTAAAATTTTATTTTAATTTTACTATTATAAAATATGTTACTTCATAATCCAATTCATTCCCTTTCTTCTATTGTACTCTCTCTTAAGTTTTTAATTTTAAAATTCCAAAATAAAACAGGCTTATCTGACTTATTATTTATGATAATCTAATACACTTATCACTATTCAAGGTAAATGTTATACGAAAGGAAATAAATTATGTATCCAGGAAGGCTGCAGTTCATAATTCCTTGCCTCTTTAATGTCAGTGCATTCTGGACAGGTTTTCAGGGTCAAACTAGCAGTTAATGTAGATTATGTAGATTCAGCCCTGACCATCATTTAATGACCCAGAAACTCCTGAGTTTCCAAGTCTGAATTACAAATCAATTTGGTATCACAATTATTTTTATTTTACTCACCTGATTATACCCTGAAAAGTAAAAGAAAAAGTCCAAGACAGCGTATCATGTCATTTATTCTGCTTGGAACTAACAGAACATGTACCTTGTCTACTCAGCCAACAAATAATTGAGCACATATATTGTTCCAGGCACTGCATTAGTTAGGAATGGTATCTACATTGGTAAGTAATACAATCTCTTACTTCTTAGAAACATATTTTTCCATGTCATAGTATATTTGTGCCACATTTCTTTTATATATATATAGAGAGAGAGAGAGCAGAGGGCAGTGAGAGAGAGAGGGTCTCACTATGCTGCCCAGGCTGGTCTTGAACTCCTGGCCTCAAGCAACTCTCCCACCTCAGCCTCCCAAAGTGCTGGGATTACAGGCATGTGCCATCACACCCAGCCTTATCACATTTCTTTATGAGTCTGTGAACTCCCAAAAACACACTAGTTGAGAAACTCTTAAAATGATGTCTAAGGGGGGAAAAAGAAACTCTAGAAGTCAGAGCTATTTCTCAGGATGTAAATTATCCTAAGTGAAGTTCCTTTAAATGAAGTCACATCACATGACATAACATAAACACCCGAAGAAGATTACACAGAAGAACCCTATCTATAGTTCAATTCAAAATGATCTTATTATATATTTTGATAGTTATCACGATATGGTTCAAGAACTAGAGAATTCACAATCAATTTGTGTGACAAATACAAAAGTGACAAGCATTAGGAAGTTGAGCAGTATTAAAGGGGTAGAGCATCTTCCCAACAAAAAACGCAACATATTTTAGATGTTTCTTTCTATTCCTATTCCCTACACCACTCTTGCCATTCCCTTTATATATAGGAAGATAATAATTCATCACAGGTTTTCTTCTCCCTTCTCAAACCGTGTCTAGGTGTACCATTGCCCTTAGATTTTCAACAACTCCCACAGAGATCCTCTACAAATTGTTCTGGATCTCAAAAGAGCTTCCAAATACGTGACTTGTTTCTGTTTTTTCTGGGAAATGGGGGTATTCTCAAATTATTTCATCAGATTCTAGTTTTCTAGTCCTGAGAAGACATTACCCTTAATTCCTCGAACTGTTTTCCTTCTCCTCCTACACACATACACACACACACACACACACACACACACACACACACACTTGCATTTATTTGTCTTCTCTTCCTCTACGTAGTAGTCAAAAGAATCTGAATTAAAGATACAACATAGATTGCCAAAATAAGATAAACCAAGGACAAAAACAGACTCTACAGACACTTAGTTGGATAAAACATCTGAAACAGGCTTATAGTCAGTAGCAGTCTCAAGTAGGTCTTGTCCTATTCATAACGGATTGGTCCATTCATTAAATCAACCTATAAGCTGGCTTCTTTTTGGCAACCATCATCTACAAGGAGTCAGACTTTAAAAGGTCATTTTTTTTTCTTGCATCTTATATTTGGCACACACTGGCTGGAACAAAGCATTAAACCACATTTAGTCACTCTTTCGTACAGACCATGGAAAGAAAGCAAATGCTACTCTAGCATATTACATAAACAAAAGGTTAATATGAAGACAAAGGTTTTTTTGAGTCGACTTTCGTTTTACAAAAAGAGAAATAAACAATGCCATTATTGTGTTTTAGGACCTAAGTTGTTGGTGTGACCCAAAATTCCATAGTAATTCATGGCCTAGTAAAAAAAAAAAAAATACGTACACACAAACACACACACACACACACAGAGAGAGAGAGAGAGAGAGAGGCATGTATATACATATATATACATATATATGAATATATATATTTCTAGCAGTACTAGAGATGGATATTCTCTTTTAGTCTTTTCCTTCCTATATTACTTTTTTTAACTTTCATTTTATGTTCATTTGCAGGTTATATAGGTAAACTCATGTCACAGGGGTAGTTGTATAGATTATTTCATCACTGTACTAAGCCTAGTACCCAATAGTTTTTTTTTGTTTGTTTATTTGTTTGTTTGTTTTTTCTGATCCTCTCCCTCCTCTCATCTTCTACCTTCAGGTGCCTTCTACCTTCAGGTAAGTGCCAGTGTCTGATGTTCCCTTCTGTATGTCCATGTGTTCTCATTATTTAGCTCCCACTTAGTAGTGAGAACATGTGGTTTTTGGTTTTCTGTTCCTGAGTTAGTTTGCTAAGGATAATGGTCTCCAGCTCCCTTTATATTCCTGAAAAGAATATAAATGTTCTTTTCTCCCTTTATATTCCTGAAAAGAACATGATCTCATTCATTTTTACGGCTGCATAGTATTCAGTGGTGTATATGCACCACATTTTCTTTATCCAGTCTATCATTGATGGACATTTACGTTGATTCCATGTCTCTGCTACTGTGAATAGTGCTGCAATTAACATATGCATGCATGTGTCTTTATGATAGAACAATTTATATTTGTTTAGGTATATTCCCTGTAATGGGATTGCTGGATCAAATGGTAGTTCTTTTTTATCTCTTTGAGGAATCACCAACCTGCTTCCAGAATGGTTGAACTAATTTACACTCCCACTAACAGTGCATAGGTGTTCCCTTTTCTCCACAACTTCACCAGCATCTGTTATTTTCTTACTTTTTAATAGTAGCCATCCTGACTGGTGTGAGACAGTAGCTCATTGTGGTTTCAATTTGCATTTCTCTAATGATTAGTGCTATTGAGCTCTTTTTCATATGCTTGTTGGCCACATGTATGTCTTCTTTTGAGAAGTGTCGGTTCATGTCCTTTGCCCACTTTTTAAGGAGGTCTTTTGTTTTTCTTGTAAATTTGTTTAAGTTCCTTATAGATGCTGGATTTTAGGCCTTTGTGAGAGACGTAGCTTGCAAACATTTTCTCCCATTCTGTAGGTTATCTGTTCACTCTGGTAATAGTTTATTTTGCTTTGCAGAAGCTCTTTATAGATCCCATTGGTCAATTTTTGCTTTTGTTGCAAATGCTTTTGGCATTTTTGTCGTGAAATCTTTGCCCCTTCCTACATCCAGAATGGTATTGCCTAGGTTGTCTTCCAGGGTTTTTTTAGTTTGGGGTTTTACATTGAAGTCTTTAATGCACCTTGAGTTTATTTTTGTATGTGATGTAACAAAGGGGTCCAGTTTCAATCTTCTGCATACGACTAGTCAATTATCCCAGCACCATTTATTGAATAGGGAGTCCTTTCCCCATTGCTTGTTTGTATCAGCTTTGTCAAAGATCAAGTGGTTGCAGGTGTGCAGCTTTATTTCTGATCTCTCTATCCTGTTCCATTGGTCTATGTGTCTGTTCTTGTAACAGTACAATACTGTTTTGGTCACTGTAACCCTGTAGTATAGTTTGAAGATGGGTATGTGACACCTCCAGCTTTGTTCTTTTTGCTTAGGATTGCCTTGGCTATTTGGGCTCTTTTTTGGTTCCATGAGATTTTTTAAATACTTTTTTCTAGTTCTGTGAATAATGTCATTGGTAGTTAGATAGGAATAAGATTGAATCTGTAATTGCTTTGAGCAGGTTGGCCATTTTAATGATATCGATTCTTCCTGTCCATCTGTATGGGATATTTTTCCATTTGTTTGTGTCATCTCTGATTTCTTTGAGCAATGTTTTGTAATTCTCACTGGAGAGATCTTTCACCTCCCTGGTTATCTGTATTCCTAAGTATTTCATTCTTTCTGTGGCAATTGTGAATGGGATTGCATTCCTGATTTGGCTCTTGGCTTCGGCAGTTGTATAGAAATGCTAGTGATTGTTGTATACTGATTTTGTATCCTGAAACTCTGCTGAAGTTTTTTATCAGCTTAAGGAGCTTTTGGGCAGAGACTATGGAGTTATCTATATATAGAATCATGTCATCTGCAAACAGGGATAGTTTGACTTCCTCTCTTCCTATTTGGATGTTCTTTATTTCTTTCTCTTGCCTAGTTGCTCTGGCCAGGACTTCCAATACTACATTGAATAGGAATGGTGAGAGAGGGCATCCTTGTCTTATGCTGATTTTCAAGGGGAATGCTTCCAGCTTTTGCCCATTCAGTATGATGTTGCCCATCGGTCTGTCATACATGGCTCTTATTATCTTGAGGTATATTCCTTCAATACCTAGTTTATTGTATTCTCTCTTTTTAAATAATATATCCATGCCCCATTCCCATAGAGTGTACTGTCACATCCCAAACTGACACCTTGGCCAAAGCTAACTAGAAGAAAATTTTCTAGCTGAACCAATTATATTGTCTCACACTGATTGTATTAGAGTTCACTGAGAGAACTCGATCACTAAGTATTTGGGCTTTGAGGTAATTTAAAGGGAACTAGAATGGTCATTATTCACCTTATGCAAAATGACAAGAAAGTCAGTTAACAGAAAAAGTAAAAGAATGAAGCAAATGCAAGAGAATTGCAGAGATGGGGACTTTGAGGACAGGAGAGGCAGAGAGAGTGACTGCCTTGAATTTGGATGATTTTTTTACAACTGATGGCAATGCCTCCTGTGGTTAAACTGCACCTCCTGCCTTTGGATTCTATAACCCAAATCTTCTTTTTGGCTCAGTATATTTTTAATAGGCTTTATTTGTTATAGTCAAGTCATCTTTGATCAAGACATTGATTTCTTTTAAGTACAGAGGTAAAAACAAGGTGCCAGGCATTGTCAGAAAGCCTGACTCTCATCTTGTCTTAAAATTAGTATCTACTGAGCATATGTCATTGTTCAAAACAACCGTGTGATCCTGGGAAAGTCATGTTAACTCTGAGTCTGTTTTCTTACCTTTGAAATAAAAGTGGAAGGATTTCTGTACTTGACAGTATGGCAGATTAGATACCCTGAACAATCCTTTGAATAAGATGTCAGGTAAAATTTTTTAAAGTATTTTTTAAATGAATCACTGAGCTAACACAAAAGCAATGAAGACATCAAGCTTCAAAAGTAAAGTAACCTGGAAAGTCTAGGAGATAAAAGAGTGCCAAGGCTGACTTTTGACCTGAAGACGATTACTAAAGTTGGAAGGCCTTGAGCTTCCACTCTGACACCTGCTCAGAAGGTAGGGAATGTGACATAAATCCCAGGCCTCCTCAAGGATGTGTAATCTAAGTGATTCCTGCTACACCCACGATGAGGTGTGGGTGAGACATAGGTTCCATTGCACAGAATGGAACAGAAAAGAAACTCACCTATTTCATCTATATTCCCTTGAAGAGGAAAAAATTTATATTTACTCTGGTAATTTAGAGCCATAAGCCATTCTTACAGCATGTTTGCAACCTGAAGCCATACTATTTGTGTGATTTGAAGAAGAAAAAAAAAAAAAAACCTTAAGAGGAAATTTTAATTTATGGTGGTTCCAGATTGGTAGCAGCCTCAGAGAACTGGCAGAGTAAATGCAAATCTTACTTTGAGGTGTATTGATCATCAACTAATTAAACAAAGAATAATTCAGAAAGTAAATTTAATGCAGTACTATTTTCTGAATACAAAACTGAACCATGTCACCCCATTGCTTAAAATATTTCATGGCCTTTCAAAAGTTGAGCTCAATTCAACTTCTTCCCAATAACACAATTTTCTACTTATGATGCACTTTATCTCCCAAATCTATATATCTGAGTTGTTTGGGAGTTTTGAAACACACACAGGAGTGGAAGGAATTTCTCCAACAGAGCACCCCAATTATCTGCTGAAATGAAAGCTATGAGTACTACTTGACTGTTTAGAGATCTTTATACCACTGGGAAAATAGGCAAAAGGAGGTGTTACAGTGTTGACCACTATGTTGAAGGAGCTGCCGCCATTATATAGGATCAGGGAGAATGGCTGGAATTCAGGTAATTCCCTGGACTCCTTCTTTTACAACTATGCTTAAAACATATGGTTAAAAACAAACATGTAGTAAAAACTAAAGAAGGACCAGTAGGGTTTCAGATATTTAAAGAATGAATATTTGGAGCGTATCACTGGGCAAACAACCCCTACCAAGGGCAAAGGGAACTGGAAAAGGTAATGCAGAAGAAATCATAAATGCGAGAGATGAAACTCTAACCCTGTTCATATTCCCTTCATTGCTGAGTCATTTTTCTTTTAGTAATTTCCTTTCTCTTTCACATTGCCCTCCACCAATATTGAAAATGGCGTTTAGTGATGGTTATTAACCTTGCCATTTAGCCCATAATGTGAGTATTATGAGGAAAAAATTGATCTCAACGAAACCACACAAGGAATGAACATTGCCCAGATATCCCCATACTTGGTGCAAGATGCAGGAACCCATCACAATTTCAGTCTATTTCCATTTGGGAAAGGGGTGAGTATAGTTTAGGTTGGTTGTAGATAACGTAAGAGGTAGAAATATTTGTGAAACTCCATATCAGGGTTTCTCAACCTTTTATTGTTACCTTCCCCAGAAAGAAAAATCCAATTCAATTCAAATCTCCCTAATGAAGATTTTTGTCATGTAGAGTTAAACTTTGGAGGACCACAGACCTTTGAAATACTGTATTTGTTTCCTATTCCTGCTAGAACAAATTACCACAGTCTAGCATCTTAAGGCATAATTTTTTTCTCTTATAATTCTGGAGGTCAGAAGCCCAAAATCAGGCTGACTGGGCTAAAACCAAAGTGTTAACAGATCTCTTCAATACATTCCATTTTTGTTTGAGTTAGCCAGTGCTTTCTTTTGCGTATATCCAAATAACTCTAACTCATTCAGAATAAGATAATTTCGTATACTAATCTAATATTTTTGGGGTCCAGGATTTCAAGAAAAAAACGAATCATCACAAAAGTCATTTCACTTACACTTTGAGTCAAAAGAAAGGAAAGAAGTTAAGCAATTAACAATTAAATAACTAGAGTAGCACTAGCCAACAGAATTATCTGTAATGATGTCAATGTCCTCTATTTCTGCTGCCCAGTACAGCAGCTACTAGCCTCATGAAGTGAGTGAGCACTAAGGAACTAAATATATAATTTTATTTAATTTGTATATATCTTAATTTAAATGGTCACATGTACCATACTGGACAGAGACAAATTCAAATGCTTATATTTTTGCAATTAAGGATAGTCTTACATATGAAAGAGCACCTTAAATAAATGATTAGATCTTTAAACATGAACATGAACATTAATTACTCTAATTTTTTTTTGAGACAACATCTCACACTTACTTATTACCAAGGAGGGAGTGCAGTGGTGCATTCATAATCACAATTCACTGCAGCCTCATTCACTGCAGCCTCAATCTCTTGGGCTCAAGTGATCCTCGTGCCTCAGCCTCCCAAGTAGCTAGGACTACAGGTGTGCATGACTGCACCTAGCTAATTTTTTTTTTTTAACTCTTTGTGGAGATGGGGGTGTTATTATGTTGCCCAGCTGGTCTCAAACTCCTGGCCTCAGGTGATCCTCCCACCACAATCACCCAAAACTCTGGGATTATAGGCATGAGCCACTGTGCCTGGCCTACTTTAATTTTTACAAATACTCTTTGTATTAGTCTGTTCTTGCATTGCTATGAAGAAACACCTCAGACTGGGTAATTTATAAAGAAAAGAGGTTCAACTGCCTTACAGTTCCACAGACTATACAAGCATGGCTCCAGCATCTGCTTCTGGTGAGGCCTCAGGCAGCTTCCAATCACGGCAAAATGTCAAAAGAGAGAAGGCAATGTCAGGTAGCAAGAGAGGGAGTAAGAGAGAGAGAGAAGGGGAGGTCCCAGACTTTTAAACAACCAGATCTCCTGTAAACTAACTGAGTGAGAATTCACTATCACTAAGGAGACAGTGCTAAACCATTCATGAGGGATCCACCCCTATGATCCAACCACCTCCCCCCAGGCCCCATCACAATGGAAATCACATTTCAACATGAGATTTGGAGGAAACAAACATCCAAACCAAATCACTCTTAAATTTTATAACAGAGATCCATGATCAGTAGGCTGGATATTTTGTTGCCCATCTAGATCAAGACTGTCTTCACTACTCAAGGCCCCTTAGGCTGACATGTATAGATTAAGAAAATGGACTCCCTTGACCTCTAGCTTCTATTTTGGGGTTGGTTTCTGCGAGTTTCCTGCAGAAAGATGGAAGAGAGTAATGAAGTTGGATTATTTATCTCCAAGGCCACTGTGGGCTACCAATTTCCCTCAACCACAGGCCACAGTTCCTTTCCCACAGCCCTCTCCAAATGCCCTTTCTGTTTCATGCTTCTGGTAACTACTCCTCCATTTTTGCCTCTTTGAGCCTACAGCTCATGATGGTGCCCCACTATTACTAATTCCCAGGTCCTTACTGTGCTATGGCTTTGCTGGTATGACTCCACGTACCCTGTCCTTATTTACTACCCTGTGTATTTATTACTCAGTTTGAGTATCCCATCTGTTTCACCCCGACTGAAAAAAAACAGTCAACATTTCCTTTTACTAACGATTGAGAATTAGGCTTAAGACCAGAAGCTAACAAATTAATAGATTTTACCATAGAGCTAAAAGAGGACCCTAATCAAATATTTTACTGATGATTGCTATAGATATTCATCATTATACACACACACACACACACACACACACACACACATATACACAGACAGAGTTAGGAATAAAATTTAACTAAAAAAGGGAAGTAACAGTGTTTCTAGTATTCAAAGTAGATAGCAAGGTTCTTCTACAAAAGTGTTTACAAATGTTTTGACATGAATACTAGATTGCACTTCGGTCAGACTCCTGGGAAGTTGGGGTTTTCAAATGCACTTGAAAAACAAGATAAAATATCATTGGATTCCCATTCATTCAGTCTAGTTGGGTCACTATTAATCAAAAAAAGAAAGTGGAAATAGAATTTAGTGTTGTCAACCACACACAGTTGGAAACAAAATATGGAAAAACTTATTTTCTTTCCAAGATGAGGGTATGCTATATCCCAAAGAAACTTTAGAGCTCACCTAATCCAAGATGTTCCAGATTGTGCTGTGAGTGGTCCTGGGGTCTCTACAATGATTCTACAGAGGATTCATTAGTCTGATAGGAGTCAGCCCTTCACCCACCACTCTTATTTCAAGAGAAGCAATTCTGATGCTAATCCCCAAATGTTTAATTTGAATAAATAAGTCATTGTTAGATAAAAACAAAAGAAAAATATAAAAGCCATTTCTGATTCAAAGCCATTTATTTACTTCCCATTAACTAATGGAGTTCTATCTAAGTAAGAAATTTCCTGACTATCAAATACTTTGCTCCTCAACTTAGGTCCTACAGTACCTTCCGATTGTTCTTACTGTCATATTACAGTCATTCTAATAAAACATCAATGATTTCCTTTTACACACACACGCATGCACAGACACATTATATATATTAAACATATATGTTAAGATCTAGATAATGTGTATTACATATATGCTTATGTATTTATAAAATTTTTAAGGATCTTTATTAGGGTGTATGGTCCAAAGTTTAGTTGCTGGCTAGAGTGGTTAAAGTAACACTAGCTTCTGTAACAAATAAACCCAAAATGTATTTTGCCTCAAACTCAATGGGATTTTATTTCTCACTGGGAAGGTGATCAGCTCAGTAGAGCTGTCCTCCTTACAGTCATTCAAAGACCTAAAGTGACAGAGGGGTTGCCACCTTCAATATGTAGGGACCAAGGCCATGATGGTCATTACCCTCCCAGCCAGCCCTAATGGGAAATTAACTTGGAAGACCACATCTAGAAGATTTTTCAAGGCCAGGAAAATGTGACATATATCACTTCTACTCACATTCCGTGAGCTAAAACTCAGTTACCTAGCTACCAAACTGCAACTGAGAATGGGAAGAAAGTCTAGATGTGTGCTCATGTAGGAAAGGACAGGGATTTGGGGACTATCTAGCAGCTCTGTCACAATGGCATTGAACCTTTCTTTCTTTTGATTCCCAAAACACATACCTAGGACACAGGAAGAAAGAGTCATCCCCATTTTCTAAATGGGAATGCTAAAAGCACAATGTGCTGACAGGAGAGACCTCTCCCCTCTCTTAGGCCTAAGTCTTATATTAAGTGTTCCAAACTATCCTGATTATGCTAGGGAGAGGAGTCTGTAGAAATAAGACCTAGCTCCACCACTGGCTCAGAGAACAACACTGGCTTCATTCGTTGCTTTATTTCCCAGCACACCATCTATGAAATTCACCGCCGTCTACAGGAGACATTTATCCTATTGACTTATGTCAGAAAACTATACACTTACTGCTTATTTCTCAAGTAGTGGTCTGTGGCTAAACCCTCTACCATAGTTATCAAAATGTACAGTGGTTATTTAAGATAACATCAGCTGCTCGTGAGAAATCCTGAAATCTCAGTGGCTTACCATATAATAAATGTACCTCTCATGCATATAAAGAAAAATGAGTGTTCCTGATCTGCTGCCAGTTCTCCTCTGAGCATTAATTCAAGATCCAGCCTCCATTCAATTTACTGTTTTTCTGTTTTCAATGTGTGGTTTCCAAGGTTACCCCGGGGATGTTCATCCAGACAGCCAGTGAGAAAAAGAGAGGATGGAGAAGGTGTGTCTCATTCTTGACCCTCTCTTCCTGCAAGTGACACATAAATAACCACTGCTCACATTTTACTGACAAAGCTATTAGCATAGCCACGCCTAAACGTAAGGGAGGCTGGGAAAATAGTTATTTCCCAGCAAGAGTTCTATGCTATAATAAGAAAGGCATAAGTTTTTGATGAAGAGCTAGCTCTCTGTGTTACAACTCACTAGGAGCCAGTAGGAAGAATCCCTTTACTTGGCTAGTTGTTATCAGTGCCACAAACAGTTCTATTTGCATAAATAATCACTTACAGAGGGTTTTCTTTAGCCTAGTGTGGCCAAGCTTTCAACGTTAAGAGAACACTTTGAAATGTAAGGAAATTTTTATGAATAGGTACGCACTGCATTCTTAAAGGATCCATAGCTTCCACATAAGATTTTCAGAGAGCTTTAAGACCCACCAAACATTTTCTTAAAAAATCATCGCCATAGTAGGGTTTTTTTGGTTTGTTTTTTGTTTGTTTGTTTGTTTGTTTTGAGACACAGTCTCGCTGTCGCCAGGCTGGAGTGCAGTGGCACGATCTTGGCTGACTACAACCTCCTCTGCCTCCCAGGTTCAAGCAGTTCTCCTGCCTCAGCCTCCTGAGTAGCTGGGACTACAAGCGCCCGCCACCACGTCAGGCTAAGGTTAATTTTTTTGTTGCTTTTTTTTGTTTTTTTGTATTTTTAGTAGAGACGGGGTTTCACCATGTTAGCCAGGATGGTCTCGATCTCCTGACCTCGTGATCCACCCACCTCGGCCTCCCAAAGTGCTGGGATTACAGGCGTGAGCCACCAGGCCCAGCAGTAGGGTACTTTTTTTAGGTAGCTCTGCCCTTCTAGGCACCATTCCCTAACCCAGTGGTTCCCATCATCAGACCCGCTGAAGATCACTTTGAATGCACAGATTTCAAGACACTAACCAGTCCTATTTATTAACAATTAAGTTGGGCAGAGGGAAAGACATTAGGCATCATGGAAATACATATTTTTTTTACAACTCTTCAAGGAGTCATTGTCCTTACTCCTTGGGCTAATCTAAACAGATGCATCGTTTATTGCAGAGAGGTGAGGATGCTCACTCCTCACTAATGCCAGTGATTAGCTGCCCCCACTCAGAGCACATCTGTGTTCCCTACAGTCTATTCAACGTTCCCAGATTGTTTCTAACATAAACAACTTTCAGTACATTTGTCAGACCCACTTTCCATTTCATACATCCCTTAATTGTGCCTTTTTAATTATAATGACTGACATTTATTAACTATCTCTCCTGTGCCCCAGCACATGGAGAAAAGCATCAAGCTTTTCACTCTATGTTTTATTTAAAATTCACAGCAACCCATTTACAGGGGTTTGTAGACATGTATAACTTATGCAACATCACAGGGCTAAGGGCCTAAACCTAGATTCAAACCTCACTGCCTGATTCCAATCCATTTGTCTTATTCAAAAACCTACTTTTTTTTAAGAGACAGGGTCTTGCTTTGTTGCCCAGGCTGGTCTCTAACTCCTGAGCTAAAGTAATCCTCTTGCTTTGGCCTTCCAAAGTTCTAGGATTACAGGCATGAGCCATCACATCTTGCCCTCAAGAACCTACTTTTAATCTCTCCTCTTCTTTAGAAAATTGCAGGAATTTTTCATGGTCTTATTATTTGCTTCTCTTACCCTCAGTAGATTTTGCTTTCTCTCTCTGCTACTACTTTAGGTTCTTACCTTTCCTAGTTTAAAATTTTAATTCTGAGTAGTCTATGTGTAAAACAGAGAACCTGTATAAGTTTCTTAGTGGTAACAATGCATGTATAATTGTTCAATTTTTCAAGTCGGAAGCACCAAATGAAGTCGATGTGAAACATTCTGGGTCTTCCCAGAATGCCAGGTAGAGCTACAAAGTCCTTTTTCCTGCTTTAACAGAACGAGGAAAATGTTGGCTGCTCTAAGTCCACAGATATCCTTAGAGCTTTGATCACAACATGCATAGCTGACTGAGGCTGTTAATGACAAACACTTCAAAAAATAATTAACTGTTATATCTGACTTCATGTCTCAAGGAATTCAAGATGTGATATCAAGAACTTGTGTTGAAACTCTAAATTATTTTGCAGCAGATGGCACATGGTTACATTTCCTTAATTCATTCTGTATAAATGCCCCACACTGGGAAGGGGCAGAGCAAGATGGCAGAATAGAAAGTGCCATGGATCTTCCCCTTCACAAGAACACCAAGTTAACAACAATCTACACAAGAAAACACCTTCATAAAAAACAAAAATCAGGTGAGCACTCATAGTACCTGGTTTAACTTCATATCACTGAAAGAGCCACTGAACTGAAAAGATAGGCAAAACAGTCCTGAATCTCCAATGCCACCCCCATCCCACATTGGCTGCATGGTGCTAACAGCAGCTCCAGTGCTGGGGGAGGGAGAAGACTGCAATTGTTAGGCTTTGAACTCAGTGCTGTCTTGTTAGAGCAGAAAGGAAAACCAGTCCAAACTCAGCTGATGCCTACCCACGAGGGAGCATTTAAACCAACCCCAGCCAGAGGAGAATCGTTGGTCCCAGTGGTCCAAACTTGAGTGCCTGCAAACCTCGCCACCAAGGGCTACAACATTCTGTGTCTCCAAGTAAACTTGAAAGACAGTCTGGACCATAAGGACTGAAACTCAGGTGAGTCCTAGTGCTGAACTAGGCCCAAGACAGTAGACTTGGGGGGTGTGACATGAGACATACTGAGACACCAGCTGAAGCAGCCAAGGGAGTGCTGGCATCACCTTCCCCTAACCCCAGGTGGCACAGCTTGCAGCTCCAAAAGAGACACCTTCCTTCCTCTTGAGGCAAGGATAGGGAAGAGTGGGGAGTACTTTGTCTTACATCTAGGATACCACCAGCTCAGCCATAGCAGGATAGGGCACCAGTCAGAGCCACAAGACTCCCATTCAAGGCTCTAGTTCCCAGATTACATTTCTAGACATGCCCTGAGCCAGAAGGGAACCTACTGCCTTGAAGGAAAGGACCCAGTTCTGGCAGCATTTATTACCTGCTAACTGAAGAGCCCTTGGGCCTTGAACAACTAGCAGTGATACCCAGGTACTACATCAAGAGCCTTGGGAGAGCCTCTGAGACTTGCAGGCTTCAGGTAAGACTCAACACATTACCAGCTGTGGTGACTGTGGGGCAAAACTTCTTCCACTTGAGAAAATTAGAGGGAAAAGTAAAGGAGACTTTGTCTTGCACAGCCACAGGTAGATAGAGCACCAAGTGAGCTTTTGAGGGCACTGATTCCAGGACTTGATTTGTGGATGGCATTTCTGGACCTCCCCTGGCCACAAGGGAGCCCACTTCCCTGAAGGGTAAGTCCCAGGACAGGCAGCATTCAAAAGCTGACTTAAGAGACCCTAGGCCTTAAGGGAACATCAGCAGTAGTCTGGCAATACTCCGCATGGCCTGGGATGGCAGTGACTACAGGATGAGGCTCCTATGCCTTTGGAAAGGGGAGAGAAGAATGGAAAGGACTGAATCATGTGGTTGGAGTTTCAGCTAAGCTGCAATACAAGAGAGCACCAGATAGACTTCTAAGGTTTTTGACGCTAGTACCTGAATTCCAGACAGCACTTCTGGACCCACCCAGGGCCCCATCATCCATTCCCTGAAGGGAAGGATGCAGGCCTAAATGGCCTTGCAACCTGCATATTGTAGAGCCCTGGGGCCTTGAGTGAACATAAGTGGTCAACAGGGAGTAGTTCCAGCCAGCCTTGGGTGAGACCCAGCGCCATGCTGGCTTCAGGTCTAATGCAGTACATCACAGTGGTGGTGGCAACAGGTCACACATGTCACTCCAGCTGCAGCTTTAGGTAGCTCAGAATAGAGAGAAAGATACTCTGTATGTTTTGGAGAAAGCAAGGGAAGAGAACAAGAGTTTCTGGCTGGTAACCCAGAGAATTCTCCCAAATCTTGTCCAAGACCATCAAAGTGGTATACCTCTAAGAGCCTGCAAGAACCACAGCATTCCTGGGCTTGGGGTGCCCCTAAAGCAGATATAGTTGAGATCACAACACTCAAAGTCCTTTCAAATATCTGGAAAGCCTTCCCAAGAAGAATGGCCACAAATAAGCCCAGACAGTACAGACTATATAATAAATACCTAACACTTCAATGCCCAGATGCTGAAGAATATCTATTAGCACCAACACCATGCAGGAAACCATGACCTCACCAAATGAACTAAATGAGGCACCAGGGACCAATCCTGGAGAAACAGAAATATGTGACCTTTTAGACAGAGAATTCAAAATAAATGTGTTGAGGAAACTCAAAGAAATTCAGGGGATAACACGAAGAAGGAAAACAGAATTCTGTCAGATAAATTTAACAAAGAGATTGAAGTAATTAAAAAGAATCAAACAAATTCTAGAGCTGATAAATGCAATTGGTATACTGAAGAATGCTTCAGGGTCCTTTAATAGCAGAATGTATCAAGCAGAAGAAAGAATTGTTGAGGTTGAAGATACCTTTTTAAAAAATACACAGAGGAGACAAAAGAAAAGAGAATAAAAAACAAGGAAGCAGACCTACAGGATCTAGATAATAGCCCAAAAGGGCAAATCTAAGAGTTATTGACCTTTAAGAGGACGTAGAGAAAGAGATGGGGGTAGAAAGTTTATTCAAAGGGATAATAATAGAGAACTTCTCAAGCCTAGAGAAAGATATCAATATTCAAGTACAAGAAGGTTATAGAACACCAAGGAGATTCAACCCAAAGAAGAATACCTCAAGGCATTTAATAATCAAACTCCCAAAGATCAAGGAGAAAGAGAGGATCTTAAAAGCAGCAAGAAAAAAGAAACTGCCTACAATGGAGCTCCAATACATCTGGCAGCAAACTTTTCAGTGGAAACCTTACAGGCCAGGAGAGAATGGCATGACATTTTTAAAGAGCTGAAGGAAAAAACTTTTACCCTAAAATAGTATAACTGGTAAAAAAAAAAAAAAAAAAAAAATCCTTCAAACATGAAAGAGAAATAAAGACTCCCAGACAAAGAAAAGCTGAGGGATTTCATCAATACCACACCTGTCCTACAATAAATGCTAAGGGGAGTACTTCAATCAGAAAGAAAAGTACATTAGTAACCGTAAATATTTACCTGGAGGTACAAAACTCACTGATAATAGTACACAGAATATTATAACAATGTAACTGTGGTATGTTAACTACTCTTAAGTGGAAAGACTAAATGATGAACCAATCAAAAGTAATAACTACAATAGCATTTCAAGACACAATACAATAAGATATAAATAGAAACAACAAAAGTTGAAAAGCAGGGGGACAAAATTAAGACAGAGTTTTTATTAGTTTTCCTTTTGCTTGTTTATACACAGAGTGTTAAGTTGTTATCAGGTTAAAATAATGGGTTATAAGCTAGTATTTGCAAGCCTCATGGTAACCTCAGACCAAAAACTCTACAATGGGTAAACAAAAAAATGAAAAGCAAGAAACTAAATCATATCACCAGAGGAAACTGCCCTTAATAGAAGACAGAAAGGAAAGAAGACCATAAGACAACCAGAAAACAAACAAAACAAAGTGACAGGAGTAAGGACTCACTTATCAACAATAACATTGAATATAAATGGACTAAACTTTCCAATAAAAAGACACAGAATGGCTAAATGCATGAAAAAAGACCCACTGATCTGTTGCCTACAAGAAACACACTTCACCTATAAGGACATATATAGCATAAAAATAAAGGGATGTAAAAAAATATTCCATGCCATTGGAAACAAAAAAAGAGCAGGAGTCACTATACTTACATCAGACAAAATAGATTTCAAAAAGAAAACTATAAGAAGAGACAAAGAAGGTCACTATATAATGATAAAGGGGTCAATTCAGCAAGAGGATGTAACAATTTTAAAAATATAGTCACCTAACACTGGAGCACCCAGATATATACAACAAGTATTATTAGAGATAAAGAGAAAGGCAGGCTGAAATACAATAATAACTGGAGACTTCAGCACCCCACTTCAGCAATGGACAGATCTCCAGACAGAAAATAAACAAAGAAACATCAGACTTAATCTGCACTATAGACAAAATGGATCTAATAGGTATTTACAGAACATTTTACCTAAGACCTGCAGAATACACATTATTTTCCTCAGCACATGGATTATTCTCAAGTATAGACCATATGTTAAGCCACAAAACAAGACTTAAAATATTTGAAAAAATTGAAGTAATATCAATGACCAAAATGACCACAATAAAATAAAACTAGAAATAAGTAACCAGAGGAATTTTGGAAACTGTATAAATACATGGAAATTAAACAATATGTTCCTGAATGACCACTGGGTCAATGAAGAAATTAAGAAGGGAACTGAAAATTTTTTTAAACAAATGATAATGGAAACACAATATACCAAAACCTATGAGATACAACAAAAGCAGTACTCAGAAGGAAGTTTATAGCTATAAATGCCTACATCAGAAAAGAGGAAAAACTTCAAATAAACAATCTAATGATGCATCTTAAAGAACTAGGAAAACAAGAGCAAACCAAACCCAAAATTAGTAGAAGAAATAATAATCATAGCAGAAATGAAATTGAAGTAAAAAAAAATACAAAAGATCAATGAACCAAATGATTGACTTTTTGAAAAGTTAGAAAAAATTGACAAACCTTTAGCCAGACTAAGAAAAAAATGAGGGAAGATCCAAATAAATAAAATCAGAGATGAAAATGAGATGTTACAACTAATACTGCAGAAATTCAGAAGATTATTAATGGCTACTATGAGCAACTATGTGCCAATAAATTGCAAAATCTAGAGGAAATGTACAAATTCCTAGTTACATACAACCTACCAAGATTGAAGAAATCCAAAACCTGAACAGTCCAACAAAAAATAACCAGATTAAAGCCATAATAAAAAATCTTCCAGTAAAGAAAACCCGGGACCTGATGGCTTCACTGCAGAATTCGACCACACATTTAAAGAACTAATACTAATTCTACTCAAACTACTCCAAAAAAAAAGAAGAGGAGGGAAGACTCCCAAACTAATTCTATGAGACCAATATTACCCTGATATCAAAACCAAAGACATATCAAAAAAAAAAACTACAGGCCAATAACTCTGATGAATATTGATGCAAAAATCCTCAACAAAATACTAGCAAACCAAATTCAACAATACATTAGAAAAATCATTCATCATGACCAAGTGGGATTTATTCCTGGGATGCAAGGATAGTTCACCATATGCAAATCAATCATTGTGATGCATCATATCAACAGAATGAAGGACAAAAACCATATGATCATTTCAATTGATGTTGAAAAATAATTTGATAAAATTAAACATCCCTTCATGATTTAAAAAAACCCTTAAAAAGCTGGAGATGGCAGAAACATACCTCCATATAATAAAAGCCATATATGACAGACCCACAGCTAGTATCATACTGATGGGGAAAAACTGATAAGTCTTTCCTATAAGATCTGAAAGAGGACAAGGATGCCCATTGTCACTACCGTTATTCAACATAGTACTGGAAGTTATAGCCAGAGTTGTTAAAATGTCCATACTACCAAAAAATCCACAGATTCAGTGCAATGCCTCTCAAAATACTGATGATGTTTTTCACAGAAATTAAAAAAAAATCTAAAATTTATATGGAACCACAAAAGACCCAGAATAGCCAAAGTTATTCTAAGCAAAAAGAACAAAACTGAAAGAATCACACTATCTAACTTCGAATTATACTACAGTGCTATAATAACAAAAACAGCATGGTACTGGCATAAAAACAGACACATAGACCAATAGAACAGAATACAGAACCCAGAAACATGTCCACACATCTACAGTGAACTCGTTTTTTACAAAGATGCCAAGAACAAACACTGGGAAAAAACAGTTTCTTCAATAAATGGTGCTGGGAAAACTGGAAATCCATATGCAGAAGAATGAAACTAGACTGCTATCTCTCACCATATACAAAAATCAAATCGAAATGGATTAAAGACTTAAATTTAAGACCTAAAACTATGAAACTACTACAAGAAAACATTGAGGAAAATCTCCAGGACATAGGCCTGGGCAAAATTTCTTGAGCAATACCCCACAAGCACAGGCAACCAAAGCAGAAATGGACAAATGGGATCACATTAAGTTAAAAAGCTTTTGCACAGCAAAGGATACAATCAAAAAAGTGAGGAGAGAATGCACAGAATACTTGCAAAATGAAAAATTAGAAAATATTTGTGAACTATCCACCTGACAAGGGATTATTAATCAGAATATGTAAGGAATTCAAACAACTCTATAGGAAAAAATCAATCCAATCAAAAGATGGGCAAATGATTTGAATAGACATTTCTCAAAAGAAGACATAGAAATGGCAAACAGGCATATGAAAAGGTGCCAAACATCATTGATCATCAGAGACAGGCAAATCAAAACTACAATGAGATATCATCTCACCCCAGTTAAAATGGCTTATATCCAAAAGACAGGCAGTAACAAATGCTGGTGATGATGTGGAGAAAAGGGAACACTTCTACATTGTTGGTGTGAATGTAAATTAGTACAACCACTATGGAGAACAGTCTGGAGGTTCCTCAAAAATCTAAAAATTGAGCTACCATATCATCCAACAATGCCACTGCTGGGTATACACCCAAAAGAAATCAGTATATTGAAGTGATATCTGCCCTCTTATATTTGTTGCAGCACTGTTTACAATAGCTAAGATTTAGAAACAACCTAAGTGTCCACCAGCAGATAAATGGATGATGAAAATGTGGTACATATACACAATGGAGTACTATTCAGCCATAAAAAAGAATAAGATCCAATCATTTGCAACAGCATGGATGGACTGGAGATCATTACGTTAAGTGAAATAAGCCAGGCACAGAAAGACAAACATCACATCTTCTCACTTATTTGAAGGATCTAAAAATCAAAACAATTGAACTTAACGGACATAAAGAGTAGAAAGATGGTTATCAGAGGCTGGGAAGAGTAGTAGAGGGCTGGGGAGCAGGTGGGGTTGGTTAATGAGTATAAAAAATAGAAAGAATGAATAAGATCTAGTATTTAATAGCACAACAGGATGAATATAGTCAATACTAACTGTACATTTTAAAATAGCTTAAAGAGTATAATTCAATTATTGGTAACTCAAAGTATAAATGCTTGAAGGGATGAATCCCTATTCTCCATGATGTGCTTATTTCACATTACATGCCAGTATCAAAACATCTCACATACACAAATATGTAACATTGTGTACCTAAAAGAATTAAAAATTTTTTAAGTAAAATTAAAATGTTCCATGTTATGTCTTTCTGAGTCCCCATCTCTGATTTCTGGCCCTGCTGACCTGGTATGACTAAGCTCCATTAGCATCTGAAAGGCAAGTCTAGAATCACCAGTACCATAAGGAAGTAGTTACAACTGTTGAAATGGCACAAAGCTCCTAATCATAAAAATTTACTTTAATTTTCCCATTGAGTAAGCCACTTCCATCACTTGATTGGCATTAGAAGATATGAGTGGTGTTGGTTAATTTTTTTTTCTAACTATTATTTTTCATGGGAGTAAGTAGGAAAGGAAAGGAAAGGAAAGGAGAATAAAACATACATCAGTCAATGACACTATGTTTTGCACGTCATTAATAGATCAAAATGGTTAAAAGGTTAAAAATAGTTTATAATGAATTTTTCAAGGATTTTAGTTGTTTCTGCTATTTCTAAACACCATAATAGCCAAGAAAAAGAAAAGGAATATATCGCCTATATATTATATCACCTGTAATAAGAGATCAGAGACAGAAAGACTTGAGTACATATGTCAATGGTTTAATACATTAATTTAAAAATTAATTAAACATTATACCTTACATACATAGATACTTCATAGTTACTTCTGGCAGCCAGCACAGTTTAACTGTAATAGGCCAGCAGCTACCTATCAATGTGGAATCTTCCTCCACATCATCTTTCCCTTGGCTTTGTTTATACCATAACTTTTAATCCTTTGGTCTTCTTGTACCCTCCAGTCTTTTACCCTGAGCTATTAAATATACTTAAATTTCTTCTATCCTGAAAGAATATCCCTTTCATTGGCCCAGGCCCTATCTTTAACTCTGTGCTTAACTTCCTTCTTTGTTCAGCTGCTTTGGAAGAATATTCTACTCTAGTTAATTCTACATCCTCACTTCCCATTTTCCACTCTCCACCAACCATGAAAAGCTGGTTTTCACCTCCCACCTACCCACCACACACTTGCTTCAACTCTAAAAATTGCTCTGCAAATGGCACCACCTATCTTCATATGTCAAATCTGCTCATTGTCTGTTCTTACAGTGTTGGTCCCCTCTGTTCTACTTGGGAATGCTAGAGGCTCACTTCTTTCTAAAATTGTATATCATTGGTTTCCATGGGATTATTCTCTCCTGGGTTTACCTCTACTCTGACTGTTCTACTGCTATCTCTACTGCATGACTATTTTTGCTTCTCCTCCGCCTGTCTCTTGAATGCTGGTGTTCTACAGGGTTTTATTTTCTCCTCACTTTTTCTGCACATTGCTCTTCTCTGTATGTATTTTTCTCAGGTTATATCATTTGAGCTAATGATTTGAACTCTCACCTATGTGCTAATGGCAAACAAAGCAAGTTCCACAGCCCTGCCCTCTGCCCTGACCTTCAGATGCAATTAACCAAATGTCTTCTAGATATATTCACCTGAATATCTAGTTATCTCTGTTTAATACAAGCAAACCTGAATATAACATCTTCTCCTCCTAAGACAATAGAAGCTCTCCAGATTCATTCCTCCTTGGTTCCCAGTAATACTTGTGGTAACAATGTCTTTGGGGATAATATCTGAGCCAGACTACCAAGGAGTCATCTTTTATCCACAGCCCTTGCTGTGTGGATGGTAGGCCACTGGTTCTCTCTGCCCCACAGTTGGTTGGAGCAGGAGACAGAAAGATGCAGGCATTTGTGGTGCAGCTGAGTCTCAGGAATGGTTCAACACAAGAGGAAAGATGCATGAGCTCCTGATACTAAGATTCAAGGGTGGCCTTGAATCCAGAACCACCACACCTGTGAAACCCAGACCTCTTTTGACTCCTAATCTTAGAAGAGAGTTATCTTATGGTCCACACAATTGAGAAGGGTCTGTTTCTTGCAACAAAAATAATCTTGACTAATAATATAATTTTAAAAACACTTGTATCTTTAAATCAAAGGACCTCAACACCTAAACAGGATAACAGTGCAATTTCTATTAGTATACAATGTCTCTCCCGCCTACAGGCCCCCATTGCTATAAAAACCCCCAAATTGACTCTAATTATCTATTTTACCTAGCTAAGTAAAATCTTAGGCAACACACTATCTCTATTCCAATTCCCTTCTCATTCAGCAGCTCAGAATCTAAAATGTCGAATATAAATTATTAAAGAATGCATTTAAAAGTCATTTCTGTAGGTTTCCAGAATTTCTGAGGCTGCACTTTTGCTAGCTGTTTTAATAATCCTTCTTTAACTCCCATTTGTTAAATTAATCAACAAAAGTGCTGTTGCATGAGGTATACAAATGGGAAAGAACAAAATGTTCCTCAAGGTGCCCTCTCTTGGAATGAGCCAAAGAAGTGACTCCTAAGTCGAGCTGATTTTAAGAAAAGGTACGCTCTGAGTTCTAGCATGAAATGACAGATTCCATCATAAAAGGAATCCAGATGTTCTAGGTACTGCCTGACATCTAATGATAATATTCATAATTGTTAAGTTTAAAAGCGTTTCACATGTAATTACTTCTTTCAGGAGTAACATGGAGTCCTTTCTGAGATAAGCCTCGGCTTAGCTACTTTTTAGTGAGTCAGAAGCATTACAAAATATCTAAAGGTGAAAGGGATTTGTCACAGTAACATGTAATAATTGAAAGTTTTTAACTCTTGCATTCTGAAAGGATGTTTTCCTTAAAAACACGCTCTGATATTATTTTACAGCAACTAAGTAGCTCACAGTAGACATTTGAAATAGAGGCAGTACCAGCTCCCCTGACAAAATTTTAGAAGGAATAAATATAATCTTCCAGTCCAACTAATTTTCAGAAGTCTTAACTGATTTTTTTTTTTTTTTTTTTGAGATGGAGTCTCTCGCTTTGTTGCCAGGCTGGAGTGCAGTGGGAGGATCTTAGCTAACTGCAAGCTCCACCTCCTGGGTTCAAGCGATTCTCCTGCCTCAGCCTCCCAAGTAGCTGGGACTACAGGTGCCCACCATGCCCAGCGAATTTTGTGTATTTTTAGTAGAGACGGGATTTTACCATGTTGGCCAGGATGGTCTCGATCTCCTGACCTTGTGATTCAACTGCCTCGGCCCCCAAAAGCGCTGGGGTTACAGGCATGAGCCATTGTGCCCAGCCTTAACTCATTATTTTATTAGGGCTTCCATCCCAGAAAAGTGATAAATATATCCAGCCTCTATAATGCAAACTATAAATAGTTAATCCTGTAGTTTTCCAAACAACTATGACTCACCATGAATCATGGTGAAGGAGGGGGAAATAAAGGAAAAGAAAGGGGGAAAGAAAACACTATGTTGAGCTGTATTTTCTCATTCAACACCTTGGTTATTCATTAGGCTTTTTTAATATCTCTGCAGTCATATCCCTAAAAGCTTAATTCTGTATGCAGAGCAAAAATTAAAAGTGAGAAACGATTCAACAAAGGTTTGTTAAACTTTTTCTCTTACACCAGGAATCCTATGGTCCAAGTCATCATTTGAATTCATTTAAGCTCAGCTGAAATTCTGCAGACAATTATTTTCACTAAAAGGCTACAGTCTCATTTTGTCCACTTATGAACTCAGAGTGTCATAATCTTGGCTTTCAATTTTGGGATATAAGAACTTACTATCATATAGTAAAATCACCAGCCTAGCTAACCTAGGATATCACTCTAGCAATTAAAAGATACACATTGGCCAGGCACAATGGCTGACACCTATAATCCCAGCACTTTGGGAGGTGGAGGCGGGCAGAACATCTGAGGTCAGGAGTTCGAGACTAGCCCAGCCAACACGGTGAAACCCTGTCTCTACTAAAAATACAAAAATTAGTCATGCGTGGTGGCACACACCTGTAGTCCCAGCTGCTCCAGAGGCTGAGGCAGGAGAATCGCTTGAACCTGGGAGGCAGAGGTTGCACTGAGCCGAGATCGCGCCACTGCACTCCAGCCTGGGTGACAAAAGCGAAACTCTGTCTCAAAAATAATAAAAAATAAAAGATACACATTGATGATACACATTAATAAATTTTAATAAAAGCATAAGCCTCTGATCATCCTGAGTGAAAAAATAAATTCATGAAAAATGGCTACCAATAACATGAGTTAATTAAATCAACTTTCTCTCTACTATTTAATATGCTGCTTTGGAATTTCAGCAAATTCAAATTATGTATATATTTATGCACACACACACACATACTCATGAACATACACACACATAGGTCCACATTCTCCAATACACCTTCTACCAAAAATAACAGATTAGGATTACCAAATCGTAAACAATATGGATTATATCCTACCAATGTTGAAATATGTTTAAGCAATCTAGGAGAAGAATGGCTCCTTACAAGTATGGTAAACTGGTAAACTACTATTTATCTAAAATATTTATGTATATCAGAGGTAATTTAATAAATTATATTTAAAAACTCATTGACAAAATACCCCCATAAGCACATGGAGTATACTTTCAATTTAGAAAGACAGAAAATACAAAGACGTGAAAATAGATTGAATGCAAAAGGAATTTGGCAAAGAGACAATTCAGGTGAGCTGGATAAATTAACAGAGAATTTTTAAAGCAGTGATTCTCAATCTTGGCTACACATCAGAATTACCTTGGGTTCTATTTATTTAGGTTCTGATTTATTTGGTCTTAGTTGTGGGCTTGGCATTGGAACTATCTTAACTCCCCAGATAATTGTAATATGCAGCCAAAGTTGAGAACCACTGCTCTAACTGATACAAGCTGTGAAACTGTCTCTCAGACAGGACTGGAATGAGTAGAAGAAAGTGCATCAAGAAAAGAGAATGGGTAATGTAAAATCAGGCACCGTCATTCAAAGGAGGGATGAGCTGAGAAGGAAATACTGTTGGCAAAAGCTCAAGCCACCCTGTATCTCAACCAGAGCATTCTATAATGGCATTTACTTAGTGAGGGCCCAACAGCTCAGAGCACAGACTTCAGTATACACATTGAGAATATCAATTAACAGATGATCAGCCTCTCAGAAATTTTCTCAATAATTGGACTCACAAAGTATTAAGGTATGAGTCAGAATGCCAAAGCATGCCTTTGTAATAACTGACCTAACAGTCCAGTGGATTGTATGTCATATTGACACTGGGGCAAAGCTATATGGGAAGCCAAATTATAATCAGAAGGTAGTGTAAAGAATCAGAACAAGGGCAACTAATTGTATGGTTTCAGTACCTAATACAGCAAGTATGGAGAGCAGGAGGCTTCCACCTCCACTACATACACATTCCTGATTCATGGACCAGATACTCAAGCAATTTCAGAGCAATTTTTCTCTAAGATGGTGCCCTTACTCCTCGTTTGTCTCTGCTTTCATGCTACTGCCTGCTTCCATTGGTATCTCCTTCCTTTACCAATGTTAATGCCATAGATTATATTACAATTAAGCTTGATTTATTCTTCCAGATTTGGACCTGGAAATATAATATCTCTAATCATTATATTTTGATTTTATTTTTCTAAGTCTCAGATATCTGAAGAAAACTTAGATTCTGAGTTTTTGCTACCTCTAAGAGAGGATTGGGAATGAGAAGGCAGAGAATTGAAGCCGAGGGGACATATTCAGCAGTAATGAGAAGTCAGTTTGTACAGATCTGGTAAGGACAATAAACATGATGTACTGTGCACAGGTTGAGTATCCTTTATCCAAAATGCTTGGGGCCAGAAATCTTTTGGACTTTGGATTTCTTTATTATATTTACTGCTTGAGCAGTCCAAATCTGAAAATCTACAGTTCAAAATGCTCCAATGACCATTTCCTTTGAGTGTCATGTCAGCACTCAGAAAGGTTGGATTTTGGAGCATTTTGAATTTTGAATTTTCAGATTGGAGATATTCAACCTGTATTCATTTGTTTATACCTTCTTCTTTCTCTATCAAAATTTTGAGCATAAAACAATCATTATCAATTATTATTTGGACATTTGAATGTTATGTGTGAATATATATATACAAGTATTACACATACACACATATATATATTATTTAACTCAACAAGAGCTTATTTATTTGCCTTTGCTTCCTCTTAGAAAGTCAGTTGGATAGTGAGTAGGGCTCCCTTCTTTCCTTCTTCCAACTATTATTTGTAAAGGAATTCTTCTCACTGTAGTGCTATCCCAACACTCCAGATCAGATTGGCTTCGGAATCACAGTTATTTATGCTATTTCATGATTAATCTCTTTTTCATTTCAAAAAAAAAAGTTACTGTTAAAAGATGAAGTCAATACTTTGATTTTGAAAAATTCAAATAAGAAAAAAATATCATAACTTACCTAGATAGCATCTATGAGTATTGCTTCTGAAATATAAAAAGGATGGAAATATAATTTCTAATCACTGAAATTTAAAAGTAAATTAGTTATTTTAGCTCATCTACTGGGTGGAATTGAAGCCTTGGTTCATTTTTTTTAAGTGAAAACAGAGATTTAGACATCATATACACTTAATGTTGTATTAGAATTAACTTGTAGGTGACACTTGACTTTTTGTCATTTTATATTCAAGCATAGTTACAACTCACAGCATCTCTGGAAGTTTAGCATGTAACACAATTTGGCTCTGTGTCTCTATCCAAATCTTATCTCGAATAGTAATCCCCACATGTCAAGGGAGGAACCTGGTGGGAGGTAATTGTATCGTGAAGGTGGTTTCTCCCATGCTATTCTCGTGATAGTGCGTGAGTTCTCACAAGATCTGACTGTTTGTGTGTGGTGCAGTTCCTCTCTCTCTCATTCTCACTCTCCTGCCTCCATGTAAGACATGCCTTGCTTACTCTTCACCTTCCACCATGATTGTAAGTTTCCTGAAACTACCCCAGCCATGTGGAACTGTGAGTCAATTAAACTTCTTTTCATTATAAATTATCCAGTCTCAAGCAGTTCTTTATAGTGGTATGAAAATGAACTAATACAGCAGGATTCATCCAAACCTCAACTAAGAAATGTATTCAGAGGAGCTACACTCATAAGTTCATACTCTAGGTTCCAACTTCTATCCTTAGCCTACTGCCTAGGTTAAAATCGTGCTGAGAGACTGAGTTTACCTTCAGATCATTCTGACTATTCAACTCTCTGGTTGGATGCTCTTTTCCGCTATTAACTCTGATGCCCACTCAAGAGTTACCACTGACCTTGATCACTTTGGTTTGCATTTCTTCCATTGAGGACCTCACTTTAACAGGCACAATTAGTACTCATACCCAAGAAGTTCTGCTTGTTCTCTTCCCTACTCCAATACTTGGCATCTACCAAACACATCATAAACTAATGGCAACACCCCTTCAATCTTTTCTCTACTTGATCCTCAAACCAAAGATATGTAATCTTAAACTTGATCTCCTTATTTCCAATTTCCAACACCCGTTAATCCTATCTCCTCAGTATACATGAATCGAATGTGCTTAATGTCCTAGGTTGATTCCAAGGAAGAAACCAACATCCATTTCTCCTCTACACTTGTAAATATAAGAAATATTGATGGTTTCAGAAAGTTTTCAAATGTATTCAACATTTTTTACAGAAATCAGTTGTGCAGGGTATGATTAGATATATTTATTAAAACATATTTTTGAGCTATCGCTTCAAGGAAAATAGATATTTCAATTTTCATCAAATATTTAAGTAATTCAGGAGGCTTAAGTGAATACATTCTACATTCTAAAAATAATCTTTCTTTTCAGTGGACATTTTCAAATCCTGTAAGAATTTTCATCTGAATTAATACAAATCTCTATTAGATCATTAACAGTAATTAAGGAAATTCTATTTTAGTCTTTTTTCTGAGTGTTTTTTTTTTTTGCTTTCTTTTTTATAACTAATATTATTCTGATATAGTCATGCTGGAGAATTTCAACCAAAGAATTCATAGTCAGAAAAACAAAGTCATAAAATACGAGAGAGAGAGATAGAGATAAACAGAGAGAGAGAGGTTAAAATGAAGTACACGCATGTTTCTAAGACCAGAACAGCACGGTAAATTCACACTTCTTAGTTAACTTCTTTCACACCCCAAATTGTCTATAGACCTTCCCAACATGTCAAGAACAAAAAAGAATCACTTTTTTGCATCTTTCCATTTCTGCAAAACTCTAGGGTAACAGGTCTTGTTCATACTTTTACAGACACATCATTTTTTAGCTCCCTTCTTGCTGAGAAAATTGGTGAAGTTAAAAACCTGCTGGGATTCTGATTTGAAGTAAGAGGTACCACCATAATTCAGAAAGTAAGACTTAATTTGTAAAGCTTCAACCACATTTGCAAGAAATCACTTCTTCTGTCCATTTCTCCATCTGTAAAACAAGGATAATAGCACCTACCATGGTTATTGTGAGGCACAAATGAAAAGCCTGGTGCAGAGAAGGCAGCTTTTGGAGTTGTTACTTCTGGGTGATGCTTTTAGATGTGAAACTGAGGGAAACTTTTGACTCTAGTGCTGCCTTGAGCAAACAATCACTTTGCCAAGTAATGAATTCAACCAGAATTTATACTCCCTATATATGGCAGAGTTGAGAAAAGCTCACAAATACTCTAATGCTTTAGGAGAGGTGGTGGCTTTTTGCATATATTTTCTTTTCTTTATGGTACAATGTATGTGGCAATCTTATTCTTCAAGTTAAATATTATTTTGAATCATTAATAATATCTATTATGTATTGTTTCATAAAATAATGAGCTCTAGTGTATATGTTAGAGTTCAGCAAGCTCAGATGTGTGTGTACAGACTTTCTGAAGGCAATTTTCTCTGTATATCATCTCAACAATTACATTCTGTATATGACAGGCACAGATATCCTCTCAGAAACAAGCAGTGTTTGGTGTAAAAGATTAAACATGTCTGAAAATGTGTCCAAGGCTCACTCTTGAAAATCTGATTACAAAACAGTACATTTCTTCATTGTTCTAAGGACAAATAAATGGGAGGATACTTTAGAGAAAACATGTAATCCCACTTCTGAACATATATCAAAGACAATGAAATTGTATCCCAAAGAGATATCTGCACTCCCATGTTCTTTGCAGCATTATTTACAATAGCCAAATATGAAAATAACCGAAGAGCCTGAAAACTGATGAATGAACAAAGAAATTATGGTGTGTGTATACATAATTACATACATAATGTACAGATGTATACACACACAGCATAATTTATTTGCTGATTGATTCGTGTGTGTGTGTGTGTGTGTGTGTGTGTGTGTGTGTGATGTAGAAGGAACATGAAAAACCTGGCTGAGGCAGGTCCCAAACCTCATGCTTTGACAAGCTTTTGGCATTACAATTCTTTAAACCAACCTAGCTCAACCACATTAAATACCTGCTGTGCTTCCATAATAAATGGCCTCAAAAATCCATATTTCAACTCTAAAATTCACCCATACTATTCTCACTGGGCTACCCTATATCATTGATCTCTTCAACACAGCTTCCCACCAGCCACAGTTTTAAGTCCCAATTTTACTCCATGCTTCAGCTACGCTTTCCTGACAAATAAAATTGATTGATAGCTTGTTTTGATCTGCAATCTTATCTTTTTGATACCAACACTTTCCTAAAGCCAGTCACCATTTAGAGGAACCCAGACTAGGGAAAGGAAGTCCCCAGGCTGGAATCTTACCCCAGGATCCTGAAGGAACAATTGTCCTACTGCAGATCCTGAAGGAGCAACTGGCCAGACCCACTCCTCACCAGGAGCTCCCCCGCAAGAAGTCTGATGGAACGTTCCTCAGAAGAGGAAACAGAAATCATGGAGTGGATCATCTGAGCAGTAGAAAGTGCTCAGCAGTGCTTTTGGAAGTGGGAGTTATCCCTGGACGTTGAACTATCTGTTCAGTTGTCGCACAAATATTTATTGAGTCTTTTGTGTGCTAGGCACTGTTCTATACACTAAGGATAAAGGAGTGACCAAATCAGAGAATGTTTCTTTTCTCCTGGAGCTAGTATACTACTTGGGGGAGGCAGACACCAAACAAACAAAAAAAAGTACTGCATACATAAATGCATAACTAAAACCATGAGAGTGCAAAGTAAACCACCAGGGGAGTGAAGGCACCTCATTGTATTGGACAGTCAGGAAAGGCCTCTGGTGATATAACATCTGGGCTTAATCTAAATGTGATGAAAAAGATAGTAATCAACAAAGTGAAGAGACAACTCACAGAATGGGAGAAAATATTTGTAAACTACTCATCTGACAAAGGATTAATAACCAGAATATATATAAAGGTCCAACAATTCTATAGAAAAAAATGAATAATCAAATTTAGAAATGGACAAAAGATATAAATAGATATTTCTCAAAAGAAGACATACAAATGGCAGACAGGCATATGAAAAGGTACACAACATCACTGATCAGAGACATACAAATCAAAACTACAATGAGATATCATCTCACCCCAGTTAAAATGGCTTATATCCAAAAGACAGGCAATAACAAATGCTGGCAAGGATGTGGAGAAAAGAGAATCCTTGTACACTGTGATGGAAATATAAACTAGTATAACCACTATGGAGAACAGTTTGGAAGTTCCTCAAAAAACTAAAAATTGAGATACTATATAATCTAGCAATTCCACTGCTGGGTATATACTCAAAAGAAAGGAAATCAGTATATTGAAGAGATATCTGTATTCCCATGTTTGTTGCAGCACTGTTCACAACAGCCAAGATTTGGAAGCAGCCTAAGTGTTCAACAACAGATGAATGGATAAAGAAAATATGGTACATATACTCAATGATGGATAAAGAAAATGTGGTACATATACTCAATGGAGTACTACTCAGCCATAGAAAAGAATGAGATCCTGTCATTTGCAACCACATGGATAGACTGGAGGTCATTGTGTTAAGCGAAATAAAACAGGCACAGAAAGAAACATCACGTGTTCCCACTTGTGGGATCTAAAAATCTAAACAACTGAACTCATGGAAAGAGAGTAGAAGGATGGTTGCCAGAGGTTAGGAAGGGTGGAGTGGGGAGGGGGGATTGTTAATGGATGCAAAAGAATAAAAAGGATGAATAACATATAGTATTTGATAGCAAAACCAGGGTGATTATAGTCAATAATAATTTAATTGTACATTTTTAAATAACAAAAAGAGTATAATTGGATGGTTTGTAACACAAAGAATAAATGCTTAAGGAGATGGTTACCCAATTTTCCATGATGTGATTATTGCACATTACAAGCCTATATCAAAACATCTCATGTAGCCCATAAATATATATATTTATATATATTATATTATCTATATAGCAGTTTATTAAGTATTAACTTACATGATCACAAGGTCCCACAATAGGCTGTCTGCAAGCTTGAGGAGTAAGGAGAGCCAGTCCGAGTCTCAAAACTGAAGAACTTGGAGTCCGATGTTTGAGGGCAGGTAGCATCCAGCATGGGAGAAAGATGCAGGCGGACAGGTTAGGCCCGTCTCTCCTTTTTCACGTTTTTCTGCCTCCTTTATATTCGCTGGAAGCTGATTAGATTGTGCCCACCAGATTAAGGGTGGATCTGCCTTTTTCAACCCACTGACTCAAATGTTAATCTCTTTTGGCAACACCCACACAGATACACCCAAGACCAATAGTTTGTATCCCTCAATCCAAGCAAGTTGACACTCAGTATTAACCATCACAAGTCCACCCCTTGTCAACTTGAACCCATACACACCTCCTGAGATAATACATAATCTTTAAATAAAGACAGTAATGAGGTCATAATTATGCCAAACATAATACAACTATCCTTTGTACAACCGGAAACACACCAATCCCCAACCCAAATACTATTACATAAAATTAACAATACTTAAATGCTGATATGAAGTCAATAAATCTTATGCCATATGATAAAGGAAAAGGAGATAAAATGAAGATATTTTCTTAGTACAGGTGTATACATGCACAAACATGTTTTTAACAAAAGAAGGAAGAAATACTCATGACAGAGTCCTCATTTCTGCAGCTGGTCACATGGTTATAGTTAGTATTGATGACTACCTTCTTCTACTACCTATTCTGTATTCCCTTTGCCTTCAGCAAGCACCTCAGCAGTCATGGCTTTTTTTCTGACAGAGTGACCAAAACCTTCATTCCTGAAGGGTCTGGGTCATTTGTAGTCCTGCCTGGATTGGCTGTTGTAGTTTCCCATTGATCTTAATCACGGGGCATGGTAATACTAAGAGACGCCCTAATGGATCTCCTGAATTCCATGTGTACTCTTCCTTACCTCCATGTGGAGTGATAGACTGATTTCATCTTGATAGTCTGGGTCAATCACCCCAGCCAACACTGTAACTCCCTTCTTAGCCTGTTGACTTAAAGGTAGGAGGAGGTCAAAGTATCCAGGTGGCAATCTTAACTTTCAGTTTAATGGAATCATTGTTGTGTCTCCTGGTGGCAGTGTTCCTCCATCTGGAACTAAGACCTCTAGGCCAGCAGAACATGATGTCGTGAGAACAGGAAGCACAAATTTTGCTAGTGGATCACTAGGGGTGATGGTGAGTGGTACTATTTCCACTTCCACCCCTTGATTCCTGGACCCAGGAATCCTGCCTATAGGAGAAACAATACCATATATTGGATGCTGATTCAGAGCACATATGGCCTTCTGGAGAACTTTGCCCCAGCCCTGCAAAGTATTGTCACCTAGTTGGCATTGTAATTGCGACTTCAAAAGGCCATTCTGCTGTTCTATCAGTGCAGCTGCTTCAGGATGATAGGGGAACACGGTAAGACCAGCAAATTCCATGAGCATGAGCCCACTGCTCTACTTCTTTAGCCATGAAGTGAGTGCCTTGGTCAAATGCAATGCTGTGTGGAATATCATGATGGCGGATAAGGCATTCTGTGAGTCCACGGATGGTAGTCTTGGCAGAAGCATTGCATGCAGGATAGGAAAACCCATATCCAGTGCAAGTGCTCTGTTACAGTGAGGACAAACCTCTGCCCTTTCCATGATGGAAAAGGTCCAATATAATCAACCTGCCACCAGGTAGCTGGCTGATCACCCCAAGGAATGGTGCCATATTAAGGGCTCAGTGTTGGTCTCTGCTGCTGGCAAATTGGGCACTTAGCAGTGGCCATAGCCAGGTCAGCCTTGGTGAGTGGATGTCCATGTTGCTGAGCCCATGCATAACCTCCATCCCTGCCTGCCACCATGGCCATGGCCATTTTGTTCATGGGTCCATTGGGCAATGACAGGGATGGCTGGGGAAAGAGGCTGAGGAGTGTCCACAGAATGGGTCATCCTATCCACTTGATTATTAAACTCGTCTTCCACTGAGGTCACCCACTGGTGAGCACTCACATGGGTTACAAATATCTTCACAGTTTTTGACCACTCAGAGAGGTCCATCCATATACTTCTTCCCAAAATTTCTTTGTCACCAATTTTCCAACCATGCTTCTTCCAAGTCCCTGACCATCCAGCCAAAACATTGGCTACAGCCCATGAATCAGTATATAATTGCATATCTGGCCATTTCTGCTTCCATGCAAAGTATACAACCAGGCAAACTGCTCGAAGTTCTGCCTGCTGGGAAGATTTCCCTTCACTGCTGTCCTTCAGGGATGTCCTAGAAAGGGGCTATAGTGCTGCAGCTGTCCACTTTCGAGTGGTGCCTGCACATCGTGCAGAACCATATGTGAACCAGACCCCAGTCTTCTCTTCCTCTGTCAGCTGATTATAGGGAACTCCCCCATGAGACCATCAATGCAGGCTGGGGAACAGAAGGCAGGGTGGCAGGAGTGGAGACCATGGGCATTTGAGCCACTTCCTCATGTAACTTACTTATGCCTTCAGGACCTGCTCGAGCCTGATCACATGTATACCACTTCCATTTGATGATGAAATGCTGCTGTGCATGATCCACTTTATGCTAGATGGGTCAGAAAGCACCCAGTTCATGATAGGCAGTTCAGGTCACATGGTGACTTGATGACCCATAGTCAAATGTTCGGTTTCCACCAAAGCCCAGTAACAGGCCAAGATCTGTCTCTCAAAAGGAGAGTAGTTTTCTGCAGAAGATGGCAGGACCTTGCTTTAAAATACAAGGGGCCTCCACTGTGATTCACCTATGGGGGCCTGCCAAAGACTCCAAACAACATCCTGTCTGCCACTGACACCTCAAGCACCACTGGATCTGCTGAGTCACACAGCCCAAGTGGCAGAGCAGCTTGCACAGCAGCCTGGACCTGTTGCAGAGCCTTCTCCTTTTCTAAACTGCGTTCAAAACAGGCAGTCTTTTGGGTCACTCGATAAATGGGCTGGAGTAACACACCCAAATGAGGAATGTGTTGCCTCCAAAATCCAAATATGCCCACTAGGCACTGTGCCTCTTTCTTGCTTGTAGGAGGGGCCTAATGCAGCAATTTATCCTTTACCTTAGAAGGAATATCTCAACAGGCCCCACATCACTGGACCCCTAGAAATTTTACTGAGGTAGAAGATCCCTGAATTTTAGTCAGATTTGTTTCCCATCCTCTGGCACACAAATGTCTCACCAATAACTCCAGTGTGTTTGCTACTGCTTGCACACTGGATCCAATTAGCATAACATCATCAGTGTAACGGACCAGTTTGATATTTGGTGGAAGCAAAATGCAATGAAGTTCTCTCCAAATAAGATTATGACACAAAGCCAGAGAGTTGAAATACCCCTGAGGTAGGACAGTAAAGGTATATTGCTGGCTTTGCCAGTTGAAGTCAAATTGCTTCTGGTGGGTCTTATGGACAGGAAGGGAGAAAAAGGCATTTGCCAAGTCAATAGCTATGTACCAGGTACCAGTGTCAATTTGCTCAAGCAATGAAACCACATCTGGTACAGCAGCTGCGTTTGGAGTCACCACTTGGTTAAGCTTACAATAAGATGCTGTCATTCTTCAAGATCCATCCATTTTCTGCACAGGCCAAATGGGAGATTTGAAAGGGGATGTGGTGGGAATCACCACCCCTGCATCTTTCAAGTCCTTGATGGTGGCACTAATCTCTGCAATTCCTCCAGGGGTGCGATATTGTTTTTGATTTACTATTTTCCAGGCAGAGGTAACCCTAATGGCTTCTATTTGGCCTTTCCCACCATACTAGCCCTCACCCTACCAGTCAGGGAGCCAATATGGGGGTTCTGTCAGCTTCTAAGTATGTCTATGCCTATTACGCATTCTGGTATCGGGAAATGACCACAGGATGAGTCCAGGGACCCACTGGACCCACTATAAGTCGGATCTGAGCTAAAATTCCATTAATTACTTGACCTCCATAAGCCTCTACTTTAACTGGAGGACCACAATGACTTTTTGGGTCCCCTGGAATCAATGTCATCTGAGAGCCAGTGTCCAGTAGCCCCCAGAATGTCTGATCATTTCCCTTTCCCCAGTGCACACTTACTCTGGTAAAAGGCCAGAGGTCTCCTTGGGGAAGGATGGAAGAAAGATTCACTGCATAAATTGTGGGTAATGTAATGGGGTCCTTCTTCAATGGGACTCAGCTGCCCCTTCATTCAAGGGGGTCTGGGTCTGTAAACTGGCTCAAGTCTGGAAATTGATTAAGGGGCCATAATTCTCTGTTGTTGTTTTTTTGTTTTTTTTGTTTTTTTTTTTTTTGAGATGGAATTTCACTCTTTTTTTTTTTTTTTTTTTTTTTTTTAATTGATCATTCTTGGGTGTTTCTCACAGAGGGGGATTTGGCAGGGTCATAGGACAATAGTGGAGGGAAGGTCAGCAGATAAACAAGTGAACAAAGGTCTCTGGTTTTCCTAGGCAGAGGACCCTGCGGCCTTCCGCAGCGTTTGTGTCCCTGGGTACTTGAGATTAGGGAGTGGTGATGACTCTTAATGAGCATGCTGCCTTCAAGCATCTGTTTAACAAAGCACATCTTGCACCGCCCTTAATCCATTTAACTCTGAGTGGACACAGCACATGTTTCAGAGAGCACAGGGTTGGGGGCAAGGTCACAGATCAACAGGATCCCAAGGCAGAAGAATTTTTCTTAGTACAGAACAAAATGAAAAGTCTCCCATGTCTACTTCTTTCTACACAGACACGGCAACCATCCGATTTCTCAATCTTTTCCCCACCTTTCCCCCCTTTCTATTCCACAAAGCCGCCATTGTCATCGTGGCCCGTTCTCAATGAGCTGTTGGGCACACCTCCCAGCTGGGGTGGTGGCCGGGCAGAGGGGCTCCTCACTTCCCAGTAGGGGCGGCCAGGCAGAGGCGCCCCTCACCTCCCGGATGGGGCGGCTGGCCGGGCGGGGGGCTGACCCCCCCACCTCCCTCCCGGACGGGGCGGCTGGCCAGGCAGAGGGGCTCCTCACTTCCCAGTAGGGGCGGCCGGGCAGAGGCGCCCCTGGAATTTCACTCTTATTGCCCAAGTTGGAGTGCAATGGTGCAATCTCAGCTCACTGCAACCTCCGCCTCCCTGGTTCAAGCGATTCTCCTGCCTCAGTGTCCAGAGTAGCTGGGATTACAGGCACCCACGACCACACCAGGCTAATTTTTTGTATATGTTAGTAGAGACAGGGTTTCACCATGTTGGCCAGGCGGATCTCAAACTCTTGACCTCAGGTGATCCACCTGTCTCAGCCTCCCAAAGTGCTGGGATTACAAGCATTAGCCACCATGCCCAGCAATTCTGTTTTTATCATTCAAATTAGTCTCTTGTCCATTTGACCTAGGGGTTTTCTATTTGTATAATTAAGTAGGATTGCGGTAGGTTTTCTGTCAATATCACTTCTAGGAACACTGCAATTAATTAGCCAATGCCAGGGCTCTGTATACACAAGTCAGACTATTCTGATTGCAGCTTTGCTTCTGCTGTCCATTATGGTTGCTATGTCCACCTTGCCTTTGATGGTTGAGTGCTGCCACTTGGCCCCTGCCACCTTGGGATCTAATTAGTCCCATCGTATTTAAATTTTGTAGTTGAGTGACTGCAGTTCCCACTGTTAGATCTGACATATACAGAGAAGAGCAATTACAAGGCTCTTCAAAGATGCAGGTGTTGCCTTTACAAATTTATTTCATAAGGCATTGGTCAATGGTATATCTTCTGGACCTTCCCAGCTGGGATGTGTAGTTTTAAAGTGACTAATCCACTCCACCATCCTAACCTCTCTAAGCCTTTGGATCCATTCCTCTACATTAAACTAAGGGAGGTCAGGCATTTCCAGCTCACTCACAGTGGGGCACCTTTTAATCCATATTTCAGCTAACCAAGCAAATAAAGTATTAGAACCTTTTTTAACTCCCTGAGCTACAACATTAAAAGCAGAGTCCCTACTCAGTGGGCCCAAATCAATAAATTCAGCCTGATCCAATTCTATGTCCCTTCCACCATTATTCCCATACCTTAATATCCATTCCCATGCCTGTTCTCCAGATCGGTGTTTATATAAATTAGAGAACTCAAAAAGTTCTTTTCGAGTGTAGTGCACCTCCTCATGGGTCACACTCTCAAGCTCACCTCCAGGGACCCACCAGTGCTTTAGTTATAGGTCTAAAAGCAAACAGGGGTATTGGGGGTGGCTCCTGAGGAGAATCAACATTATTTTGCCTGGAAACTGCCTCAGGGGAGACCATTACTGTTGCCTCAGGCAGTGCAGGGTTTATCTCCTCAGACAAAGGTGGAAAGGCTGATGACAGCATGAGTTGGGGAGGCGATGTTGCCACTACTGGGGGTGGGGAAGCTGCTCCTTCTGGCAAAAAAGGTTCATCAGATCTTACAAGCTCAGTGTCCCCAGCTTCATCAGGGTCCTCCCACATGTCCTTATTCCAAGTTTCAGGGTCTCATTCTTTTCCAATCAAAGCCCTCACTTTAACAATAGACACCTGGCAAGGCTGGGCATGCATCTTTCCTTGCAGGTCAGCCATTCCCATGATAAGAGCTTGTGTCTGTTTTTCCTCAATTTCAGCTGTTTCTCTACAGGAGATAAGACTCTCACTCAGGGCAATCTTAGCAGATTTGAGACTCAGTATCTGCTTCTGAAGCCTGGAGATAGAATCCCTGAATTCATCATTTTCTGTCATCACTTTATCCACTGAACTTAGGAGAAACCAACCAGCTTCATTATGTTCCTTGGTTCTCCACATATGGTCAAAGGTATTATGTATAGAGTCACTAAACTCCTTGCCTATCATGAGTGGTGAATCAGGAGTATCAAATGCATTTATTTTGCCTAACTCTCTAAACAGTTCATGCCAAGAACTATCAGTGTTCTCCATACTATTAGAAGTAGAGTCCTTAGCAATTTTGGGTTGAATCATATTAAGTAGACAACTCCAGAAGCCCCAAAACAAACAAAAAAAACTCCACCCTTAATATTCTGTCTCTCTAGAACCACTCCTGGTACTAAAATCTGTATTAGTCAGGGTTCTCTTAGAGGGACAGAGAATTTATTAACTTATATTATCACAAGGTCCCACAACAGGCTGTCTACAAGCTGAGGCACAAGGAGAGCCACTCTGAGTGCCAAAACTGAAGAACTTGGAGTCCGATGTTTGAAGGCAGGAAGCATCCAGCATGGGAGAAGGATGTAGGCTGGAAGGCTAGGCCTGTCTCTCCTTTTTCACAATTTTCTGCCTCCTTTTAATTCACTGGAAGCTGATGAGATTGTACCCACCAGATCAAGGGTGGATCTGCCTTCCCCAGCCCACTGACTCAAATGTTAATCTCTTTTGGTAACACCCAAACAGACACACCCAGGATTAATACTTTGTATCCTTCAATCCAATCAAGTTAACCCTCAGTATTAACCATCACAGTATCCACAAAAAAATTTTTTTATTTTTTTAAAAAGATAGTCATGGGGGGAATATAGGATAAAAGGATTCTAGGCAAAGGAGATGGCAAAGGATATATAGAGTCTGCTGAGTATATTAATTTGACTAGGTTAACAAACAGAAAGACATTCAGTGTGGCTGGAGCACAGCAAAGGAAATTAGTGGATAATGACAGAAACATTAGTGGGGCTAGGATATATAGGACTTTGTAAAAGCATGATAAAGTGTTTGGATTTTGTGCTAAGAGCTAAGAGAAGCAATTAGAGGGTTTTACGTAGGATAACGCATGATTTGACTTATATTTTAAGACCTCTCTGGCTTCAAAATGTAGCATCCATTACAGGGGTTGAAAAGTGGAAGCAGGAACAGCATAAGAAGACTTGTCCAGAAAAGAGAGAATGGTGGCTTGAGTTAGGGTTTGTAGGCAATAGCAAAGAATACAAGTCAAAAGAATCAGAGTGCATACATTTTTAATGGAGCACGAGACTAACTGATGCACTGAATGCAAGTTGCAGAATGAAGTGTGAGGAGAAGTAGGGAAGGAACTGCAACCCCATGTCAAGGAGGAATGTAAAAATGTCCCTCCAGCTTCAGGGGGGTGAAAGAGGCAGAGGGGAAAACTGCAGCCAGATGACCATTTTGAAAAGGTGTCTGAGTTTCCCCAGATCAAGCAGCCCCTCAAAGCTTTGCATTTCAGCTCAGTAACTTGGGCTGCAGAAAAGGTCCCCTGCCCCCACATTTTGCTCTAAAAGGCTTACCCCGTACAACACTAGCAACATTTCAGCTCACACTACCCTGAAATGAAAGGTATTGCTAGGTCTGGCACATATAGCCCCATCTTTAGGATTCAAACCAAGTCTATTTGGTTTGACAGGGGAGATGGTAAGGACGGATGACAATGATGGCTAGCCACAGAGGAGAGGAGTTTTGTGACAATGAAAGTGATTCTGGCTCAGAACACATAGGTGTTCATTGAAACACCTGCAGCACTAATGTCATCCGCCATGATGTGATAGAAAGGAGAAAGAAGAAGAAAAGAGAGCAGAGAGAAGAAGAGGAGAGGGAAGAAGTGGAGAAAGAGAAGACCTACCAGCACTACTATCACAACAAGTTTTGTATGGCTACCATTTATAGTGCATACTCAGCAAGGCATTTTTAGATGTTGAGAAGTGTTATGATGAGTTAGGCACTGTGTTAGGTGCTTTATATTGTCTTTAATTCACACAGCAATCCTAAAAGTTAGATGTTGTTTTCTTACTTACACAGGTGAGGAAACTGAGGATCAAAGAGTGCAAAGGATTTGCTCATGGACACAGAGCCACCAGCAAAGCCAAGATTCAAACCAAGGCTATTTAACTCCAAGGCCTACAGATGCTGTGGGCAGAGAGTGGAGGAACCTGGGAGATAACATCTGACAATGAAATCTGCCTGGCCTGGCTTGCCGAGCAGCAGTGGACACAGTCAAGAGCCATAGCATGAACAACAGGGACAGCATCTGAGACTCTTCCCAGGAGGGACACAACATACAGACCATGGGAGATGCAACATTTGACTGATAGGTAGAGATTATGAAGATATTCTTTGATGTTGCTGCTTTTATTGTAACCCTGATGCCTGTCCCCTTGGGTTAGAAATACTGCTACAAAACTGCATAATTCTGCAGCTAAATAAGTGCAGTGTAACTTCCCACCCTGCTCCCAAGTTGCTGCAGCTAGAAAGAAGAAAAGGCTTATCTCTGTGTGCACAATTAAATCTCTACAGAGAGCCGTGTTAGTCCTACTCAAAGACATCCACATTCCCCTCATTTTATGAAAGAATTATGAAAGTGTTCCTTGCTGAGTTGAGTTACGTCCTGAAATCTTTGAAGAAAACTTAAGTCTCTCTGGACTTGCATAACTCTCTTGAAGTCTGTAAAACCAGAAGGAAAGATAAGGTTTCATAAGCTCCAATTCTTTTCTTTTCAAATATCCACAACTTTATGCACATAAGAGCAAAAGTAGCTCTCATTATTACTTGCTTACAATGCAAACATTGATAATGTTTCAAAATGGGTTTTTCACAGAAGGAAGATATTTTCATACTTTCAAAATTTCACATTTTCCTATTTAAAAAGTTGTTCTTAATGAAAAATATGTTCTCTGGCTTCTCTTTTCACCAAACTCAACAAGCTACCAGTTTTTCATCTCTAATAATTCTTCCCACCATTAGTCACCCCAAAAGGAATGAGACAAGAGACACTAGGCTTACTATACACCAAAATCAACTCAAAAATTGATTTAACTTTTATATTTGTGACAATGAAAGTGATTCAGGCTCAGAACACAGAGGTGTTCATTGAAACATATGCAGCACTGATGTTATCTGCCATGAGGTGATAGAAGGGAAAAGGAAGAAGAAAGTAGAGAAGAGAGAAGAAGAAGAGAGGGAAGAAGGGAAGAAAAAGAAGACTCACGAAATGTAGAAGACCTCAACGTAAAAGAAAAACTATATGTTTTTTAGAAGAAAACTGTCACGACCTTAGGTTCATGAGAAACAAAAAGTTCTTAGAAAACAGCAACAAAATCATGATCTACAAAAGAGAAAATTTATAAACTGGACTTAATAAAAATTAAAGTATTTTGCATCAAAATACTTAAATAAGAAAATGAAAAGCCAAAACAAAGACTAGAAAATATTTGCAAATTATACATACAGTAAAGGATTTGTACCTAGTATATAAAACAACTCAATATAAAAATACAACCCAAAATTAAAATGAGCAGATTTGAATATATATTTTACAAATGAGATATATGAATGAAAAGTTGCTCAATATCATTAGTCGTTAGAGAAGTCATCATTAAAACCACAATGAGATGCCACTGTTGATCCACTAGAATGGCTATAATCAAAAAGACTGACAACACTAAGTGTTGGTGGGGATGTGGAGAAATGAAACCTTCATATACTGCTAATGGGAATGTTAAATGAAACAGCTATTTGGGAAAACAGTGTGGCAGTTTCTTTAAAAAGGGAAATGTAATTCATTAATTTCACTTCTAGAAATTTATCCAAGAGAAATAAAAACATATGCCTCTGTAAAGGCATGTATACAAATATTTATACCTGCATTATTCATAATAACCAATAAGTAGAAACAATTCAAATTTTCAACAACTTCTGAATGGATAAACAAAATGTGGAATTATTCATATAATCAAATACTATTCATCAATAAAAAGGAACTGATTGGTGCTAAAACATTGATGAATCTCAAAACCATCATGCTCAAAACCATGAATCAGATTTGAAAAACTACAGATTGTATGGTTCCACTTATATAAAATGTATTGAAATGGTGAATATATAGAAACAGAAAGCAGATTAGTGGTTGCCTGGGGCTGAGGGTGGGGATGAGGATTATCAGCAAGTGAGGATGAAAGAACTTTTGGAGATTGCTCTAAAATTGATGGGATTTGCTCTAAAAGTGAATACCGTGATGGTTGCATTGCTCTTTAAATTTACTAAAAAATATGAAATTATATACCTATAAAGAAAGAATTGTATGCTATACGATTATACCTCAAAAAAAGCTGTTCAAAAAAACTTTATAAAGAACGAGGCATTAGGTCCCTAAGGGCCAACAAGATGTATCTATGGTTTTAAAAACAGAATGATTTGCTTCCCTGATAAAAGATACTTTAAGACATCTATCAGATTGGCCAAAAGCTTACAGCCAGACAATACCATATGGTGGTGGGCATATTAGTCAGGATTTGTTATGTTATACTGCATAATGTCCCCTGGATCTCAGCGGTTTGAAACAACGGTCAGCAAAGTTTTTCATCAAAGGGCTAAATAGTAGGTATTTTCAACTTTATAGGCTACATGGTTTCTGTCTCAACTACTCAATTCTGCCTAAATGATATATAAACAAACAGGTAATGGACCAGATTTGGCCAGTAGGCTATAGTTTGCCAACCCCTGACATAAAACCTCAATAATTTATTTATAGCTCATGCCTAATATTTATTGCAAGTCAACTGGAGACTTTACTCCATCTCATCCTCACTGAGACCCCATTTGATGAAGTCATCGTATGGATCGTTAAAGTTCACTGAGGCAGAGGCAAAGAAGGAATGTGGTAAATTCCTCCCTGCCTCTGAAGGCTGTGCTCATATTTCATTGCCCAAAACAAATCAAATGGCTACGCCTAACTTCAAGGGGATTGGAAGAGTATAATTCTACCATGTGCTTAGAAGGCAGAGCGCTAGAAGTAGTAGCAAAATTAAACATACCGTACGAACCAAAATTTCTATTCTTAGATGGGTGCCCTAGAGTAGCTCCCACATAAGTGCACTAAAAAAGTGCATACAAGGATGTTCACTGCAGTGTAGTTTATAATATCAGAAAAAACTGAATACAACTTCAATGTCTATCAATAGTAAAAGATAAATTATGGCATTTTTTACTAAATGGTATCATGCATGGCAGTCCAAATGAATAATGTACAGATCAATAAAAATAAATTACTATATAAGTATAGATATATCTATAGAAACTAATGTTGAGTTTAAAAAAAGGAAATCTGCAAAAGAATACATACACAATGATTTTATATATGTAAGTTGTTAAAAACACATTTTTTATGGAGACATAATATAAAGAAACGGGCATACATTAACTTTAAAACAATGCTCATCCTTGAGGAGACTGAAGGATTGAGGAAACTTCTAATGTATTTTGCAACGTTTAAGATAAAATATCTGAAGAAGTTATGGCAAAATGTTAATGTGCACTAAATCTGGATGGTGGATAATGTGGGTATCTTTTCTCTTTCTCCTGTTCTTAGTTGTATGCTTGAAATATTTTTAAATTAAAAAGAAAAATAATTACTGCAGCTAGAGTATGATTTTCAGCAGAGTGAAGTGACATTAAATGACACTAATGACCAGGCTGAGCTGAGAGCAAGACAATGAGTTGCCCTTACAAGCGTCCAGCTATCAAAAATGAGCCAAGAAAGAGAATGACCTACTATCACTAACTGAGCAGTCTCAAAGCAAAACTGTCAAGACTCATCTCTCTGATCTAGGGAAAGTTAATAGTGAATAAAATCTTCAAAAAATAAAGTCTATCTTTTCATGCCCTTTAATAATACATTGTGGTCTTTGAAGAGACAATTGTTAGGACTTTCATGATATAAAGATTGCTGTGTCTTCTATATTGTAAAAGTGTTCTCATATAGCAGAAACAAAATGGAAGAAGAGAGAGTGGGGGAAAAAGAATGGAAAGAATTGGAGAGAGAGAATGAGAGAAATTTTGAATGAAGCGAAGGACGGAGGGCCCATACTCAATTCTGGGAACTGAGCTCCCGTCCTTGCTGTTACTAAATCTGTCTTGAGCAAGTAACTCCAGTTCTGTGAGTCTCAATTTCCTCTTCCCTAATAGGAGGACAATGGCCTCCATTGAAGCTCAACATTCTATGAACCTTGAAATATCCACTGTGGGTCATGTTTGGAGAAGAGGTATTATCCTGGAACTAAAACCCTCAGCATCTGTCTGATCCAGTGAACAACACAGAAGAATAAAAAGTCGGGGTGACAATTCAGCATGAAGGTCAAAGCCACATATCATTCCTCAGGGCAGTCAGTTGTGCTAATGACAACTGGGAGACTGCTGGGCTTCCTGTTCCACTGATAACAAGCAGGATTCCATCCCATCAGGGTGGCCCAACAGAGAGGTGTGAGAAGAATCAAAGATCTATGCCTACTTCCATCTTTTCAGGATTCCAGAACAACATAAAGAAACCCAAGAGACCCTGGTATATTGAAACCTTTCATTTTCTCCTAAATTTACTGTAAAAAGATAAAAATTATAGGATATGGGACAAAGCCTCACCAGAGTGGTTTCTAGAACACCAACTATGTGCCAAACACTGCACTAACAAAAAAAAAAAAAAAGAGCCACATCTGTTCTTTTCCCATTACCCGTTCCTCCCCATCACCATCCCTGTGGCACCTCAGCCCCTTTCTGCAGAAGGCATAATGACTCCTAGGATTTCTCTCCAGCCTAAGCCCTTTGCCTTTTAAGTGGGATTAGGCCACGTGAAGTCATTTCCCTATGACTATCCATAAGAATTCATCCATAATTTAAAGCAGTGAAGGCAGCATACAGGACCTGTGAACTAGTGAGGCTCCCTTGGGAAGCAGAATGTCACTGGATTAAAACAAATTTTCTTCAGAATTACAGACAGACATTCTCAGAGGAAAGTTTTCCAAACAATCTGACTATCTCTACTTTACATTTGGTATGATGTCATCACAAACCAGGATATTTCCATTAAAGTGTCAACACTCAGATTTATACAACAGACATAAAAATAAAAGCTAAACACTGAGGCAAAGAACGTTAATGGAAGTTATGTATATGCATTAAGGAGAAAATGCACCTCTGAGTGTTGTTTACGTAAAAGGCTATTTGTAAGTTTGATCTTGCATTTCCTCTGACATTATTTGAAAGTGTCTATTTTACTGATGTGCTAGAAACATTTCTTACATTTTAATTATGTTGTGAAACATGCTGATTCCAATCAACACATTGAGGACTGTTTTAAAGTCTATGAGCAAGAAAGAACCGCCATTCATAAAGAGTCCAGGCCTTTATTCATACAGATATGAATATACATTTAGTACCCACTATGTGCTAGTGTCTGTATTAGACACAGCAATTTAGATACTACTCTCTCTCTCTCTGCTGCATGAACAATAGGTTTCCCCTTTGTGCTCCCAAGTTTGCATCAGGACAATAGTTTTTGTGCAGCAGAGAGAATCAATAGGTGGCACAGTGAGGCAAGTAGGGTCCACGTCATCAAACCCCACATAACCTTAAAAGCTATAAAAAATATGGAATATTTTTAATCTGAGGAATTATGGAATCAGATTTGCATTTGTAAAAAAAAAAAAAATCATTCTGGCCAAAGTAAAAAGAACAAGGTACAATCAGGGGCAAGGAGATTGGTTCGGGGCCTCCATGGTAATTAAGGGCTTGCATGTGGAAGAAGTTTTAATATGTACATTAATACGATTTGATAACTAAATGAATTGGAGGTGAAGGATTGAAGGCAAGGATAGCTCACTATTTCCTGGCTTTGGCTTCTAGACAAGAAATGGTACCATTGGCTGAAAGAAGGAATAGGAAAAAAAAAAAAAAAAAGCAGGTTTGCAAGGAGAAGGTGAGAGATGACGAGTTCAATTTTGAACATATTAAGTCTGAGGTACATTGGAGCAGTCCAGGTGGCTATGTCTAGAAAGCCCCAGGAAAGGTACCTAAGGCTCAGAGAAGATGTTCAGGGGACAGTGGAGACTTTGGATGCAAATGAATTACTGCAAAGAAAGTCTATGGTGGAAGAGGTTAATAACAACAATAATGATGCTAATAGCCAAGTTTGAAAGAGTATTTCCCATGTGTCAGACTCTATTCTAAGCCCTTTACATATATTAACTCTTCTTTTCCTCATAGAAATCCAATGAGGGTGGCCTTTATCACTCTTCCCATTTTGCAGATCATGAAACTAAGGCACAGAGAATTTAAGCAACTGACCCAAGGTCACACAGTAGCTAGTCAGTACTGGAGCTGAGATTGTAAACCAGACAAAATGTCTCCAGTCCATGCTTTTAATCTCTATACAATACATCCTTCCTAAGACAGCAGGGCCACAGAGGTGACCCTGGACAGCAATGACATGGGAGGAAGAAAGGATTGCTTGAAGAACTTGAGAATGCGAAGCTAAAAAGGGTAATGAGAAAACTAAGGAAAGAAATAGCTTTACGAATTAGGGAGGAGTCAGGAATGCCAAAGATTGAAAATATCATTGGCTGATACCATTTGTTAACACACAGGAGGAGAAAAGAAAGTGTTCTGAAAAGAAACTAAATAAAATTTACAAGTGATCCAGTAACAATGTTGCAAAAATTTTCATGGAATGATAAAGGGTTTCTGTCCCCATTGACCACATAAACATGAGGAGGTCAGGCAATTAATATGGATCTCAAGGTACAAATAGACACTATTTAGAATCAAGCTTCCCTCTGTTCCTCTTGTATACAGTTACCTGCAGTTCCACCTTGTCTTTTGGTAGGTAAAGGCTCCTGAAAAACCAAAATGATGTATTCTGCTGCCACATCTTGCCCAAAGGAGGCAATGAAACTAGTGAGGCCACTTCCCAGCAAGGACTATAAACTCAATTTGGGCAGCACTAACTCTCTACTGCCACTGCCAAGAAAATGAAAAGGGGAGATACAGCAAAGGTAGCTTTGTAACCCATCCTTGAAAGAACCATAATCAGATCAAAACCAAACAAACAAAAATCCTTTAAGCTTTTAGATAGGCTCATTGAGGCTGTCGATGCATCCTAAACCTTGACATGTCATGCATATTCCAGCAGTCTGCAAATAAGTGAGCATCTCTAAATCTAATCTCCCATCCCAAAAGAAAATTGTAAAGCCTATCCTTTCCTCATTTTCAACTGGAGAAATACACTCAAATATTCTGCTCTGAAAAATTAGGAATTGAGATCTCATTAGCTCCCTTCTCTGCTTCAATGGCAATATATCCCCCTCTTGTGGATTTTTAGGATATTTCCACCCGAGAGCCCTTTCCAATTTATACCCCCACCCCCGCTTAATCGTTAGGTTGCATTTCATAACTGTAAGCATTAATAAAAGATAGGTTACTCCACCATAACCTTCTACTAACTGAAGTACTAGAGTACATACCCTGGCAATTCACCTACATTCTTCTGGGAATGAAATCACCGTTAACAAACTGTGACCATGCATCAAATATTTATTGGGCTATTATGAAGAGCATGGACACAGAGCACTTGAAAAGGCAGAGCTGGTTTCTACAAAAATTTACAACCTAAAAGAGACCAAATAAGCTGCTGAAAACTGTGAATCAGTTGTTCTGGTGGGAAAGTTGGACTTAGATGAGGACAGCTGCACAGGTGGACTTCCCCACCTGTGACAAATAGTGCCAAACACCTGGATTCTAGAAGACCATTGAAGTGGGTAAAGTATGCTGCTGTCCTGTGACTAGGAAAGTAACATTTTTTCCTCTATGCACCAAAATTCAATATAGGAATTAAATTTCATGAGTGTTTGTAGAGATAACACCATCAGACAGAAACACTACTGACTCCTTGTACTTCAACCTTAAAATGTGGCAATGTGTAGGCCTACCTTTCCCTCGTTTCAGAAAAGAAGGTGTCATTCCTTCCCAAGATTGACACATTTACTTTCTCGAGTTCATTCTCCTCTTTTGGATCCTTTCCCTCCACCTCTGATATTGCTCAGCTCTCTTTTATCCCATACTCTGATAATTTGAATCATGAGAGGTGAATGAACCTAATTTATTTCAAATAAAGCTATGACATAATTTACTGCCTAAGAGAACCTACTTCAGAAATGAAATGACACAAAGCAACTTATACTTATTCAAACACATCCCTTGTCGTTTTATTCTCTGTCTAGTGGTCATTTGTCTCCACTTGATGTTTAGAACAAATAAAAATCTGATGTGGTCTCTCTCAGGAAAGGCAAAGGAACAAATGAATGAGGTATTCACAACCTCTATCTCAAGACTCCAAAATAGAGGATACTGTTGATGAACTAAAACGTATTTCATTTTTAAATATAGAACAGTGGTGCTTCTCAACCTATCACGATCTAATTATTCAAGAATTCTATCCTAGAGGAACACAAGTGCCAGGGAGCTACATGGTTTATTATCTTTCCACACATTCACTTCTCTAGAATGTGGGATTCCCAAAGGGATAGATACTATTTCCTGACAGCCCCTAAGCATAAAATTATTATAGAGGGTAAAAGAAATTTTGCTATGGAGATTCAGAGCTGATTAATGTAAGCCATGCCCGTCAGTCACTCTCTGGAAGCCAATTAAGCAAAGTACTCAGATGTAACACTTTAACACCATAAATTAAAGTGGGAAAAAAGTTTAAATTCTATCATAAAATTAACCATTGTAAGTGAAGTAGCTTTGAAAATGTACCTTATAAAAATAAAGTACATTAATGCCTCAATTGCTATGCAAATAAAGGAAAATTTTATTATGAATCAGCCAAAATGACCTCATCAATCTTTTCTAGCCTTCCATTTGGGGAAAAGAGGATCTTTGCACCAAGAGGTATGCGAAATTAATCTTCTTCAAGGGTATGATTCTGTAGAATCTTGTGAAAAACTTCACATAGAGTCCCTTAAAAGTAAGAATGGACAACTCACCGGATGACATCTTCCTCCTCTGCTAATTCATGAAATTGACCCATGGCTGCATCATGGTCAGAGCAGAAGGAAAAGGGTAGATGGCCTGATTTCTTCCTCTCACATTAAATAGTTTGGGCACTTTTTTAATCCTCTATTAAATTTATTTGAGGTAAGAGACAGTGCCTCCCTCCACACCTCCACACAATAAAGAAATTGATTGATAATTAGATAAGATAAAGTACTCCTGTAACTCTAGGTCTTATATACATGCTATCAATACATGATTTTTGTTTGTTTTTTGCTTTTAACTTAATTGTCAAACAATTGGCTACTGAACCGTGGCTTTTATGACATAATCAGGAAAAAGTCATTATGATTAGGGAAGAATAGCACTGTGTTCTGAACCTGAAGTACCCAGAAACAAAGAACCCTGATTAATTGCTTATGCCAGGTGACTCTAACATTACATATTACCTCAAACACTCACACCACGGCGTCCTAATTCCGTGCCCTGGGTTCTTCAAGCATCAGCTAATACCACTCTTCTGCCTTTTCCACACTATCCTTGACAAGACGAGGAAGGTTTCCAAACTACATATGCTACAGATAAAACCCCACTTTTCTTGTTCACTACACCAACTCTCACTACCTTTGTATCTACTATAAAATTTGAACAGACTTATCTCTTAATTCCTGACTTATTGATCACCTCAAGAAGCTCAGCTTCTCACTCTCCTCACTTCCTCTCCCACCCCTTATGCCTTCATCCTCTTATTAGATAGCTGCCTACTTTCCCATTTATGAACTCATCGCCCACGCATCCCAACACCTGAAACAATTTCAATGTGCTCTATGAAATCCATACTCGATCATCAGCAAGATGCCCTGTATCTTTAATGTCCTCAACTTGACCTGAATCTCCTGACAAGATACAGTTTCCATTTATCTCATCAGACCGTCAACCCACTGCCCTCCCTTGTTGTAATTATCTACACACCTGGGTCCTTTCCCTCACTCCCTGAAGAACTGAGTTCCTTATTCACTGCATTTCCAGCACTCTACTTACCATCATTTTTGGTGACTTAAATATCCGGCTGGATGATCCTTTCAATACACCTGAACTTATCTCCTCTAATGTTCTTGTCTTCCACCTAACCTAGCCACCTACAACAGCGATTCCTCTATAGGCTCCATATCAAGCATTCCACTCTCCCACTGAGAGGTGACAGCGTGCTGGCAGTCCTCACAGCCCTTGCTCGCTCTCGGCGCCTCCTCTGCCTGGGCTCCCACTTTGACGGCACTTGAGGAGCCCTTCAGCCCGCCGCTGCACTGTGGGAGCCCCTTCCTGAGCTGGCCAAGGTCGGAGCCGGCTCCCTCAGCTTGGGAGGAGGTGTGGAGGGAGAGGTGCAGGCGGGAACCGGGCTGCGCGTGGTGCTTGCGGGCCAGCGCGAGTTCCGGGTGGGCGTGGGCTCGGCGGACCCCGCACTCGGAGCGGCCGGCGGGCCCCCACCAGCCCCGGGCAATGAGGGGCTTAGCACCTGGGCCAGCAGCTGCTGTGCTTAATTTCTCGCCGGGCCTTAGCTGCCTTCCCGCGGGGCAGGGCTCGGGACCTGCAGCCCGCCAAGCCTGATCCTCCCCCACTCCGTGGGCTCCTGTGCCGCCTGAGCCTCCCCGACGAGCTCCGCCCCCTGCTCCATGGTGCCCAGTCCCATTGACCACCCAAGGGCTGAGGATTGCAGGCACACGGCACGGGACTGGCGCAGGACTGGCAGGCAGCTCCACCTGCAGCCCCAGTGCAGCATCCACTGGGTGAAGCCAGCTGGGCTCCTGAGTCTGGTGGGGACGTGGAGAACCTTTATGTCTAGCTAAGGGATTGTAATTACACCAATTGGCACTCTGTATCTAGCTCAAGGTTTGTAAACTCACCAATCAGCACCCTGTGTCTAGCTCAGGGTTTGTGAATGCACCAATCAACACTCTGTATCTAGCTACTCTGGTAGGGCCTTGGAGAACCTTTATGTCTAGCTCAGGGATTGTAAATACACCAATCGGCACTCTGTATCTAGCTCAAGGTTTGTAAACACACCAATCAGCACCCCGTGTCTAGCTCAGGGTTTGTGAATGCACCAATTGACACTCTGTATCTAGCTACTCTGGTGGGGACCTGGAGAATCTTTGTGTCTAGCTCAGGGATTGTAAACGCACCAATCAGCACCCTGTCAAAACAGACCACTAGGCTCTACCAATCAGCAGGATGTGGATGGGGCCAGATAAAAGAATAAAAGCAGGGTGCCCGAGCCAGCAGTGGCAACCGGCTGGGGTCCCCTTCCACGCTGTGGAAGCTTTGTTCTTTCACTCTTTGCAATAAATCTTGCTACTGCTCACTCTTTGGGTCCACACTGCCTTTATGAGCTGTAACACTCACCACGAAGGTCTGCAGCTTCATTCCTGAAGCCAGCAAGACCTCGAGCCCATCGGGAGGAACGAACAACTCCAGACGAGCTGCCTTAAGAGCTGTAGCACTCACTGCGAAGGTCTGCAGCTTCACTCCTGAGCCAGCAAGACCACGAACCCACCAGAAGGAAGAAACTCCGAACACATCCGAACATCAGAAGGAACAAACTCCGGACACGCCACCTTTAAGAACCGTAACACTCACCGCGAGGGTCCGCGGCTTTATTCTTGAAGTCAGTGAGACCAAGAACCCACCAATTCTGGACACACCACCACCACCTCTTGTCCTTCCAGCACTTTCCCTCTACTATCCCAAGCCCAACTAGGACCTATCAGTTTTTCCCACATCCTATTTATGTATTTACTTCCATTTTTACCTATTTTTAAATCCATAGCCCATTTTCTCTCTTTTGCATAAAACCTCAATTCTCTTATCCTCTTACTTTGTGTTTCTAACTTGGCAAAACTATAATCATGGTTAAATCCAACTGCCCACGAGTTCTGTCCTAGCACCCATGAAGCTGAAGGTAGCTAGTAGATAGAGAAAAAGAGTTTTGCTGTATGTTTAAATCATAATAACTAATCTCAAAGAGACTTTTAGTGCTGCCCAGAGAATTAACTGTATTTCTCTACTTATTCTCTTCCTCCTAGAAAATTCTTTTGTATCTCTTCTTCCACCTCAAAATTCCATCACCTCATCTTCACTCTCAGTTAATTACTTTCCTTCCTACATCTCTTAGAAAAAAGTAGTTCTAGAAACTAGTGCCACCACCTCTATCTACCCAGCTGCAAGTATTGCACCTTCCTCTCTGTTACTTCAGGTGATTTTTCCATGGCTTCATCCAGACCCAACTCCTCTATTTGAGCACTGGATCCCATAATCTCTCATCAAATAAATTACATTGCTCCAAAAATTATCCTCTTACTCTTTCCTAATTTTAAAAAAATCTCTACTAAATCATTCTGTTAAGCACACAATCATCAATTCACCAAAACTGTTGTCAAGGTCACCTCCAGGTTGCTAAATTAGGTCACAGTTTTTCACCTACATGACAAAGCTGCAATATTTGACTTAGCTGATCACACCCTCCTCCTCGAAAGACTTTTTTCACTTGTTTTCCAGGACCTCACATTCTTCTAGTTTTTCTCCTATCCATGGGCCACTCTTCAGGTTTTTGGGGAAGTGTTTTGTTTTGTTTTGTTTTTTGCGAACCCCTCCTCCCCTTTATGACAACTTCACAGTGGAGAGTCCCAGGGCTCATTCTTGGGATCTCCTCTATCTTCACTCATTTCCTTGGTGATCTGTCAATCTACAAGCTGACAACTCCCAGATTTATATTTTTAGCATTGACTTCTCCCATAAACTCCAGTCTCAAATATCTAAGAGCATTCATCATGTTTCTGTTTTAATAACATTGTAACAAACGACTCACAAGTTCAGTGGCTTCTGATTTTAAAAAATACTTAATTTTTGCTCATTTATCTGCAGGTTTGCCCAGGCCTTTCTACCTCAGGTTACAGGTTTAGTTCAGGTCTGCTTCACCTCTCTCTCATTCTGGTTCCAATTGCTCTTCAAGGGCATGCTTTTCTCATGGCAGAAAGTAAAATCTTCAAAGGGGCTGCCACATTTTTGCCATAGTATCTATGCCTCAGCTAAGTGTGCACACTATCACTTCCATTCACATTTAATGGGCCAAAGCAAGTAATGTGGCCAAGCCCAGAACCAATGAGACAGAGAAACATACTGCACCCAGTGGAAGCCATGACAAGGATGAGGACGGGGAAAGAAAGAGCTGTGAACAAATATTATAGTCTACAACACCAGCTCCCTATTCAATGTCTTCACTTAGATGGTCAATGAAAATCTCAAAACATCATGAGCAAAACTGATTTTAGCCCCAAACCTGCTTATCCTGCAATCTTCCTCATATCTGCAATGGGCAGCTCCATCATTCCAGCTGTTCCAAAAGCCTTGAAGTCATCATTGACTTTCTTTCTGTCATGCACCCATACAATCCTATTGGCTCTGCCTTCAAAATAAATCTAGAATCTAGCCCCTTTTTATCACCTCTGTTATTACCACCGTGATTCAAGTCATCAACATTTCTTGTCAAGAGTATAATCACAGTCTCCTAACCAACCTCCATGTTTACACCCTCAACCCCCTATGGTCTATTCTCTATGACAACTAGAATAATCCTTTAAAAGTTAGATTGGAGCATGTCTCTCCTTTGCTCAGTCTACCACTGATTCTCTTCACCACTCTGACCTCATCTCCTACTATTCTTCCCCTCATTCTATTCCCACCACACTTGTCTACTGCTAATCCTTGAACACAATAGGTAGGTACATTTTTTCCTAGTGCCTTTGCATCTGCTTTTATCTCTGCCTAGAATATCCTTCCTCAGATATCTATATGGCTCTCTCCTTTGCCTCTTTTGGGACATTTATTCAAATGTCGCCCTCTCAGTGAAGCCTCTCTGAACACCCTAATTGCATAGCGCAAGGATAGGTGCTACGATGAAGTAAGCAAAGTAAGCATGAACTAAGTGGGAACCCTAAAGGGCACCCAGTCTTGACTATGAGTCAATATATTAAGTCCCTGTTTAATAGGGAGGTGCCAATGAAGAGCAGTGGATCATTTTGCCATGTGTAACTCTGAAATTCATTACCAAGAGATACGTGGTTGCTCTCCTGATTCTGGAGGAGGGGTGTACTCTGACCCGTTGATGTTGAACTAAGCCATGCGATTTTCTTTGGCCAGTGGGTTGTGTAAGGGGACATTATGCAAGCAGAGGCTTTATATGTGCTGCAGTGGTTTGGCTTAAACACTTGTGCTTACATCATCTTCCTTGAAAAGAGCATACCTGGGATTGGCCCTGGTCCCTGAATGAGAATCATGTAGATCAAAGCTGAACCAACCCACAGACAGCACCCAAGCCCAGGCAAGCCCAACAGAGTCCAGCAAGTAAGATCTAACCTCCAACCCCGTTAGAAAAAAATGCTTACTGCTGAAAGCCACTAGACTTTGAGGGTGTTTGCTATGCAGCATTATCGCAGCAAAATCCTAAAAGTATTTTTAGATATAGCATCAATAACATCTAGAAAGATTTCTGCAACCATTTCTCCATTAATTTTTTTTTTACCATATCCCATAAAAGGCTTTCATCCTTTCTCTATTACCCAACTACCACCCTCACTCTTCCTTCTTCAGTGATAATTTCTTGAAGCAATAGTCTATACACATTCGTCTCCTCTTCCTCATTTATTCACCCACTTTAACCCCTCCAACATGTTTGAGGCAAGAGAATAGAGTCTGGAGTCAGAGAACCTAAGGCCGATTCATGCTGACTTCCTAGAACTAAATCAAAAGGAAAGCCCCAACTTTCCGCATCCAAGTAACGAAAGTACCAAAAGTAGGAGAGTTGACTCCCTTGACAACTGCACCCGCGCCCGCGCCCCCATTTTCTGCCTGGCAGATGAAAAATTGAAAGTACCTCTGATTCTGATGGGTCCCCTCCCACAACCAATCAGACTGCACGTGGGCCACTATTTCATTTACATAGGGTGTACGCCAAGTAACCAATGGGAAACCTCTAGAGGATATTTAAACCCCAGACAACTCTGTAACCAGGCTCTTGAACCCCTTGCTCAGGCCAACTCCCTCACTATGGAGCATACTTTTGTTTTCAATAAATCTGTGCTTTTGTTGCTTCATTCTTTCCTTGCTTTGTTTGTGCATTTTGTTCAATTCTTTGTTCAAGATGCCAAGAACCTAGACAACCTCCAGCAGTAACATGTTTACACCTTGAGACAGAGCTATTTTTTCAGATGTCACTTGTTTCTGTACCAAAGGGTAAACATGGATGGATAAGACACAAAGCAGGGCCAGTAGCAGTCATGACAACTGAGTCCATCAACAGTGACAAGAGGTGGTTGTGTCAGGGTGGAAAGCATAATGCAAGCTGAGAAGCACTTCTGCTCGGTATATTCAGGTTTGTTTCCTACCCTTCCCTTGCAATTTTATATTAAAATAATTCATTTTATAAATGAGAAACTAATCCGTTTTCTAAACTAGTTTGGTAATGTTATGTATTGTCACTGAACATCTCTGGAGCCTGGTATTTTCATTTATCAATTTATAAAGTTACTACTTTTCAAGCAGAAACGCCCAAGAAATTTTCAAAATTCACATAACCGAAGACTGCGTACTCCTCCATCTAATTCTGGGCAGGGCAAGGTTTAGCAGTCTAAAAATGCTCAGCAATTAATTGCTTATCTTTTCAAGCCCCCTTGAACATCTCCTGACATACATGCACACTGGCCATTCAGGACCACTGAGCTAGATGTTGCCTTGAATACTTGGTAGGTGTCTTTATTGCCTATAGAATATGGTCTGAATTCACTAAATGAAAAAATGTTGTGTATTTCTAAAGCAAATTATGTCATCTAATGAATCTAATCTTTTTTATTTTATAATCTCCATCAAAGCACTAGGTGTTGACAAATACCTTCCCAAGCCTCCAAAATACCAAATATGCAAGGCCTCTCATACCAAGCCAGCAACTTTGCAGTAACATATAATAATGTCTTCATATAACCCATAGCATAGAGGCTAAGAAAAAAACTTGAAAACTAGTATGATTAGGATTTACATATGTTAGATATAAATTTTTTCCACCACATAAACATTTGAAAGAATTTCAATAATTGGATGTTTTTCTTCTCTTCATTATATCCTTATTCTGAAAAAAAAAAGGTCAGATACTTTTAATTTGAGGTTTTAGGACACAAATGCATTTCCCTTTTCTATACTAACCTTCAGTCATTTCAATATGAATTCACAGACATACACATGCACCCAACTTCTAAATGTCTAAATGTACAAACAGACATCAAGCAGTTTCCAAGGGAACATTGCTTCAAGGCAATGATCCTATTAAAAAGACCCTTTTGAGAACAAATATCCATTCCCTTCACTATCATTCAGAAGCATTAAATTAGAGCCACTCCTCTTGAAATGAAAAAAACAATCCCATAGTTAACGATCACAGGGTAGCAGAGAATTTTCCTCTTAAAAGCATAATTATTCTACAGGGTGGCATTACTGGTATGGACCATTAGCTCTGACAGTGAAAAGCTTCCAATTCCTCTACAATTGAAAAGTTGCTTGAGATGACAAGAGATCTACAAATCATGATTATCTTAAAATCAGAGAATTAGGCCATGTAGTTGAAAGGGCCCTCCAGAGAACTGACGTTCAAGTCCTCTGGCTTAGGCAGGGAAAACAGCCAGAAACCAGACTTGTTGAGTAGACTTTAAGGGGTGCTGCTTGCCTAGTGTTAGCCATTGGAGCATGAGAATGCCCTTAAAAATAGTTGTTTTTAGTATTTTTCTCATTATACAACAATAAAATTTAGAAAACACAGAAAAGCACACAGAAAAATTAAAATCAACCACACCCCTATCACCGAGAGAGCCACTGTTAACATTTTAGGGCATAGTTCTAAACTTATTCTGTGATTTTATATTTACTTTTTAGAGACCCAAGCAAGGTCATAGCCTATGTACTATTTCATAAGGTACTTTTTTCAAAGAACACTTTATTGTAAACATCTTCTCTACATTACCACATATTCCAGTAAAGATTTTTAATGACTGCAGGGAATTCCAGATTACCATACTGAAATTTATTTAACATATACTTATTTGGGACACTTAGATAGTTTCTGATTTTTTACTCTTAGAGCTAATAGGGTGCTAGAGATCCTCATACATAAATCTTTATGCACATCTGTGATAATTTCTACAGGACACATTCCTAGAAGAATTGCTGAGTCATAGAACACCAGTATGTTATGAGTGTTTATACAGTTTGCCAAAGCATTGCACAGAAAATTCATAACAATTGAACGTCTGCCATCAGTGTATGAGAATGGACAACAGAAATGGTGCTGTAATTGCCTGACAAGGTCCACCTGGGACAGTTATATCTGTACATAGCAATGACTAAGAGGGATTCTGCCACCTCCTCAAGGGCCAAAAATTAATTCACTGAGAAATATTAGATGTGCACTAAAAAACAAGAAGTAGGGTTTACTAATAATGTTAATTTGTATATACTTCTAAGCATCTGTGAATATTCCACAGTGAGATTCTGGCAGCAAGTTCCAGTTTCTCCTCAAGAATGGGAATACCGAGAGAGAGTTAAAGGAGGGGTCTCTCTTGGATTTCGTCAGGATACTTCCACCTGGCTTAACAGAGCCTCCTGTTAGGGCTCAGCCTCACTCTTTGCTTATACATCTCTGATGGTATAAAAGGACTCTTAATACAAATAGCTGATTATCAGAGAACATAAATTCAATCAGCTGCAAAGACCAGAAAGCTATATAAAGATATAAACCTTCACAGTTTCAAGGCATTAGGGAGTTAGTGGAGCCTATAACAAACTGAAGGATAACTGTCTTGCCTAAAGTACTTCACATTCATTTTTTAAAACCATCCTGGCAGTCAAGCAAAACACATTGCAGGGCAAACGTCACTCATGGACCTCCAGATTGCAACCGTGGTTTGTTTGTTTGTATTACTCCTTGTAGATTATTCTGTCTCTGATTAATGATTGTTCAAATATGTTTTGGGCAACAAACATTCATTGAAGGATGTCTATGGATGTTTGCTCCAACGTGCTCCTTAAAAAGAAGTATGCAGACCAAATCTGTGACACTTATTTTCTAAAACGGAAATGGAGATTTCTTCCTAATGTGCACATCCTTCCTGTGTTGTCTGTGTTCTGCCTTGCTGTAGCAACTGGGGCTCTGAATACCCTTGCAAATGAAAAATCATTATAAGGTTTTTTTTTTTTTAGTAATAATAATATTAGTTAGTATTTATTAAGTACTTACTGAAGGCAGGTCAACTGGCTTCACCTAAGCTGAAAAGGCCTTTCCTCATTACCCATCTACCCCTAGCAGCTCTGGAGATGTTTCTTTTAACCATTGTTACCCACAAAAATATAGGGCCTATCCTTATCGTAAGAATGAAGTAACTCAACTCTAAGAGATGAAGTGAATCACCCAAAGTTAAATGATGCTCTTTACCTTGGGATACTGCCGCACACTCCTGTCACTAATTATAGAGTTTCAATTGTTACACGTCTATACACAGATACAAGAGAGTGTCCTTAGTCCCGAGGTCTCCTAAAATGAGTAAGAGCATAGGCAAGGAAGGAAAGGTGGCATAGGAAAGGAAATGTAACTAGAAGCCCTTGTAAAGTTTGATTTTGAGTCGGCGAGGCTAAAGTCCCAGGAGAGTAGAATGCTATTTAAGCCTAATGTTTTAGGAGTGGTAAATTTATTGAACTCACAGGCTGAAACAATCTCAAGAGGGTTGTTTATTCAGAGGAGGCATATTAATCCATTAAGCTAACGCTTTTACATAAACGTCCAGGCTTATTGCATTAGCTTCGGTGACCCAAGTGATTTGACCTATTTAAATAAAATAACCTTTGGTGTGAGCAATATTTTTTTGTTAAAAAAAAAAAAGCATCAAATTCCATCGTGTGTGTGTGTGTGTGTGTGTGTGTGTGTGTGTGTGTGTGTTCCATCTGTTAAGTTAAATTTCTAGACTGGGCTTTTAGATTACTCTGAAAATCACAAACTCTTCCATACTTTGAAACATGCATCAGACCTAAAAAAGAAATTGCAACCAAAGGCCTGTACTCACCTAGATAAAATGAAAGTTTTATGAATGTGTTTAAAGGGAAAATGCTGCATAAAGGGAAAAATACATTGTGACAGCTTGGGGCTCCAATATAATAATGAAATGAAATTATATCTTAATTATAATTAGAAAGGTTTGGCAAGTTCTGAAATGTGAGTAAACCATTTATGCTTTCAACAAAGTTTGCATCTTAAATGTGTTTAAATATAATTTTCACTAAATCTTAATAAATCATTTATGGCAGATGTTAAGTGTATCAATATAACAGGATCATGCAAAGAAGTTAGAAAATTCCGTCCTACTAATAGCATAAGGCAAAACAAATGTGCATGATTAACAGTGACAGTTTGAGAGAATAGCTTTAAGCAATTTAAAGACCCAGCAACCAAAAGGATCAAAAGAAACAAGTTACTTTCATTGGATGAATAGAAGTAACTTTAAAATTGAGATTGTTATAAGATACCACTTAAAATGAGCTACAGGAAAGAAATGAAAGAGGACGTATTTTACTCTCAAAAAGCCTATTCTGTCAAGGTTGTTGGAGAACCAATTATTCTTAGGAGTTCGTCAAATAAACGCCTCACAGCCTATCTCAAGCTAAAAAATTACATACAAGCATTTAGCATGTATTAGTTTGACCCTGTGAGCTGACCTCATTCATGAGATTTCAACAGAGTTGTTGAAAAATACTTCAACATACTAGCACACCTTAATTGAACATGGCACATATTATAGCAAAGGGTATAATGTGGGAAATTGCACAAAACGAGAGTGAAAAAAGAAATTAATTTAATGCTGTTCTAGATCCCTGTGCCATTCTAGAATTTAACGAAGAACACAAACCATATAACCACTAAATTCTGGTTGCATCGATCCAAATCTCCTCCAAGTCACCCAACCCAACCACCCACTTGTCTTGTTTTAAATATTTATGAACACAGCTTTTATCTGTAATAACTATCAATCGCTAATTGTTATATTAATAATAGAAAATTAAAATTCAACACTGAAACAGATGGTCTCCCTTCTACTCCACTTCAGTCTTTTTATCTTATTAAAAAAAACCCTAAAAGCCAAAAACTGCTAATCAGTTAGATGAGTTTTATAATGTATCTGTTATTACTCAAGATAGGGTGTCAGTGAAAGCTTTTCTTACTGAAAGGCAATTATTTTGATCTGGAAAAAGTTCACAGCATGTTTGATAATCAATGTTCACCTAAACATAAATATTTTCTCTTTTTTTTTCCATTTAGCATTGACTCTTGTACCCTCCAATCTCTTACTCTTCAGTGTTTTATTAATTGTTAATCTGGTGAATATTTATCTGATACTCAGTGAAAATGGAGATGGTACATTCACATAAATTTGGAAAAGCATCTCTTTAGTGTGGCTTGTTTGGGATTTATATCTATGTGACCTTCTGTCTCCATTCAGTAACCCCTTTCTGGCTTACCATGCCTCCCTCACAAAATAGACCTATGACCCTATTTGGGGCTCCAGATACTTTCTTAATTAAGTCATCCTCATCCACACATTATAAGCTGCATGACTGAATACCAATAAAAGCCCTTCCAACCCTAAAGTGTTATATATTACGTTTTAAAATTATAACAAAGATATAAACACAAGTTTGATTTTCTTTTCCTTTTTTTCTTTTTTTTGAGACAGAGTCTCGCTCTGTCACCCAGGCTGGAGTGCAATGGAGTGATCTCGGCTCACTGCAACCTCTGCCTCCTGGGTTCAAGTGATTCTTCTGCTTCAGCCTCCTGAGTAGCTGGGGTTACAGAAGCCCGCCACCACGCCTGGCTAACTTTTGTATTTTTACAGTAGAGACGGGGTTTCACCATGTTGACCACACTGGTCTCGAACTCCTGACCTCAGGTGAGCTGCCTGCCTCAGCCTCCCAAAGTGCTGGGTTTACAGGCATCAGCCACCACACCCAGCCACAAGTTTGGTTTTTCAAGGCCTACTTTATGCATTTTACAGCACCACTCTGTTTCAATATTAAATTCATATTCTGTGTACATAAAAAAATTGAATTCTTATTATTTTCATCCAAAAGCTAATCAAAACTAAGTTCTTATAAAATAACTGGCTGTAAAGCCCTTCTGACTCAACAGGTAAATTATAAATATTTTAGTTATATTATATTAAGGTAAATAACAGTAATGTCAATTACTGTTGCTTAAATGCTTAAAATGCATTTATTCTGGATATTTTCTGTAACTACAAACATTAAGAAGTATTTTAATAAGATAAATGTTATTTATATGAACAATATTTTTGCTTCCTTTCATTAACCAATTGCATTTTTGCATGAAAACATTAAAATTAGGATAGCCAGCTTACCTAAAACATTGTTTATTTATTAATAGACTAAGCTATCAGGCAGGAAATAATGCTTTCCTGCTTTTTCAAATTCTAAACCATTTTTCAACTGAAAATAATTTAACAAATTAAAAATATTCTTTCTAAACCATTCTGTTACTAAAAACTTAATTGTCTCTACAGCACTCCTATGATACCTTTCTAGGGAAAGTCTGCAAATGAGACAAAAGATTTATATATTGAGTTTTGCCTCTAAGAACCATGGTTGGCCTTGGCTCTGGTTCTACAGAACCTCAGTCCTGACACTCAGGAAACTGAGCCCCTTCGGACAAGTTTAGCCTGTCCCCATGTGCTGGGAACAAACCCCCCAAAATATGGCCATGAACTGGCCCCAAAACTGGCCATAAACAAAATCTCTGCAGCACTGTGACATGTTCATGATGGCCATAACACCCACGCTGGAAGGTTGTGGGTTTACCAGAATGAGGGCAAGGAACACCTGGCCAGCCCAGGGCGAAAAACTGCTTAAAGGCATTCTTAAGCCACAAACAATAGCATGAGAGATCTGTGCCTTAAGGACATGCTCCTGCTGCAGTTAACAAGCCCAACCTATTCCTTTAATTCATTTCCCATAAGGGATACTTTTAGTTAATTTAAGATCTATAGAAACAATGCTAATGACTGGCTTGCTGTTAATAAATACGTGGGTAAATCTCTGTTTGGGACTCTCAGCTCTGAAGGCTGTGAGACCCCTGATTTCCCACTTCACACCTCTATATTTCTGTGTGTGTGTCTTTAATTCCTTTAGCGCCACTGGGTTAGGGTCTCCCCAACCGAGCTGGTCTCGGCACCCATGCTTTGGGCCAGCTGTGCCTATAGTGAAGGTGAATTTTAAAGCACCAGACAGGTATCAAATCAGCATTACTTGTAGTTTCACTCTGAACAGATGCCCTGATTCTAGTAGAATTCTTGATATCTTTTTCCATGGTAGTTTATGGCAACAAGGACAAAGGGAGATTCTCAATAATAGTTAGAGTAGGGCAAAAGAAATCAAAGCCATAGAGGCAGTGCTGAGAATAATGTGGGAAGGTTAAAGAGAGGCTGTGGCTATGATGATAAATCATAAATCATAAATCAAAGCGTAAGGGATAAGACTGAGACCGAATATGGTGCCTCAGATGGGCAAAGGTAAAACCATGGTTTTAAGGATGAAAATCATGACCAGTATAAGGGTGTGCTCTGTGATAGAAGTTGTGTGACATGGCAGAGGGCTCCATGGCTCAAAGGACAACATAAGACTGAACATAGGCATAGGTTCTATTCTGTAGGTGAGAGGAATCTATTTAAAATTATGAACAGGAACATGACATGACCTGATACGCATTTTAGAAATCTCACTCCAGTGTCAGTGTGATAGATTAGAAAAGAATAAGGTGGAAGGTAGCAAGAACATGAAGAAACAAGAAATGACAAAGGTGTAAATTAGGGCACTGGAACTGGGGTATGTTTGAAAGATATTGAAGAAAAACAATTGATAGAAATTGATAAGCAGTTGGCAGCTGGATCTGGGTAAGGGCAAATTGTGGTATTTTGGGATCATTCCCAGGTCTGGCCTGGCAAATGTGTGGATGGTAGTTCTATGAAGTCATTTTCAAAGACTCCTTTAAGCCAGCTAAAAGTATCCAGACCAAATCAAAGAGAGAGCATTCCTTCAGCTACTCTGGATTGGTATCCCACCCTTGAGGAGTATCTAGAACTTGCTGCCAACATCTCACTGCGTGGGGTATTCACAGATGCTTAGAAGTATTTAAAAATAGACATCATTAGTAAACCTTATTTAGTTTTTACTTTTTAGTGTAAATCTAATATTTCTTAATTTCTGGCCTTTGAAGAAGTGACAAAATCCTTCCTGTTATTGCTATGTCCACGTATAACTGTCTTGGGTGGACCTTGCCAGATGATTACAGTGTGATTTTCGGTGTTCATTCTCATACACTGATGGTGGACTTTCAGTTGCTATTACTTTTCTGTGCAATGCTTTGAAAAAAGTGTCCCAAAAGTCTTAACATACTTATATTCTATGACTCAGAAATTCTTTTAAGAATTTGTCCTGTGGAAAGTATCAGAGATGTTCATGAAGATTGATGTAAGGGGATGTCTAGTACACTATTAGTCATAAGAGTAAAAAATCTAAAGGGTAACCAATAATTGGTCAGCAAGCAACTGGAAATAAGCTGACCCCTTAGTAGTCCAGTTTTCTCCAGTTGAATGGGTATACTTAATCTGCAGATCCCACTTTTTCTTTATCTCTTCCATCCTCCCCCAACCCAGATCTTAATCTTATTGTCGTGCTGCTTCATGCGTATTTCATGTTTGGTTCAGTTCTGCCCTTTCCAAGACTATTCATTCTGCACTCTAAATGTTACCTGCCCTTTCTTCATCGAGTCTTCACAACTCTGTTCTTCTCTAGATAATAGACTATTAATCTGAAACTTAAGTGCATATAACAATACAGGGAAGGCCAAACCCATTGTATGTTCTCAACTCTTCTCCACAATGAGATGTTTATTTTAGCACTAATCTTCTGAACCCATGCCCTGCATTTCTTGGGTTCACAGAGGATGGGAATTCCAAACAAAGCAGAAAACAGGAATGCTGTGCCAGTGAGTCAGACAAACACTCTAGAAAATGAAGTTTCCTAGCATTTTGCTTCTGTTTGGGCATTTATTCCTATCTACGACTGGGTTCATCCTGGCCTCTGATATATTTGAGGGATGCTTATGTACTGCTTTTCTGGAAAGTTAAACTAAATCAATGTTTCCAAGACATATTTCACTTGAAAAGAGTTACCATTATTCTTGAAGTAGATGGAAATCATTGTAAAATGATGTTTATTGAATGTATTCACACAGTTAATATTTCTTCCGCAGTTAATGACTAACAACAATACCAAGAACTGAAAACACTGACAAGAATTTACCTTTAGATAGTTAATAAACTGTAAAAGGGATGTATAAAACCTTCTAAAACTGCACGAAGTCCCCCAGGGGAGCCACAGCACATTTACAAAGGTGCCACAGGATGTTTAGTTTTCAGGAGAAACACAGTGACATCTCTAGGACACCGCGCAAACTACTAGCTCCAAGATCGTTCAGTGTCAGCATTAGATGGATTTACAGTCCTTATGATGACATCATATCATTCTAAAACATTTTCAACAGTGATAAAAATTACCAAATGAAAATCAATGTGGAACAAGAAATGAGAGCAATAATGTTCATCTGTTTCCAAGGTTTGAGAACTTCCGCAGTGACCAATAGATGTATACATACTTTTGGTAAATAGTTGCAGTTATTTCAGAATGACACGTGAGTTTTCTCTGCCTTTATATAAATTATTTTTCAAAATAGCATTCATGTATTAGGATATAAATAGTTATTAAGTTGTTTGAGCCTAACTACTTAATAAACAGATCCATTGGGCATTTCTTTTGCCTAGAGACTCTGTAAAAAAATTACTAGACACCAAAGGTACTGAGGCTAGAGAAAGTTCAAGAACCTCTGCCTAAATGCTATGAAATGAAATATAATCTATACATTGTTATTATATATTGGCCCTTTTGCAAAATTCAAATGAAAAACTTTCTATAAAGATTTATGACCAAGCGCAGTGACTCACGCCTATAATCCCAGCACTTTGTGAGGCCGAGGTGGGTGGATCATGAGGTCAAGAGATCGAGACAATCCTGGCCAACATGGTGAAACCCCGTCTCTACTAAAAATACAAAAATTAGCTGGGCATGCAGGCACACCCCTGTAGTCCTAGCTACTTGGGAGGCTGAGGCAGGAGAATGGCGTGAACCTAGGAGGCGGAGCTTGGAGTGAGCGGAGATCGCGCCACTGCACTCCAGCCTGGGCGATAGAGTGAGACTCCGTCTCAAAAAAAAAAAAAAAAAATTATTTGGGTATTACAAGAAGTATTTAACCTCCAAATATAAAGAAATTCTTGGTTTTTAATCTTTATGGAACTAAATATTGGCAACCATAGTGTAGGATTTTATAAAGGTAAACACTAAGTCTTTAGTTTCAGAAGGATTAATTTTTTCTACTATCTTTGATTTCATGTTTCTGTAATTTAAGGCAGTACAAACTTTTAGGCAAAGTGCCCAGTAATTAGTTGCCAAAGGATTTATTTGTATGGAAATCTCTCTTTAGCTCTTTTCACTGACGCACAAAAGTAGTAAGGAAACTTTAACCTCCCTGATATTGGAAGAAACACCTGAGGCAGTGCCAATCAAGTCAAATTCTTTTACAAAATTGCAGGTGCATATTTTGTTTTTAATATTCAAACCAACACTGGTTATTCAAATCAGCTTACTTTATGTAAATTAGTCCCTTCAAAAAGCCTCCTTAATGCAGGCAGTTATTAAATGAAATGGGATTTACCTTAGCTAATGTCTGCACAAAGAGGGAAAAATGTACTGGAGAAATCCTTTCATAGCTTGGAAGTACTGGGCTCACGCTTGTTTACTTACAACCCCTCCTCTGGCAAGAACAAGAAACAGAGTGTAATTACTTTCTTGACTGTCATTTTTACAGTTTCAATTTGACCCTGCATTTAAGGAGAAGAGGAGAGGCATACAAACACAGAGCCCTTTTTTCTCTACCAGTCTGGCTTAATGATTAGGAAAAAGAGACATCAATTTTGCCATTAATTTCCAAAGGGACATATTTAAGGAAGCCTGTACCATTGTGCTTGGAAAATGCAGTAAACTGCTTTCCAAATGTCCTGTCTTATTGCTCAAAATCAAAATCATTTTTCTTAAAAAATAGACTTCCATTTAGAAGGAAATAGGATGTATTTAAAAAAAGAAGAAAGAGGAAGCAGGGAAGGAAGGAAGGAGAGGGGAAAGGAGGGGAGAGAAGGGAAGGGAAAGAGGAAGGAAGGAAGAGGGGGAGGGAGGGAGGGAGGAAGAAAGAAAGAGAGAGAGAGAAAGAGAGAAAGAAAGAAAAAGAAAAAGAAAGAAAGGAAGGAGGAAGAAAGAAAGAAAGAAAGAAGGAAAGAAAGAAAGAAAGAAAGAAAGAAAGAAAGAAAGAAAGAAAGAAAAAAGAGGGAGGGAGGGACAGAGGGAGGAAGGAAGGAAGGAAGGAAGGAAGGAAAAAGAGAGAAAGAAAGGAAGAAGAAAGAAGGGAAAGGAAGAAAGGAATGAAGGAGAGAGAGAGAAAGAAAGAAAGAGAGAAAGAAAGAAAGAAAAAAGAAAGAGAGAGAGGGAGGGAAGGAGGGAGGGAGAAAGGAAGGAATGAAGGAAGGAAGGAAGGAAGGAAAGAAAAAAGAAAAGAAAAGAGACTTCCAGCAGGATGGATGTTTTTTGTTGCATTAAACAGCTATGTACAAAAAAATATATAAGACATCTGAATATTTATAATCTTGAGACATGAATCAAGCATGAGTTTTAAAGTATCAAACTGAAATTTAACTAGGAGATGAAGGTGAGTTTTAAGGTCTCTCTTTTTTTTTAATTTTACAATTGCTATTTATCATTATTAAAGAATAGCTTGAGAGAAACCCACTAAAGTTTGGAGCCAAATCCACAGTCATTGGTTACATTGTTTTGTCTTAGTTTCATTCTTTTGTAACTAAAGGAATGTTGATTGTAAATTAACATCATAAATTGTTTTGTTTTAGTTATATTCTTTTGTTCAGACATTGCATTTATTAATGTAATACTGATAAGCCAAAACCTTGTCACTTAGAAATCTGGGAAAATTTCTTCTCATGGTGTCTTTTTGAAGGTAGCAGCTCACGTTCCATACTCAATGGAAAGTGACACTTAATTTGGCAGATCCTGGTTTTAGGAACCCAAGAGAATAAAACTGTCCTGGTAACATAGGTATACAATGGAAGTTGAGCCAGGGTGAAATTCACTTTGCCAAAGTGTCATAAACAACCTAAGCTGGGGACAGGGGTGGGGTTGGTACAAGAGGGATTTTGAGGGAAACCATGGAATTTATGTCTTTATAATTAGCTGTATTTATATAAGACTTCCATTTTGTCAAGGGATTTTTTTGTATTTCATATATTTGACACCTTCATTTCGGATCCTAAATAATCAGTGTAGAATAAGCTCCAAAGACTGAGAGTCACTCCCAAAAGTTGGAAACAAAATCAGAAAAGTCATCCTCTAAAACTGAAGTTAATTAACATACGATGTGATTAGCCTTCTCCAAAAGTGACTCACAACAGGCACTTTGAAGTGAGTAGTGCAGGAGACTGGTGTGTCTCTAACTCTCTTCAGGGGACTAAGTCACTATAACCTTAGCTTTGACTTTGAATAACCTGGAAGACCACATTTTACTCATAAATGCTAACAAAATGACCTGGCAATCTGTATGAAGTTTAGAAAACAGTGTTGAAAAATAACCGTTTGTTAGAGTTTACCCAGAGACCTGGAATCTAGATAATAAAAGTCACTAGAGATACATACTCCCCGGTAAAGCAGGCATAATTCTTTAATTTCTGCCATAACTCAAAAGAAATATCCATCAAGCCTACTCAGTTTATTTTACCATGATTTCATATATTCATGTTTGCCTCACAATTTCTTGGTTAGCAACCTGGATTCCAGGAAAGCTTGGTAATGGGAAGGGCTACATGAGATAAGGTTTTCTAGTGACAAGAAAAGAAAATTCCCACTGAATATTAATGTTGGCACTTGTTTATACATCAGTCCATGTGCCTTGTTAGCCTGAAGTCAATCCCCAGAAGCCATCATTCCTAAGGGAACTGATAGCAATAAGTGTCTTGAAACTGGATTCTGAACCTACAGAGATTTCATCAGTCTGCAAAAGAACTCTGCCTGAGCAAATGTGTGAAATGGTAAAAAGTAACACACAGGATCACCATGATGCCTTTTTGCAAACCCCTGGAATGTACAGCACCGAGAATGACCCCTAATGTAAACTAGGAACCCTGGATGATAATGATGTGTCAATGTAGGTTCACCGGTTTTAACCAATGTACCACTGCGGTGGGGGACGCTGACAGTCAGAGAGCTGTGCATGTTGGGGTGTATGGCAGCTCTTTGTACAGTACTTTTCATTCAATTATGCAGTGAACCTAAAACTCTTCTAGAAATATGAAATCAATTTTCTATAGAGGTTCAGCACCACTTTATTAATGAATTTCAGCCACCTCAGAAAGACCAACCTAGAGGGTAGCTGGGCTGAGCACTGATGAAGAGACATCTCTGGTCTGCAAGTTTGTAATAGAGTTTGACTCCATTTTTGATGTTTGACTGTTGACAGCTTTCAAGTACCATCACTTCTTCTCCCACTGCCCCATGTGGGCAAGCTGATAGGAAAGCCCAAATGTTCCCTCCTTTGACACCATGGCAACTTGGAGTTCAAAGCACACACTTTGGCATGAAAGACAACCTAGTGAAAATCTTGACGTGCTCCTCCTTGGGCGACATCAGGTAGTTCATTTATCCTCTCTGAACCTCAGCTTCTTTATCTGTAAAATGGAGATAATAAATATGTACCTTCAGTGCTGTGAGAGTTAAATGAAACAACATATAGAAAGCATATGGCAAGGTGCCTGACACATAGACTTAATACAGTAATTGCCATACTCTGCCCAAAGTGAATCCTGTGATGTTGGACCTGATTTAGATGCTATTCTTCATGCCAAAAAGAATATATCTTCTCTGACTCCTCAGAGAGTCTAAGGTACACAGAAATAAGAGCAAGAGATGGCAGACTACAAGACCAGTTCCTTGGATTTTAAAAAGGCATTCCCAAGTAATAAGTTGTTAGGGTCAAAAATTTTGTAAAACATGTTGGCTGTATCAAGTTTTCTTATTAATACAATTGATATAAATTTCATTAATTTGAATCTAAACATCAATCATTGTGTAGACCAAAAGACCATGAATTTTCTGCAATTAATAATAAATGTCATAAGAAAGTGATTATTGCAGCAAATACCAAATGAGGACACAAAACAACAATGGAACACAAAAAAGAGGGTCAGGCAGAATTTGGATAAGGAAAGGAAAACTTGACAGAGATAACACTTATAACCAAATCTAGCTAAGTTGTTTGTTAATTCATTAATGCATAACAATGGAAATTAATATCAGCTTACATCAAGCCATTATACTAAACAGCACAATGAAATTAAATGTTATATTAACTGTAGGATGTCATTGAGGACGTCAATCACTACATCAAAAATGGTCCTATTGTCGCAGAATCAGAAATAGTTGTACTTTTCCTAAACAGTCTGTTTGTGGGTGCCTTAAGGGCCCTGTGAATATAATGGTTGTGTTTTCTTCTTCATGATGGCTGCTAGAGAAAACTTGTTGTCTACCTCTTGCAAGGATCTATGATATCATAATTAGCATCTGTATATTCTGGAATTCCTCTACTTCTATTATACATATTCCCTTTGTCCAAATTCCCCAATTATTTTTAATTTATTCCAACATGATGTAATGTATGTATTTTTGCAAACCATCTTTTAATAATAATATGAGGTAAAAACAAATTTTTGAATGTCATAAGCAAGAAATTCTCAGGATGCGATACAAAAAATGAAATAGATGCTATGTGGATGGCTAGGTCTTGTTAACATAGCTTTCAGATTTGTAAGCGTTTGTTTTTGTTTTTTTTTTCTTTCTGTTGCTGGTCTTGTGTCTCATCTCACCTATACCACAATTCAGGGCACATAGCACAGTATTACATGGTATGGCTCTTGTATTTGTTAAGGAAAAGAGAAAGCAGGAGAAGCAAGAAGGAAAGGAAAGTCCTGGGTCCCACCGTTTCTGCCCTTACATCAGAAGGATGCATACTTAGGCCATGGCCCTGCTGGGCCCACAGCTGGGATTTGCATTCCCATGGGCCTTGCAACATGTTATTCTGTCTTCTTTATTGAGCCAACTGAGAAAATAGCCTTGTCACTGGGAAGTACACAGGCGGCTTGCCCCAGGTACTCTGTTTTGGGGAGCCAGCCCTTACAGTGTTTGTCTGGAAACACCAACTGCCCAGCTTCTGGAGACTTTGGAGCACATGAGATGTTGCCATCCACCTGCTGGAGAGAAGTACCTGGTCCCATGGAAAGTTATGTTTGGTACAGCCTCACTCCCACCCCACACTGGGAAAAGGGTTCTTCCAGGACGTGGCTGGTTTGTTTTCCAGGCCATCCTGAATGAGAAACCAACCCTGACAGCACCTTGAAGGGCCACTTGCAGCCACTTCTGCTTGTTGACCCCGTCATCTGTGGGTAAATGTTTAACCACAGGTCTCCAGTGGAGAGAACAGGAAAGCTCAGGTTTGTAGTGTTTGCCAGTTTCCATCCTGTTTCAAGCTACTAAGGTAACATCACTGCACACCCATTTGGAAGGAGCTATGCAGCCTCCCACCATTAGGTTTATTCCCTTTGGGCAGACATAGCAAATGTAAACAACTCCAAGATTACTAATAATCATGAAATGGAGTGCAGTAATTAGAAAATGATATGTTCTGAGTAATAACCTGTGTTTTAAATTTAATTTTTTAATTGTAAGTTTATATCATTTAGCTTTTAATAATAGTTGTGCTTAATATTAGGCTCATAAAATTCATAAAAATGTAACAATTGGCTCTCACAAGCCAGTGCAAACTGATTCCAACAGAACACATTTTGGTTTGCTGTTGTTTAAGCTTTGTTGAGATGCAATTGATATACAAAAATTGCACATATTTATTGTATACAATTTAATTAGTTTGGACATACACATATACCTGTGATGTCATCACACAATCAAGGTACTAAACATATATGTCACCTCCAAAATGATATTGTGTTCTTTTGTGTGCAGGTGTGTGTGTGTGTGTGTGTGTGTGTGTTGGTAAAATTTAACATAAGATCCATTGTCTTAGCATATTTTGAAGTGCACAATATTGTTCATTGTAGGTATCATGTTGTACAGCAGATCTCTACAACTTAATCATCCTGTATAACTGAAATTCACCACACCTTGTTTCATAAAGCTTCCCTAAAAGTTCATGGATCGCTTGGTGCCTCTTGGCAATTTTTTAAATCTTTTTTTTTTTTTTATTTCTTACAAGGATTCAGGACAGAAGGAAGACATCAATACCAGATTGCAAGGAATGGCATGCATTACCTTTATTGTTGATGACATTTAACACAGAAAACCTGGGAGAGTTCCACAAATTTTCATGCAAAGCAACTGAAATATAAATATAAGATGATCTTATGTCACTATTTTCTGAAAAGCCTGGAAAGAAACAGCTACGGAAGTTGAAGAAAAATGACAATCATATTTTTTATTCCCTAAAATACAGATTTAAATATGTGTTAATTACTTCTGCAGTTAATAATAAGAACGATTATTTCTGGACCTCGTAGTCTAGCAAGAAGTCTTCACTAATTCACAATAAGAAGTCATCAAATGAGTGCTTTTGTTGAAGCGAGCAACTAATATTTTAATAGTATTTTGTAGCCTACATATACTCTCCTATTTACCCTTCCCTAAAAACCTGAGAAGGTGGTCTTATTTTCATCTGCATTGTGTCCATTAAGAAATAGAGGCATCTGGGCAGGGCACGGTGGCTTACGCCTGTAATCCCAGCACTTTGGGAGACTGAGGAGGGTGGATCACGAGGTCAAGAGATCGAGACCATCCTGGCCAAGTGGTGAAACCCCATCTCTACTAAAAATACAAAAACTAGCCAGGTGTGGTAGCATGCACCCGTAGTCCCAGTAACTTGGGAGGCTGAGGCAGGAGAATCGCTTGAACCCAGGAGGTGGAGGTTGCAGTGAGCCAAGATTGTGCCACTGCACTCCAGCCTGGCAACAGAATAAGACTTGGTCTCAAAAAAAAAGAAATAGAGGCATCTTCAGTGATTTGCCCAAGACCACACAATACAGTAAGTAGAAAAGATAAATCTCTTCTCCTTCCTGTCTTTCTTCTTTCCTTTGTTCCTTTACAAAGATTTAGGGGGTAGTGTATTAGTCTGTTAGTGCTGCCATAACAAAATACCACGGACTGGGTGGCTTAAACAACAGAAATTTATTTTCTCACAGTTGTGAAGGCTAGGAGAAGTCCAAGATCAAGATGCTTTGGGGTTGGTTTCTGTTGAGGCTTCTCTTCCTGGCTTATAGACACTGCCTTATTGCTGTATCCTCACATGGTCATTCTTTTGTGCATGTGTGGATAGAGAGAGAGAGAGAGAGAGAGAGGGAGATCTGATCTCTCTTCTGCTTCTTAAAAGGGCACTACTCCTATCAGATTAGGGCCCCACACTTCTGACCTCACTTAACCTTAGTTAACTCCTTAAAGGCCCTATCTCCAAATAAGATCACATTGGAGGTTAGGGCTTCAACACATGAATTTTATGAGGACACAATTCAGTCTGTAATATGTAGCTATTACATGGCAGACACTAAACTAGAGCTGGAAATGCAGTGAAAAACAAGAAAGACCTAGTCCCCGATTTCATGGCATTTGCAATGCAGAACAGACACTGAATGCATCCACATTTTCTCACACACAGCATTATCTATAGAAGACACAATGTTCACCCCAGTCTTCTTCATACTATGATTTTTCCCAAAAAAATTCTTTTTGTATACCTATAAAGGATAAACTTCAGACCACCTTTTGTCTCATTCATCTGTCTTTAAATTTGTGGAGGCTGACTTAATACAATTTGCTTGGAAATCTAAGGAAAGAGGAAGAGGAAGTGGGGTCCTCCCTGAAGACAGAAGCAGCATTAGGCCAAGACTTGTCAACAGGAATGCTGTGTTGCCATCATGAAAGACGAGGAATGTTTTTGTGAATTCTGTGCAGGCAGGTGCTTTGCCTCCTTATCCTACCTAGACCAGTGAAGAGCAGAAGAGCTTCTCTTTTCATGAGTCCCAAAATTCAACAGGTACTATATCTAAGAAGTCTCTGCTGTTAAGCTGAAGCAAATTCACAAGTGATTCAGAAGTTTTTTTTAAAGAACAAGAAGAACTGGACTCAACAGCATCACAGCCCTTTAAGTCCATGATTCTGCATCATCTTCCTGCAGTGCAAATGGTAGTTTTAAAAAAAAAATGGAAGAAAAGAAAAAACATTATAAGACCTTCGTTTAATGATATGCAAATGAAACAGCTACTAGGTCACCAAGCACCATGGATTCTAATTCTGCAGTGTTTTCTGAATCCAGTCTCTGCTTCCCAGCTGGTGAAAGTTTATATTGAATCAGATACAATATTGGCTGTGAGCCAAACAAATCTGGCTTCAGCTTCTGTCTCTAGTCTCATGGTTACTAGTTCTGTGAGCTTGAGCAAAACACCTAGTCTCAAGGAGCCTTGGTTTCCTCACCTTAAAAATTATAATAAAAATAATAGTGCCATGCTAGGCTCTCTCAAGGAAGAGACGCACATTTCTAGCTGTCTCAGGATATTATCAAGATATTACATATGATAGAAAAATGTTCTGCACAGCAAAGGAAACAACAGTGTGCAGAGACAACCTATGGATTGAAGAAAAATATTTGCAAGCCATACATTTGATAAGGGGTTAATATCCAAAATATATAAGGGGCCCAATGAACTCAATAGGATAAAAACAAACCAAAAAAACCCAATTGAAAAATGGGCAAAGGACTGAAATAGACTTTCTCAAAGGAAGACATAGAAATGGCCAACAGACATATGAAAAAAATGTTCAACATTGCCAATCAATAGGGAAATGCAAATTAAAACTACAATGAGATATGTCTCACACCTGTCAGAATGACTATTACCAAAAAGACAAAAGATAACAAGCGTTGGCAAGGATATAAAGAAAAGCGAACCCTTGTACACTGTTAGTGGGAATGTAAATTCGTCCAGTCATTACGGAAAACAGTATGCAGGTTTCTCAAAAAACCAAAAATAAAATCACCATATGAGCCAGTAATGCCACTTCTGGATATTTAACCAAAAGATTTGAAAGTAGTTTGTCGAAGTGATGTTTGCACTCCCATGTTCATTGCAGCAGTACTCACAATAACCAAATTATGGAATCAACCTAGATGACCATCAATGAATGGGTGAATGAATAAAGAAAATGTGGTATACTTACACAATAGAATAATATATTTGGCCTTAAAAAAGAAAGAAATTCTGTCATTTCCAACAAAATAGATGGAATTGGAGAGCATTGTGCTAAATGAAATAAGCCAAGCACAGAAAGACAAACACCTCATATTCTCATTTATATGTGGAATAAAAACAATCTAACTCATAGAAACAGAGAGGAGAATGGTGGTTAGAGCGGCAAGGCTGTGGGAGGAATGGGGACATGATGGTCAAAGGGTACAAAATCTCAGATGGGAGGAATATGATTTATTTTAGTTCTATCGCACAGTGTGGTGAATGTAATTATTAATAGACTGTTGTGCATTTCAAGATTGCTAAGAGAGATTTCTAAACTTCTCATCACAAAAACTGTTAAGTATTTGCGGTGATGGATATGTTAACTAGCTTGATTTAATTATTGTACATATTGTACTAAAAAATTATAATATCACTCGGACCCCATACATTTAACAATTATAAATTTACAATTTTAAAAATATAAATAAACAGGAAGAAAAGAAAACAGTCACCACCCAGATGACCAGGATGTCATAGGTCATGATTCAAAACAGGGCAGGTGTGGCTCTGATGACCCTGCAGGACAAAAACTCCTCCATTTAAAGATGAGAGTTTGTTACTCCCTACACTAGCAGCTCTGCCTAAATGGTGACAGTCCCTTTCTCTCTCTCTGCTTTTCTTATACCTGCTCCCTTCTATTCCATGCCAACTAACTTCCCTCTACTCTTAATGTTATGACTCCTGCTAACTTCCTTCTCCTATTGCCTTCCTTCTATTGTCTTTTCTATATGTATTTTTCTTCTGCTTCCACTACCCACTGCACCCTTTTTGTGGGTTTCCTTTTTCAGCTGTCTGAAAGACAGGGTCAGATCTCATTACTACTCCAAATACAATTCTGTCTTTGGGACAGAGCTTGGTGCTCTCTCTTGCAGACACTGGCCAGCCTATGGATGGCTGCCTTGGAGACTGATGATGCTCATCCTCGATACACTCAAGTGTGGCTAAAGTACTGAGGCCACACAGGACAAAGCATGGTTATATATGCACAGAGAACTTAATAAAAGAGAGCTGGTAACAGGCAGGTGCTCTGGGGTTTATCAGAAAGGACTAGTGTAGCTGAACACTAGCTTACATGACATGCCCAGTACAAGTGTTTGTGAGAATAGGATAAGACTTACAGCAGCTTCTCTAGTGTCTGGCCTATAACAGATGCTCAGTAAATCTTAGCCCCTCTCTTTTGATCACCATTGCCACTATGCCAGTACAGGCCTAAGTCTTCTCTTAAAACTGCAATAGGTTCCCATAAGTCTCCTTGCCTCCGCGGTCTTCTCAAATTCATCTCCCACAGCTCTACCATAGTTATCTGTAGAACCCAGGTAGAATTATTCATTTGTTTAATATATTTAATATAAATCGCATCCTTGCTATGTGCTAGACACTGTCTTATATAATAGAAATAAAGAAATTTACAAGGTATGTATTCTATCCTCAAGAGGCTCAAAGAACAGTAAAGAAAACCAATCATCATAAATACATACTATAAAAGGTTCATTAGAGAAAAAAAAGGAACAAATACTTCCCTGGTTAGAAAATGAAGACGTTTCTAAAGAGAAGGTAGAAAGTGAGTCTGGAGGAATACAGCAGCTCAGAAAATGCTCAAGGAGAAGTTCATTTCACAAAGATGACCAGATCATGAAGAATTTCAACTCCCATGCAAAGAATCCAAGTATTCTGAGACAAAGTGGAAAACTAATTTTAAGGGATATTAATGATGGTAAATGTAAAAAAAAAAAAAAGAAAAAAAATTATTTCATAATCCATTTGTCCAGGAAATGCTGGGTTAAATGAAGAAAACAATGGTAACAGGTTTCCTTACTATAGGATTTCTTAAAGCTTTTAATAGGCAAATGCATATTGTGAATCTCCAAGAATCTGATGAAGGAGAATTTGATATAGGACATTTTCCAAACCTATATGACCTGGAACTTCTTTTTTTTTCTCATGGGACACCAGGCAGGACATGCTATGACATTCCAGGGTATATTAAGTTGTTGTCTAAGAGGAGTCATTGAGGAGTTTCAGCAGAAGAGTGAGGTGAAAAAAAATCCACTTGTGGACCTCAATATCCTGTAGAATGAAGTGCAAACTCTTTGTCCTGACTCCCAGCTTGGCCTCATCCTGCCTTTTCATCCCCTGCTCCTGGCTTCTTCCCTCCATGGTTTTAAACCCCAGAAAAACTGGACATTTTGGTTTTGCATATGTGTATTCCCCTGCTTCTGAGCTCTTGCACAATCTCCTTTTGAAATTCTACTTGCCTTTCAGGCTGCATCTCAAAGACATCTCTATCTTCAATAGAGTTTTCCATGAGTCCCAACACAATGTCAATAGTAACTTTTCTGCACACTCTGTTGCTTATATTCATAGTTAGCCCTATTTCATTCCATTTTGTCTAATAGATGGCAGCGTTCATGTGTAATGGGGGGAAGTTGCAGGTGGAAATGCTGGTCACTACTTGCCAGAACCTCCATGTGCCAATTCTAATTTTTTCCTTCTATGTTCCTACTTCCTCTTTGTATTTTGAGACAAACCCTCCTCCCACCTATCCCCACTACACAAACATACCACACACGGCAGAGGCTTCCAAAATTTCTCTCACTTCACACAAATCTGCAGAAGAAATTCAGCATCTTTATTTTGTCTGTAAGCAATCTAATCTTTCTCATTAGCACCCACCTACTGAGTGGTGATAAAAACTGAGTTCATTTCTCTCTTGTAAAGTAATCTATTTCTCTCTAGAGAGCTCAGTCTTTTTTGGTTAGATGTTCTCTGTCTTTTCTTCCCCACAGGGACATCTGGGTATATGAAGCATGTTTTCTGTATCCTCCTGACAGTAGGGAGTAGAGGGCTGGGATTAACATTTTCCATCCTTATGCTTCTCTCTGGACAGGCCATCATGGAAGTGCCACTGAGCCTGTTTCTGGTCATTGGACTGGCAACTGCTGTTAAACTTGGCAGCTGGTAGGATTCATGGCCTGTCCTTTTCCAGTTTCATTAAGACCCTGCGGTCTGATTTAAGCCTATCTTATGTCTCACTGAGGCAGTTGGTCTTGGCTGAGGGGGATTATCCTGCCACTCTCAGCTACAGGGCCATCCTACTCTGCCACAGCAGCCCTCTCCATGCCAGAATCCCAGCTCATTTTCTCTTTCCCTTTCCCCTCCAAGGCCTGCAAGAAAATCTGGGACTCTGTCCAAGTGGGACTGGAATGAAAGACCGCCTGGGAGAGCTAAAGCCAGTGTATAAGGCACAAGACAGTTAGTTGCTCAATATAAATTTGAATGGAGGGCTCCAAGAGGAAAAAATAATTTTTATAAATTTTAATTTTATCAGTGCCTATGATGGCTTGTTTTCAAGAAGCTATGATATAAATGATCATGTTTCTTATAACCATTTTAACACATTAAAAAAATTGATTTCTTCCTTCTTTTAGCTTGTTATCATCATCCAAGAACATCATTTCAGCAGAAGGAAATCCTCTACCCTCACATACTTTAAATTCTAAGAAAAATAACCATAGTATAAAATGAAACAAGCAAAAGCATCATTTTAGTAGGAGCAAGGACCCTATTCTAGATATTTTAAATTTTAAGAAAAATAATCTTAATACAAGATATACAATGGAGAATAAGCAAACAAGAATTCCTGAACAAAATATTACCTTTTTTTTTTTTTTTTGGAGACAGAGTCTTGCTCTGTCACTCAGGCTCACGTGGAGTGGCATGATCTTGTCTCACTGCAACCTCTGCCTCACGGGTTCAAGTGATTCTCCTGCCTCAGCCTCCCGAGTAGCTGGGATTACAGGCACCCACCACCATGCCCAGCTAATTTTTGTATTTTTAGTAGAGACGGGGTTTCGCCATGTTGGCCAGGCTGTTCTTGAACTCCTGACCTCCAGTGTACCTCCCACCTTGGCCTCCCAAAGTGCTAGGATTACAAGTACGAGCCACTGTGCCTGGCCAAAATGTTACCTTTAAATTGGAAAACAAACTGAGGACCTCACAGACAAATCAGTGGGCGGGCTGAGAGACAGAAAGTCTAAAAGTGAGATGATGGAAGAAAGAGCATGAGAGAGGTGGACTTTGGAATTTGTGAAATGAATAATCAGAACATTTCTCTCATTAATTATGCTCCATAAAGGTAACAGTACAATATTATTCAGGTGAAAATAGTATCTCTAAGGATGACTATCTGTAATAAATGGATTCCAAATTAATAGAATCTTTTAAATAGTTTTCTAAAACATAGGTTCAGAATAAAAATAGTTGAAGAATAAAGAACGCTGAACCCTGATTAATAGGTTGATTGCATCTGTTCTTATTCTTCTGTATTAGTTCACTGGTCAGAGACTGGCTTACAGCTTCCTGTTAATTGTGACATTAGCAAAATGCCACACTTGCTATTTAAGGAGAGAGAGAAATCCAGACAGCTTTTAGCATATGAGTAATCGGCCATTTAGTGGGCAGTACTAAAGGTTGGATGCGAGGAGGGATGAATTAGGTATCCTTTTAGTAGTGGGTCAAAGGAAAGTAGAAGCTTTAGATATCATTTTCCTTCCTGGGAATATTCTGGAAGTTTTGATTTTAAAAAAAGGTACTTTATATCAAATACAGAGTCATGAGTTCACTGGTTTATTTCTTTTTATTTCTCTTTCTAAGTAAAGCCTTCCTGGAAGATTGCTGCAGCATGTAAGTGTGAAGCCAAGCATTGAATACTCCATCACACCAAATATCATCTCTTTTCCTCTGGAAGGTGTTGAAAGGTTCATTTAATCCAATGACTCAATTGGAACCTTTTACAATGCATTTTATATGACACACGATTTATCTAGGTTTTAAAAATGCATTGGAAGAATACCTTTGTACATTTCAATGATCCTGAGAGAGAGCCTTGGTTACTTTAGATTATATGGATATTGTGCTATGACCTGCCTGCTTAACTGTAAACTTTTATCTCCAATTAACTTCTGCCTATGATCTATTTAAACCCTCAGAGAAGCGGGGAGAGGTAGAGAGTCAGACTGAAGCAAAGGGTGAAACTGCCTTTGGGAAACTGTGACTGAGACAGTGAAAAAGACCTAACTTAACCAACTCCATCTTGCTTCCAACCTCCAAGCCATCCTTATTCGTTCCTGGATGTAGGCTGAACTAACTTTGGGAGAAACTTAGTTTATAATTTATAGTCTAAACAAAGACAGTAACAGCCCTTTCCCAAAGCAGTCATCCTTCTTGCCTGGGAACTAGACTGCCTTTGTAGGACTAACATTAGCCACAAGATTAGAAATTATGGTTTAGGAGTCATGCAGCTAGAGGCTACAAGATTCTGACCCTCCCTAAACTGCTACCAAGATCAGCGCTTGAGATATTTTGCAGACCCTGCACTGATAGATCAGCTGGCACCACCCAGATCAACAAACTGTCTCATTTGATCCTGTGGCCCCAACCCACGAACTGACTCAGCACAAGAAGACAGCTTTGACTACCTATGATTTCATCCCTGACCAATCATCACGCCTGGCTCACTGGCTTCTCCTCACCCACCAAGTTATCCTTAAAAACTCTGCCCCCTGAATGCTCAGGGAGACTGATTTGAGTAATAATAAAACAGAACTAGGGTCTCCCACACAGCCGGCTCTGCATGAGTTACTCTTTCTCTATTGCAATTCCCCTGTCTTGATGAATCAGCTCTGTCTAGGCAGTTGCCAAGGTGAACCCCTTGGGTGGTTATAAATTTGGGGGCTCATCCTGGATTGCCCTTGTGGCTACCCATTCATAGTTCAGTGGCCCCCCCAATCCAGCGATGGATCCAGAAGCCAGCCCAAATGGCTGCCTAATTATCTTGGACTGGGGGCTGACTCTGGTACTCTCTCTACTGGTGGGGTGCTGCCGACCCAATGTGCATAGATTTAATTGCAATGGAGAAATAGTCCTGGGGAGATGTCCCTTAACTGCAGCCCTATCACAGAGTATCTGTCTGTAGCCCCATGGTAGGGTGTAGGGTGTCTGTCTGTAGCCCCATCGTAGGATGTCTGAACTGGTGCGTATCCTAGGCGCTGCCAATGCTTCCTTCCTTCTCCCGACTGGTTTTGTACCCTGTGGTGGGGTATCTGCAGCCCCATTGTGGGGTGTCTGTAGCTCCACCATGGGATATCTGTGTCTGTAGCCTCATTGCAGGGTGTTTGTTCAGTTCCTGGGAGGTCTCGGTTGGCTCTTTCAAACCAGGAAGAGTCCTGGTTTGGTAGACTTCTCCTCAATCAGGAAGATTTTGAGGAGGTTTCTCAGAAGAATAGGCAGATTGTTTCGAAGGGATACTCTTGGAGTTCTTGGTTAGGGATCTAATTTGGAGGGCCTTCTGTCCAACTTGTCTTTGTGTGTGTTTGTATATATGGAAGGGATCTCAGAGGGGCTGCTGATGGAAGTCCAGCAGGCCTAACTCAGAGAACCCTCCTTATTTGTCTGCTCACATTCAATGAGCCATAAAGAAGGCTAAACAGGCCTGTCTCTCAGGGTGACTATCTGCTCTTCCCCTTGCCCAGAAACCCCATTGTGAATTACCGTTCGGAGGTTGCCTGTCCCCACCTGGAGTGGATCAAAGACAACAGGGACCAACGGGAAAAAGTTTGAACTTTGCTAGGCTGATATTGGGTGCTAAACAAGTGACTAATGTTTGTTTTGTTATGTGTATTTTGCTGGTTGGAAAATGTTAATTTGATTCCCCATGCAGCCCATTGGGCAGCATCTTGCAAATTAAGAATCTTGTCTACGTTTCCATAAAATAGTAAAGGGTGATTTTCTCTTGTAAAGTGGATTGAACCCCACAGCTATAGCACAAGCGAGCAGGGACATCAGAAGCCACTCCGTTCTTCTGGAAGCTGCAGAGAAAGGGAATCCAGAAACCTGGCATGCTAGCAGAAAGGGTAAGAAATTCTTACCAGCCAAGTTTCTGTTCTCTCTCTCTTTCTCCTTCTCTTTCTCTGTCTGGGTAAAACAGTAAATAAACTATTGGTCTCCTCTGCAAGAGTTTGATGAATAGAAAAAAGGATTTGTGAGACTAGTCTTAGGCTGCAGCAAATCTGGTGTACTTTGTGCTAAGAATTTGTCTTTCTGTGTTCTGTAATGGAGAAAGGGGTATCACAGGCTAGAACATGGGTTTAGACCCCTATAAGCCTGCTTTTCAAGCCAGCTTGGCAGGCTGGTCATTTACAAACTTTGCTACAGATCCCTGAAACCAATACTGTACGAAATGCCTCTGTCTTGTTTTGTGTCCTTAAGAGCTTAACCTTGTGACCATGTGGGGATACTTTCTTTTGGTTTCCACCATCCAGAGGACAGGAATTTGGGGGTTCATGTCATAGTTAGTCCTAAAAATTTTTCTTGAGCAGTTAAAAGCCTTGCAAGCTTGAAATTGGCTTCTCTAGGCTCCTTCTGGGAAAAGTAATGGAAAACTGCTCAATGCTATATAGCTCAGTAGCTAAGGCTTTATCTTTTGACAGTGGTGGCTTAGGTTCAATTGTTGGCTTCTGGATTGACTCCTTTCTGGTTTGTTATTTGTGTAACTTGGCCATTTATTGAGTTTTTTCCCCCCATAGTTAGCTTCTGATTTCCTCTCTTGAATTTTCCTTTCTCTGAACTACCTTGTGGAGATTCTAAATCTTGTAAAAAAAGAAACTGCTTACCATGTCTTTGAAGCACGTGAGAGGTTACCTTTAGCAAAGTTCAGAAACTAGAAATATTGGCCGCTTGGCATGGCTAAAGTCTGGTAACAAGAGATCTGAAAGGATTTCTTTTTTAAAGAGCACTATCGTTAAAAGTCGGTTTAATTAAAAGTGGATAAACGAGCTATAGGTATACTTAAAAAGCCTTTATGTTTTTCTCTTCTTGGAACTTGTTTTTCTGGAAAAAGGTTTTTTTCTTCTTAGTCGGCTGAATTATTTTTCTCCTTTTTTTTTTTTTTTTTTTTTTTGTCTTGCCACTCTTAATGCACATGAGAGGCCCTAAGATAATTTCTGGTATCCAGGGACTCATTGGGAAAAACAGAGGAAGTGCCAAAAACCCCGTTTTGGGGAAAAAAACCCTCTGTTTTCCTGATGAAATCCCAGGAATTAAAAGCAGATAGATCCCTCTCAAAATCAAAGGCCCTGCTCTGTTTTGCATTGTGTTATCTGATGGTTTTGAGTTTTGAGGGTATCAGAAATTACTTTGCATTATGAGAGAGCTTTGGTGTGTAATAACTAGGTAGGAAATATACTTTAAGGGATGGCTAATAGTTATTATGGAGAGGCACTTGATTCTTTGCACACTTGGATCAGAAAAGCACGCTCTTGGCCACCTGGAAGGAAACATTCCCACCTGCCCAGGGAGATGAGACTCCCATGAGAGATGGGCTGATTACAAAATGGGCTGATTGGCTTTGAGCTGCCTTGCAATGAAACACAGGGTAGAAGCTCTGCACTGTCCTCTCCCACAGTATTTCCCTCTTTTGGGGAGCCAGGATCCAGTATAAAATGACACCCTTAATTTTGGGGATCTGTCTTTGCCTTCAACTGCTTATTTGCTGCTTATTTGACCCTCGAAATGCATGCTTTCCTGGCCCCTTTCCCCCAAGGGCTCCACCCTGAAGCCAGTAATCCAATTAAAAAACTGGCAAATGAAAAATTTTACAAGTGCTGAATCTTCTGTCTGTCCGTGTATTTATATGTGTTGTATGTTTATATATAATAGCTCCGATTAATGGGCTTAGAAAAATAAGCGAGATCAAAGGACAAGGAGGCCAATAAAAGCTGCAAAAAGGAGGAGGATCTTGCCTTTATTCAGCCTCCACTGCACCTGGGTGGGCATGAGCTGGCAGGTTGAACTGATAATAGAAACATGCCAGGTTAGCAAAGCAACACAGAGAAAAGCCTGGCCAGTGCTCCCCAGACTCAACAAACACTGGCTCCATGTGGCCACCGGGATTCAGGATCAGAAGATCCAAACCACAGAGGGGCATTCATTTGCACAAATGAGGACAGAGACAGAAATAAAATCCTAGAGTCAGACAAGGGTATGCACATCAGTTGGAGGAAGGCAGTATCAAAAAGGCAATGAACAGTTGATCCCATAGGAAGAGAGTCAAGGTCAGCAACAAGCGAAGCCAAAGAAACGGTAGCAGACAAGATGTCACCTCCAAAAATGAGCTGTGTCCACAGTGCTTGTAGATCAGGCGCACCCTTTTACCAAAGTGAAGAACTTCCCTTAGTATGCCCACAAGGACGTGATTCCTTCTACCACATCTTATTAATGATGTGGACATTTGAAACATTAAATTCCACAACGATTTAATTGGCACCTGCAGCCCTGAATTACCCTTCTGGAAAGATCATGTCAGTCCCCACTGAATGCTTGTTCTGAATTGCCAAATAGCACTTAGAACTGTGGGACAATGGTCTGCTGCCCTCCACTAAGTCATGTCATGCTTTATTCTTCATGTTGCCCCATGGTCCGCTGCATCCTGACCTCCTGTTTACAATAGACATAAAGAAGATATCCAGCAATTTCAGGTCATAGTTCCTCACCAAAGAGTTAATGATCTGGTTGAGGCTGAAACCTCTACTGTACATTAGAAATACCTGGGGACCTCCTGCAAAACAGCATGTAGGATATAGCCTGGATATGGGTAAATTTTATAAACTCCCCAGAAGAGTCTAATAACCATCCAGGGTTGTAAATGACTGTCCAAATGAAGGCATTACACATAAGCAGCAAACAAATGCAAGGCCACAGACAGCACAAGCACAGTGCACCACAGATCAACGTCAATGCCGTCGCAAGTCAACCATGATAAAGCATGCACAGTCATTTTGTTCTTTGTTTAATAAAATGGCAAACCTGAAAAGCCAAAAATAAACTTAAGTTTACAGTCAATTGGAAAGTAACTGGGTTAAGTCAGTTGGCTTCAGCCTGACTACAGTCCTCCATGAACGGCATTGCTCAGGGACCGTCAGTCAATTCCTTGGCATAGAGGCTAGCTTATGCTGTGGTAACAAACAAACCCAAAATTCCTCAGCAGCTTAAAGCAACAAGTTACTTCTCACTAATGCCTCACATCTGTTACAGTTCAACTGAGGGCTTTGCTTCTTCATCCTTAGTTTAGGACCCATTTCCCAGGAATGTCCCAGATAACAGAGCAGCCATTATCTGGGACATTCCTGGGAAAGAGAGCATGATGTGCCACATGAACATTTTTAAAGATTCTGCTGAGATGTATCACACCTCATTTCTCCTATTTCATTAACCAAAGGAAGTCAGGTGGTCACACCTAACATGAATCCTACTATGTACCAAAACAAAAAGCCGGAAAGGCTTGGTGAACAGAAAAACTGACTACTTAATGCACTAGATAGGTATGGACAAAGCAAAGCAACATAGACAAACCCATCTCTATTGTGTAATTTTTGTATTTCCTAATGATAGCTAAAATGTATATGGACTGCAATAAGGACAGACAAGTACTATTTAAGATTCATAACAACTCTACAGTAGATACCCTTAACATGACCACTTTACAAATGAGTAAACTAAGACTAAAAAGAAGTGAAATAATTTTTCCAAGCTCACAGAGCTCGGAGCAAGCTGTTGAGTTGGGGTTGAGTAGCTCTAGAGCTAGCCTACTGGTAGAGCAGTCCAGTTTGCTCAAGACTAAGAGGTTTCCTGAGGGATTTTCAATGCGAAATCCAAGACCATCCTGAGCATTACAGGTATTAATCACATTACCGTCTTATTGATCAGGTTTATAGTCAATGACAGTGCTTACTGTTTTCCACATCGGAGAAGAGCTCTGAAATCTGCTAATCCCTATGCATAATAACAACACAGCATAATTCATGCCCTCCAGAAAAATCGTTCCAAGTCTCATGTTTTTATTTTGATTTGTGTTTGTTTCTTGGGTTGTTGTAGTGGTGATGATAGTATTAACATATCAGCATCCTATCATGAATATGCCTAAGAATCTCCCACCAAGATATCCTCAGTGTTATGTGTTCATTTAACCCAGGCTTCCAGGGACCACATAGACATTCAGACCAACATTACCGTGGCCTTGGGGATTATCACAATGTGACTGATTCTATCCTAAATATCCCCATTCTGTCCTCTGCTTCCCTGGAAGTTCCAAGTGGCTCACATCCTTCCTTAACAATCATTTCCATTTTTAAACAGCCACTGTCATAGTTGTCAATTCTCCTACAGCTGCCAGAATTGAAGCCTAATGACATAATTCTGTTTATTGACCAGTCCCTACATAACAAGCCACAGGCTGCTGCCGTTACACATTGTTTCATGTCATCCCTGACCAATCAGGTTGGGTTATTAACCTCTGACATACCCAAATAGTTCACTCTACTTTCTGACAAGAGCTTCTCTTCCTTCCCAGATCTAGTGATTGCCTGTTTTCTTGCCTGTATATCTCATGTATGCAGCATGAGAGTAAGACTATGTTTTAAGCCATCATTCTATTCCCAACAATCTCTTTTTCTCCCTTTAGTACAAAGCAGGACACTCTTAGGGGCAGCCCTTCAAGAGGCAGTATTCTAAGAAGCACCCTAACACTGAACCAAACTACCTGACTTCAAATCCTGACTCTGTTACCTACTAGCTATGGAAGCCTGGACAAGTTTCCTCACCTCTTTAAGCAAGCATTTCCTCTTCTGCAAAATAGACGTAATAATAGTACCTACCTCATAGGGTTGTTGTGAAGATTAAATGTGTTACCAAATATAAAGCTTTAAAACATAACCTGGCATCGAACACCAATGTTCTGGTTTGCCTGGGACTTAGGGGCTTCAAGGATGCAGGACTTTCAGTGCTGAAACTAGAAAAGTCACACGCAAAGCAGGTAACTCCACCTGGCACATAGTAAGCAATGTTTCTATGTAAGCTTCTGTTGAAGATGTGGTTGGTGATATACGGAAAGATGGTACCCTCTTTTGAACCGTAACTAGATTATTACATACCTCCAATTTCTGTTTTTTTTCCGAATTATGTCATCTGAGCAAGCAGCAGGCATACATACCTCCTAAACTAAGCACCCAGCTTATGGGCTCCTAAACTAGGCACCCAGCTCATGGGCTCTTTTGTCTTCAAACGTATCATCCTAAGCAGAAGCCCAATCATCTCTGGTCCATCTCTCCCAAGGTTTTTACATTAGAATCACAGGCTCACTTCTCATTCATTTATTTACTCCTAAGGTCTGCTTAGGAGAAGAAGAAATGGGGCTTTCTTCTTATTGGCTCATTTGTTTGATCTTGTTTAATGAGGCAAATTTTTATAACACTAGGATGTGAAACATTATTACTGTCAACAGTGCCCAATATTATTTGGCTTTCCTATCACAGTGATTGCTGTGCATAAACAAATGACATTTGTTCGCCTATCCTCAGCTCTCACAACTACATAATCACTAACAGAATGTGAAATATATCTCTGATGCACTGGCCCAAACTTACATAGGTATGTACATGGTCAACATAATTAAAAACTATTGTAAATTTTCACAAGCACAACAGGACTTGTAATTCCAGAATGATGTTGTCACCTTGAATGGAGATGACAGCTGTAGAAGAAAAAATTGAAATTTAGTCCCAGATAACTCCCAGGTCTACATTAGTTTAAAGAGGTCTTAAATTACTTAAACATTTTAAGTCTGTTTCCTCATCTGAATAACATGAATAATACCTGCTTTATAGGACTTTGTGAAGATGAAATGAAACTAATGCATATCAGTCACCCAGCTTACTCCTTCCCAATTTTAAATCTAAGTTATCCTGGGGTAGGAGAAGAGGCACATAGCCAATCCAGAGAGGGTGATGTTGCACAAAATATTTGGACTTGCTTGCACCATATCCTGTAAGTTTCTAAACACAAAAATTCACTCCAAGTGAAGCTTGGTGAATAAAGTGCCCCAGCAAGGCAACACCATCTGTAACAAAAATGTAATTCTAAAGTGATAAGGAGACGCAGATGAAAAACTAACTCTGAGGCAATTCCAAATGAGGAGTTTCAAAAACATTTTGAGAAATGGTAGAGTATTTCAAATTAGTTCATAGCTTCTCAAGGTGACTCCTTGAAATAGCAACCCTGACCTGAATGGTTGCATCTATGTTTATTTTTTTAATCACATTTATTTTCATTTCTCTTATATAATTAAAATTAATCCTGATTTCAAACATCAATTTAGATATTCTAATCACTGTTTATGCTTGAAAGCACCCTGATATGTCATAAACCAAAGTTGAAAATTTTTTCTTGTTGTGCAAACTTTAGGGTTGGTGTAAGAAGGAATAAAGTTGTGTGTGTTACACATATGGTACTCCTGCAGATGGCCACGTGGAGGGCAGATTTCCATAGCCAGAATGCAGAATAGATTGTGTTTCCCATCCTAACATTTACAATAAAACACCCACATAAGTTGGTTTAAAATATTTTGGTTTCAGCATGATTAAATAATATGTTTGCAATTAATATCTATTCACTTTGCTGTGAACTCTTGGCCCCAGTGTGCATTACCAGAAACAGTAAGACACGCTCCCCAGTTCTCTGATTTCTCAAAGCAAGAGGTTTTTCTACTAGTACTGACTGCCGTAACTGTCTCAAAGAAAAAAAATATGTCCCTGGCCACAAAGTTAAATTATAGGAGAATTTTTTTTAAGTTAGGTTTGCTGATTTAAAAGGCCCTTGGTGAGCTTTCAGACCTCAATTAAGGCTGTGATTTGAGAAAAAGAAAATGAATTTTCCAAGCAATTAGGTGGTAATAGATCTAACGGCTTTGTGGGGAAAGAAATGGGTATATTTAACTTTGACAAGTAGCTGCCATGCATGTGTTATATAACCTCTTTTGATAAGTTTTTTTGCTCCATAGACCAAATACCTTTTTTAATTATCTGAAAACGTCTTTCACAGGGAATTATAAAGAGTAACAACCACAAAGCAGACAGGCATCCTGCCCTACTGAGTCAATAGCATTCACTTTTCTAAAAACATCTCATGTTAATTTCATAATACTCATTTTAAAAGGTCTAAAAATATGTGCTTACTGATAAACCATATGGTCTCAGAAGGATATTTCACAAGAAAATGTGTCAGCTTTCATAAGCTTCCACAGGGGACCCTTTTCCTTTTGTAAGAAAAAAAACTGACATTGAAAACACAGTGGAATTTGAACATGAAAAGACTTTTTAGCAGCGTGAGAAGGTAATAGAACCCAACAAAATCAGTATATTCCATATTAAAGTAAGGCCCTGTCTTCAGCTCATTTGTGGGACAAAAGAACATACCATTGGTTACAGTGATGTAGCACAGGTATTCAAAATAAATGGAGGTGTAGATGCTTCACTGATTTGTTATTAAAGGATAGGCTAAGACTGATTCATCTCTAAAAACAGAGCTGCTTTTCTATGGCTAATTCCATAGGTAAAAAACCCTTTAAAGCTTTTTTGTTCATAGTGTGCTATTTCCTTGATTATTTAACTCTACTTTTTTCTTTGCCAATTCTTCAGAAAACCAAAATGTGTTCTACAAGATCTTACAAGGGAGGAAATTCTCCACCCAGCTCCTGTGTATGAGCAGGAAATAAATTCTCTGAGTTTTTGTTGCTTTCCTCTTTCAGGCCCCAGAAGGCTAACCTCTAACCTACAGGACAACAAAAATCCTTGGCTTTTGGGTGACAGTAAATATTTCAAGCTAACGACTGAATGAGAGTTCCCTAAAAGACGGCATACACAATTAAAACAAGTCACGGTCACCCTAAAACATGACTGGAAACAAAAGAACTTGAATATCCACATTGCTGGCATTAGAATCATTGTCCATGGCATGAATTCTGCAGGCATACCTTCAATTAATCAATGAGTGATGAATAGAGTAGTAGTAGCCAAGCGAGTCCCACCAATGATGAATATGGATTTCTAAAGCCAAATCATTCAGGAGGTGATCTATAGTGTTTATTCAGATGACAAAACCAACAGGTCAGTTCCACTGGTAACCTGATCTCTTACCTGGTAAGATCTGAAGGGTGTTTGCTATTGTCTGAGATTGAAGAGCAATGATACTGAAGCAGCTCTCCTAACCCCCGGGAACCTTCTGCTTCCAGGGGTGGAACTGAGGGAGAGAAGCAGAGGGTACACTCAGATTGAAGAAAGCTAGGACAGGACATTGTGCCACAGAATTAAGCAGAAGACAGCAACACCAGCTCACACAGCCACAGTAACGTAAGGTTGAGCTAAAAGCAAAAACACCCTAAAAAATAATAATAATAATAATAACAACTGGCATGTAATAAGCATGAACATTTATCAGAAATTGTGCTTATCTCAGTGAATATTGACAAGAACCTTCTGAGATGGGTTCTATCCCTCCTTTAGGGAGAAGGAAACTGAGACTCAGAGAGCAAGCAATAGAACAGGAATTAAACCCAGGCAACCTGACTTCAGAGTCCATGCTTTTGCCAGAAACTCTAGAAAGCACCAACTAGAAGTGAGGAAATAGCCAAAATGAGAATGAAACTGAAATGAATCAGGGAAGCAGTGAGGGAGGTACAAATGGAGTCAGATGGGCAAACATTCAAGGGGCAGAGCCCAAAGCCAGGATGAGCAGGTGGCTGTGTGATGCGACTTTTAGAGCCTGTGCTCGGCCTCATCCAGAACCTATGATCTGTTTATCTTTAAGCATTTACAGTTATAAGCTACCATCAGACAGGTACAACTAGACATAGCCATCTTAGTAAGTATAGATAATTCAAATGCAAATTCTGCAAGTCAAATAAAATTCTTTCATTTCTCCTCACTTTTTTTTTATCTTTTTCTCTCCACGCTTTTAGAAAAAAAATTATTTTGTAATCTATTTGAAAATCTCACCTGAAAAGAGCGTATCATGTATTTTATTTGAGGAGCTCAAAACATTTCATGAACACTCTCCCCACAGCCATTATAAAATTAAATAAGTAATAGTGCTTATTATTCAGTGCCTCGAAGCTATGGTTTAAGTACTAGAAAAGAATGCAGTGTCTTTCCATGGCCCTGTGGGTATTCCGCACTTTCACCTAAGGTAGAGAGAAGACTATGATGATTTAGAAATTGGAATTTCTCTGATTGTTTTATAGAAATTACACATACTTAGGAATGAGGGAATCAGTGGCAGAGCCTATGGGGCATACCAGATTGTTACGCCTGAGTTGATTTGTAAAATAATTAGAACATGTATCATATAAAGTCTTTCACTCGCTATGCCTTGCTGGTAAACAACCAGCTTTAATCTTCAGTATCTTTAAATGGTTGCCATTATATTATAATGTCCTCAGTGGATCCATGCATTTCTGCTTACACTTCTTTTATTTCTAGAAGTGTGGTTTATAAAGAAATATATCTGACCAGTAAAACCCATGATATGGAAATGATTGTCTTTATTAAATATATCTATAGCACTTCATGTTTACAAAAGTTTTTGTTTTTGTGGATGCTAGTTGAATTTGTCAATGGATCTGTTTAGGTGAGCATGGCTATTTTCATCTTACCCCTGAAAGATAAACGAGATCACATTGCTACAATTCACCCACTAAACTGATGACCAAAACAGTTAGAAGTTATATGGGGCCACCCAGAACAGTGTTGGCCCATTTTTTTTTTTTTTTATAGAGAACAATTTTGTATTCTTATTTCTTTTTTTTTTTATTTTATTTTTTTTATTATACTTTAAGTTTTAGGGTACATGTGCACATTGTGCAGGTTAGTTACATATGTATACATGTGCCATGCTGGTGCGCTGCACCCACTAACTCGTCATCTAGCATTAGGTATATCTCCCAATGCTATCCCTCCCCACTCCCCCCACCCTACCACAGTCCCCAGAGTGTGATATTCCCCTTCCTGTGTCCATGTGATCTCATTGTTCAGTTCCCACCTATGAGTGAGAATATGTGGTGTTTGGTTTTTTGTTCTTGCGATAGTTTACTGAGAATGATGATTTCCAATTTCATCCATGTCCCTGCAAAGGACATGAACTCATCATTCTTTATGGCTGCATAGTATTCCATGGTGTATATGTGCCACATTTTCTTAATCCAGTCTATCTTTGTTGGACATTTGGGTTGGTTCCAAGTCTTTGCTATTGTGAATAATGCCACAATAAACATACGTGTGCATGTGTCATTATAGCAGCATGATTTATAGTCATTTGGGTATATACCCAGTAATGGGATGGCTGGGTCAAATGGTATTTCTAGTTCTAGATCCCTGAGGAATCGCCACACTGACTTCCACAATGGTTGAACTAGTTTACAGTCCCACCAACAGTGTAAAAGTGTTCCTATTTCTCCACATCCTCTCCAGCACCTGTTGTTTCCTGACTTTTTAATGATTGCCATTCTAACTGGTGTGAGATGGTATCTCATTGTGGTTCTGATTTGCATTTCTCTGATGGCCAGTGATGATGAGCATTTTTTCATGTGTTTTTTGGCTGAATAAATGTCTTCTTTTGAGAAGTGTCTGTTCATGTCCTTCGCCCACTTTTTGATGGGGTTGTTTGTTTTTTTCTTGTAAATTTGTTTGAGTTCATTGTAGATTCTGGATATTAGCCCTTTGTCAGATGAGTAGGTTGCGAAAATTTTCTCCCATTTTGTAGGTTGCCTTCCCTATTTAATAAATGGTGCTGGGAAAACTGGCTAGCCATATGTAGAAAGCTGAAACTGGATCCCTTCCTTACACCTTATACAAAAATCAGTTCAAGATGGATTAAAGACTTAAACGTTAGACCTAAAACCATAAAAACCCTAGAAGAAAACCTAGGCATTACCATTCAGGACATAGGCATGTGCAAGGACTTCATGTCTAAAACACCAAAAGCAATGGCAACCAAAGCCAAAATTGACAAATGGGATCTAATTAAACTAAAGAGCTTCCACACAGCAAAAGAAACTACCATCAGAGTGAACAGGCAACCATTTTTTTTTTCATTGAGGCAAAAGGTAGAGGAATTTGGACAGTGAACCAATTTCCATTTAACTAATGATTATACATATATAGTGTGATGGTTAATTTTGTGTCAACTTGACTGGGATGTGGAGTGCCCAGGTATTAGGTCAAGCATAATTCTGGGTGTGTCTGTAAGGGTGTTTTTGGATGAGATTAACATATGAATGCACAGACTGCGGAAAGCAGATTGCCTTCCCTAATGCATGTGGCCCTCATCCAATGAGTTGAAGGCCTGAATAGAACAAAAAGGCTGATTCTTTTTAAGAGGGCACTCCTTCTGCCTGATACTTGAGCTGAGACATCGGTCTTTTCCTGCCTTTAGACGCAAACTGAAACATCAGTTCTTCTTGGATCTTGAATTTGGCATCTTTTGGACTGAAACTTGCACTATCATCTCTCCTGGTTCTCAGGGTTTTGGACTTGGACTGGAACAATACCATCAGCTCTCCTTGGTCTCCAGCTAGCTGACTGCAGATCCTAGGGACTTCTCAGCCTCCGTGATTGTGTGAGCCAATTCCTTCTCATAAATCTCTCTCTCTCTTTCTGTCCCTCTCTCTCTCTCCCTCCCTGTCTCTCTGTCTCTGTCCCTGCACTGCCACCACCACCACACACACACACACACACACACACACCCTATTGATTCTATTTCTCTAGAGAACCCTGACTTATACATATAAATTGAATTATTCAGGCCAAATCCTTCCCTAATCCTAACCCTTATTTTACATCAGCACTAGTATTTCTGGCAAAAATTACTCACTAAAATAGCATGTATACTGAAAGATTAATTAGTCTTCAGTGATTAAGAACTGATCACCCCTGTGCTGGAGACTGCTAGCTCCGTGGAAGAGTAAGGACAAACAGGAACAAAAGGCCCAGGCCCACCTCAAGTGACAGTGCACTTAGAAAGAGACAACATGTACCTATAAAATATCCTGAGAAACCAATGTAACCAAAATGTACGACAACATTCAGCTCAAATTCTAATAAATAAATCCAATTGCAGCGCTATGAAGAAAACAGTTTCTGAGCCACAATCAACAGCCATTCAGTTTCAAATAATATTTAGCCAAGCCAAACTCCAGTATAACAAACAAATAAGGAGCATTCTTTGGACTTTGCTGTGATAGTAGTTGATTGCATAAGCTGGGTGAATACATTGTAAAACAGTGGCTCTCAAAGTGTGTTTCTAGACCAGCAACATTAGCATCGCCTGGGAGCTTGTTAGAAGTACGTATCACAGGCCCTCTCCAGACCTGCAAAATCAGAAACTCTTGGGGTGGGGCCAACATTTTGTGTTTTTACAACTTCTCCATAGGATTCTGCTACACATTACAGAGGCACTGGCTTCAGGTGGAATGAGATCATGAATGTTTTCCTGAAAGAAAAGAATCTTGAGTTAGAGTTGAAATAGAAGACTGGCCTGATTTTCTCTCTTGATAAAAGGCTCTATAAACAAGACCAGAAAGACAGATTAAATATTTACCTTTTCATGTAAGTTTAGACTCTGTCCAAATTGTTAACCACATGCAACTATTTTGCCCAACCTATTTTCTACTGATCTTCAAGCCTCAAAAATATACGTTCCCCAGCCAGACAGCCAGACAGCCAACCATCTTGAGAAAATTCATAATCACTACCAAAACACTTGAGACTTCACATATTACGACTCAAGATGAAATGTGTAGTATTTCCCTTCACTGGCAATTGTTGTTTCTTTTCTTTGTCCATTTTGTAAACCCTGTATTTAGTTTGAAGGTGAAATTTGTAGAAAATTTACAAACTCTAAAGAGGCTAAAATTAATGTGAACATGAGGACACAAAGATTACTAATTTTTAGTAGACTTTTTAAAATTCTTTTTTCTTATTTCTTGCTAGAGTATGGTTTTTCTTAACACAAATAAATATATGACACCTTTTCATGAGGGCCATTTCAAAACACTTTTAGTGTTCTACTCCCACCTTGTGGAGAAAATTAGAATTTCACTCTTTCTGAACTCTAAAGGCTGACAACGAACAGCAAAGGCTTTAATATCCAGTGTGAAGTTTAAATAAAGATTGACAGATTCCACCGATTATTTCATTGATTTTTCTATATCATCCAAATTCAGATATTTTTGAAATATCTGATGGTTCGTAGAGTTTGTTCTCTTTCATTCAGGTGTTGTATAGTACTATCTAGAGGCAGACAAAAACAACCTGTGGAAGTGGCCTGCACATTTTTCTCCAACATTCGATTGTTTACTTTTTTAGGGTGCCTGAAAACAGAAATTAAGTACATAAAGATAATGCAATTATTACTGTTAAATATAGAGTCGCTAATGACTACACAGAAGGATTTGTAGTGGGTTTTTCACCATTCATTTTCTACATACTGTGCTAGTTCACAGAATAAATACCACTATTTTTAAAAAGCCCAGTTTAATCAAAATTTCATTATAAATCTAAAACTTACAGCCCTAGAATTGACTTATCACTGGTGCCAGATTAAGTGTCACCACAGCAATAAATTTTAGTCAGTCATCAGAATGTACTTCGAGTTGAATTGCTAGGGCTATGAATGTAATGTTGCTATGATTTGAATGCATCCCCAAAGTTCATGTGTTGGAAATGTAATCTCCAGTGCAACCACGTTTAGAGGTGAGGCCTTTAAGAGGTGATTAGGTCCTGATGACTCTGCCCTCATGAGTGGACTAATGTCATTATGGCAGGAGTGGGTTTGTTAAACAGTAAGTTTGCCCTACTTTTGCTCTTTCTCACGCTCTCTTGCCCTTCTGCCTTCCACTGTGGGATGACACAAAACAAAGGCACTTGCCAGATGTGAGCCCCTTGACCTTGGACTTCCAAGCCTCTAGAACGGTAAAAACTAAATCTCTATTCTCAAGTATTCTGCTATAGCAGCACAAAACAGACTAAGACAAGTGTCAAGGTCATAAACTTAAAAATATAAAACCCTCCAATGGAAAAAAGTAGGAGAGATGATAATTTCAACAGCTAATTTGGTATTCATCATATGGCAAGCTTCCACTCCCATGTCCTAGGTAGGGTCCATGTGATAATCTCAGGAACATGGATGATTTATAGGAGTCCAGTGATGCCACACCAGGTAGGGGTCTGAATGAGAAATGGGTCTACCTCAATCCAGGCAGAAAATGGAAAAACAACAATGGACTTAAATTTCAAGGAATTCTAGTTTCCTCTATCTTTGAGGTTATTAGGCAATGACATTTATTAAGTCTTTGCTATATTCAGGATGCCAAGCTAATGAGCTACTGAGAAACCATCTTGTCCTCCAAGGCTGAGCTCAAATGCCAGTGTGTCTCTAAAGCCAGACAGAATTAATTTTTTCTACTCTCAATGATACAATGGCATTTTACTTCTACAACTAGGAATGGACTTCACATTATTTTGTAACTGTCGTGTGCCCATAATTTCCATCTTCTCCACTAGGTTCTGTGTTCTTTCAAGACAGGAACCACATCTTAATGATTTAGAATCTCCAACATCCAGCACAGCATCTGGCACATAGAAGATGCTCAGAGAATGTTTGCTAAATGCATTGAATGAATCAGGCTGAATGGTGTGATACAAAGGCATTGAAAGCATAATCATTGCCTTCAGTTAGTTTACTAAACGCTCCTGAGTCAATTTCTGTCGCTTCTTCTTATACCCTAGTGTATATTGGTTTAGCTTTTTGTAGAATTGTAAAAAGCTCAAGAACATGGAAGACATCCTCTGGGTTTAAATGGATCTAAGAGAGGGTTTAAATGCTCTGTTGGCTAAATGCCCTCTGAATCAACTTTTCTATGGCTCCTTCCACAAGCTCCTGCCTGAAGGCACAGAACTTGTTATGCAGCTTGGCCACTTTTCGTGCTTCACATTATTTTCCTCTCTCCACAGTAGCTTGGAAATGCCCCACGGTAAGGTAAATAAGGTAGTACATGGGCGGAATTAGGAAGTGGTCAAGATCCTGTGTTTTGTAAGGATATGAAGTCCCCTGTTATCCAATAATATTTTCCCCCACAATTATGGTAACTAAAAATCCCACCAGAAGGATTAATTTCGTTGTTTTATAAATCATCCTAACCCCTCTCAAAGGAAATTTCTCTTTGAAGGGGCAGCCCATGCAGTTCCTAACACCTTGATATATGTTTATGAGACTACTTCCCATCCACTCTAACAAGAACTGAGAGAGAAAGCACAAGGATTCTGGGCACTTAATAAGGGAAGCTATGCGATGTGGGATGAGAATGAACAGAAATGCTCTGACAGTGAGGCAAGGAAGCCCTGCCAGCCTAAAGCCCTGCACTCCTGGGGATGCTCAGAGACCCATCCAGGTGGCCTTCCTGTACATTCTGCACTTTCTCCTGTGTACCCACAGTTTCTCACTGCTATGCCCACCCCCCTTCAGAGCAGATTCAGAGTTAATTTGAGAAAAGACATTCTTCATACTATATAAACCCTCAGAATCTTCTTTCCCTCTCAAGTAGCGTGTGATAGCCTACATGGTGTGGGCATGTTCTGGTTAAACCAAAATGGCCTGAGCTTAGCCTCCATGCAAAAGTGGCCATTTCCACCAAGAAGGACCAGAAGCCCTTATCATCTAGCCTTGAAGAAGAGTAGCCTCATTGTCCCACGAGAGACAGCCAGCCGAGAGCACACAGACCCAGGGCAGGATGAAGGGGGGGGACTCCCACAGTCATGCTTCCTCCAAAACTCGTGCAGCAGGCATCCAGCAGCTTCCAAAGGATCCTGGAAGGATACTATACCTTGCAAATTAGCTGATGGTAATTCTGTACTTTAAATTCGCTTTGAGCAGAGCATAAATAAAGGCTAACCACTCTCTGTGATAAATGGCATGAATCCTAAAGCAACAGGTAGACATCCTCTTTCAGATAGGGGGTGCCAAAAACAGCCTATGAGGGCCAGGCACAGTGGCTCATGCCTGTAATCACAGCACTTTGAAAGGCTGAATAGGGAGGATTTCTTGAGGCCAAGAGTTTGAGACCAGCCTGGGCAAAATAGCAAGGCCCCCGTCTCTACAAAAAATAAAAAAGTAGCCAGGCAGGGCGACATGCCTGTAATCCCAGCTACTCAGGGACTGAGGTGGTGGGATTGCTTGAGCCTAGGAATTTGAGGCTGCATTGAGTGTGACTGTGCCACTGTACTCCGGCCTGGGTGACAGAGTGAGACCCTTTCTCTAAAAGGAAACAAATTTAATTGAATTTAAAACATCCTAAGACACACTGGAGAGGAGCCACCCTCATCAGATCACCAAATCAGAAACAAGGAGTTAAAATACAGTGGACATTTCTTGCTGTTATTATTGTCATTGTTATCGTTACTGTTTGGCCAACCAAGAATGCTTCCTTCTTCCTAGTGTTATATCAAGTCCTTTTTGGGAGAATTACTTCTCCACCTCTCCATGCAGCCTTAGTCAAACTGTACCTTACCCTAACCAGAGATTTGGCACCAAGTCATGGAATGAAATTCTCTCTCCCTGGACTTTGAACATAGAGAGAAGTGATACAAGGATAGTTTTTTAAAAATTAAGTTTAGGGCACCTTCATTGCAGGAGCAGAGCCTATAAAAGATGGTCAGATAATCTCCACTGCCTAGAGATCTGCCGAACTATTCTGGTTTCTGTTATTGTTCTGTGATAGCATGGAAGCCAACATATTTCTAAGCTTATACATTCTATGGTGAATACCTCCAATAAATTTTCTTTTTGCTAGCATTAACAAGAATTAGCTTAGGCTACCTATAACTAAAGAATCCTGGTTAATATACTTTATAGCCTTTAGAGATTATGGCGGATCAACAGATGATATATAGTTAGATAGATAGATAGACACACATACAAACGCATGCATACACATACATATATATGATTAAATAATAAGTCTAGACATTACTATATTTGAATACTTATACCAGCTATCTTAGCTGGTTAATTGAAGATGCCCATGGTAGGCAAAACCAGGTAAGCCAGACACAATTCTTAGCACAAGTTATTTCTGTCTGGATATGCCATGTGCTACATTTTAATTTTATCAGCTTACTTCCAGCCTCTCATTGTGAATGATCCCTTAGTGAGCCAGGAGAAGTAAAGCAAAGATAAAATGTTGAACACAACTCTCTTGACCTCATCACATGGGCCTATTGAACTGAGAATTCTATTCCAATCTCTTGAAAGGGAGAAAGAGGTTAAACTTTAGATGAAGGAAAGGAATCAATAGACACCAAAACTTTAGTCCATCTCATCTCCAACTCTCCCACTCCCAAAGAAGGTAATTCTTGTGGTTGAGATGTTCCACCCTCAAGGTACATGTGGCTGGCAGCAGGTTCACATTAAAGGGATTTTTTTTGGACTGTCCCTGGGCTGAGTCACCACTAAGGCTCCCATGCAAGAGTTGAAGAGGCCAGTCAGCTTCTCCGAATGGCAGAAACAGCAGTGCCAGGTTAAGACTCAAGCTCAGTTTTCTGGTCCATCTTCTTCAAATTACCTTCTGCACCCAAAAAAGCAGAGTTCATTTTTATTGGCTTATTTAACCATAAGCTTCACTCAAAAAAATTGGAGTTTAATAATTATGAGGTTAATACTTCATTTTGCTTAAGAGAATGAAGTTTATTAATCAATAAAAACATTTTTTTAGCCACACTTTGCTGGCTTGCACATTTTGATACCTTTTTTTTAATCACTGCATTTGCAGTTTAAAACAGGCTAACACTTACTCCTTTTTCATATCTACAAATGAGATCAACACAAACATGGTTTGCTCCAATGAAGATTTAAGGCACCTCTAAAAACATCCAAACAATAGAACAAGGTAAATGTATTTGTTTGCTAGGGCTACCTGTTAGTCTGCTAGGGCCAACACAAAATACCACAGTCTAGGTGGATTAAATAACAGAAATTTATCTTCACACAGTTCTGGAGGCTGAAAGTCCAAGGTCAAAGTGCCATTGGGACTGTTTTCTAGTGAGGACTCTCTTCCTAGCTTGTAGACGGCTGCCTTCCTACTGTGTCCTCACTTGGCTTCTTCTCTACATGGAAAGAGGGAGCTCTCTTGGTGTTTCTTCCTTTTCTTATTATGTCACCAGTCCTATCAGATTAGGGACCCACCTGTCTTAATTACCTCCCTAAAGTCCCTATCCCCAAATACAGTCTACACTGGAGGTTAGGGTTTCAATATATGAATTTTGGGGGAACATAATTTAGTCCATAACAGACTGCCATAATAACATACCATAGACTGAGAGGCTCAAACAAGACAAATTTATTTTCTCACAATTTCAGAGGCTGTAAGTCCAAGACAAAGGTGCCTTTGGGGTTGATTTCCAGTGAGGCCTCTCTTTCTGCCTTATAGATGGCTGCCTTCTCCCTGTGTCCTCACATGGTCTTTTTTCTGTGTATCTGTTTCCTAATCTCTCCTTATAAGACACCACCAGTCATATTGGATTAGAGCCTGCCCTAATGACCTCACTTTAACTTCACTACCTCTTTAAAGATCCTATGTCCAAATACAGTCACATTCTGAAATACCAGGGGTTATGACTTTGACATATGAATCTTAAAGGGATACAATTCAGCATACACCAGTAAAACGGTAAGTCAAGAAATTGGGCAAATGGACTGGGGGCGGTGGCTCACGTCTATAATCCCAACACCTGGGGAGGCCGAGGGAGGCAGATCACCTGAGATCAGGAGTTCAAGACTAGCCTGGCCAACATGGTGAAACCCCGTCTATGCTAAAAATACAAAAATTAGCCGGGCATGGTAGCAGGTGCGTGTAATCCCAGCTACCCAGGAGGCTGAGGCAGGAGAATCACTGGAACCTGGGAGGCAGAAGCTGCAGTGAGCCAAGATCACGCCAATGCACTCCAACCTGGTTGACAGAGTAAGGCTCCATCTCAAAAAAAAAGAAAAGAAAAGAAAGAAACTGGGCAAATGGTAAGGATAGGAGAGATGTTAAGACAATAAAGGGTGATGATATATTTACTAGGACTGGGTCACAACTCTGGCTCAGAGGCTCATAGCTGCCAATGCACAGAGGGAAATTTGATCAGTCACAAGACTCACCCTACGTTGAGTTTGGATTTAAACAATGGTCTTCCAGAGGCAGTATGCTTTTGTTGTCTAAAAAAAGTAGTAACTCTACTTCTAAGAGACTTTGGCCAGAGAGGAAAAAAGAAGAGCACAATGGCAGCCCAGTGAGAAATGTATTCTGATGTAATCATAATCTTATGTATTCCTTAAAAGCACAGTAATTGGGGCAACCATCTATGCCTCAAGATTCTGGGGAGACAAATAGTGTCCCCAAAGAAATGAATGTTTTGTAAGTAACATGTAGCATAGTTATATATGTTTACACGGAGAATTTTCCAAAATTATCCACTGTGGTCACTTTAAACACTCTCCTAAAATTAACTGCAGTTCTAATTTCTCAATCAAATCACAAAAGTCATAAGGAATTCTTAGGTCTATATAGGCTCCTCATAGTCTTCAGCATGTCTGTGTCTCTCCACGACCACTCCAGCTCAATGCGCCAAAGATGATGCATGTCCAGGTGCTGGAGCACAAAATATAACATAAGACCCCATGTCCCCATGTCCTGCAGGCCACACAGATTACCTTTAAGGGGGAACTGGATATTTGGAAGCGAGTAGACAGGAAGATATAGTCCCAGATAAATGGTAGAGGCTGGGGATATCTCATTGGCCCTTCTAGTCTCATTCACAGATCAAGTCTATCCTCCAAACTAAAGGGAATTATCTAGTTAGATTTTTTCTGCCACAGACAGAGAGTCTAGTGTAGTGCTAAAGGTGCATGAGCTCTGGAGATCCTCTGCCTGGGTTTGAATCCCTGAATCACCATTTATTCAATGTGTGACCTTGGGAAGGTCGTTAAGCTCTCTGTAACTTGGATTCTTCATCTGCTGAAAGTGGGGGGACAATTGCACCTATTGAGGGGGCCTGTTCTGAGGATTTATTTACTTAAATATGTAAAGTGTTCACAAAAGTGCCCAGCACATAGTAAACGTGATTGTTATTAAATAGTTCTTTACAATCTGAAAATTACACTTTAGGATAAACAAGTTTCTATAAAATCATTTGACTAGAAATGATAGTTGGAGTTAGAACAGTTTCAGCTACATTTTGCATATTCACAAACCTCAAAATGCATTGTATATTGTGGGCATGGTTCATTTATTCAGATATGTAACGAGGATCTCATTGCATTTGTAAAGAGACATGAAATCCTTTATCAAGGTTTCATAATGAGACACCTCTGCGTTTAAAACCACAGAAGGGACTTCTCACCTTTCTGAGCTGTTGTAATCCCTTGCAACTCAAATTTTTTCTGTCTGCTTTTACTCCAGGTCCAGGCTTGACACATGTTTTTCTCCATCTGAGTATCTTTATTTAAGATTACTTTCCCCAGATGTGTTTGTGTTCCCTTTTCTCAGCTGAATATGGTTAATCTTTTTTTTTTTTTTCTCAAATATCTGAGCTCCATTAAGCCTTTGTAAACTATCTTGGTCTGTGGTGTCGTCATCACCATCCTTCGGAGCTATACGGTAAGCCCTGCTGACACATCTTCTCCTGCCAAATCATTCAAGATCATTTCAATATTTACTCCCAAGGCTTTTCTGAGTCCTTTTCTTGCATCCCATATGTGTTTCACTAGAAAATGTCACTGGCCGACTGGTTCTATTCTTTTTTTCATTCTCGTTCATTCTCTCACTTATTCTGCCCCTTTTCTTGGTTCCTTTAAGAATTAAGAGAAACTTTGTTACTGAGAGTCCCCAGCTAAACTGGGGTTCCAGCACAAGGGCAGCTAGCAATCCTGCCCTAATGGGAAATGTAGGGAAGCTCTATGTGGATGTTTGCAGTGGGCCTTTCAGGGGATGCTTCTTTTACTTGGCTGATGGCCTAGTGCCTAGTAGTCTGATCAGTGACCAAAAGTGGGTAGAGAGATGGTCCCTCACATGGGAAACTTGTTTAAGCCAGCAGATGCCCTATGGCTTTTGTCTGACCTGCATCCAGCTTATACCTGCCCAACCATTGCCCTGGCACTGGGAGCCCAACCTTGAGCTCTCCCTGGCTTCCTGGAAGAAACCCAGCCTGGGGCAGCCCCTGGTTCTTCAGATGGAAGGTGCAAATCCAACATACCACCACCATAGGAAACAAGTTCCAAGATTTTTATTTACAGAGACTGAGTAGGGAGGGCACAATGAGTCAAGAACAGTCTTCATCCCTGGGTCACATCAGGCAAGAACAAAGAGTCAGGCAGAGAGAGACAGAGAGGGCAGCCAGCAGTATATATATACGAATAGGGTATGGGGCACTTTCAGTTCACAGGCAAATGCCTGACTGGTTCATTTAAAGGAACCAATGAGAAAGCAGGGAGCCCTGGTATGCAGAAGAGATGCCTCTAGGTTCTTATCTCTGGCCACGTCTGGGCCCATTTGGGTGTGGTGTAGAACCAGAAACTGTGTCAAGGGTGATCGAGCTCCGCTTCTGGTATAACAAACTTAAATTTGTATTCAAAATGGATGCCAAGACAACATAAAATTATAAGAATTCACTGCAATTACCCAAATCGGCTCTGTTCTTCCAAGATGGCTTTTCTCTTAGTGTACTCAGTATAAATGCATAATTACTATAGAACATATTCAAATGGAATAATTTGTTTTTTAAATTACAGCCATAGGCTCATCTGGTTTTGCATTCTTTCTCTTTTCCTTACTATCTAAGGTAATCAGATTTACTCTGCCGCGTATATTGACTCCCTGTTGTTCTTGTGAGATGTGTGACATCTGTTATTTTACGGTACTTAACTCATGTGCACTGACAGCCAGATACCTACTGGAAATAACAATTAAAGGCATAAATAACACACATCTGCATGTGTTCTGGCACTCGCCCACATATTAACACTGCTTACCACCTTACAGATTTACTTCTCTTCGGCAGCGTGATAAGCATTTGGTTTTAAAGAGTTTAGCTTTCCTTTCTGTGGAGATTTTGGCATATATTTTATATAATTGTCTATTTTTGTGAGTTGGGCATGTGTGGTTGTGTGTATACCCATGCGAGCGTGCACTTCAATAACTGAACATTCAGGAAAGGGATGCTATTCTCTTATTGCAGCACCTGCCTGCCTACCTGAATAGTTTTTACAACATCAAGCATGACTCATTGGTAATCCCTGCTGATATAAAATTCATAGGCCCGTGTGCTTCCTTCTGAAGGCAGCAATTTGCATTTCTGAAGAGCTTTGAAAGAATAAGAGAAAGTTATTAACTGTTATTATTTGCTGACCACCCACAGCACTCACAGTGGGGTACGACAGACAAGAAGGGGGAAGGTCAGCTCTTTAATATGTACGTGTAACTAGCTCAGAGTCGCTGGAAGCATCTTGGTGGCACTTTAATTAGCAGCTTCCAGGGTCAGAGGACTCTAGAAAGCTTCGCAACAACTACTCTGAGCCCATGGAAACTGTCACTTCACAGAATCGTGAGACATGAGGGCTGGCAGAGAACAGCTGTGAATCCCTCTGCTTCTCTGTGAAACAGGATGGTTAGCTCTACCTCACCCCTACTTTGTAGAGCTTGGGAATGGGACTCTCCATGAATACTGTTGGCATCTGCTGGGCATCACACATAAGTATTAAATGCTTATTTCCAGCCAGGTACAGTGGCTCACACCTGTAATCCCAGCACTTTGGGATGCCAAGGCGGGTGAATCATCTGAGGTCAGGAGTTCGAGACCAGCCTGGCCAGCATGGTGAAACTCCATCTCTACTGAAAATACAAAAATTAGCCAGTCATAGCGGTGCATGCCCGCAGTCCCAGCTACTTGGGAGGCTAAGGCAGGAAAATCGCTTGAATCTGGGAGGTAGAGGTTGCAGTGAGCTGAGATCACACCACTGCACTCCAGCCTGAGCAACAGAGCGAGACTCTGCCTAAAAAAAGAAAAAAAAATGCTTATTTCCTCTCAAGAAAATAGAAGTGAGGGAGGAAAGGATGAACTCACTGATTGAAGAGATGGTGCTGCAGTGGATGGCATTATAATGGCAGGGAGAGAATGGAGCCGGAACAGAAGCCTGAGCAAGAAGCTCCTGTGGTAGTGAAGTCAGACTGGAATCGAAAGCCAGCACTTGATAGAACTAGGAAGAGAACAAAAAGATGTTTTTCCTTTGTTTTGTTTTGTTTTGTTATTTTAAAAAAGCATAGCTTCTAACATGTATTTAGAACATCCTAATTTTTTTTCTAAAAACCTTTCAAATATTTCTAAATGGCAAAGCACGAGGTCACAGAGTTTTCTGTTGATTTTTTGGAGGATAATAGATGAAGGAGCAGGTTGAAACAGTTTATAAAAAACTACTCTTTCCAAACAATACCCAAGATTCTAGCATTAGAGATAAGAGTAAAACCTTCCATTCTAAGATACATCACAACATGATCATGTTAAAACAAAAAATCTAGGCCAGCCATGGTGGTTCACACCCCAGCACTGTGGGAAGCTGTGATGGAAGGATTACTGAGTGCACAAGTTGGAGACCGGCCTGGGCAACATCGTAAGACCTCGTCTCTACAAAAAGTAAACAAAATTAACCTGGGCATAGTGGGGTGCACCTGTACTCAGGAGGCTGAAGTGGGAAAACCATTTGTGCCCTAGAAGTCAAAGCTGCAGTGAGCTGAGATCCCACCAGTGCACTCCAGCTGTGTGACACAGTGAAACCCTGTCTAAATAAATAAATAAATAAACATCTAGATATCTACGTGTCCAATGACAGGGAAATGTTTAGTGATATCTAGATGATGGAATTATTAGACAACCATAGAATTATGCTTTCAAGTCATTTTAATGAACTAGGGAAATGCTTACTATATAATGTTAAGTAAAAGAATCATGATAGAAAACTGTACCTGCAGTTTGATTTTATTTATAAGATATCTACGCACATACACTCATACTGGAAGGAAACACATCAAATTGTCAGTAACATATCTCCCAATGGGGAAGTTATGGATGATTTTAATTTTCTTCTTAAAGAAAAATTATTTTTCTAATCTTTCCATGATGAATGCATTGTACTATGAAAATCAGAAAATACAAAAAAATTTTAAATTCCGGGCCAGGCACTGTGGCTCACGCCTGTAATCCCAACACTTTGGGAGGCCAAGTCAGGCAGATCACTGGAGGTCAGGAGTTTGAGATCAGCCTGGCCAACATGGTGAAACGCTGTCTGTACTAAAACTACAAAAATTAGCTGGGTGTGGTTATTGTGCCTGTAATCCCAGCTACTCGGGAGGCTGAGGCAGGGGAATCACCTAAACCCAGGAGGTGGAGGTTGCAGTGAACCGAGTTTGTGCCACTGCACTCCAGCCTGGGCAACCGAGTAAGACGCCATCTCAAAAAAAAAAAAAAAAATTAAATGCCTGGCCAACTGTGAAGAGATGATTCAACCCATCAGCAGAACAAACATTCACTTGGATGATAGAAATTTGAAATTTTATAAAAGTCCATCTTACCCAAAAATCACTTCCACCAGTATCCTGCAGGTACCCAAAATTCCCAGAATTAGAGATTTACCCCACAACAGATTTTGAGCAGACCGTATATATTGTATAATCCCATTTTTGTTGTTTTTTAAAGGAGTATATATTTTCATGTCTGTTTATTATTTATTCATCTTACTATACATATGTTTGAAACTGACCCAAATCAATTTGTGCACAATCCTCAGATTGTTCTTGATAGACAGCTGTTGCTTCTAACAATTAGAAGTGGGGAATAGTTATGATATCTTCTCCTACAGCTCCTCACGAGGCAGTGCAATGAAAGCAGGTCTCAGATGGACTTTTGCTGAGGGAACAAAAATTTTATTAGCAGGCAGGCACAAACATAGTCACCATCTCCCCTTGTAAGACCAAGTGCCAGTTCTCTGTTCCTTTAGACACTCCAACTGACCTTGTATTAAAGGTTTATCAGAGGCAGATGTGACAATAGTCTACCTACAGTACTCAGTAAACCTAGTTGGAAGTAAATGATAAAATTCTCCCTTTTAAATGCACAGAGGACAGAATGGACTCTTAGACCTAACATGCCATGCAAAGTGTATAGAATTGGACTTAACTAGACTCTTGTTCCCTATTCACCAAGGACAGGAGTACCTATATAATATTTCTAGCCAATTCACACATCTTAATCTCTAGTAATTTTACTAAGGAAAAAATATCTCTAATATCCATTATACTAAATAAATTTTAAAAATAACTGGAAAGCTTGCAGTGTGTTCTAGGTTCTTCTAGAGTGTGGCCTTCTAATTAGTTTTTTATTGGTAACTAATCATCTCTGGAGTATTTGCCTTGACTAGGGCATGTCAAAGGTTAACTAATCAGCCCTAAGGTATTGATTAAAGCTGAAATACAGATACTTAAGTATTTTAGAATAAATTATAGACCATATAATGATATGCATTTTTCAAAGTCTGAGAGAATAACTAGCTAATTATTATTAGTGATTATCTCTGAAAGAATGGGATTAAGAAGACAGAACATTTTTCTTGGCACTCTTTGGTGTTATTTGAAGAAAAAAAGCAAATATTACCTTTGTGATATAAACATACTAATAAAAGTTGTTAAAGGCTAAGATCAATAATAAATGGAGATTTATTTGTTTGAATTAAAGGTTTACCTCTGCCCACCTTCAGAAGTACACAGCAGTGTTCCAGGTGTGTTGAAAAAGCACAGGATGAATAAGGCATGTCTTTCTACAACGTGAATTTTGCTAGAAATTTTAGAAGGGTGAGGCCAAGTAATTTAAAGGGTAGGCAATTTAAAACAGATTTTAAGAACTTTCCCTCAAGACTTCCTTCTCCCAAGGCTTCTTTCCCCCAGACTTACTCTCTTACCTCCTGATATGGCTGTGTCAGATGTTGGCTGTGTCCCCACCCAAAATCTCATCTTGAATTATAATACCCATAATCCTCACATGTCAAGGACAGGACCAGGTGGAGGTAATTGGATCATGGCGGCAGTTTCCCCTTTGCTGTTCTTGTGATATTAAGTGAGTCTCACGAGACCTGATGGTTTTATAAGCTTCTGGCATTTCCCCTGCTTGCACCCATTCTCTCTCCTGCCACCCTGTGAAGAGGTGCCTTCCGCCGTTATTGTAAGTTTCCTAAGACCTCCCAAGCCATGCAGAACTGTGAGTCAATTAAATCTCTTTTCTTTATAAATCACCCAGTCTCGGGTATTTCTTTATAAGCAGCATGAGAACTGACTAATACACCTTCCATCCTACCTCTCTGAGCCCCGTTAGAGATACTCATTCACTTTTTTCTATCATTAGAGGATTGCAGTGGGAATGTTTGAAGAACAATGCTCGATTTTATTATTTTCTATTAATACTTGTGAATTAGCAGACTCTCAGAAATCATTATCAATCATTTACCTACAAAGGCCAGAGAATAACTGAAAAAGATGAGTAACTGGTGGCAGTTGGTGGTTGGGGGAGTTGAGAAGGAAATGCATGAAGGAGAGGAAGAATGAATAGCCTGAAATTCAGGTAAACTGAGGAGGGGTACCCTGAACCCTGGGAACAGCCAAGCCATTAGCCCTCTGGGGACTGGAGCTCTGAAAAGGTGCGTGGAAGGAATGAAGCAGAGAAGGAGGAAGTGGAGCCAAGAGGTCAGGGAGCATTAACACCAATTAATTTTCCTTCCCAATCTTATCCCTTCCCAGCAAAAATATAGACATATGTTTAGCGGCAGTTGGGGCCATGTCAGTTATAAGATTTGCTGCCAATGATACACATCTGTCAGCTTATTTGCATCAAGCAAAAGAGCTGAAGCTACAATTTGTGTTTATGATAAATGAAGATTTGGAAGACATTTGCTTTCCCCCGTCTTTTGCTTACTTAAGCATCATGCAGATACAAAAGACACTGCCAGAATTTGCTTAGACAACACTGAACATGGGGGTAGGAGTGAGAAGGAAGGGAGAAAATCACTATGAAATATTGCCACTTTCACTGCAATTCTGGACCCATCATTTTAAATTGTGAAATGCCTGCTGCTGAATGCGAGAAGCAGGAGCCTTTCCTGATTTGAAGGCATTGGCAGGAGGCTTCATTTGTCAGGGAAGGAAAAATGCATAATTCAAAGCGAAAGTCACCTGGCCCCGATAACCTGAAACAAATGAAGCAAAACTTCATTCTTTGGTTCAACGCCAAGGAACCAATCCTGTACCTGCAGATAGGGCAAGTTTTTCCCCCATTTCTTACTCCCTGTTAGGTGCTCTAAGCACCTAATGAAGGAAGAGGGATGAGAGTTGACACCAGAACATCATCAGCATAACTGCTTTTGTGTATTTGACTCCAGTGGTCTTAGGGTTTCCATCTGTTTCACTCATTCTTGCCCTCTCTCCCTCTTCCTCTGCACACAGGCAGATTTAATTCTGTGTCCCTGTGTCTGAATGATTATAAGCCACTCCAGAATGTTTGCTTCCTTCTCTGATATTCTTCTCTTTCCCCTGCCTTTTCTTTGCTTCATCACAATTTCTGTCCCAACACCCCGCACCCCCTGCCGCCACAAATCCAAAGTTTAATTCAGGTAGCGAGCACATGACAATGAGTTACCATTCATCCATCCCCCATCTTTTTTACAAATATTTATTTACAGCCTCTTATGGATGAGATGCTTGAGAAGGGAGAAAAAGCACTCCCTGCCCCCACCCCTACTTTTGCAATCTATATTCCTAAGAGATTCTGAAAACTCTGCCCCTAAAGTGACTATAAGCTGTTCACAGTTGTTATCTGTATAGATTTATAAAGAGAGGGTATTACATAAAAATTACAAATCTATTCTTACAATGCTCAGTGATCCCTGGCTGAATGCGACTCTCCTTCTTCAGCAGCTAAGTAAAATGAGCCAGCCGAGCAAACAGAATCTGGTGCCCATGGCAACATGCATTACTGCTTTGAACTTGTCAATCTGTCACTAGGAAATCACATTAATGGGATGTTTTTCTCTACAAATAGCTTTTGTTTTCACATTTTAATTACAGGGCTAGATTTTTCTTGATTTCTAAATTCTTCAAAGACCTATGCAAAAAGGAAAATAAAAAGTAAAGTTGTATCAAAAAATGTCCTTGAAATTCCAAGCAGCCTTTTAGTTGGGAGAAGAAGGGGTAAAAGGGAGAGACCATGTATATTTGTCCCCATACTTCCTGCGACATGACCAAAAAGCCAAAGGCTTAAGCAGGTACTTTACCATTTTGCTTCTTTTGGATAGTTTCCTCATCTGAACAACAACAACAAAAAAAGACATCTTCCCCACAAGAGTGTTATGAGGTTTAATTAAGGATAACTGCTAAGGATTATCAATTAATATTGCTAGTTAGTGCTGGCTAGGGGAGCCTCCCTTTCCCCTTAGGCCCTGAGCTACTTTATTCAGTCATTATAGGCCAGAAAAATGTTCATTTTTTACATGTTTAATTGCTTAAGGGTAGTCCATGGTTGTAGAAGTTTATGAACACATTTTCTGAACAAATTAGTAAGTTCATTAAAAGAGCTAAATTAGAATTAATTTCCACTACTGAGAAAGCTGGGGAAACAGGAGGTGGCAACTATGTACTGCTGTGTTTTCCAAGGGAAACTCCAAGGAAGAAAGAGTTGGACAAGATAGAAAGAAACTATGAACATTTCTTTTAAGTTGCAAATCTTAGTACTCTTCCTTCTGACTTCAAAACTAGCTATACGTTAAAAATGCGGGGAGGAACCATTCTGATTAAAAAAAAGACAGTTGGTAAACTGAGTTGTGAAAGTCTATCTCTGTAATTCTTTCTAAATCTTATCATTCTGATTTCTGAAAAGTGTGGAAAGAATAAATCTATGCAAAATGTTTTAAATTCACTCCCAGGCCCTGGATTTACTCACTTTGCCCACCAGCAGGTGTTTGAGATATAGATATACAAAGAACTGTACATGTGTGTACAGCTGAATGAGTGCAGTTTGATGAGTTCGGACATCTGCACTCACCCATGATACCAGGACTGCAGTAAAGGTAGTAGACAGACCCAGTACCTCCCGGAGATTTTCCTTAGGACATTGTTGCCAGAGTAAATCAGACCAGCCTCAGCTACTTCCTAACAGTCAATGCCTCCTGAATAGTGCCTCCCAGTAGAACAAAACATCTACAGGGTTCAGAATTCATCGTTAGACGAACTGGACCCATGGGTCCAGTTTGGTCATGTCGTGGGAAATATGGGGACAAACATACATGGTCTCTCCTTTCTACCCCACCTCTCCCAACTAACAGGCTGCTTGGAATTTCAAGGACATCTTTTGAAACAACATTACTTTTCATTTTCCTTTTTGCCCAGGTCTTCGAATAATTTAGAAATCAAGAAAAATCTAGCCCTGTAATTAAAATGTGAAAACAAAAGCTATTTGTAGCAGAAAAACATCCCATTAATGTGATTTCCTTATGACAGATTGACAAGTTCAAAGGGCGCAAGCAGAGGGCAGCCATTCCTGCTCCCCTCAGTGACTCGCGCTGGCTCTCACAGCTTGCTCTTCTGTGTCCTTGAAGGAAACCCTAAGCAGGTCCTGTATATTTTCAGGTCAGTCTCAGGTAATTTAAAGCCCTCTGAGCATTTTAGGCAATAAAATATCTGACCAAATTTACTACTAACACTTTAGTCTTTTATCCAGTTTTACTCTCTTCTTCCTTCCTCAGGCCAAAAATCCTGCAGTGGAGAAGTGCAGAACATCCCACTTCTTTCTCATCCTTGCTATACTTAGTATGACACTCTGGGACCTCTGGATGGAGCCACAGTGAGAGAAGAAGGAGGAGCGAGAAGGTCCCAAAAGGTTTTACACCTGGGTACAGTTGTAATCTTGCTTTGGGGCCCACTGGGCTGAGAAAATGGCCCAAGAGAACTCTTGTGTAGGACTTCAGTAGTATCTTTAGAGACCACTCCCCATGACTCAAAGGATCTCTTCTCTGTAGTTCCTTTGATGCTGGGGGACTCCTCCAGCAGGTGCTGTTGGACTTCCTGCTCAGCCCCCTAGTTCCCAGTATTCTCCTCTTATGTTGGGGTCACTTTGACCTGGAAAGCATTCCTCTAGGATGAAGACCCTCTCAAGGCAACCCAGTCCAGTTGCCTTCCACAGTATCCATACCTAGCCAAATACTGATTCACCCCTGCTCCCCAAACCCTGGAAGAAGAGGCCATCCCCAGCACAGTCCTGTCTCCTTCCCCGAAGTTCTGGGGCAGCTCTAGCCATACCCTCTCCCATGAGATCTTTCAACAGCGGTCAGATTTCAGTTTTCCTGAAGTGCATGTTGGGTAGGGACAACAGAGCCAGGTTAAGTGTCTACAAAGTCATCCTCACTCTGCATCTTCCTTGCTTCTCTTCTGTAGACCTGAGGTGGGCATTGGAACAATGGCGGCAGAACCAGAGGTCACATGTCTTTGCATGTCTGGTCCATTGCTTTAGACTGCGAGACTACTTGACATCGCCGTATTGCTCCCAGCCTGTGGCCTCGGCCTTCCTCTGACACAACAAGAAGTGTTGCATTTAGTATCCTGTTACAAGAAGTTGTTTTTGCTTGTTTGGGGCTTTTGATAATAAGATGTCCAATGATGCAGAAATATAATAAATAATATACATGTATATGATGGGGGTTGTGGCAAAGAGAGACTTCTGAAGTGTCCTGAAGGATGTGAACAAATTTGCACAAGTAGTTCAGAGGCCTTCTAAGAAAGAAAGGATCAAGGCCGGGCGCAGTGGCTCACGCCTGTAATCCCAGCACTTTGGGAGGCCGAGGCGGGTGGATCGCAAGGTCAGGAGATCAAGACCGGCCTGGCCAACATGGTGAAACCCCGTCTCTACTAAAAAATACAAAAATTAGCCGGGCGTGGTGGTGGGCGCCTGTAGTCCCAGCTACTCGTGAGGCTGAGGCAGGAGAATCGCTTGAACCCAGGAGGCGGAGGTTGCAGTGAGCTGAGATCATGCCACTGCACTCCAGCCTGGGTGACAGAGTGAGACTCAAAAAAAAAAAAAAAAAGAAAGAAAGAAAGGATCAAAACTCCAATACTTTATATCAAGATTCACCACTGAAATCTGTGAACTGCATTGGTACCGACCAAACTTAAGGGGCAAAGAAGGCCGAAAGGCCCCTTGATTTAAAAACAAAAAAAGAGAAAGAAAGAGAAAAAGAGAAAGAGAGAAAGAAAGAAAGAAAGAGAAAGAGAGAGAGAGGCAGAGAGGGAGGGAGGAAGGAAGGAAGGAAGGGAGGGAGGGAGGGAGGGAGGGAGGGAAAGAGAAAGAAAGAAAAGAAAGAAGAAAGACAAAAGAAAAGAGAAAGAAAGAGAGAGAGAAAGAAAAGAAAAAGAAAAAGAAAATAACCAAGAGAAAGGAAAAGAGCCTGTGAGCTAAGCCCAGCATCAAGTCAGGCAGTCAGTGAGGGTACTGATGTTAGGTCTTATCTGAAGATGACTCCAGCATTTCTAGGGGCAGAGTTCCAAAGATCCTTGTCCTTGGAGAATTTGAAAACTCACAGTTTTATTTTCCTCGTATCGATAAGCCTCAATGTGAAATGGAGTATTTGATTTACTGAAACATGATTGTTTAATAGCTCACACAATTCAGCCCTTAGATGAGAAAGTATATGTTAATATCCATGATTTCCAATAAATATAGCCATTAGATTCAGGACAACCTGGGACAACTGAAAGCCATAATCCGTAATCTAGGAATTGACATTAGAGGAGAAGAACTTTCCAGGTAATGCCAGTCATTAAACCTGATGAAGTAGCAGAAGATACTGACCTCCTAATATATATGCTATGAAAAGTGACACAAGGCCGGGCACAGTGACTCATGCCTGTAATCCCAGCACTTTGGGAGGCTGAGGCAGGCAGATCACCTGAGGTCAGGAGTTCAAGACCAGCCTGGCCAACACGGTGAAACCCCGTCTCTATAAAAATACAAAAAAAAAAAAAAAAAGCTGGGCATGGTGATGTGTGCCTGTAATCCCAGCTACTCAGGAGGCTGAAGCAGGAGAATCTCTTGAACCCGGGAGGCGAAGGATGCAGTGAGCCAAGATTACATCATTGCACTCCAGCCTGGGCAAGAGAATGAGACTCAGTCTCAAAAAAAAAGAAAGAAAGAGAGAGAGAAAGGAAGGAAGGAAGGAAGGAGAGAAAGAAAGAAAGAAGGGAAAGAAAGAAAAGGAAAGAAAGAAAGAAAGAAGGGAAAGAAAGAAAAGGAAAGAAAGAAAGAAAGAAAGAAAGAAAGAAAGAAAGAAAGAAAGAAAGAAAGAAAGAAAGAGAGAAAGAAAGAAAAATAAAAGTGACACAATAAAGATGCCATCATTGGTTGCTTCCATCCTACCTCCTGCCAAGAAGATTGACAATTCACCTGCTGTTCTGGGGATTTGGCTCCCTGCTGATCTCTTTCTTTCCCATAAGTGCTGTGAAGATGCTGGCTAGAACTAGCAGTATTCTGAGTAGCATTTTTAATGGGAACATTTGATCTTGCAGAAGAATGTTTGTTCTAAATTAGGACATCCGTAGACACCACAGACATGTAAGGAAGAGTTTTGCATCCAAAGTAGTAGAAATATCATTAATGGGATTTTGACAGGGTGAGGATTTTCAATGGCCAGAAGTCACTGTTAAAGAATCAGGGAAGTCCTACAACAAATAGGCCTTTTTAATAATGTCTGTCCCCACATACTCTGAATTTATTGGGCCACAATATTGAAATATTGTGGAAATGTTCACAAGCATGCCAATTTAGAAGACATGCTTAGCATATTACCTTTCCAGAATAGCTAACTGCCACCTGGCTGAAAAATGGATCATAACCTCTGCTCCACAGAATTGTGAGAATGAGATGGCTGATGTGAAAATGCTTGGCACTGTACCTAATACATAAAAGCTGCCCAATGAGTACAGTATTTGATGAACCCAAATAGGAATCCAAATCTATACGAGGAAACAGGACACTGAAAAGGTATATTTCAAAATATACCAGGTGCACCCAAGGAAGACAGGTCCCAGGCAACCAGGCACAACCGTACACCCAAAAGCAAGGCAGAGGAAACCAGTGAGGAAAATAAAAGGAAAATCTCAGCCTTTCCACAGTGGAACTTAGGTTGGCACTCATTCTACCCTCTGGTCCCTCCTTCTGATTTAATCCTCTCTTTTATGGCCCACTCCAAAGGGCAAAAGCATGCATGAGGCACAGATAATAGCTAACAATAGAAAGACAGCAACAGAACATCGAAGGAAAAGAAAAAATCTGTAGATCATTTTAAACCACACTGCAGCATCCAGGCTGTACACAGCTTTACAGCAAAGCACGGCCCCCATCTAGTGGGGAACCAGAGGTGTCTAACATTGGTATTTGCAAATGTGAAACCCTCCTCCACCCTCCATATTAAATTTGGCAGCTGTTCCAAAGCTATACACCAATTAAATCATGCTTGACAATCATATTTGTTTCTGGCTACTTAATTCATTCGTTTAGTCCAGTAATAGATATTAACAACATTATATTCCCTACAGCAATGCAAACAATTACAGACATTTGTAATGTTCCAGCTTCTGCTGTGTCACAAATGCTAATACATCAGTGAAATTAAATGAAAAAAACCCTGTCCCTCAGGCAGTAACTCAAATACAATAAGGATGATTTTATCCTCTTTCCTAGTAATAGTGAAAAAAATAAAGAAGCTGACAATTTTGAAAAAAAGTTTTCACCCTTGGGCAACATATTTTTTAATCCAGCTGATTAAAACAAATGCTGCATCTTAAACTGCAATTAGGACAATATATACCAAGTGATTTTTATAAGACATAATAGCACTAAGACTGCAAAGTTACTCTTTACATGGTAGTTTATTATAGAAAATACTTCAAGATAAGTGAAAAACAGCAACCGACCACCCAGTCGCAGTCAACAAATAAAATTAAGTATCTGAGACTTTAGTCTACAGTTTCCCATCACTACTCAAAGTAAATGGAAAAATAAAAGAGACTTTGGCAAATATGTGACTGCATACCACCAATACAAGAGCTTTCTAGCCAATTAGCAGTATGCTTCTTTCTGAAATGAAATTGAATGTAATGTTTCTGCATTTTTATTATGCAGCAGCAACTATATAAACTGTTACAAATCAACTTCTAATTAAAAGCTTTAGGCCGTCAATAACAAAATGATAATCATTTTTAATAATGTGGTGCTTATAATTCAGTGGAAAAGTAGTAGGAAGAAAGTAAAGTCAGAGAGCGTAATAAAAAGAAAGCTTTAAACAAACTGCAACAACAGAGTTTAGAGAGTAAGAAGTTTGGATATAGCCATAATAGAGAATAAATTCATAATCTTTTATGATGTTCTGTGCCTTTAAGATAGCAAGACAACAGAACGTCCTCAGAAATGAGAATGGAAAGAGGGATGAGGAGACTTTGAGCCTAAAGACATTAATGCAAGTAGGAGGGGTGGTCAATAATAGGAGAAGAGACAAGTTTTGTAGTTAATTGAGTTCTGCTCACAGTGGAAGCAAGTTGAAAAAGAGATCACCAAAGTTTAGTGACAATTAACACAGATGAAGTAGTGTTATTGCTGCTGAGAATAACATCAAATGGGAGAAGTGCATAAACTTCAAGTAGCAGAAATTCTCCAGAAAAAAAAGACAGACACAGTTGTAAAGACATGATATTCAGGCTAGAAGTGGTTGCTCACATCTGTAATTCCAGCAATTTGGGAGGCCAAGATGGATGGATCACTTGAGGCCAGGAGTTTGAGACCAGCCTGGCCAACATGGCAAAACCCTGTCTCTACTAAAAATACAAAAATTAGCTAGGCATGGTGGTACACGCCTGTAATCCCCGCGACTCAGGAGGCTGAGGCATGAGAATCGCTTGAACCAGGGAGGCAGAGGTTGCAGTGAGCCGAGATCACACCACCGCACTCCAGCCTGGGCAACAGCGTGAGATCCCGTCTCAAAAGAAAAAAAAGAGACATGATATTGGTAATTGGTTCAAAAAGTGACTTCAAGAGAGTATAAGTGAATAAGATTCAAAATTGATGATACATAATCGATAAGGCATATTATTGGGTATAAATTTGTCCCATGACATTCTGGTCCAAGAACTTAACTTTCCAAATCAACTTAAATCTGGTTTGGATCTCCCACCTACCTGCTGATGGGATGGTCAATATCATCATTATGGATGCACCTGCCATCCCTCTGAGAAATCTACAAGAATCCTGGGACTAACACAATAATAGCAAAATTGGGCAGGCCTGGCCCTTAGTCCACATCTGTCATCATTGTTACTGATCCTCTTGCTGTTGCCCGCATTGCCATCAAGCACAGAACTTCCATCCATAGGACACTTTATGAGTTTCCTATTGCAGCTGTAACAATGTGCCACATACTTAGTGGACAAAAACAACACAGATTTATTACATTAGAGTTCCAAAGGTCAGAAGTCCACAGTGGGCCTCACTGGTCTAAAGTCAAGGTGTCAGGAAGGCCCATTTTCCTTTCTAGAGACCATGGGAGAGAATTCATTTTCTTACCTTTTCCAGCTTCGTGAAGCTGGCTGCATTCCCCAGTTAGTGGCCCCTTCCTCCATCTTCAAAGCCAGCAAGGGCAGCTCCAGTCTTTCTCAGGATGATGCCATCTCCCAGAGATTCTAATTCTTCCGTCTCCCTCCTTCCCATTTAAAAACCCTTGTGATTACACTGGGTCCACATGGATAATCCAGAATAATCTCCTTATTTTGAAGCCATCTGATTAACAAACTTAATTCCATCTGCCACCTTAATTCCCCCTTGCCAGGTAACCCAACATATTCGCAGGTTCTAGGAATTAGGACATGGACATCTTTGGGGGATGATGATTTGTCTGCTACAAGCTCTATGATAGAAACCTCACATGGCAATCCTCTTCTAGTGCTTTCCAATCTCTTTTTTTACATCAGGGAATACAGTAAAAATGAAAAAAAAATTTACAGCACACTGAGGCAACTGGATAACCCTGTTAGGCCATGGCACAATATTTTGGGAGCCCTATACCCTACACTGACCACAGGATTGGTCACAGGCATTACTACTGCTCTTAAGGCTGAGGCACTTAAGGAACAAATCACAGGCATGCATGTGCCATTTCTGTGGAATCCTCCAGGGCAGCTGAGTGGGAGGATAGCCCTGCCATTCATTAATCAGACACCCTGCGTTCTTCCAACCTCAGGGGTTTTTTCTCTCCTCCTGGGCAGCAGTTTCTATCTTGTGATCTAAACATTAGCTTCCCTTGTGCTTCTATCTTTCTCCTTCCTTCTCTGGGGGAACTCAGTGTAACTCCTTGTTGCCCTTGACACTTGATAAAATGTCCATGTGAGTGGCAAGTGCTAGAATTCAATTCAAATTGGCTTAAGTGAAAAGGAGACTTTTTTGTCTCATATAACTGAAGTGTTCAAGGAAAGATGGTTTCAGGCACAGCTGGACCTAGGGCTAAATGGCTCTGAAATCCTCTATGAAGCTCTTTTCAGGTCCCATAAAGTAGCCATTGGTGATATCAGGTTCACATCAGTCTTTTCTGTTAGCAGTCCCAGCTGAAACATACTTTATAGATTGTCAAACATGAATTCATAGAGATTTCTTTTGACCTCCTATATGACCAATTTGAAAATATTCTAGAAGTGGAGGAAAAGACAGAATTGTTTTGTTTGTAACTAACAAATAGGGGAAATTTTCAGTATACCATTTATTATGGCTTGAAAATGAAATTTCAATTGCATGTCACTGTGCCAATACAAGCAGCTCAGAGGAATTGAGACAGGGAGGAGTTGCTCTTTTAAAGGTCCTCAGCTGGGCATGATGGCTCATGCCTGTAATCCCAGCACTCTGGGAGGTGGAGATGCAAGGGTTACTTGAGGCCAGGAATTCAAGACCAGCCTGGGCAACATAGTGAGACTCTGTCTCTACAAAAAAAAAAAAAAAAAGAACATAAAAATTAAAAAATTAGCCAAGTGTGGTGGCATATGCCTTGCAGTCCAGGCTGAGGCTGGAGGATGGCTTGAACCCAGGAGTTCAAGATTGCAGTGAGCTATGATCGTGATCATGCCACTGCCTGGCTGACCCTGTCTCTTAAAAAAAAAAAAAAGATAAATAAAAGTCCTTAAAAAATAAACTCACACAGAAGATGTCTACATAAAAAGAGTTCACACTTGATTTTAACTTTCTAACAAGGTAAAAGTCTTCTTTCTTTTAAGTTCCCCTCTGATCTCATAACTGAGGGGATGTGACCTAGTTTTCTAAGTATCTCAAGATCCACCAGTATTGATATATAAACTGATTTTGTTTCCTTCCAATAATAATTCCTTATAAGATAGTATCTCTGACAGTTTGGACAATGGCATTTGAACAGAAAATTATTTTCTCACACTAAAATATCTGGAAGAAAAATAATGATAGAAAAGTTATAGAAAAAGAGATGTTATCATTTGGGATTAAAAAAACATATTGTGAGGTGGGCACGGTGGCTCACGCCTGTAATCCCAGCACTTTGGGAGGCCAAGGCGGGTGGATCACCTGAGGCCAGGAGTTCGAGACCAGCCTGGCCAACATGGTGAAACCCTGTCTCTACTAAAAACACAAAAATTACCCAGGTGTGGTGGTGCACACCTGTAATCCCAGCTACTCAGGAGGCTGAGGCGGGAGAATCACTTGAACCCAGGAGGTGGAGGTTGCAGTGAGCCAAGATCACATCATTGCATTCCAGCCTGGGCTATAGTGCGAGACTCCATCTCAAAAAAAAAAAAAAAAAAAAATTTAAAAAAAAATTTAAAAAAAATTTGTGGATGACTAAACCTGTATCCCAATATCTTTATTAACAGATATCATTTATTTGGTATAAGGAAGATGTCCCAATGCAGATGAGTCTAGTTTATCATATAAGTAAAGGATTTTGTAACTTTTCAGAAAATCAAATTATGAGATATACACATATGACGTCGAATTTACTTATTCACTAAATAGTTATGGAAAATTTACCCTATACCAGTCACAGATATAGGCACTTGAGACACAGCAGTGGAAGATCCCTACCTCCAAGTAGCTTATATTCTATCAGGAGGAAACAGATAATAACATAATAAGTAATGAAATAAGGTGATAAGTGCTGTGTGAAAATAAAAACAGAGTAAGATAAAGGGATGGAGAGTGTGAGGGAGGAGGGACACAGTGTGGTATTAAATAGGGTGGCCAGAAAGGCCCCATTGAAGAGGTGACAGGTGAGCCAAGACTGGAAGAAGCTGAAGGGATTGGCTGTATAATCAAGAATGCTCCAAACAGAGGAACCAGCTAGTGCAAAGGCCCTAAAGAGAAAGCAAGCCTGGCGTGTTCCTGGAAGAGTGAGGATTCCTGTCTGGCTAGTACAGAATGAAGAAGGGTGTGATGGTTAATATTGAGTGTCAACTTGACTGGATTAAAGGATGCAAAGTATTGTTCCTGGATGTTCTGTGAGGGTGTTGCCAAAGGAGATTAACATTTGAGTCAGTGGACTGGGAGAGGCAGACCCATCCTCAATCTGGGTGGGCACCATCTAATCAGCTGCCAGTGCAGCTAGAATAAAGCAGGCAGGAGAAGACAGAAGAGTAGACTTGCTGAGTCTTCTGGCCTTCATCTTTCTCCTGTGCTGGATGCTTCCTGCCCTGGAACATAAGACTCCAAGTTCTTGAGCTTTAAGAGTCTTGGACTTATACCAGTGGTTTGCCAGGGGTTCTCGAGCCTTTGGCCACAGATTGATCCACCACTGGCTTCCTTGCTCCTCACCTTGCAGACAGACTATCATGGGACTTCACCTTGTGATCATGTGAGTCAATTCTCCTTAATAATCCCCTTATTTATAATATATACCCTATTAGTTCTGTTGCTCTAGAGAACCCTGGCTAATACAAAGGGGAAAAGCAGTCAAAGATAAAATCAGTGAGGTAAAGGGAAGGTAAGCTGATTGTGTAGGACTTCATAGACTATTGTAAATGATTTAGCTCTTACTGGGAATGGGGAGGGAGTAAATGGAAGGCTTTAGGCAGAAAGATAACAAGTTCTTATGTACCTTTAAAAAGAATAACTCTCATTGTTGGCTTGATAACAGACTAATAAGGGGTAGAGAATGAAAACTTTCTTTTACCTAATAATCCCTATGAAAGATGATGCTGGTACTAACATTGGAGTTGAAAGGAAGCTGTCAGATACTGAAAATACATTGAAGGCAAAGCCAGTGGGATTGCCTATGGAGTGTGAGTGCTAAGAGCATGAAAGAAATCAAGAATCACTCTGGGGTTTTAACCTAAACAACTGGAAGGATGGCTTTACAATCAGCTGAGCTGGAGCAGGTCAGAGTTGGAATATCCACAATACCACATTAGACATGTTAAGTGGACAGTTGGATATATGAATCTGCAGTTTTTAATATATGAATCTTGGCTAGAGATAAAAATTTGGAAGTGGCAGGCATGTTGATGGTTAAAACTATGGGATGAAAGAGTTCACCAAAGGAACGAGTATAACCAGGAGTAGAAGAGAATGGAAGTGATGAAAGGAGAAGAGGAAGGAAAGGAAAGGAAAGGAAAGGAAAGGGAATGGGGACGGGGAAGGGGAAGAGACTCAAAAAGGAGAAGAGGGAAAAGGAGGAGATAAGAAAGAACTGGAGGGGAGAGAGGACAGAAAGAATCAGAACTGAGAAGATGCAAAGGAGAGGAAGAGGAATCAACAAAAGACACCGAGAAAAAGCAACCAATGGAGGAAAGAAAAACCCAGAGATCAGTGTTCTGGGACATAAGTAAAGAAAGACTATCAAGGAGGAAAGTGTTGAAGTGTATGTAAGATTAAGTCAGAGAAATGACAGATTTATTCGTTATCTGACATTGCTTTCACAATGTGCAGCTCATTGATAACCCTGACAAGGGAAGTTTTGGTGGCATGGTGGGATTGAAAACTCTTAGGAAAAGTTTTGCTACAAAAGAGAGCAAAGAAATGAGACCACAATTGGTTGAATAAGTGGGGTCCAAAGAAAAATTTGTTGACAGAAATAGCAACAGGTTTGTTTGCTGGGGAATTATTGAATGGAAAGAAAAAAAAAGTAACATAGGAGAAGAAGGGAGACGGGAGAGGGAAATAATCTCTGGAGCAGTGCCCTTGAAAGCCCTGAGTGATGTGATCCAGTGTACAGTGGAGGGGACAGCTGTAAGTGGGATTATTAATAGTTTGTTACTGATAGTGGGACTTACAGAAAGGCAGAGAAAGTGAAGCCACTGCTATGGAAGGATGATGGGGAAACTTGGGGAATTCTTTTTAGATTACTTCAATTTCTTCATGAAGAAAGAAGAGCACCAGCTATGAATGAGTGGGCGCAATTATCTTTGCCCTTTTTTCCCATCTAGGTGAAGTTTCTAACTTCCCCAGTACTAGCCTTTTATATTCATAATTTTATATCATTTTCCAGGTGGCAGGCAAACACAGAAGTTAATAAGCACTCCAGGAATAAGAAAAGAAGGACTTTTATGCTCATGCTCACTAAGATGGATGCATATTGTGTCTCTTAAATCACAAGTATTCTGTCTTTAGGACCAATATCTAACTTTAATCTGGAGTTTCCTAGTGTTCGTAACAAACAAAAGCAAGGTAATACTATACACACATACTTTGCACTTTAAGGTCATGATTTTCTCATCAAATCACTCTTTTAGTAAATTTGCTTTAGTGCCCGTAGTAGCTCCATGAGAAACATTCATCCTAACACTTGTTCATGGCAAGCTTTTAAAGTAAAGTTTTTAGGGGTTTGCCCTTACCCTTACTACAAAAGTTAGTTCTTTAATTAGGTTTTTAAAGGTATGTCTAGTCTAGAGTTTCCGAAGAGCATTACACAGAATTATTCTTTTACCTAATTGGTCCAGAGAGATGCTCCTTTAAAAAAGGTTTCTTGAATATATATATATACATATATATATACACACATATATATACATATATATATACATATATACATATATACACACATATATATACATATATACACATATATACATATATACACATATATATACATATACACATATATACATATATATACACACATATATACATACATATGTATATATATGTATATATATATATTTAGAAATGCCTCATACTATATCTGCTTCAGGACATCCAAAGAAAATTAGTATATTAACCACTCTGAGAAATCTTCATGTAATAAGGAAATTTTTGAAACTGGGAGTTTCCCATACTTCACTATAAAATTCCTATTTTCATTTAACATAAATAGAGCACACTTTGGAAAAATGCTGGTTTACAGCTATTCTTATGCAAAAATACAAAATATAGAATTTATCTATAATAAAGTTATTAGAAATATTTAATTTTGATAGTACTATTCCATCATTTAAGGAAATGAATTTGAAATATATTTTACTCTAGCATGTTCTATTGCCCTTACCTATTCTATTCTTGTATAGAAAACACATACATTCCATTGGTGTAGGCCTATTTACTTTCACACAATTAGTATGATGTGTATATTGAGTGTTGCAAAATTGGAGATCATCTGTCTCCTGAAAAATTTTCTGTGACCTACAAAGTACGTCTCTGAGGTAGATACTGCTAACATGTACCATTTTCCAACTCTACTCTACCTCCCAGTCACATAGAAGATTATACTTCCAGATCCCTTCTCTTAGATGGCATCATAAGACCATACCTGGCCAGTGGGGTGAAGTATATGTGTCACTTCCGGGCCAAAGCATTTGACAATGGGAGACTCTTATTTCTTTCTCTGATAGCCAAAAAAGCCTTGCATTAAGCTGGTAGAGCCACAATTTATGAGTCAGCACTGATGTCTCATCAGGTGGGAGACAGCTGCCATGGAAAGAAACCTGGACCCACAGCAGATTTTGTATGAATGAGAAAAAAAAATGTTTATAGTGCTAAGTCACTAAGATTTTGGGGTGGTTATCACAACATCAATTAACTGATGCTGACTAATAGACTCTTTTACCTACACAGAGAAGGGAACAGAGATGAATGGATCATAACCCTCCCTGAGAAGCAAAGAAAAATGTTGTTCTCCATATCTCATGTCCCAGATTTACATGGGCCTATATTACTGATCTATGTGTCAGAGAATAAGAACCAGTATTACCTAAAAGATAAAAATCAATAGAAGAACCAAATGATATTCATTAACAAACACCATTCCTTCCATTTCTAATTATGAAATATGTAATTTAAGACCTATCCTAGAATAACCATTTAGAAAATGCTAAGGTAAAATTTACTTAAAACAAGAAAATATTGTAATACTTTTAAATTATTACCTACATATTAATACACTTAGTTGTAACTAAAAGTAAATTGTGAAATGTCAGTGGAGAATTGTAATGACTTTTCCCTAATATATGGAATGAATCATGTAATGTTTCTTCAGGTAATTATTATATGAAATTATATTTAAATAATATGAAATTAATCCTAAAGTTGAATAGTTGAAAGTGTCTGCAATACTGATTGAAACTGCAGATTTAGTGAGTGATAATTGCATAATGTGTCACAACTCAAAAAGACTCGACCAGAGGCATCCTTGGGACCTCAACAGCATCAGTTGTTTGGGAGAGAGTGAAAACAAGGAGTTTCCAGGGCCAAGGCTAAGGGAAATAATCCAGGTGTAGATTTGACTCCCTAAAGGCCAGTAGTTTCAAATTCAAAGCTAGTATTCAAATTGATGAGGGAAATTTAGGTGACCATGGCAGGATGAGGCAGAGTGGAGAAAGGTGGGCAGCAAAAGATTTGATTGAGTAAAGGAGCCATGATCACAACCAATTCCAGGAAAAAAAAAAAAAAAAAATAGTATTGACCTTGATTAAAGACACTCGGATCTCTAATGTAATGAACACCATTTATCAATGCCTACATAAAGTAATCTTTACCCAAAGATAAAGATAATTTTATTTACAAACCACCCAAAGACATCTTTATACATAGATGTTGAATTGGTAGCTATGCTCACTTACTACCTGAGTGAAGAGTAGACTATTAAGGCATACAATTGCAATTCAATTTTATACTTCAAAAAAATCATAAATTATTACATCATGAAACTTTGGAATCTGTCCCAAATAGTTGGAACCAAAAATGTCATCTACCAAGGCCAAGATTCCACAGTACTTAAGGTGAGGTTTGTTTCTAACTGAAAAAAAAAAACCCAGCCATCATTCATGGGTACAAAAAGAGCCCAATCCTTTTTAAAAACATCTAAATAATCTAATAGTGAAGAAGAAATCATAAAGAAAATAAAGATTTAAAAACCACTGAGGTCTGTTTTTAAGTTTTAATATTCAACTGGTTGTAGGATACACATCCTTCTCTCATTCCCCTATAATATAATGTCTTTTTTTCTTGGTATCCACCTGCTACCATTTGAATGTGTCTCCCAAAGTTCGTATGTTGGAAACTTAATCCCCAATGTTACAATGTTGAGAGGTGTGACCTTTAAGAGGTGACTAGGTCATGAGAGGTCTGTCCTCATGAATGAATTAATGCCATTATCATGGGAGTAGTTCCCTCACAAAAAGCTGAGTTCTCTCTCTCTCTCTCTCTTTCTCCCATATGATACCTTCTGCCATGTTATGACACTGCAAGAAAGCCCTCACCAGATGCCAGCACCTTGATCTTGGACTTCCCAGCATCAGGGCTGTGAGAGACAAATTTATCTTTATTATAGGCTACCCAGTCTGTGATATGCTGTTGTAGTAGCACTAAACAGACTAAAACACCACGCTTTTCCATGTAATGATGAGTTTCAGGGGAGACTAGACCAGACCACCATTCTGGGTCTTAACTGTTGACCTACATCAATTGTGGTCATCATATTCCCCTTACTAGTGATTAGTTTGGGCATGGACTTGTAGCAACAGGTAGCATTTCTGGCCAATAAAGATGGGAGGGAAAGTGTTGTGAGGACATTCTAGAAAAGGTTTCATTTCTCATAACAACCATTTTATTACCAGCCTGAGGATGCGACCAACACACAGAGAGGTCAGAGCCAACACAGCTACTAAGAAGCAAAACCAGATTCCTGGAATACCATTCCTGGAGCTGCCTGACCTCTGTACCTCTTGTTAGAGAAGAAAGTAAGTCTTTTATTGCTCAGCTTATTTTATGTATTAAATTTAGTTTAGGGTTTTCTGTTACCTGCTGCTGCAGGCATCCTCACTGATACACCAGGGTTTGTGGTTGTTGTTTTCCTTAAAAATACACTAATGTGGGAATCAGGCATTCACAAACAAAAATTCAAACATTACAAATTGAAGTAAAATGCAAAGTAAATCTTCCCGACTCCCAGTCACATTCCTTAAAAGCTATCATGTTACCTGTGTCTGTTGTCAGATCTTCCGATTGTCATTAAAATTTAAAATAATGTGCTTAAATCACCAGTCTTTGATTTATAACTTTAGACAGAGTCAATTGATTACCTACTATGAAAGATAATAGAATTAATACACTAATCTTTTCTTACACTTCACCTTCCATTTTCCTTTCTCCTTCCATTTCCTGATATGTTAGGTGCATTTCACATGATTATCCTATAAATATAATTAAATCCTCCCTTCTTTGTTTACACACTGATTGGAAAACATTTATAATATAATAATGCAAACAACTTCATTGTAAATTGAGCAACTAGATCCATGAAACAAAATATTTCTTGTTTCCCAAAAGAAACTTCCAAGTGTCAAATTCTAATATATACTTTCAATTTCCTTCTAGTTTTATTTTCTCCTGAGGGTGTATAACTCAGCTGCCATCATCTCTTGTCCTCAATATTGTTCCTTTTTTTGTACATTGCCATGTAGAATAAAAGCCAGTTTTTTTTCATAAAGGGTATGTGGGTGGTAATCTTTCAGTTCTTACATTTTCAAAATGCATTCATTTGGTCTCATCCTCTATTAATAATGTGTCCATTTAGGCCTCAGTTCAAAAGCACTTTCCCCTCAGATCTTTGAAGACACTGCTCCATCATTTCAGCACCTGATATTATTTTTCATAAATATGTTAAACTAATTATTACTGCTTAGTAAGGAAACTTCTTTTGACCCCACTACCCCACCAAATACTGCTCATTTCTTTGCAACTCTTCCCAACAAAACTCTATACGTTGCTTTTCTAGATTTGTTGTTTTTCATTTCTTTTCCTTTTTTAATGATTTATTTTTTGGTGAATCCTTTGGGTTCTCCCACAACATGAGACCATTTTGTAGGCACTTACTGGAAACTTTATTATAAAAGTGTACATGGAGTACAAGATGAGTAATTTTTCATTTATGCATATATGCAAAGTAAAAAAATTTGTTGATTCCAGCAAGACTCTGTAATTAACTATTCATTTATATTAGTATTTTAATCTGTTTCTGTTCATCACATTATTTTGCACAACCAAAGGATATTTCACCAAAATATGTATAGAGGTAGAGTAAAAGTGTTACGGGATCCTTGGGGTGTCATTTTGCCAGCTGGAAACCTCTGTGGCCGGCAGCCCCTTCTGCCTGAGTATTGCTCACACCCACTGGGGTCATTCTGCCCACTTGGCCATGGAGACAGTGCTCGGCTTGTGCTACTGGCCCAGATCCCAAATGAGCCAAGGGCAAGCCAGGTGCAGCATGGTGAGGGGTGTGTGAGCGAGCAAGCATAGGGTCCAGCCACTGCACACAGCCAGGCATGCCAGCTGCTGTGGTGGGGTGGACAGCTCCGGGTGCCGGCACAGGTGCCAGCTCTGTGCAAGGCTACAGCTGGACCAGATGTACCACACACAGCTTCTGCTGCAGGCACTCACGTCTGGACAAGGGGAACACAGTGGCACCCAGAAGCTTGGAGACACCAGGAACTATAGAGCCCCAAAGAGGGTGTCACAGCCCTGGCTTAGGGAGCCCCTAGGTCTGGGCTCCCCAAAGGGTACAGCTCTTCTCTCTTCATCTCCCACAACATGGCAAATGGGGGGCTGTGTGTTTCGGCCCTGTTTGTGTTATGGCTCTTTCAGTCCCGCCATTTGGTGGATCTGGAGTTCTTGTCCCATGTCCAGGAAGAATGAGGTATGCAGACAACTGGAGGGTGACCAAGGCAGAGAGGACCTTCATTGAGCAACAGAACAGCTCTCAGGGAACCCAAAGTGGGTAGCTCCTTTCCACAGGCAGGTAGTCCCTACAAGTTAAGGAGACCCAAAGTAGGTAGCTCCTTCCTGCAAGTGGTAGTCCCCACATCTGTGTAAGTCTGGCTGAATCTGGGATTTTTGTGGGCTCAAAAGGGAGGAAGCGTGTGCTGCTTAGTCCATGGTTAGCCATGGAGGGGGTCTGGAAAAAGCACCATAAGTTCTCACTTCAGGAGGCAGACTACACCTGGAACTGGCAGTCCAGCCCCCAGGCTTCACACTGTTCCTGGCTTGAAGGAGAGGTTTCACTGGAGACTGGCCCCTTCCTGCCAGGAACCTGTCTGCCTCTTGCCATCATCAACATGCTGGCCACAGCACCATGGCTGTCCATGCTGAGGAGCACCTGCAGGCCCATGCTGAGCCACCTTCAGCCCCACCTCAGCCTCCCTCCCATGCTTATTGGCACCCAAAGTCCAGTGAGGACTGAGGCAGCAGGAAGCTGGTGTGTCAGTGCCACCCCAAGCACATGCACACCTGGCCAAGTTGCAACAGCACGTGGGCTGGGCCTCAACTTTGGTCCAAAATTGGAGCAGGCACTGGGAGCAGGGAGTCCACGGAATGGGAGCAAGCACTTCCAAGCCTGCAGAGGGAGGGGTCTTCCCAGGCACCCTAAGAGCACAGGGTGGCTGCAGGTGTGCCTGGGAGCAGAGGGCTCCCACCTGTTCCCGGCTCCTGCAGTCTCCATGGAGCGCACAGCCCGGCTTCGCCTCCTCCACTGCAACTGGCGTTCCTTCAGCAGCTGTTCCAGATGGGCCACTGCCACCACCAAAAGGATTAGACTGTCTTGGTTTGTTTTGTGTAGCTATAAAGACATACTTGCGGCTGGGTAATTTCTAAAGAAAAGAGGTTTATTTGGCTTACACTTCTGAGGCTGTGCATCATGGCTCCAGCATCTGCTTCTGGTGAGGGCCTCAGACTGCTTCCACTCATGGCAGAAGGCAAAGGGGAACCAGCGTATACAGAGATCACATGACGAGAGAGGAACCAAGGGAGAGAAACAGGGGAGGTGTCAGGCTCTTTTTAACAACTATCTCTTGTGGGAACTAATAAAGAACTCACTCCTGAGAAAGGGCATTAAACTATTTGTGAGGGATCTACCCCTATGACCCTAACATTTCTCATTAGGCCCCACTTCCAACACTGGGGATCAAATTTCAGCATGAGGTTTAGAGTGGACAAACATCCAAACCCTAGTAGACTATAAGATGATTTCCCATTTATCTTAATAGTCACAGTTTGATTTTTCTGTCTGCAAATACTGTCTTATTGTAAAACTATAACAACAAAAATTATTAGCTTTTATTTTCTTGGGAGAATAATAAAGGAGTTTTCATTTACATAATAGTCCTCTTATAATTTGCTTGATGATGGCTATTGTAGGTATAAAATACTCCTGAGGAAACAATATTATTCAAGTAGCTACAACAGTGATCAAAAGAAGAAAAGCTTGTTGATGAAATGTAGGCTAAAGCCCATCATAATGGGCTCTGATAGGATAATCTTTTTCAATCATAGTAAATTCAAATACTTTTTTTTTAATAATGCAACACAAGTACCAACATAATATATGCTATCATCCTTGCTTTGGTATGTGTTCATGCACATGTTCCAAAGGTTTATTATATGATTTTTTTTCACTTTTATTTAGGCCAGTATTTACCAAACTTTTACTGTGGCACACTTGGATATGGTTAAGGGTACTTAGTAAAAATGTTTCCATGGTCCAATAAATTGGGCAAACAATATTTGGTATCGCTACCAAAGATTCACAACATAGATTAGTATGTTGAGAATTCTGAGCAGCTCACTGTCTCAGTCTGTTCAGACTTGCATAACAAGATGCCATAGACTGCGTGGCTTATAAAAAACAGAACTTTATTTCTCACAGTTCTAGGGGCTAAGAAGTCTAAGATGAAGGCACTAGCAGATTGACTGTCTGGTGACAGCCCTCTTCCTCATAGATCTTCTCTAACCTCACATGTAGAAAAAAATGAGTGATCTCCCTTGGGCCCTTTTTACAAGGGCACTAATCCCATTCATGAGAATTCTGCCTCCTGACCTAATTACCCAAAGGCCCTATCTACTAATACTATAGGAATATGGGGAGGACATAACCATTCAAACCCTAGCACTCACCTAAAAAGAAACATATTTAGCAAGGTTTGAATCCCAACCCAGATTTCACAAATCTATTTAAACATGATTTTTTTTTTCATAGCATACTTCTTACTCCTGCAGAACATCATTCTGAAGAATAAGCTATTGCTACATGGATTGAATCATAGCTGATACTCTACTAAAAAGTCCACGATAAAAATTATGTCCACAAATGTTTTGTCAAATGATTTAAGAGCACTTAATCTTGCTGCCATTCTGTTTTAAACCTGCTTCAATCAGGCTCACCCCTAAAACTTGATAGAAATTGGCATCCAGGTCATTTTTGATATCAGTATTGCTAAAAACAACAATGGTTAGTTCTCAATCATCGTCTTACTGGATTTAGTGGCAGTATTTTACAAAGTTGATCACTTTCTACTTCTTTCTTTTCTTTTTTTTTTTCTTGAGATAGAGTCTCACTTTGTCATCCAGGCTGGAGTGCAGTGGCATGATCTCAACTCATCGCAACCTCCACCTCCTGGATTCAGGTGATTCTCCTGCCTCAGCCTCTCAAGTAGCTGGGATTACAGGCACCTGCCACCACACCTGGCTAATTTTTGTATTTTTAGTAGAGGCAGGGTTTCATCATGTTGGCCAAGCTGGTCTCGAACTCCTGACCTCAAGCAATCCACCTGCCTCGGCCTCCCAAAGTCCTAGGTTTACAGGCGTGAGTCACCATGCCCAGCCGCTTTCTACTTCTTGATATATTTATTTCACTTCCTTCCAAGACACAAAACTCATTACTCACTGGCTGCTGCTTATCAGATGCCTGTGTAGGCTCCTCATCTTCTTTTTGCATTTTTAGAGTACCAGGGGACTCAGTTATTCAATTGCTCTTTATGTCTCTACACATTCCCTCAGTAATTTCATCTACTCTCAAAGTTTTAAGTATCACATGTTTTGACAATCCCAAAATGCATATTTCCAGCTTCACTCTCTCTCCCAAACTTCAGACATATCTCCACCCATTTACTCATCATCTCAAATTTGATATATCTCAGCTGAACTTCTGATTTTTCCTCCTAAATTTCTTTCTGCAGCCTCTCCCATCTTAAAGGCAACTCTGTATTTCCAGTTACTCAGAACATGAAGCTTAGAATCATAGTTTTCTCCTCTGTCTTTCACACCTACATCTAATCCATAAGCAAATCCTGGTAGCTGTACTTGCAGAATACATCTGGAATCCAACCACTTCCTACCACTTCCACTGCTGCCACCCTCGTGCGATGCACAAGCTGCAACAATTTCTCATCCTAGAATACTGAAATAGCCTCCAAACTCTCTCCTTGTTCCACCATTGCCCCTCTGTCTATTCTGAACAAAGCACGTGGAGTGACCCTTTTAAAATGATTTAAAGATCAAGTCATTTATCTGCTCCAAGCTCAGCCACCATATCACATTCCAAAATCAAATCCTTTACAAAGGTTGGCAAGGCCCTAGGTGATCTGTAGGGCTGCTTTCAACCCCTCTTATCTATGAATTCATCTCCTTCTACTCTGGTTTGCTCACTGGCCTCCAGTTATGCGCACTTCTTTGCCATTCCTACAACTTCCCACATATGCTTCCACCTTCAGTACAAACAATTCCCTTCAAGCATCTGCTCAAATTTACCTTCTCAATGAGGCCAACACTGACAATCCTGTCAAAAATTGCAACACATCCTCAACCTGCCTGCCCTCACAATTCTCCTCTCCTGTGCTACATTTTTTTTCCATACTTTATCAGTTTATAATTTATTCATATGGTTATTGCTTGTCTTTTTCCATAAGAATGTAATCACCCCCACCATCCTGCTCACCAGTTACGGTGTATCATAATGAGTAACAGTAAAAAGAACTGCACAATAAATTTAGGTAGCTCCACATTAGGGCAACCTCTGGAGAGAAGTTTGCGAGGGAGTTGAGTAACAAAGTTGAGATATGAGGAAGAATATGAATTTCAAAGGAAAAAGTAGGCCTGCATGGTAGGAAACACATGTACCACACATCTGTTACCTCCCATTGACTTTGGTTGTTAGATGTAAATGTAAACCAAATGTAAGTTCACATTACTTCATCTGTTCTGACACCATCATTAAAGAAATCCTGAAGTAAGCAGGTTAAGACAAGAACTGTCCTTATCTGTTGATGCAATATTCTATTAAAAAAATCTGATACTAGAATCTTAAATTCAATCTCTGAATTACATTGTCAGGGCTAATCATTGGGGCTTCTTTTCCTAGCTATCAGTTTTCCTTAAATGTCTGACATTCTTTGGACATCAGTATGTGTTTATGAAGGATTAGATCAAATTGCACAGATAGCTGAGAAAAGCAGTTTCTTCAGCAGTTATGTGTCTGCATTAGACCTCCTTTTTGAATAGAAGCGATGGTTCTCAGTAAATTGTCAGGCAGTGGCCAATCATAGCTCACTGCAGCCTTCAACTCCTCCCACCTCAGCTTCCAGAGTATCTGGGATTATGGGTGCATGTCATCACACCCGGCTAAATTGTCAGGGTTTTTTAACCAGCAGGTACCCACAGGTGAGTATGTGGTCTGCATGCAGAGAAATTGTTTCCCACCAAGCCAACATAAGGAGGCTTTACTCTGGGAGTGCTGCCATTTCTCACCAGCACCCCCTTGACCTTCAAGTGAAAATTCACTTCACCTTTACTCTGCCTTCACCTCACACCCTAATACCCTCAATGGGTAAGTCTTCCCCCAAATAACCCCATTCTTTCAAGACTTGTTTAGTCCCTTGCCTGAGGAAAAAGTTACTTTTGTTAACAACTGTTTACCTGGAGGGAGTAGCTAAGAGCAGAGCTTTCCAATGCAGTTCTTCAATAAATTAATATGAATGAATTCTGCACCCTCACCCAAATCCAATCCTTAAAGCTTCTCCAGGACATCCTGATTGTGGTTTTTCTGATTTATCTCCCAAGCCACACTCTTCTGCTTTATATATTACTGGAATGTCTCAAAACTTGATTTTTTTTAAAATAGGCTACAGATAATCCTCAGCCCAAAATTCAAGGTATAGCTAATTTTATTATTATCAAACAAAACTAGTAGATATAACTTCCAGGAAATAAGTTACATAAATATAACAGAATAAATTCATTTTCTTAAGTTTCAAATTAAAGATGATTAAGAAATACAGCTTTATGTAAAGTTTCTGCTTTTTCTCAACCACGCCTAAAGAGGAAAGAACTGGCAGCAGGAACACTTGCTCCTAGGAAACAAATACAACAAAATTATAATTAAAAAGATCTTCAAGCTATCAAAATTTGTGAGAGAAGGATGGTAAGAATGCAGTAGAAATTACCAAATGACAAACAAAATCCTATCAGTTTTCAGGTTGGTCAAAAGTAACTTCATGAATATAGCCTGTGATCAGCATATGTCCCATAGCTTATATGCCCTCTATACCTCCAGAGTTGCATAATAAACTTTTAACAATAAAACAACAACGAATATCAGGTTGTAAATATTTATATTTCTCTCACATACAATGTTGTATGAGACACTTGTTTTAATATGTATCCATAGGATTAATACTCATATGGAGTATAATGTGGAAAAGTGCAGAACTAAAGAAATAAGTCTATCCGAAAACAAAAGCACACATTTCTCAGGATTTAAAAATATTGCACATAGTAAGGTTGCACAGAAATTACTGGCTGGTTTTACAAACAGAATGAGGTATCAGTCAATCTCTAGATAAAGATGAGAGAGAGGATAAACTACACACACACAAACACATAAATCCATACTAAGACCTAAGAGTGCCAACAACTAAGAAAGAAATATGAAAAAGCTATGTAAGTAGCTATGATTTCAACACTACAAAATCATTTTTAGGCTGGAACCAAACACATAACAATCTCTTGGCAATATTTCGTTAAGTTTTCAACTTTTTTCCAGCCTAAATGACTATGGGCAATAAAACCATTTCCTTTACCCCAGTTCTACTGTAGAAAGGCACAGCGCTGTGGTAAATATCAAACCATTCCTTTCTCAACCTTTCAGTAGCAATTAACCAAGATACTGTTCTCCTTTACTGAATGACTCAATTATACAGTTTCATGTACACTCTGCAACGCAAGTCACAGATGTCATAGAACATGCAACTTTGAATTAGTAAAGGTTTCACTGCAAAAATCATTAGGTTCACACAATTTAAATCTACAATTAACTTTTAAAGTTTAATCAGGTAAACTCAATATTTTCTTGGTAATAATACTGGTGATATTAGTGAGCCCAAGGGCAGGTAGAGAAAAAGCACTAGGCAAAATTACGTGTTTTTTAAAGAAACTTTCCTAATCAGGGAAATAATTAGCATTTTGTCTACTCGTTGAATGTTGAATTTGTCAAAAAAAAAAAACCCTTAAATATATTTAATAGCTATATCAAATTGTTTAAAGTGAAATCATGCACTTGTCAAAATAGTTCACAGAAAATTGTTTAGCATCAAAGATAATGAGGAAGAGTCAACCAGTTGGATTTAGTGAGAATAGAATAAGAACTACTGTCCTGAACAGTCAGTGTATGTAGTAACCATATTTCCTCTTCGTTGAGTGACAGTCCTGCAGTGCTTGCTAGATCCATGAAATCTATTTTCAGTCTGTACTGTATGCTGATTGGTAGAGTCAAAACCACTAAAAGAAAACATTTTCTCCATATCTTCAAACATGTCATCAAATAATCCACCTCCAAAAGAAAATTCTTGGAAATGATGCCTTTGTCTACTGGAACCACCATCCTGGCGTGTCTGGAAATGATTTTCAAAACGCTTCTTGGATCCAGTGTTTTGGTTTTGACCAAAAAAGCCAAAGTCTTTAAATAAGTCATCAAAATTGAAGTTAAATGACTGCTCAAAAGAACTTCCACTACCTCTTTGTCCTTTACCACTAGTAAAAGCACTGTGTCCAAGTGTATCATACTCTTTTCGTCTATTAGCATCTGAGAGTGTTTCATATGCTGAAAGTGACAAAAATATTTTTAGTAACTGAAGGTAAAATATTCAAAATTACATATATTCAAATCTCTTCAAGCAAGTGAACTGAATACTATTATTTTAGGGAAGAATTTCGCATCAGAAATAAAAGCAAAACACTACAAATATAAGCATCAAGTTAATCAAAATTATAAAATAAAGCAGAAACTGTCTTATTAACTGCTGAGTTATCAGCAGTTGGCACAATGCCATCTGCAATACTCAATAAAGTTATTAAATGTTACCATTACTACAAATAAACATGTGGGCAACAATCAGAGTTCTTTAATCTTCATATTATTCGTGTGAAATCATTAATTGTATTAAAAAATTAAACCATCAACTATAACCAATTAATAGGAATTAAGATTTTGCACCTCCTTACTAAAGTAAACTGTTTAATTCTAACTCCCTACTCAGTTACCTCCATCCAACAATAATTACTGAATGCTCAGCAGGTGCAATTTGTTTTAGAGCTAGTCTGAAGTCAAAATTTGTTCCAATTTTTTCTTTGAAGACAAATATGGCTTTGAAAAGCAGATCAAGTGAATAAAGCACTTTAGAGTCTAGTTTAATTTTTAAGTCTTTAATGTTTAAAATGTAAAATATTCTGTTTCATAAGTTAGTTGATAAGAATTTTGGGTACCTAAAATTCTTTTTTGTCATAGAAGCAACAGTGATCTTATAAATAATATAGAATAGATTTTCAATATTTTTAGATACGTATACCAATAAAATTATCTATTATTCTTTCATATATTTATTCAGGAATCAAAGCATCTGTGATAAGAAAATAATCTCAGAGAATCACCCAATATTTATACATAAATCCCACTCCACCTCCCATCTCCACAAAACCTTCAAATACAAACACTTCTTAGCTATCATTCTCCTTACTAGTTAATACCCATGACACTTCAGAGATTGTCATTTATTTACCTTCTGCAATCTCTCTGAATTTTGCTTCAGCATCCGGGCTCTTATTTTTGTCAGGGTGGTACTTCATGGCCAACTTGTGAAAGGCCTTCTTGATTTGGCGCTCTGATGCCGATTTTGGCACACCTAAGATATCATAGTAGCTTTTTGAGGCCAGAATTAATTCTGTTATCATTAAAATGCAGATTGCAAAGATGAAAATTGACTGGGGAGTAGCCATTTCTAATATCCTAAAACAGAAAAGAAAAAAAAATGTTATGGATGGAGCTAATCTTAAAACGTTTTTCTTTTAAAAGAAATCCAACACAAGGTAAACCTAATGCAGTATCAAAATAGTAAGCATACAGTATCTATTACCTGTCCACATGTAATTTCACTTTTAGTTTTATAACTCTCAAACTGGCTTAACCTTATTGAGAACAAAAATAATTCTTGGCTTTGTCTGTCTACTAATACTCTGGCCATACACAGAGGAGATAGAAAATTATCAATAACTGACTTTTAACCAGTTTATATTGAAGATTCATCATATGCAAGCATTGTAAGAAAAAAAAAGAAAACCAAATAATATAAGATCCCAACTTTCCTTTCAAGACTTCATATCCTGAAAGTAATAATGTATTTAACTTCACAGAAAAAAAAAACATTAAAAAAAAAAGGTGGCGCACCAAGGTAAATAGCCCAGTATATCTAAATTAGTATTATTAATCTCGCTCCAAAAATTCAGCTTTCATTTCAGCAGGTGAGCCAAGGACTGCAAATAGAGAATCTTAATATCACAATACTAATACTGACAATACAATAGAATGTTGTCTTTTTCCCAAATGTAAGATCCCAAATGTTTAACCAGGAAGCATGGCTAAATATTGTTTAAAACTCATGATGAACAGAATTTAAGATTTCTGCTAAAGCTGCCAGAAAAATGAACTTTGATAGTTTGTACTGTGGTTAAGGCAGATTCTTACTTTCACAAACTCAGTAGTTAAAATATTTCTTTTACCTTTAAACCATTAAAGAAATGTTAACTTAGAATTCTTGACAATATGTATTCAATGACTTGAGATTCAAAACGAAGGGATGGATCCTGTTTTTTGAATACGGGACCACCAGAGTCCTTAGTAACCTATAATGCCATAATAAGGCTGACGAAAAACACTACGGTTTGTGGAAATTGCCTGGCTTCCTCTCCAGCGGCCTTTCCTGAGAGTAATTAGCAGGCAGGTAGATTACTTATTTCCAGAGAGTTACTCGTAGTCACGGGTACCAAGAATCAAGAACCACTTCTCGGTTTAAGGAACACAACAGTGTGTCCCATGGACGCTGCGTCAACTGCAGGTTGCTCCCTAGTCAAAGGGCGGATCTAAAACTGACAGGGAGGCGCCTCACTGGTTCAGCAGACGTTATTCCACGGTCTCAAGGTGGACATCTAATGATTTTTTTTTAGCAGACTAGTTTTGTATTGTACAGACTTCTCATCCCCAAGACGGCCCCGCCAGCCAGCAGCCCGTGCCTTATTCCCCAGCCTCGGTGGGCGGCTGGGCTAGACCCTCCAACCTTCACCTAAAGGCGACTGGCACTTTCCCTGCCCGCCCAGGCCCCGCCGCAGAAGCTGCCCGAGACCCGGGCTCTAATCCGGCGCCCGTGAAAGCCGGCGCCACAACCCAAAACACGATTCTGTGATGCGGCTGTCTCCGTTCTTCCATTCTCTCGGCCAAAAACATGCAGCCCATTGTCCCTGCGGCGACCGTGGCGGACACCGAGGCCAAGTCAGCTCACAAAGACAGGCCTGGGCTACGGGGACCCTCCGAACTCCCCTCCCCACGACCCCGGCCTCGTCCCTCACCTGCACCCTCCGACTACTGCTGCTCCTCCACAGAGCTGAGGCGCTGGCGACCCTGACGATCGGCTCGGGTCGGCAGCTTGGGCCCGGCCCCTCACCGCGGCCTCCCGGAGCTGGCACGCACCCTAATCTCGGTCGTACACCGACCTAGCGCTCCTCCTTCCCCGCCGGCGCCCAGTCCCCTCTCAGCCAGCTCCTCACAGGCAGGAGGTAGCCGCTGGCGCCACCACCTCAGAAGACCTACACGAAACGCTTCCCCATTGGCTTCTGCCTCCCCACGTGATCCCGGCGCCCTACGCGCACGTGGAAAACTGTTGTTGCTGCTAGGGCTGTGCGCCACTTCCGGCTTCAACCCCCGAAAAGGCGGTGCTTAAACCGGAGGAGGCGGAAGTGAGTCGACAGACGAGGCGGCTTTCCCGGCAGAATGCTAGCGCAGGCGCAGGGGCTCGAGAGGCCTGGACCTGTGGCGCATCCTCAGTGAGGAGGGCCGCCCTGCATCCGTCGCCGGCCCCGGTCTCCAGGGGCCTCACCCGAGTCATGCCCCGCTATTGCGCAGCGATTTGTTGTAAGAACCGCCGGGGACGAAACAATAAAGACCGGAAGCTGAGTTTTTATCCGTAAGTTGTTTCTGGAGCAGAAGCGTCAGCCTCGCCGTGAGGCCTTGGACCTGTGGCCTTTGGGCTTGGGTGTCTCCTGTCCGCTCTGCCAGTGAGTCCTCAGCTCTCCGTACGTGGCCCGTCGCCCGCGGCAAGACGGAGGGAAGGCGCTAGTTCAGTTTAGCTAGCAATGCCCTTCTTGCGCGAGGACTGCTGGCTGGTGGCGAGGCCCAGGAGCCTGTTTGGGTGTTAACAGTTAAAACAGTAAAGTTTGCGCGGGCTTCTGTGGTTTTCAGTCTTTTCCCCACTTCACGTGATCTCATTTCATTGAACAACATTAACCACCATTTAAGATACGTGAAACCTGCGAAGTGGAAAGGTGCACGCAAAGTTAATTTACACCCCCCGCGAGGTAGGTCGCATAGGTATAATTTCATCCCACTTTTCTCCTGAGGAAACTGAGGCCCGGAATGATTAGGTAACCGACCTTGAAAGTTTAGTGTCAGAGCCAGAATTATAAACTAGTCTTCTGCTTAGGGCTGTAGATACTCTGCGGAGAACAAGGTTTTATTCTGTTACTCTGAATTACTAGAGCCACGATATATTTCCATCAAACTACTGAAGCACTGATTTTTATTCAGAAGTACAGACAAGCAGTGTCGTATAATAATTAGGGGTCCAGGCTTCAATGCTAGATCCTGGTTCCACTATTCTGTAGCTTAATGACCTCTTGGAAAGTATTTAAGCTTTGGTGTCTCACATATCTCATCTGTAACATGGAGATGTTAATAGTACTCACATGATTAATAACACATGAAAAGCAACATATTTAAAATACTGCATTTCCATTTTTTCTTGTATTTAAAAACAATTCATTTAGATCTAACCTGGTTCAGATTTTCAGCAGTTGTTTTGTGCTCATTTTACTTTAGACCTGAAGGACTTATTCATTAATGATTCGGCTGCTTTCCAGTATTTTAATTAATGGAAAAAAAATTGATAACCCCACCAGGCGCGGTGGCTCACGCCTGTAATCCCAGCACTTTGGGAGGCTGAGGCGGGCAGATCACCTGAGGTCGGCAGTCTGAGACCAGCCTGACCAACATGGAGAAACCCCGTCTGTACTAAAAATACAAAATTAGCTGCGCGTGGCGGCGCATGCCTGTGATCTCAGCTGCTCGGGAGGCTGAGGCAGGTGAATCGCTTGAACCTGGGAGGTGGAGGTTGAGGTGAGCCGAGATCACACCATTGCACCACAGCCTGAGCAACAAGAGCGAAACTCCGTCTCAAAAGAAAAAAAAACTGATAACCCCAAGTAATTCACAATCCATGGCAATATTTCCAGGATTGTCTCCCTTGAAGCCCAGCCTCAAGATGCAAAGAGATGTTTGGGGGAGGAAAACAATCTAATCCACTTTCAGTTTATAGGGAAATACTACTGTACTAATGGCTCTATCTCTGAGAATGTTTGTAGCAAAAGATCATGTTGAACTTGATTTAACCCCGTATTTCCCAGATTTATTTGGCCTTTGATATTGGAGATGGGGTATAACCCCACACTGAAATTTTTAACTAAACTTTGTGGACCTTACAGTAACTTTTTAGGAAGGAAAAAATAATGCAAGTGAATTGTAAAGATTTTTTTCACTGAAAATGTGAATTTAGTAAAAGTTGTATTATTTCTAGGGTTTTTAAAAAATTTTCTTGTGTAATCCACAAAATAAAAATTGAATTAGTTTTATTCTCCAGTAGCGTCAAACTTGAATTGAATTTGCTCATGTTAACACTACAGCAAACTGTAGTTTAAATGTATATGAATTTGGGAATTCAGTTAATATAGTGTCCAGTTTGTACTGTGATTATCTTATGCCTTTTGGGGAATTACATAAGACAATGAAACAAAATTATCAAATGAATTGAACCAATATAAAGACATAATTTATTCAGGAAACATGATCAAGATTTCTTAGAGATTTACCTATTGAAGCAATACAATCCAGTAAACAATAAGGATATTCACAAAGTTTTTTTTAATGAGTTGATAACTTAGCATATAGGTACAATGGAAATAATTTGCAAACAGCATCCATATACATGAATTTACAGTAAAAAGCATTATTGTAAAAGGCCTATTCTCATTTCAGTTGTAACAAAAGAAATGAATTTACCAATGGCCAGAAGAAGTCAGGTCCTCTAAAAGAAAATTTGTCTGCCTTTAAAATTCCTTTTCTGGTTATGCTTGTCATACTTACAACCTAATATTTGTAAAGTTAAAATATTTTTAAAACATGATTAATATTGCTTCTGTGGTTGGAATTTCCAAAGGTAGTTTATCTGATTTTTTTCCGTATGAGGATATCAGGATTAAAAGTTATATCTTACAGAGTACCCAGACTTTCCATGGCATCTTAAAAAGTTACCAGAATTTAGGGGGAAAAAATGATGCTACTACAAAACATAAGCTAAATGATTGGGATTGCGGGAAGGGAGTGTATAACAGCTACATTTTATATGAGAAACCTTATATTGTTACTATTTTTAAAAACAGGAAATTATGTGGTGTCTTGGACTCTGTTCTTGGAAAAGTACCAAATGGAATATAAACCATTTTCAAATATTGTTTTGTATACCTTGACCCAAACCTTTTTAGATTGATAGGAAAAATTTTCTATCAAATTCTGCCATACACTGTAATGTTAGCACCAACTTTAAATCCAGGTTATTGTCAGGTACAGGAACAAAATGTATACAGCGCTGTCTTGCCATTTGTATTTGATTTGTTTCATATAAAATATCTGAGACTGTCCCTTTTAACATGTTCCATTCTTTTCTTCTATCAGTTTCTCCTTCAGAACTTGAAATTTGGAGTTCCCAGTTCATTGGTTATAGAAGTGTAGTACTATTAGACTAGATTACTTATAGATAGAATTAAAGATGATGCTAGTAAAGAGAATATTTTCAGTACTTTTTCAGCTAAATCATTTGTTTGAAATAACATCTTATTTTTTAAATATTAAATAAGATTGTAAAGCTTAATACTGCCTTGAATTATAGACAACAAGCCATTTGACATGTGGTGGTATTATGAAATACATTTGAATAGGAATTTATAATTTATACAAACCTTTTTTCTAGTTCTAGGCAAACTGTACAGCAATATAAAAATGGAACATAATCCATAGAAAATACAAATAGATTTTGTCCTTTATAGGAACACATATATTTTACTTGAAGGGACTCTGAATTATGTTCAGCTCTTATCAGATAAGAGCCTTGGCTACATGTCTTACATCTTAGGCCTCTTACTGCAGAGATGATAATGGTACTAGTTGTCATGAAGATGCTCTTATTTGGTAGGGATGGTTGCCTTCCTCTTGTAGTACTTACTTGATGCATAGGTTACCCAGATATATAGGGTGGGAATTTGGCAAAATTGTAAAAATATAGCAAAGTTTTTCCTTTTTTCTTCTTTTTTTTTTAAATTCCAGATTTCCTCTACATGACAAAGAAAGACTGGAAAAGTGGTTAAAGAATATGAAGCGAGATTCATGGGTTCCCAGTAAATACCAGTTTCTATGTAGTGACCATTTTACTCCTGACTCTCTTGACATCAGATGGGGTATTCGATATTTAAAACAAACTGCAGTTCCAACAATATTTTCTTTGCCTGAAGACAATCAGGTATTGCAGTATGGGAGAGGGGTAATGCTGAGCAGAGTGGCAGATTTCAGGGTGGCAGGTGATCAGGTGGGAGAGTAAGAGGGAACTATAACTTGGGTAAACAGATACTTGGAAAAAAGGGAGCACTAATTTGTGCTTTTACTAAAAGTGATAATTAAAAAAAATTAAACTCATGAAGCACAGCTTAAGAGAAGCAAGAGATATACATTATTAAGTTATTAACACAAGTTCATGAGTTTTATTTTTTATACTTTTTTTGTTTGAGACAAGGTCTCATTCTGTCACCCTGGCTAGAGTGCAGTGGTGCGATCTCAGCTCACTGCAACCTCTGCCTCCTGGGTTCAAGCCATTCTCTTGCCTCAGCCTCCTGAGTAGCTGGGATTACAGGCGCCTGCCACCACGCCCGGCTAATTTTTGTATTTTTAGTAGGGATGGGGGTTTCACCATGTTAGCCAGGCTGGTCTTGAACTCCTGACCTCAGTTGATCTGCCTGCCTTGGCCTCCCAATATACTAGTCTTTTGAATGATCTGAAATGTTTCTGCCGTATATTGAATGGGATTAATGCTTTTTAGAAAATACTTTAAGGTATATATACTCTGAGCTTTTTTTTAACTAAATAAATTTGCTTGGCCAGTGTACTACTCAATATTATAATTAAATAGCACTAGCATAATAAGCCAATAAAAGTCATCTTTTTCAGAACATGAAAATATTATTTTCTAGGGAAAAGACCCTTCTAAAAAAAAATCCCAGAAGAAAAACTTGGAAGATGAGAAAGAAGTATGCCCAAAAGCCAAGTCAGAAGAATCATTTGTATTAAATGAGACAAAGAAAAATATAGTTAACACAGATGTGCCCCATCAACATCCAGAATTACTTCATTCATCTTCCTTGGTAAAGCCACCAGCTCCCAAAACAGGAAGTATACAAAATAACATGTTAACTCTTAATCTAGTTAAACAACATACTGGGAAACCAGAATCTACCTTGGAAACATCAGTTAACCAAGATACAGGTAGAGGTGGTTTTCACACATGTTTTGAGAATCTAAATTCTACAACTATTACTTTGACAACTTCAAATTCAGAAAGTATTCATCAATCTTTGGAAACTCAAGAAGTTCTTGAAGTAACTACCAGTCATCTTGCTAATCCAAACTTTACAAGTAATTCCATGGAAATAAAGTCAGCACAGGAAAATCCATTCTTATTCAGCACAATTAATCAAACAGTTGAAGAATTAAACACAAATAAAGAATCTGTTATTGCCATTTTTGTACCTGCTGAAAATTCTAAACCCTCAGTTAATTCTTTTATATCTGCACAAAAAGAAACCACGGAAATGGAAGACACAGACATTGAAGACTCCTTGTATAAGGATGTAGACTATGGGACAGAAGTTTTACAAATCGAACATTCTTACTGCAGACAAGATATAAATAAGGAACATCTTTGGCAGAAAGTCTCTAAGCTACATTCAAAGATAACTCTTCTAGAGTTAAAAGAGCAACAAACTCTAGGTAGATTGAAGTCTTTGGAAGCTCTTATAAGGCAGCTAAAGCAGGAAAACTGGCTATCTGAAGAAAACGTCAAGATTATAGAAAACCATTTTACAACATATGAAGTCACTATGATATAGAATAACTAGGTTTTAAAACTATGGCTGTTAAATAAGCTTTTTCCAGCCAAACCAAACTACATGTAAAGTGAACTGTTTCCTGTATAAAGTTCTCATCTTAATGAACCTATGAGAGTGTTGTAAAGTTATGAACTGTATCCTATTCTTGTAATACTTATTTAAGAAAAACCAGAGAGTTGGGCTGGAGAGAAAAGCAGTTTTATTACTTGATAATTTTCCAAATTAAAATTTAGCACATAGAAGGATTCAGTTATAACATGAGAAAACAAAGAAGTGTTCAAAGAGCACAGACTAGAAGTCAGGTTCAGGAATCAGTCCTGGTTCTACCACTGGCATATGACTTGGGCAAGTTACTTATGATTGTGCCTCAGTCCCTAATTTGTAAAATAAGCACTTACTGGATTTGTAATTGGTTATTTATAGTCCCTTCCCTTTTTATTAAGATAATTCTATTAGAACACATTTTCTGTAAGATAATATATACGTAATACTAGAAGTTGGCTAGAATTTGATGATATTAACCATGTATTATTTTCAGTATTTATTGAATTCTGTGGTCTTTGACCTTTTGGCTATAGTTACATATTACAGTTATATTATCTGTAATAGAAAGGAAGATAAACTTTTTTTTTTTTTTTTTTTTTTTTTTTTTTGAGATGGAGTCTCACTCTGTAACCCAGGCTGGAGTGCAGTGGCCTGATCTTGGCTCACTGCAGCCTCTGCCTCCCGGGTTCAAGTGATTCTTCTGCCTCAGCTTCCCGAGTAGCTGGGATTATAGGCACACACCACCACATCCAGCTTATTTTTGTATTTTTAGTAGAAACGGGGTTTCACCATGTTGGCCGGGCTGGCCTCGAACTCCTGACCCCAGGTGATCCACCTACCTTGGCCTCCCAAAGTGCTGGGATTACAGGCGTGAGCCACCGCGCCTGGCCAAGATAGAACTTTTATAATTTTATTCCAGTTGAACTAAACTAAGGAACCACCCATTAGCCCAGTTCTTAGGAGAGGTACTTCAAACTTGAAAGAATATGTATTTCGGTAACTTATATGTGGCTAACCATCAAATACATAGTCATCTAAGCTAAACTTTCTGTATTTATACAGTTAAACTTATAAACCAAAAATTTTAATGAGGTTAATTTTAAATATATTTTAGAAATTACAGTTTGTATCTGTTTCTTAGTAGGTGTGGCCTTTAAAATATGTGCTTATTCATTGTTAAATTCCAGAATAATAGAGTAATACTTAATACTGTACATTCCCACTTACGTATATTTTATTAAAATTTATAAGCAAGAAATTATACATAAGTGGTCATGATCTTAGGGAGACAAAGAATTTCTCTTAGAAAAGAGAAGTAATGGTAATGTAAATAAAAATACTGTTTATATTCACATGATTTTAAGAAAACTGTAAAAGCAAAGATTTTGTAGTAATGACACAAATGTAACAAATAGATGTTTTCTTAAAATTGGCAGTCAGTATAATTATGTTTCTGCCTATGATGTTGAGGAAGTTGTATCAGTCTGATTCTTAGTTTTTTCATCTGTTAAGTAGAACGTACTATTACTTACCTTAAAGAGTGGCTTTGAGAATTTTGTAAGGAACAAACATGTTTTTGGTTCTGGAATATAGGAGGTGCTCAATAAAAGTTGACTCTGACTGGCAAATAATATTGTTTTGTAAATGCATGATGATTATTTTTGGCCATATTTGACTTAGTTTCATTAGGCTAATATTAATTGGTACTATATGAAAGTGAGTCAACTAATTATAAAAGATTAGAAATGTCTTAGGTGACGATGGGGGAAAAACTTAAAATTTTTGCATAAATTATGGGGAGATGATAGAGTTATTACAGTGTTATTAAGTATTCCTATGTTGCATTTTGCAAATACTTAATTTAATACAGATGAAAATAATCTTGAGTCACAATAAAGTAATGATATGTTAAGTTTCAACAGTGTACATTGTAGTAATTTTCTGAAAGTTACAGGTTCCTCAGAAAAAATTTAAACTAGCTTTATTTCTTTAATAAATTATAAGTAAAAGTTGACTATCTGAAAATCCAAAATGCTCCAAAATCTGAAACTTTTTGAGCACAAACATGACACGCAAAGGAAATGCTCACTAGGGCATTTCAGTCTTCAGATTTTTGAATTGGGGATGCTCAGCTGTTAAGTGTACTGCAGATATTTCAAAATCTGAAAAACAGTACCCTTTCTGTATTCACGTCCATCCTTACTCTGACTTTCTGGACCATAATAATCATTCTCCGGTAAAACTTTGAACAACATTGCTCTGTTGCCTATTGTTCTCACTTGCCTAAATTACATTCCTGGTTGAATTCAAATATCTCTTTGCCTTTTCTCTTCCTACATCAGAAGAGCCGGTAGAATAGAAAAAAATCACGATTGGACAGACTTGATTATAAATTCATGACCACAAATCAGATGAGCCCAGCAGTGTTACTGTATTTTTCTAGTAAGTTCATAACCCCACACTCAAATTCTGTCTCTCACTCCTCCCTTCCTTTCCTGCCTCTCCTTCCCGCTTGCCCAAGATGAGGATCTCATCACATGCTTCATTTAGAAAATCAAAACAATCATTAGCTCATCCTGCCAGTTGCAGTGGCTCATGCCTGTTACCCCAGCACTTTGGGAGGACCAGGTAGACAGATTGCTTGAACTTTGGAGTTAAAGACTAGCCTAGCCAACATGGTGAAACCCTGTCTCTAGAAAAAAAAAAAAAAAAAAATCAGCCAGGCATGGTGGTGCGTGCCTGTATTCCCAGCTACTCAGGAGTCTGAGGTGGGAGGATTGCTTGAGCTCAGGAGGTAGAGCCTACAATGGGCTGAGATCGTGCCACTGCATTCCAGCCTGGGCATCAAAGTGAGACCGTGTCTTTAAAAAAAAAAAATGGTATGTTGTTTCCAAATTTAGAATGTGTTTCATTCTCATCACTACCATGGCACATGCCTAAGGTTTCAGTCAGTGACCAAAGCAACATTTTAATGCAAGAGAGGATTTGAGTTAGGGTTCTTTTGGTTGCAAGGAACAGAAACTCAATCCAGCTCAAGAAAGGAAACAGGGAAGAACAGAACTGAAAGGCTCAAACCAGGGTCTCGGGAATCCAAACACAGAAGTTGCGGTACAGGCAGGCACAGTGGCTCACACCTGTAATCTCAACGCTCTGGGGGCCCAAAGCAGGAGGATCACCTGAGGCCAAGAGTTTGAGACCAGCCTGGGCAACATAGATCCCATCTCTACAAAAAATTTAAAAATTAGCTCGGCATGGTAGTCGGTGCTTTTAGTCCTAGCTACTCAGGAGGCTGAAGTGGGAGGATCTCTTGAGCCTAGGTCAAGGCTGCAGTGAGCCATGACTGCGCCACTGCACGCCAGCCTGGGCAACAGAGTGAGACCCTGTCACAAAAGAAAAAAAGTTGCAGTACAGTTGTGCCCCATAGTAATTGGTTCTGGAAGACATCTGGAAAAGAGGCTCCCTCATGTCAACTGCCTCCTGAATGGCATCTGTTTCAAACTCTCTCTCCCAGCCAAACCTTATATCTCAGTTTACAAATAGGCCCCTAAGTTTCTCTACATTATGAATCTTCAGCTTCCTCTGTTAATTAGCTCAGTCATTCGGTTTTTAAATTCCAGATTTCCAAAAGAGGGATCCAACTGGACCTTGCATATATTTTTAAGCCAGTGGGTCTGTAGTAAACCTGTGAGTTGGCATCCTTTGGGTCCTGTCTTATAGGCTGCAGTTGCATCCAGTGAATATGATGGGGAAGGGTCACATGGTATAGAACAGACTCATCTACCTCAGTAAAGCCTTGAAAAGGAGCAGTTTCCCTTTGAAAAAGAGGCTGTGGGTGAGCAAGCAGGTAACTGCTTTAGTTCTGTGCTGCTGTAAAATATGAACTATATGAGAATGACATCATTTGTACATCATTCTCTCCTTTGCAAACAAGGTCCTTCATGCCTTGCCTTGAGCTTGTAACTAAAGAAGTGGCCTACTAAGCCATCAGAGAAAGTAAGAACCAGGCAGTACTGTACAAGACAACATGTAATCTTATAAGAGAGTAGGTTTAAAGCTAATATGAACTAATAAATAGTTTTAACATAATAAATTTAGAGCTATTCACATCCCCAAACAATTCTGAAATAACCTGAAGATATTAAGATCAAACTATAAATATTTAAAGTTTTAATAAAAGAAGCTCTAAAATAGTGATATGGTTTGGCTTTGTGTCCCCACCTAAATTTCATCTCAAATTGTAATCCCCAGGTGTTGAGGGAGGGACCTGGTGGGAGCTGATTGGATCATGGGGGCAGTTTTCCCCATGCTGTTCTCATGATCATGAGTTCTCATGAGATCTGATGATTTTTATAAGGGGCTCTTCCACCTACTCTCGCTCACTCTCTCTCTCTCCTGCCACCATGTAAAATGTGCCAGCTTCCCCTTATGCTATGATTGTAAGTTTCCTGAGGCCTCCCTAGCCATGCAGAACTGTGAGCCAATTATACCTCTTTTCCTTTATAAATTACTCAGTCTCAGGTATTTGTTTATAGCAGTGTAAGAATGAACTAATACAAATAGTAATCTCACTTCATTCACAATCTCTTTTGTAGAAAACTTAAGGAGAAGGAACAATACATCATTAATCTGTTAGCACATCAGTTGTTTGGTTCCAAGGTTCAGGTTCTTAATGGTATTTGTGGCATGTATACGAATAGTATGCAATGTCTAATTAAATTCAGTGACCCTTTGTTCTCCTGCATCACTAGTGAATGTATTCACTTATTTCCTCTCTCCATAGAGACTACACCTTCGTCTAATAAGAGAAAACACTCTCGTATTTTCATGCTAGAAAGAAGTCATTTTCTAAAGCAAACATTCCTATTCAGACTTTCATTCTGTCTTTGACTCCGTCTAGCTCCCATACCCTATGTCAAGGGCCTCCAGGCTGCCCTGCATCCCAGAGCTTTTGGCTGTGATATTGACTCAATCTCATGTATCTATGCAGTAACTTTTACCAAAGTGTTAGCTTTTCCATCCATGACTGTATTTATCTGTGTTTTGTTCCCCCTTTAAGCATTGTGATACAGCACTGTACTTTTGTCAGCATTACATACATTTCAGAAGGGCTTGATAGCATACATTCAGGTAATAGAAACATGATGAATATTTCACTATAGCAAATGGAACTGACAGATCTTAAATGTATTTTAAATGTTCTTATAGATGTCTTTTAAACTATATTTTAACATAAGCAAGCAAAATATGTTGAGTGAATTGTTAACATGTTATTCCCTTTACTTTTTAATAACATGTTATATCTAAGAGGATAAAAATATCAAAACTACTTTGTATTTCATGATAACCACACAGATATGCTATATCAATGAACACACATTTAGATATTTCTGTATATTTGAAATAGATATTACAATAATATTTAAAAGAAAATAAAAGATTAAAAAATTAGAGGTCAGGCACGGTGGCTCAAGCCTGTTATTCCAACACTTTGGGAGGCCGAGGCTGGCGGATCACGAGATCAGGAGTTCAAGACCAGCCTGACCAACACGGTGAAACCTCATCTCTACTAAAAATACAAATATTAGCCAGGTGTGGTGGCGCGTGCCTGTAATCCTAGATACTCAGGAGGCTGAGGCAGCAGAATTGCTTGAACCCAGGAGGCGGAGGTTGCACTGAGCCGAGATTGCGCCACTGCACTCCAGCCTGGGTGACAGAGCAAGACTCTGTCTAAATATATATATATATATATATATATATATATATACATACACACACACATATACATATATACACATAAAACTATCTACAAGTGGCCCTTAAAAGGGCAGGAAAGTTTTATTGATTAATAAAGTGGATTTTTCAAGATTTGCTAGGTTGAAAATGACATGGGTTTTGCCCTTAAAAGAACTTAAATATGATTCTCATTTTAGGCATTTGATGTGATTTGACTCTGACTCCACCCAAATCTCATGCCAAATTGTAATCCCCATGTGTTGGAGGAAGGGGGGTCTAGTGGGACATGATTGGATCATGGGGGAAATTTCCCCTTTCTATTCTCGTGGTAGTGAATGAGTTTCCACGAGATGTGGTTGTTTACAAATGTGTAGCACTTGCTGCTTCACTTACTCCCACTCCACCAAGTGAAGAAGGTGCTTGCTTCCTTTTTGCCTTTCCACCATTATTGTAAGTTTCCTGAGGCCTTCCCAACTATGCTTCCTGTACAGCCCATGGAACTGTGAGACAATTAAACCTCTTTTCTTCAGAAATTAACCAGTCTTAGGTAGTTATTTATAGCAGTGTGAGAACAGACTAATACAGAAAATTGGTACCAGGAGTGGGATACTGCTATCAAGATATGTGAAAATGTAGAAGCAGTTTTGGAACCGGGTAAGGAGCAAAGGTTGGAACAATTTGGAGGGCTCAGATGAAGATAGGAAAATGAGGGAAAGTTTAGAACTTCCTAGAGACTTGTTGAATGGTTGTGATCAAAATGCTGATAGTGATATGGACAGTGAAGTCCAGGCTGAGGAGGTCTCAGATGGAGATGGGGAATTTATTGGGAACTGGAATAAAGGTCACTCTTGCTATGCTTTAGCAAAGAGACTGGTGGCATTGTGCCCCTGCTCTAGGGATCTGTCGACCTTTGAAGTCAAGAGAGATGGGTTAGTGTATCTGGCAGAAGAAATTTCTAAGTAGCAAAGCATTCAAAATGTGACCTGGCTGCTTCTAACAGCATATACTTATATGCATGAACAAAGAGATTACCTGAAACTAGAACTTACATTTAAAGGGAAGCAGATAAACCTTGGGAAAATTTGCAGCCTGGACATGCGGTAGAAAAGAAAAACCCATTTTCTGGGGAGGAATAAAAGGCTGCAGAAATCTGCATACGTGAAGAAGAACCAAATGCTAATAGCCAAGACAATGGGGAAAAGGCTTCCAGGGCATTTCAGACACCTTTGTGGCAGCCCCTCCCATCACAGGCCTGGAGGCCCAGGACAGAAAAATGGTTTCATGGGACAGGCCCACAGCCCTGGGACATGGCACCCTGCATCCTAGCTGCTCCAGCTCCAGCTGTGGCTAAAAGGGGCCAAAGCACAGCTCAGGCTATTGCTTCAGAGGGTGCAAGCCCCAAACCTTGGCAGCTTCCATGTGGTGTTGGGACTGTGGGTGTGCAGAAGGCAAGAGTTGAGGTTTGGAAGCCTCCACCTAGATTTCAGAGTATGTATGGAAATGCCTGGATGTCCAGGCAGAAGTCTGCTGCAGGGGCAGAGCCCTCATGGAGAACCTCTACTAAGGCAGCACACAGTGAAAATGTGGAGTTGGAGCCCCCACACAGAGTCCCTACTGGGACACTGCCTAGTGGAGCTGTGGGAAGAGGGCCACTGTCCTCTAGACCCCAGAATGGTAGATACACTGACAGCTTCCCCCATGCACCTGGAAAAGCTCCAAGCACTCAACTCCAGCCCATGAAAGCAGCTGTGGGTGCTTTACCCTGTAGAGTCACAGGGGAAGAGCTGCCCGAGGCCTTGGGAGCCCACCCCTTGCATCAGCATGCCTTGGATATGAGACATGGAGTCAAAAGAGATTGTTTCAGAGCTTTGACATTTAATGACTGCCCTGCTTGGTTTTGGACTTGCATGGAGCTTGTAGCCCTTTTGTTTGGGCCAGTTTATCCCTTTTGGAATGGGAGCATTTACCCAATGCCTGTACCCCCACTGTAGCTTGGAAATAAATGACTTGTTTTTGATTCATTTTTACAGACTCATAGGCAGAAGGTTCTTGACTTATCTCAGATGAGACTTTGAACTTGGACTTTTGAGTTAATGCTGGAATGAGTTACGACTTAGGGGAACTGTTGGGAAGGCATGATTGTGTCTTGAAATGTGAGAAGACCATGAGATTTGGGAGGGGCAAGGGGCAGAATGATATGGTTTGGCTCTTTGTCCCCACCCAAGTCTAATCTCAAATTGTAATCCCCATGTGTGAGAGGAGGGGCCTGGTGGGAGGTGATTGAATCATGGGGTGGACTTTCCTCTTGCTGTTCTCATGATAGTGAATGAGTTTTCACGAGATCTGGTTGTTTAAAGTGTGTAGCACTTCCTCCTTTCTCTCCTGCCCTGCCATCTGAAGAAGGTGCTTGGGCCAAGCACAGTGGCCCATGCCTGTAATCCCAGCACTTTGGGAGGCTGAGGCAGGTGCATTACCTGAGGTCAGGAGTTCGAGACCAGCCTGGCCAACATGGTGAAACCCCATCTCTACAAAAAGTACAAAAATTAGCCAGGCATGGTGGTGCTCGCCTGTAATCCCAACTACTCAGGAGCCTGAGGCAGAAGAATTGCTTGAACCTGGGAGGTGGAGGTTGCAGTGAGCCAAGGTCATGCCACTGCACTCCAGCATGGGTGACAGAGTGAGATTCTGTCTCAAAAAAAAAAAAAAAAAAGAAAAAGGTGCTTGCTTCCCCTTCACCTTTCCACCATCATTGTAGGCTTCCTGAGGCCTCCTCAACCATGCTTCCTATACAGACTGTGGAACTGTGAGTCAATTAAACTTCTTTTATTCAGAAATTACCCAGTCTCAGGTAGTTCTTTATAACAGCATGAACACAGACTAATACAACATTAAAGTTTATGCTGTCTTTTTCCTTTGAAAGAAGGTGTTAAAAATCTGTTGTTTGGGGCCGGGCACAATGGCTCACGCCTGCAATCCCAGCACTTTGGGAGGCTGAGGTGGGTGCATCGCTTGAGGTCAGGAGTTTGAAACCAGCCTGGCCAACACAGTGAAACCCCTCCTCTACTAAAAATACAAAAAAAATTAACTGGGCATGGTGGCGGGCACCTGTAAGCCCAGCTACTTGGGAGGCTGAGGCAGGAGGATTGCTTTAACCCAGGAGGCAGAGGTTTCAGTGAGCCAAGATTGCACCATTGCACTCCCCCAGGGCAACAAAAGCAAAACTCTGTCTCAAAAAAAAAAAAAATGTTGTTTGTAAGTAATCAATGGGTTTGACCATTTTTAATGGTCACTAATTAGCATATTGGCTCTCTAACCTAGGTAGGTATATTTTAACAGTGCAAAAGCCAGTATTATATATAACAACAATCAAATAGGCTCTATAATGAAAATTTTTAAGTGATTAATGACTATCTGTGGATTAGAGGTGTAAATAAGGCCTGGAAAATTTATGGCTAAACTAAACACAAAATGGATTTTGATCATGTTTGAAATCTGGAATATTCAGTACAATTTATTGTTTTTAAAATCTCTCTATTTCTCTTTGTTTTGATAGATACAGCTAAAACGTAAAAGGAAGGTGTTGAGAAGGGGGACATACACCAGAAACAGACTACAGTAGTGAAGAATAAGGAAGTTAGGTATGAAAATAAAGAGGAAAAGATGATTTCTCTGAGTCACAAATGAAAAAGTGACAGTACACTTCAGAGAAATAGACTAGATGGATGGATGGATGATGCAGGTAAATGAGGCTACTTGAAGATCTATATATAATATAGCACTGAAATTGCTTACCATAGTCATTTCTTTCCTCTCTGGATACTAGTAATGTAAAAAACTTAACATATTAAAGTGTTATTAATTTCCATGATATTTTTGACAGTATTTTTAATCTAATTTCTCTAGCTAGAGGTTGACCTGGAATTGCCTAAAATGAGTCTGCACTAAGTTTAAACTCTCTAATCTGTCAGTTACGTCAGGGCTTCCACCCTTTATCTTGGTGTCTCCTATCTTACCCACATCACTCTCAATGCAGCTCATCTTGAAAAATCTACTCTAATCAATGAAGACTTTCTATCCTTTTTGCATGCATTACTTCCCAATATTTTATTAAGAGAAAAGCATATAAAGATCACTGTAAATACACATCACATGTTGTTTTCATCCAATTTATGCTGCTGTAACAAAATACCTGAGACTGGGTAATTTATAAAGAATAGAAAGTTTTTTGTTTTTTGTTTTTTGTTTTCACAGTTCTAGAGGCTAGAAAGTCCAAGATGAAGGCACTGGCATCTGATAGGACTTTCTTGCTGCCTCATTCTATGGCAGAATGGCAAAGAGAGGGAAAGTTAGGGGGCCAAACTCACCCTTTTATAATGAATCTACTCTTGAAATAACATCACTAATCCATTCATTCTGCCCTTATTGGGGATTGTTTCCAATACATGCTCTTTGAAGGACACATTCAAAATATAGTATATGTCATGGTTGAAAAGTCTGCAAATTCTAAGTCTCTTTGCCATCAATCACATGAGTATTTCTATTTCATGGTCACTCAGTGGCAACCAGAGAAAGGGCAGTTAGAGGTTGATGGACAACAGGAATTCTGCAGGGCTAGGAAGAGTATGGAGCTGCCATTGGGAAATATGCCCTCTTGTTTTTAGGGCAGAAGCTTCTGGCAATCCTCAGCAAGGTTCTCTGCCACTACTACGAGCAGGAGCTTACCTCTGTCAAATTACCCTATGTCTGAGAGCAGCACCCCTGGATTTTATTCTTGACTGAGTTTTCAGGAACTGGGACCTATGTTTTTGGTATGGGCAAAAGGAAACTGAAGTTCTTACAATTCAGTCACAATTCAATCACAGGAAACAAAGGTTCAAAATTTCAAATCCATGGAAGGAGAAGTGGAGTTCCAAAGAGTAAGTACAAATAAAGGTTCCTGGACAGAATTAGGCAAAATATAGTTGGGAGCACTAGAAGTGCAATTACGGTTATGCTGGTTTATGGAGGGCCTTCAGCTAAGTTAAGAACTAGAGACAGAGCTGTAGGACAGAGTTAGTAAGAGCAGCATCAGCCAGGTACACTGGCTCAGTGCCTGTAATGCCAGCACTTTGGGAGGCCAAGGCAAGAGGATCACTTGAGGCCAGGAGTTTGAGACCAGCCTGGGCAACATAGCGAGACCCTGTCTATTAAAAAAAAAAAATTTAAGAGAGCAGCATCGAGGGCCTCAACTGAAGACATTGTAATTTAGTAGACCTAGGAAAAAATGTTGCTGCATTTTACTAAGTGTCAGGTAATACTATTGTGTGTGATTCTTGGACCACATTTTAAGAAACAGAGCCTTAGAAAATTAGTGGCTCCATTCCTGATGGGAATGCCTCTTCATTTATTTCTACTAGTTCTATTTTTTATGCCACTGCTAGTTTTTCATTCTTCACCAACTCTTCTGAAATACAGAAATCTATGTACAAGCTAGAATATAATAAAGTACTATTTTATGTATGAAGAGTTTATGTAATTTGCCATTTGAGATAGCAAATGCAACAAATATATTTAGCTCTTCTCCCACCTCATATCCTACTATAACAACGGTAAAGAGATTTTTTTTTTTCCCCTGAGACAGAGTCTCGCTCTCTCACCCAGGCTGGAGTGCAATAGCGTGACCTCGGCTCACTGCAACCTCTGCCTCCCGGGTTCAAGCAATTCTCCTGCCTCAGCCTCCCGAGTAGCTGGGATTACAGGTGTGCATCACAACACCTGGCTAATTTTTGTATTTTTAGTAGAGACAGCGTTTCACCATGTTGGCCAGGCTGGTCTCGAACTCCTGACCTCAGGTGATCCATGCCCCTTGGTCTCCCAAAGTGTTGGGATTACAGGCGTGAGCCACCATGCCCAGCCTAAGAGATACTTTTAAAAGGTAAAACCCACGAGGGCAAAGTGAAAGAGGAAGCAAACACAACAACATTTTGGAAGCTGGAAAGTAGATGTATGAGTAGTAGCTGTCTTTGTGGTCCAGAGATTCCTGTCAACATGAAGGAAAGCCAACAAGTAAACCCAGTTATTATTACAGAACCCAAAAGCCTTAGTAATTGAAATCAACAGATACCTCTGGAATTGGGGAGTGTGGGGTGCTTAAGGCATGTAAAAAAAAAGAGGATTGGTTAAAGTTTATTAAGAAGCGGTAGTCACCCTACACAGTTTGGTAGCTGTTTCGCTCCTTACCTGGCAAAAGATTGGAAGTTTATTCTCTAAAGAGGTTAAAACAGAGGGTCTCTAGCTGGGCAGGGGCATTATACTGAAAACAGAGGTTAAGTGAAAGTGTATATACTGAATGGTGAGCTCCAACCCCCACCCCACCTAGCCTCTATCACATACTCAGTTTCAGTTCCCAGATCTCTAGCAACCAAGTGTATACCCTCCAGGCATAAGACTGAAGGTGTATTCTCTGGAGAATTTGACAAGCCCCAAGAAAAAAGAACAAAAATATTTAACATCGGGTAGGGGACTCCAACTGGGTCCAGCTAAGCCACTCTGCAACAGTGATTCTCAACACTCACTGTGCATTAAAATCACGTGGGAAGTTTTAGAAACTTTTCCTGGCCTGGGCTCCACTCTCAGAGAATCTCATTCAATTGGTCTGGTTTAAAGCCTGAGCATCTATATTTTTTAATGTTTTCCAGGTGATTCTAATGAACAGCAAAAGTTGAGAATCATTGCTGTACAGTGAAACTCAGGGCAAGACTCATCCATAGGTACAGAGTTTTTCACCAGCTTTTAAATGTTCTGTCCACTGATAGTCAACAGACAATTGAGAAGAGCAGTTAATAATAAAGATGTGGACGTCTTAGTCTATTTTCTACTGCTATAACAGAATGCCTGACGCTGGGTAATTTACAAAGAAAAACATTTCTCTGAAGGCTGAAAAGTCCAAAATTAAGGCGCCAGCATTTGATGAGGGCCTTCTTGCCACATCCTTATATGGAAGAAGAGTGAGAGAGGATGAACATTGTGTCCTCATATGGCAGAAGAGTGAAAGAGAGGGAACACATTCTTGCAAGCCCCTTATATAGTGACATTCATTCATTCATGATGGCAGAGCTCTCATGACCTAAGCACCTTCCAAAAAGCCCCACCTCCCAACACTGTTGCACTGGGCATGAAGTTTCCAACACATGCATTTTGGGAGACACATTCAGACCATAGCATGGCCCAAATAAATAAGTAAAAAACAGCAACTTAGCGAAAACAGATTATGTAGTCATAAGAAAACATAGGGGAAAGAACCCAACTATAGTTCATGTTCTTTCTGAGCAAAGGCTATATTGCATTTCTGAAAACAAAAACATGATACCTTTTAGAAAAGGAATATTATAAAAACGTAAAGAGCTCTAGTAATTTAAAATGTTATAAATGAAAAGTTAATAGGAGAGTTAGAAGATTAAAGTTGAAGGAATCTCCCAAAAAGTAGAACAAAAAAAGCCAAAAGATAGAAAGGAAGAGACCCAAATAAGAATTGTGTCCCCTGAAAATTCATGTGTTGAAGCCGTAAAGCCCAGTACCTCAGGACGTGACTGTATTTGGAGACAGGGCCTTTAAAGAGATTAGGTTAAAATGAGGCCATTAGGGTGAGCCTTATTGCTATCCAACTTAGGTCCTTATTAGAAGAGAAAATTCGGACATACAAAGAGACATGAGGGATGCAAGGGCATCCTAGAAAGACCATGTGAGGACACAGAAGAAAGTAGCCATCTGTAATACAGGGAGAGAGACCTTAGGAGAAACCAAACTTACTGATACCTTGATCTCAGAACTGTGAAAATAAATTTCTGTTGTTTAAGCCACACAGGCTGTCCTATTTTGTTACATTAGTCCTAGAAATCCAATAGATCCAGGAGACTCAATATCCACATAATGGGCATTTTAGAGAATTGTAATAGAAAAAAAAATGGAGCAAAGAAAATAGTAACAGAAATAATGCAAGTAACTTTTCTGGACCTGAACATGTATTTCCAGATGGAATGACCCATTATGTCCTGAGAACAATGGGCAAAAACAGGTACTTACCAAGGCACATTATTTTTTAAAGTCAGAGCTATAAATATAAACAGAAGATTTTACAGACCTTCAGCAAGAAGAAAAAAAGACACAAAGGGTCAAGAATAGAGTAGCTCCAAACTTCTTAGCTACACTGGAAGCAAAAAGTAAAAAGAAAGATTAATAATCTGAAAATTCTGAAGGAAAAACATAGAATTGATTCTGTATATCCAAGGTCTCAAAAAATTGCCTCCTCTGGACCCTTTCTAAGGAAGCTGTTGGAAAATGTATTCTAGGGAAATAAGGCCATAAAAGAAAATAAAAAAACTGTTTATCTTCTGGAATGATTGCCTAGATGATAGTTTATTATTCAATTGATCTAGAGATGAAAATAGGAAAAAAGGAAATTCAAATCAAGAAAGAAGCAAAAGGAATTCCAAGCTGGTGGTGAAGGAAGGGCCCCAATACAACGTTACTAGAGAGCCACCAGTCCAAATGACAACAATAGGTCTGGAGGCTCAGAAACATCGAGTTCTTCAAATGAAACATAAAGTTCTTCAAAGATGGAAATCATTAGATTAACTAATGTGTTGAATATCTGGAGAGGAAACTCACTCATCTGGGGTAGAATTTAGGGTTAAATTAATGATAAAGCACAGAGAAAACTATGCAAAGAATCCAGACTAATATTGACATGAAATGTGCATGGAAGATCAAACTGTCATTTCTTCATACATAACTGCATTTACATGGTCAAAATAATGTAAATACAATATAACCACTTACACAATGTATATTGGGAAGATAGAAGGTAACATAGAAGGGTGTGTGTGTATGCTCATGTTTGTGGTTGGGTCAGAAGCAAGGGGTAGAATGACAAGGTAATTAAACAGAGCAAATCCTCATCTACCATAGTGGAGTGTCAAAAAGACAGTGCCTAAATCCAAAACTTTAAAAATATAGGTCAGATGCAGTGGCTCACGCCTGTAATCCCAGCACTTTGGGAGGCCGAGGCGGGCGGATCATGAGGTCAAGAGATCGAGACCATACTGGCCAATACGGTGAAACCCCGTCTCTACTAAAAATACAAAAATTAGCTGGGCGTGGTGGTGTGCACCTGTAGTCCCAGCTACTCAGGAGGCTGAGGCAGGAAAATCACTTGAACCCGGGAGGTGGAAGTTGTAGTGAGCTGAGATCCTGTCACGGCACTCCAGCCTGGTGACAAAGCGAGACTCAAAAAAAAAAAAAGTACTTGTGTGTGTGTGTGTGTGTGTGTGTGTGTGTGTGTGTGTATTAAGCATGTTATTTTGAGAAATATAGGTAAATACACAAAGAATCTGCAATATGATTAGAAGCGGTTGACTCTGGAGAGCAGAAAATGAACTAGGACTGCAGGCTTTTGTTTTGTTTTGTTTGCAATAAGGCTTGTAGAACACTGGGTTTTTAAGAATATGTGTAAGAGCTATGGGCTCACTCCTATTCATCCTTCAGGACTGATATGGTTTGGCTGTGTCCCCACCCAAATCTCATCTTAAATTGTAGCTCCCATAATTCCCATGTGTCCTGGGTGGGACCAGTGGGAGGTAATTGAATCATGGGGGAGGTCTTTTCTGCGCTGTTCTCATGATAGTGAATAAGTCTCATGAGATCTGATGGCTTTATAAAGGGGAGTTCCCCTACACAAGCTCTCTTGCCTGCTGCCTTGTAAGACATGACTTTGCTCCTCATTTGCCTTCAGTCATGATTGTGAGGCCTCCCCAGCCATGTGGAACTGTGAGTCAATTAAACCTCTTTCCTTTATAAATTAGCCAGTCTTGGATTATGTCTGTACTAGCAGCATGAGAACAGACTAATACAAGGGCTGACCTATTCGTTATTTTATCTAGAAAGCCTTCATTTGCCCTTCCAGATAACCTTCATATTTAGTCTGTTAGCTCCTTTTACTTAATCCTATTATCATTTCTATCATCCAGTGTCATTATTGCTTCTTTACTTGTTTTTTTATCCCCAAAGTATAAGCTTTTTATGAGCTTTTTAGCTTCATTGTCTAGCACAATTCCTAGTACAAAGTCAGAGCTCCATAAATATTTTTCAGGTGAACAATAGCACCTACTAAGCCATATTTCAAGAGCTGTTTTGCTGGGTCTAATTCTGGCTCCACATTGAGACAGTCAGCATATAAATTAACCAATTTGCAGCTCCATGAGTATATTATTGTCCCATTATTCAGGCAGGTCCTGTTAAATTATTAACTTGAATTGTAGTGTAAATAATGCTACTTTAAATCTCTCCTGGCATGTTATAACCAGTACCTAGAAAAGGTGCAGTAGCATTCCCTCCAGGGTTGGGGACTGGACCATGGGAGGCTTTTAGGAGGCTCATTGGATCCTCTAAAATTTAATGCAAAATTTCATGTGCATAGGCATTTTTCACAATTTCTATTAAGATTAAGAAAGGGATAAATTACCCCTCAAAATTTAAACACCACTGCTCAGGGCAATAATAGCTTACATCTTACCTTGTGCCATTCTTTAGAGAAACAAAAGCTCTTTACGTATTTTATCATCTAAAAACCCTGAAACATAGAAATGGAAAATCGATTATTCTAGACAGGTTAATACACAAACAACAGCTCAACTATGTGATTTTAATTAATCAGGAATAGAACTAGGACTAAAAGAAAAAGTGTCCCATATCTAAAAGCAGGCTTGATAAACTGTACACAGAATTCTTACAAATCTTAGACGAATACTGCCTCATAATTTTAGGGAAAATAACTTTTAATGTTCAAATTACTATATAGAATATCAGAAAATAAATTTAGGGATTAAGTAAGTATTCTTTTGGATCGCTGGAAAATAATATGTAAGTTCAAGTCTTGCTTTTGGTTACAGAAATATAATTCAAAATGAGAAGCAATGGAGTAGGAGCTAATTTCAGAGAGAACCTAATCTTTAGTTTTATTCAGTGCATGGTTCATGTTTTCCATTAATAAAGATGTGTGGTGTTTAAATATGCACAATGAACTAGAATATTATAAATGTGAAATGAGGTTAATTTCATTGAGCTTGCTACCTTGGTTAGTCTAAATGAAAATGAATTCACTGGCATGAGACTAGAATGTACCTGAACCACGGATGAAAAATAAGTTAATCCGTTCATCAGTGTGGTATTAAAAGATGAGAAAGAATTTTTGAGGGAGTAGAGAGTGACAGATGACGGACACTATACAAATTGTTCAAACAATTCCCAGAATGTCATTAAATAAGAAATGTCTATTCCTTTTTTGGAACATTAAATAATATGCTCAAGAAGCATTTGTTTTGCCTTGTTAAAACTTGGTGCTTTGAAACACCCTTCAGCATATCAACTTCCAGTCCACCTGGATAGTTTCCTTAATTTGGGAAATGATAAAACACAAAGGGAAAACAATGTTCCTTAATATAGGAGGGGCATAGAGCTGGGATCCAGCTCCGATTTATTTTATTACCAATGCAAGCGAGACTGAAACATCTGGTTTGCATTGGTAATATAATTTAGTGAGGAGGTAGAAGCACATTACTAGGTATCATCACAGTAATGTATTTCTGAAGAGTACTGTAAACAAAGCTTTTTAATAAAAAATAGACAACAACATCAGCTCAAGTCATGCAAAGGTAAACTGCTCATTCCTTAGCAATAGCAAAATACTAAGTGAGGCGACAGCACTATTAAGAATAGAGAATGGAGCACCCTGGTTTTAAACAATAATTCTTGATATGGGAAAACTTGCTTCCAAACTTAGATAAAATGATCCCACAAATTCCTCCTTCTCCTTCTCTTCTTCCTCCTCGTCCCCTTACGATTCCTCTTCCTATTTTTGTTGTTGTTGTTAATCTGGAGCAAAACTGAAACCAGAACTTTTCAGGGGCAGCGGTGTGGGTAAGGGTCCTATGTATCACTGAAGAACCAGTTCAAATATCACCTGTTCCAGGTGTACACACCAACTGGTTGTTTATGCCTGTCTGAACACATTCTATTCATTATTATAACTAAATCACACTTTGCTGTGTAATTGCCTCTTTATGTATCAGTCTCTGTGACTGCTCTGCAAGTTCCTAAGAGGTGGAGGCCAAAACTTGTTTTTGGCACCTAGCAAGCCCTCAAATTTTTACAGAAAAACAGGATGATAATAATATGCTATCTCTTGTGGCCTTATCTGATTGACAGATGGTTGATAAAGTGAACTGCATCATGCTTAGATCTATTTACTATTTAATAAATGCTATTTAATAAGTACTATTTAGTAAATGCTTAGATCTATTTACTATTTAATAAATATTGTAGATCGTTAACCTAATGGGAACTTTACATTACTCAATCTCAAAACCTGTTGCTAACTCTGTGCTGGCTCTTTTGCCCTACTGTGTATCTCAACTCTATCCATTTTAAGAGCAAATAGAGGAAAAACCATAGAAATTAGAATGTCAAAGGAGATGGGAAATTTAGAAAATATAAGACTTAAATGAGAGAAAAGAAATTTAAGATGGTTAAAAATACACATATCACTATTTTCTATTTGAGGTCCCACTCAGAAAGTCACAAAATATTGACTCTAAGACTCCTATTTTTAATTGCAATATATAGAATGATTAACAAATAAATCAATGAAACTCAAAAATGTAATAACCCAACAGTACAAAAGGTGATCTATCAGCCACTCCTAAATCTTCCTTATGTTGGAATTATCTAAATTCTAAATTGAATTTTTAAGTCAAGACTTTGATATTTTTCTAAATAGATATTTTTCTAGACAATTATCTTCATCTTGAATGACTTATCTCTTGATTAGGATTTTATTCTATGAAGCTTAAGCTCTACCTAAATTTATTCTCTATCTTCACAGATATATTATTCCTAAAATTGTCTGTAAATATTTGAACTAGTCACGCTTTTCACAATGGAACTGACAGCAAATTGTCACTTGAGACTTAGAAGCTGCCATTCTATCTTAATGCTGTGGAATGTTTTGCTGCCAACTCCCTCAAAATAACAAAAATTTGCGGTTTACAATTGTTCTGGGAACTATACTAATCTATTAGACATGAAAAGTCACTTTCACTACACTTTAAAAACAGTATAGACATTCTTAACACTACATAGTAATATTAATAATGCTATGCTTCATTTACTGGTCTTTTTAAATCTTATATCAATTCATTTTATGGAGCAATCCAACTGTTTTTGTCATTCTTGGCAGTGTGTCTATTTTTAAAAAGGTAGCCTCAAATTCAACAAACTATAGCAATCTATATCTTTCTAAATAAGACAAAAATAAAACTAAATATAATTTATTTTTTTTCTGAAAATATCTCTACTAGTTTCCTTTGATTGCCTCTTCCTTCTAAACTTGCATTACTGCATTTCAAGTGTGGAATTTACAGAGAATCTAGGCCAGGCGTAGTGGCTCATGCCTGTAATCCCAGCACTTTGGGACTAGCAGACTGCTTGAGCCCAGGAGTTCAAGACCAGCCTGGGCAACATGATGAAACCCCGTCTCTATAAAAAATTACAAAAATTAGCTGGGCATGGTGATGTGCCCCTGTAGCCCCAGTTATTCAGGAGGCTGAGGCAGGAGAATTGCTTAAGCCCAAGAGGCAGAAGTTGTAGTGAGCTGAGATTGCACCTCTGCTACTCCAGCCTGGGTGACAGAGTGAGACCCTGTCTCATAATTAATTAATTAATTAATTAATTACTAAAGAATTTATGGAGAGTTTGTTTCATAAGCGTTTTTTACTCCCCATATGTTGTTGTTGTTGTTTACCTATTCTATATCAATGACCTTCTTTGTTTTTGTTTTTGTTTTTTTTTTGAGATGGAGTCTTGCTCTGTCACCCAGGCTGGAGTGCAGTGGCGCGATCTCGGCTCTCTGCAACCTCTGCCTCCCAGGTTCAAGCAATTCTCTTGCCTTGGCCTCCTGAGTAGCTGGGATTACAGGCGCCTGCCACCATGCCCAGCTAATTTTTGTATTTTTAGTAGAGATGGGGTTTCACCATGTTGGCCAGGCTGATCTTGAACTCCTGACTGACCTGAGGTGATCCACCCGCCTCGGCCTCCCAAAGTGCTGGGATTACAGATGTAAACCAGCGTCCCTGGCCCAATGTCCTTCTTTATTTAGAAGATTATTGACAGTTTGGACCATGAATTGTCTCCTTTTCTTCCTTAAATGTTTAGTAGACTTCATCAGGAAAATCACTTAGGCTTAGAATTTTCTTTGTGGAGAAGTTTTTGAAAACAAATGCAATTACTTTAATAGAAAAAAGATTATTCAGAATTTCTTTTTGATCTTGTGTTAGTTTTGGTAAGTTATATTTTTCAAAGACTATCCATTTCATCTAAGTTGTCAAATTTATTGGCATATAGTCGTTCATAATTTTTTTTATATTTTAGCCCAGCCTACCCCCCATTATATATAGGAAAATGAGGTCCCAGTGGTGACTTGTATAACTTCCTAGCTCAAACTGGCATGATTTGCTGTTAACTTCTGATGTGCAATACATTGTGTTTACCTATGTGTATGTTTACCTAAATATCCCACAAAATTTTGCATGCCAGATGGTCAAAACTATCACTGGGATAAAAAAAATAGGGCCAACCCAGGAAAATCCTGATCACATAGGTCTTGGATATCCTTGGCTGGAACAATTTAGTATAGCAATAAAAAATACTGGGAGATATTTCAGACCTAGATATGCAAAACTGAAGATCACAGCTACTGCAAATTGCAACATTTTAAAGACGACTTTCTCTTGGAAAGTAATCATTTGGTGATAGACTGCTTATCATCAGTCCCTAGTTGTGATGTTTGTAGTACCATCGTGATGGCAGATGATCACCATCAACTTCTTTTCTTCCTGGCTAAGCATGCCTTACTCCATCAAGAGATAGAGGGCAGAACCTATTCTTCCCTTCTCTTGAATCCGGACTGGCCTTAGTGACTTGCTTGATGTTCTAGGGCTCCCAAACCTAGCTCATAAAAAGCCTTGCAGCTTCTGCCTGGGCCTCTTGCAACACTCATTCTTGGGAAAGCAATTTGCTATATAAGAAGTCAGACAACCCTGAGCTCACCATGCTCTGGAAGCCCTGTGATACTGTTCCAGTCAATTGTTTTGAGCTGGCTGGGCACAGTGGCTCACACAGGTAATCCCAGCACTTTGGGAGGCTGAGGCGGGCGGATCATGAGGTCAGGAGATCGAGACAATCCTGGCTAATACGGTGAAACTCAGTCTCTACTAAAAATACAAAAAAATTAGCCGGGCGTGGTGACAGGCACCTGTAATCCCACCTACTCGGGAGGCTCAGGCAGGCGAATTGCTTGAACCTGGGAGACGGAGGTTCCAATGAGCCGAGATCGTGCCACTGCACTCCAGCCTGGGTGACAAAGCGAGACTCCATCTCAAAAAAATAAAATAAAATAAATTAAATTTAAAAAAAAAAGTTTTGAGCCTAGTCTTCTAGCCATTCCCACCAAGGCACCAGATATGTAAGGGAAGCCATTTTGAATTCTCCAGACCAGCCCATCTGCCAGCTGAATGCCACTAAGTGACTTCAGTCAATGCCATATGAAACAGAAGATGCTTGGCCAGGCACAGTGGCTCACGCCTGTAATCCCAGCACTTTGAGAGGCCGAGGCAGATGGATCACTTGAGGTCAGGAGTTACAGACCAGACTGGCCAATGTGGTGAAACCCTGTCTCTACCAATAAAACAAAAATTAGCTGGGCGTGGTGGCACATGCCTGTAATTCCAGCTACTCAGGAGGCTGAGGCAGGAGAATCGCTTGAACCCAGGAGGTGGAGGTTACAGTGAGCCGAGATCGTGCCACTGCACTCCAGCCTGGGCACCAAGAGCAAAACTCTGTCTCCAAAAACAAAACAAAACAAACAAAAAAAAGAAACAGAAGATGCCAAGCCATGCCTAAATATCTGACCAGGGAAATTGTGAAATATAATAAAATGCTTGTTTTTTTCAACTACTAAGTTTCAGGATTGTTATGCAGAAAAAGATAACCTGAGTGCCATGATTATTTTATAAATGGAGGCAAACATCTTTACCATCTAGCCTTATAGACATTTGTGATATTACAAATTAGTTGGGAAAGAACCTGGAAAAATGCCACTCAAGTCCACCATGCTACATAATATATATCTATATCTAAATCTAGATATAGATATAGATATAGATCCTAAGCAATTCTGTTATCCCCTCCACAGTGACAGAATAGCAATACAAATTCGACAAACTATGAAAGTTCTTGCCAAAACATTTGTTTGAATTTAAGGGTTTTTTTTCCTGATCTTCAGCCAATTCAGACTTATTTTTGTGTTCAAGGTGCTGCAATGAACAGGACTGTCAGATTATTGAATGTCATCTTGAAGAGAAAAGAAAAACATCTTCACATATAAGGAAATATTACAGTTGTAACTTAAGGGTTAAGCTGTAAAGTTTTAGCTGGTAAACATAATGGGCTGGCTCAATTTCAGGATGCTTTGAAATGCATTTATATGATTGAATGAACCTGCAACAGGGGATTTGCTTCTTGAGGAATTCTGTCTTACTGCTGTATTAAAGACCTTTTCACTGGATGCCTACAGAGCCCCATACAACTTAAAAGTTACTTTGAGCTTTGCAACTGTTTTTGCAGAGAATCATTAGCAAAACAACAAAAGTGAGCATATACATAAGAATGCTAAATTTAATCAAGTCTCTAGCGCTTTTTAAACCACCTGGATCATAAATTACTTTTGGTAAAAGCCTAACAACTAATTTGGTTTAGTTAGAACTTATTTAATTGGAAATTATACGTGAAGTAATTGAATGTGTCTATTGTGAGTTTTTAATCTTCCTTTTAATTCTTTAATGCAGAATAATTGTATAGCAACAGAAAATACAGTCAATATCTAAACTCATAGATTCCTTTTCTGCTCAAGGAATGATCATTCTTTTTTTTTTTTTTTAAATAGAAATGGTTGCCATTAAACATTCATCTCCTTGGGGCATATTAAAAATTATTACTAGGCTCAAATGGATGCCATGCTTCTATAAAGCTAGGTCTTTTCATGTTAGCTCTAAAGTGGTGTTGCCAAATTGCTCAGATTACTAGAGAAAATAAAGAGCAGAGTAACTGGAAATTGACTTGAACAACTTAAACTTCCAGCCTTATTTTTAGCTCCAAAGAACAATTTTCAACGTATTTTTCAAATGCCTTAACAAAAGTCATTAACTAGAGTGCACACTTATAAATAAAATGGCTTGTAAATACTAAATTGTATATATATTAAAACTCAATGGTGCTGGGCATGGTGGCTCATGCCTGTAATCCCAGCACTATGGGAGGCCAAGGCAGGTGGATCGCCTGAGGTCAGGAGTTCAAAACCAGCCTGGCCAACATGGTGAAACCCCATCTCTACTAAAAATACAAAAAATTAGTTGGGCATGGTGGCAGGTGCCTCTAATCCCAGCTACTCAGGAGGCTGAGGCAGGAAAATTGCTTGAACCTGGGAGGTGGAGGTTGCAGTGAGCTGAGATCACGCCATTGCACTCCAGCCTAGGCAACAAGAGAGAAACTCTGTCTCAAAAAAATAAAAAAACAAGAAAATAAAAAAAAAACTTTAATGGCTAAATAAGTTCATGACCATGTTAGAGTTCATTTCTCAGAATACACAAAAATCTATGTCATTAGTGGAGTGTCTTGTATTTGGCAATCATGGTCAGTAAATGAGTAGAAAAGCTATCTTATCACTTGAGACTAGTAAAATATAGAGATATTCACTGAGCAGACTAAATTGATTTATGGCTTATACTTGCATTGTGATGCAATAAAAGTTATAATAAAATAAAAACTGGGTTTTTTTAATAGATGTATAGATCAAAAGCCACGTTGTGGACTATTCATATGCATTGTGGAACCTATTTCTCCCACCCATACCTTGGAGGATTAATTAATTCTCTTATCAACAAATACGTAATGGGCATTTGTATTAGTCAGGGTTCTCTAGAGGGACAGAACTAATAGGATAGCTACATATATTATATATATACACACATATATATCTATACATGCATCCATCTATATATATATATATATATATATATATATATATATATATAAAGGAGAGTTTATTAAGTATTAACTCACATGATCACAAGGTTCCACAATAGGCCATCTGCAAGCTGAGGAGCAAGGAAAGCCAGTCCAAGTCCCAAAACTGAAGAACTTGGGAGTCTGATGTTCCAGGGCAGGAAGCACCCAGCACAGGAGAAAGATGTAGGCTGGGAGGCTAGGCAAGTCTAGTCTTTTCATGTTTTTCTGCCTGCTTTATGTTCTAGTTGCTTTGGCAGCTGATTAGATGGTATGCACCAGATTAAGGGTGGGCTTTGGCAACACCCTCACAGACACACCCAGGATCAATACTTTACATCTACCAATCCAATCAAGTTGACACTCAGTATTAACCATCAAAAGTCCACCCCTTGTCAACTTGAACCCATACAAATCTCCTGAGATCATACATAATCTTTAAGTAAAGACAATAATAAGGTCATAATTACTCCTAACATAATACGACTATTCTTTGTACAACCAGAAACGCATCAATCCCCAACCCAAATACTATTACATAAAGTTAACATACTTAAATGCTGATGTGAAGTCAATAAATCTTATGTCCCATGATAAAGGAGAAAGGAAATAAAATGAAGATGTTTTCTTAGTACAAGTGTATACATGCATAAACGTGTTTTTAACAAAAGAAGGAAATATTCATGACAATTGCAGTCCTCGTTTCTGCAGCTGGTCACGTGGTCGTAGCTGGTATTGACAACTACCTTCTTCTACCACCATTCTGTATTCCCTTTGCTTTCAGCAAGCACCTCAGCAGGTCATGGTTTTTTTCCTGGTGGAGTGACCCAAACCTTCATTCCTGAAGGGTCTGGGCTATTTGTAGTCCTGCCTGGATTGGGCTGTTGTAGTTTCCCATTGACCTTAATCACAGGGCATGGTAATATTAAGAGATGCCCTAATGGATCTCCTATATTCTATGTGTACTCTTCCTTACCTCCCTTGTGGAGTAGTCGACAGATTTCATCTTGATAGTCCGGGTCAATCACCCCAGCCAACACTGTAACTCCCTTCTTAGCCTGTTGACTTAAAGGTAGGAGGAGCCCAAGTGTCCAGGTGGCAATCATAACTTCCAGTTTAATGGAATCATTGTGTCTCCAGGTGGCAGCGTTCCTCCCTCTGGAACTAAGACCTCTAGGCCAGCGGAACGTAATGTCACAGTAACAGGGAGCAAAACTTTTGCTAGTGGATCACTAGGGGTGATGGTGAGTGGTGCTACTTCCACTTCCAGCCCTTGATTCCTGGACCCGTGAATCCTGGCTATGGGAGAAACAATACCATATATTGCATGCTGATTCAGAGAATACATGGCTCTCTGGAGAACTTTGCCCCAGCCCTGCAAAGGACTGTCACCTAGTTGGCATTGTAATTGTGACCTTCAACAGGTCATTCCACTGTTCTATCAATCCAGCTGCTTCAGGATGATGAGGAACATGGTAAGACCAGTGAATTCCATGAGCACGAGCCTACTACCACACTTCTTTAGCCATAAAATGAGTGCCTTGGTCAGAGGCAATGCTGTGTGGAATAACATGATGGTGGATAAGGCATTCCGTGAGTCCATAGATGGTAGATGTAATATAGATATAATTGCACATCTGGCCATTTCTCCTTCCATGCAAAGTGTACAACCAGGTGCACTGCTCAAAGTTCTGCCCAGTGGGAAGATTTCCCTTCACCACTGCCCAGTGGGAAGATTTCCCTTCACCACTGTCCTTAAGGGATGTCCTAGAAAGAGGCTATAGTGCTGCAGCTGTCAACTTTCGGGTGGTGCCTGCATTATCACACAGAACCATCTGTGAACCAGGCCCTAGTCTTCTCTTCCTCTGTCAGCTGATTATAGGGAACTCCCCATGAGGCCATCAGTGCAGGCTGGGGGACAGAAGGCAGGGTGGCAGGAGTGGAGACCACGGGCATTTGAGCTTCATACCATTTCTTACTTTCTGGCATTACATACCTTTTTTTTTTTTTTTTTTTTGAAATTTTGGAATTAATTTCTCTCTTTAAGAGAACAGATTTTTTTTTTCCTGGTTGTCTTACTGCTGCAAACCCAGAATATAGAACAATTCTTTCACCAGTAATAAATGCTGTGATGTGATTACCAATACTAAATGACTTGTGCTCCCAGTAATACCGAGCATCAAGTTGATTGGATTGAAGGATGCAAAGTATTGATCCTGGGTGTGTCTGTGAGGGTGTTGCCAAAGGAGATTAACATTTGAGTCAGTGGGCTGGGGAAAGCAGATCCACCCTTAATCTGGATTTTCTGTTGAAATTCCTTTTAAAATTTTCAGTTTTGACATTTTCCTGGATCTGGGTTTTAGAAGCAGTGACTTAGTATTATCATACAAGGTCTGTTGTAACCTAAATTTCTCTAACACTAACCAACCTGCGGCTATAAAGTCATTGCTTCTTTCATTAGTTTGTTTTTTCATTATTTATTTAACAAATAATCAGTGAGTACCTAGTAAGTGAATGGCACAATTATAAACACAAAATATTCAGCAGTGGACAAAACAGACTAAAATTCATGACTCCATCTGCTGATGAAGGATTTCTATACTGCTGCTAACCTCTTCCCTAACCACTTTAAGCCTGAATTGCCATAAGACATCTCTTCTACTCTCATGGTTTGTGCATGGCTGGTGGCCAAGTGGTGGACTGTGGGTCCTCATACAGAATGGGCCCCAGCTTTATATGTCACATGTGGCAATGCCACTTGTGCTCCTAACAAGTTACAAGGTTTAACAGAAGAGTTCTTACACTTTTTATTGACAGTCTTTGTTCTCGAGGCATGAACTGGAGAAACACTTCACTATAACTATCAGTCTATATACAGAGAGCTATCCCGCACCCCAGGCTTTGTTCAGCTTTGTTACAGCATCAAACTCAGAGTGCTTGGCTCTTTCTTCACTTGAATTGCCTTGTCTCCCAAGAAGCACCTCAGCCCAGTTGCAAATCAAATTCTCTCAGTTTACCAATTTCACCAGCTCACTGGACACACTCTGGCCACAGAGTGAATTCCTGCTCAGGGCTACTCAGCCCTCAAACGTGTACTCTTCTGAGGGACTTGACATTCTCCTTCGTCAAACCTACCTGAACCCCCAACAGTGGACACTCAGTCCAAGCTAAGATATTCCAAGAAAGGTTCCACTGACTTTGCCAGATTGCCAAAAGAGTCTGTAAACCAAAAAGTTATAAATCCCTTGTTCGGTCATATAGTGTTGACAGCACCACCCTAGACATTCTGAATTAGAACTCCCAGGAGCAAGGTCTGGAAATCCATATTTTTAGAAGGCTAACAGTAATTCTTTGCATCTGACAAACACTAACTGCCACGTCATTTTAATTCTGTATTTTAAAAATACTGCTTCTGCTGCTTGGTGCCTCTATTAAGTTGACTTAATTTTGTTATTTTGTTAAAGTATTTGTTATTTTCTTTTATAATCTATATTTTTAATTAAGTTTGTTAGAAGTCCAAAAACTTAGTAAGAAATTCAACAATACTTTGTCACTTCTCACAGCTAATATTGGTTCTTGTTTCATAAAACTGCAAAATATTTTAAAAGTTGGCTTAAAACAAAAAGCTCAATTTTGGTACAAAAATAATTCATAATAGTACCTATATTCTAGAAGCATCAAAGTTCAGTGGAGAAAAAGGAAAATTAAGAATTAAAATACATGTATTCTCCTACCTTGGTTGAATTCACTAGGTATGTGCAAATGGGTAAGTCATTTAATCTCATTGGGTATCACTGAAATATTGAACTCATCTGTAAGTAACAGATTTAGAATAGATGATTTTTAGGATCACTGCTAAGTCTAAATGATAATATGGTTCTAAATATCATTAATAGGCAACTGAGAACCAGATGAGATTTTAAAAGTTACTATGTCATAATAGTTATATTTTAATATTAGTAAAAAGCAAATCATGCAACAGAGTGAAATTCAATTGTGAAATTCAAAATGAAGTAAATATAGTCACCAGATCTTAATTATTTTAGTCTTTCCTAAATGCTATGACTATTCTATTAATGTTATTCTCATCCTCAAAATGAAGTTTAGGAAAACTTTAAGTTCCATAATGTTGGGAAATATAACACACATCCTGTTAAAATTCTAGTTTTTTCTTTTATTCCTTGGTTACAATTATGTGTGCATTTTACAAGTAGAAAGTTAGAGTCCCCCAATTAAGATAAACTTCCTACTCTAAAGAAAAAGTTCAGAAGTGTCACTTCCTAAGACTGAAGTCAACAAAACCCATATATCATACAGAAGATTAGTTATCAAAAGGAAGGTTTTCGAGAAGTAACTTCCTACCACATGATTTATAAGTTTATAAATACCTCACTGGTGAAAATAAAGAGCATAGCATCTCTGTATGTCCTTAGGAAAGAATCAAGAAAAATGTGAAATTAACCTGTAAATTATAGTTTAGGGATTATTATCTGTTAGGAAAACATGTTAAAGAAGATGAAGATATAGTGAGTAAAAAGGCAAAAATGGATAAAGTTTTAAAAAAGGAGATTGACATTTCTAAACACTTATCCAAGAGTTGGGGCAGGCGAGATTGAGAGAAAGAATGAGAGGGAAAGAGACAAATATGGAAAAGTCAGTTACAATCTCATCTCAAATTGTAATCCTTGACACGTGGGAGAGGCCTGGTAGGAGGTGATTGGATCATGGGAGCAGATTTCCTTCATGCTGTTCTTATGATAGTGATTGAGTTCTCATGAGATTTGATGGTTTAAAAATGTGTGGCACTTCCTCTCTTCCTCTTTCTCCTGTTCCGCCATGGTAAGACAGGCTTGCTTCCCATTTTTGTCATGATTGTAAGTTTCCCGAGGCCTCCCTGTCATGCTTCCTGTAAAGCCTGCGGAACTGTGAGTCAATTAAACCTCTTTTCTTCATAAATTACCCAGTCTCAGGTAGTTCTTTATAGAAGTGTGAAAAATGGACTACAACAGAATATTTCATTTAAAAAAATTGTGACCAATAACAAGCTAAGCAAGCAACCACGTATTGAGTCCAACGTTTCAAGGTAAATCCAAACACCCCAGGAATACACGGTTTTAGAAACATAATAGTTAGCAAAATCAACTATGTAAATAGGGAAATCTTTTTTTTTTCTTTTTGAGACGGAGACTCACTCTATCACCCAGGCTGGAGTGCAGTGACGTGATCTCGGCTCACTGCAACCTCCGCCTCCCGGGTTCAAGCAATTCTCCTGCCTCAGCCTCCCCAGTAGCTGAGATTACAGGCGCGTACCACCATGCCTGGCTAATTTTTTGTATTTTTAGTAGAGACAGGGTTTCACCGTGTTAGCCAGGATGTTCTCGATCTCCTGACCTCATTATCCGCCCATCTTGGCCTCCCCAAAGTGCTGGGATTACAGGTGTGAACCACCACACCGGGCTGTAAATAGGGAAATCTAAACCACAGTTATCCTTGATCTGCAAGAGTGAAAAAAAATCATCAAATGTTGCCAACACAGACCTAAAAACAAAGAAAAACTTTGAGAGACTTCTTGTGAAAATGTCTACCACAACTATTTCTAAGTTTTCTGTGAACACTCTCTCCCAACCACTTTTCTGTGCCAGCCTCTTTCCCAGGTATTTTGATTTTTTTTAAGCAAAAAATTAAAAAAATGTCCTCGATAGCAAATATTAATAAAAAACCACCCATCTCTCAATGTAAGCAAAGATGTTGACATTCTGGCTAATTAAAATCTCTTATGAGTCTGATTAGAGTGAATTCATTTCCCAAAAGATTGATCATACCTGGTAAACTGTAAAACTACTTTCTGAATATACATATTTAAAGCCTATGTCAAGCAACCACAGGAACTTGCCAATCGCATGCATCACATTAATACTAGCTGGAAGAGCTGTATAGGGGTAACCAGTACAAGGAGTTGTTTTGGAATTAGTGAGAATTAGTTGAGTTTATACCACGTCCCAATATCCCCAAAATTTTATTTTTTAATCAAACATTAGAACTATACCAATTTGTTCTAAAGTCTAATTGAATGGCCCTTGAGAGTGGTTCAATCTTTACCATATTAACATACCAGCAATAAATACTATTTAATTAGGATGCTTAAAAAGAAATGTAAGATATTTGTATAAGTATTATAAAGCTAAATAAATTATCTAGTGAAAGTATCTTAGAGTTTTGGTTACGAGAGGCTGGGAAGGGTAGTGGGGGACAGGGGGTTGGGGGAAGGTGGGGATGGATAATTGGTACAAAGAAAAATAGAAAGAATGAATAAGACTTACTATTTGATGGCAAAATAGAGTAACTATAGTCATAATAACTTAATTTTACATTTTACAATAACTTAAAGAGTGTAGCTGGATTGTTTGTAACTCAAAAGATAAATGCTTGAGGGGGCATATACGCCATTCTCCATGATGTGCTTATTTCACATTGCGTGCCTGTATCAAAACATCTCATGTACCCCATAAATATATACACCTACTATGTTCCCACAAAAATTACAAAATTAAAAACAAAGTATCTTGAACTATTTAGATTTAAAATATGTTATATGGAATATATACATCTCAATTTTCTACTTGGCATAAAGTGAAGCCAAAAAGTTTGGTGGAAATTTTAAAACTCTGTAAATATAATGACCTATGTAGTCAATAGAGACTATACACTCAAATATATAGTCCTACTACTCTTTTCTTTTGTTAGTTGGAGAAGCAGTTGCTTTAAATACAGAAAATAGTATAAAATGTACCTTTTTCAGCAGCCAACAGCTCTCCCTAATTAGGGTGGCCAGATGAAATACACGATGTGTATTTCAGTTAAATTTAAGTTTCAGATAAACAACAAATAATATTTTTAGTATGAATATGTTCCATGCAATGTTTACTTTGCTAAAGCTGACAACTCCATCTCTAACCCCCTTTTGGAATCAATAACTGCTTCCTCTGAATTCTCACAGTACTTTGTTGGTTCTTCTGTTACATAACACATTTCATTTTTCCTTGTTTCATGGTGACTGTAGACATCTGACTCTTCTATAAGACTACCAAACCTTCAAGGGCAGGAACTATATCTAGCTCACTGTTTTGCATATAGTTGGTGCTCACAAATGCCATTTCTTTTGAATTGAATTTAGCATCCTACTACATTGACTCAAGCTAGCCTCTTACTTCAAATAATATAACTGGAAACACTGTCAACTTCTTTTCAGCCCCATTTAGTATTGGTATGCCAATAATATTAGCCAAATTTACTGTTTATCCTCTGTGTGCATTCTACAAAATTGTGTAGGTCACGAGGGCTAGGACTATCTGTTTTATTGACTAGGGCATATTCAAAGACTAACACAATAATCAGGTCATTAAATGTGTACAAGAAATATGTTTTATAAATACTAGGCATTTTACATGTATTATTTCATTTAATCCTCCACAAACCTTATGAGTATTAGTGTGCCCATTTATTGGATGAGAAAAGTAAGAGTCAGAGAGGTTATGAATCTTGCTCACTATTGTTTTGGGAGTGATAAAATAATAACTCTGATTCATAGGCTGTAACGTCTATACTTGAATGATTTTATGATACAATATAAGCAAGTATTGCTGCCTTTTAAAAAATAGACATTCTGTCTCAAACTGAGTCCAAATGTCCTTGAAAAGGTCCTCATAAATGATATCTTTTTCAGCTTTTGGAACTGAGACTTAAAAGTTGGGTAATTTGTTCAAATAAGTGGCAAAGCTTAGAACTGGAATCTAAGTATTGCCTACAGTAAAGCACATGTTCATCCCTGGCACTGTCCTTTCCAAACATTGTTGGTCCCCAACAAACCTCTAAGTTCTTTGAAACTATAGATTGGCATTAAAGGAAAAGTGCTACTTGCTCCATCGCATTTAGGCACTGGTTCATTCATACATTCCAACCAGTGTTTATCTGCTTGCTGTGTTGCCTGGCCTTTTTGTTTTTCTGCCCTGTATTTCTCTCCTTCCGTGAACAACTTTTCCCCAAAACAAATTCTGTGGTTCTATGAGAGATGCTGTTTTCACACTAGGACCCTGTTGAGGGGTTTGGAGTAGTCTGACCATGCTGTTTGATCACAGTACCTCATTCTCTGACCATAGATCATAATGCACTTACATTACTGAATTGGGATACTGAAAATTTTACTAATGAAAAAAGGGAGGCTTGTGGGAATTATTTGCCCACAGTATCACAACCAGTAAATGGTGAGGGAGGACAGGACTCCAACCTTGCCTTAAGTCTGAAGTTAAGCAATGCAAACATTGATACTTGCCTATAAGAAACTAACATGCGCCAGGGCACAGTGGCTCATGCCTGTAATCCCAGCACTTTGGGAGGCTGAGGCAGGCGGATCACAAGGTCAGGAGGTCAAGACCACCCTGGCCAACGTGGTGAAACCCTGTCTCTACTAAAAATATAAAAATTAGTCGGGAGTGGTGGCACATGCCTGTAACCCCAGCTACTTGGGAGGCTGAGGCAGGAGAATCACTTGAACCTGGGAGGCAGAGGTTGCAGTGAGCCAAGATCACACCACAGCACTTCAGCCTGGGCAACAGAGCGAAACTCCATCTCAAATAAAAAAGTAAAAGAGGCCGGGTGTGGTAGCCCACACCTGTAATCCTAGCACTTTGGGAGGCAGAGGCGGGCAGATCACCTGAGGTCAGGAGTTCAAGACCAGCCTGGCCAACATGGTGAAACCCCGTCTCTACTAAAAATACAAAAATTAGCTGGGCGTGGTGGCAAGCACCTGTAATCCCAGCTACTTGGGAGGCTGAGGCAGGAGAATTGCTTGAACCTGGGAGGTGGAGGTTGCAGTGAGCCGAGATCGCGCCACTGCACTCCAGCCTGGGCGGCAGAGTGAGACTCTGACTCAAAAAAAAAAAAAAAGTAAAAGAAAGAAAGAAAAGAAATTAACATGCAATTGAATATGGGGGCATTTTTAGACTTATTCCAACTTTTCAACTGGATGAGTTGTCATAGAAATAAGCAAGGCATGGAATAACCTACAAAAGTATTAGGTAAAAGGTAAAATCTAACTCAGATTCAAAAGTAAGTTGGAGAAAATACAATTATGTGTCCTTAATATCTTAATTTTATGTTGCTACTCTTGTGCCAAAACCTTAGCTATAACCTGTCTATTAATAAAACTATTCTTTCTTCACCCAGAAAATCACCTTATATATAACTGGTTTATTTCCCACTGGTTTAGTTCCTCTAAGATGTCCCAGCAGGAAGCTGGATAAACTGGTCTCAAGCCTGATAGAGAGGCCTGAACTGCAGGTATAAATAGGCAAATTCTTTAAGGCAGTTTTTAAGGTGGAGAAAGAATGATTTTTTTATTAAAAGGTTAAATAGGAAAACAGTAAATATGACAACAACAGGACTCCTCATCTTCTTCAAATCTTGCCCTCTCATGGTACCAAAAAAATGTACTTAAAACTTAAATTCCACCATGTTATTCTTTTGTCTTAGAATCTGACAGTGGTTCTGATCACCCAGAAGATCAGGTCCAAGTTCTTCAGCTCTCACCCAATCCTTATATTACATTTCCAGTACAAACATGGAACACATAGTTCCCTTCATGCACTATGTTTTTTCCTGCCTTATTGCCTTTTATTACAAACATCACTTCTCTCTGTAAAGCTCTCTCCTTTCTCTTCCCACTTTTACCACTCCACTACTGCCATCTGTCTTGCTAGCAACATCTTTTAAGACTTGGTTCAGAAGTTCCTTCCCAACACCACAGGCTGGGGTAGGTATTCCTGCTCTAGACTCATAATATCCAGTTCATGTCTCCATTAGTGCTCTTTCTACATTAATAGTATTATTACCTAAGGTTATATTTTGAGTTCCGTGACAGTGCTTCAATTTTTTACCTCCAGCAAATAGCTTGGTGCCAGGCACATAGTAAGCACTCAGTAGATAATGGCTGAATGAATAAATTCAATTCTTTCAATATGCACTCACCAAATAGTTACTGAACAATTAACTTTTTTTTTTTTCTTTTTCAAACGGAGCCTCACCCTGTTACCCAGGCTGGAGTGCATTGGCGCGATCTCGGCTCACTGCAACCTCCTCCTCCCGGGTTCAAACCATTCTCCTGCCTCAGCCTCCTGAGTAGCTGGGATTATAGGTGCCCGCCACCACGCCCAGCTAATTTTTGTATTTTTAGCAGAGATGGGGTTTCACCATGTTGGCCAGACTGGTCTCCAACGCCTGACCTCAGGTGATCCACCCGCCTCTGCCTCCCACAGTGCTGGGATTACAGGCATGAGCCAACGCTCCGGGCCACACTTTATTAATAATTGCTGTGCCTTGGTGCTAAGGATCAAAACAGAAAATCCTTGCTTTCATGTTTTCAAACTATATAAAGATAATTATATTAATTTCCTATTGCTGCTGAAACAAAACACTTCAAATTTAGTGGCTTAAAACAACTCAAGTTTATTATGTCACAGTTCTGTAGGTCAGAAGTCCAGCAAGAGTTGACTGGTTCCTCTGTTCCAGGTCTCATAAGGGTGAAATCAAGGTGTCAGCTTACCTGAGCTTTTGTCTGGTACCTCTGGGGAAGAGTGTGCTTTCAGTTTTATTTAGGTTGTTGACAGAATTCAACTCCTTGCGGCTGTGTGGCTGAGGTCTCCATTTCCTTGCTGGCTGTCAGTCAGGAGCCGCTCTTGGTTCCCTATGGCAACCTGCATTCCTTGTCAAATTGTTCCTCTCATTATCTTGATCTCTCTGACTTTCGCTTTGCCACATCTGTACTGATTTTAAGGATTTATGTGATTAGATTGGGCCCACAGAGATAATCCAGGATTATTTTCCTTTCTTAAAATCTGTACCCTTAATTACATCTGCAAAAAGTCCCCTTTGCCATGTAAAGTAGCATATTCACAGGTTCTAAGGATTTGGGCATGGGCATTTTTTAGAAGGCCATTCTTCAGCCTACCATGGTGATTATTCTTCTAGAATTATTTTCTGGCATATCCCTCCCTTAGGTGATCTGGAGAGATATCTTGCACCAATATGGCTTAATTTATTTTGGTTATAATGTTAAGTTTTATTTGAACAATAAAGATATTAGCAGCTCTTTTAAAAAGCTATGAACCAGACCAGAAAGGAGTGACTATGGATGTAGAAGAGCTAAAATAGATAAATCAATAATAAACCTTATAAATAGAATGAGCATAGCAAGTAACTGATACAGGGCAATGTGATGTCTCTTTTACCCAGCTTCCAAAGAATATAGCGTTGAACAATTACTGTATTTAGCATTATTTCAAGTATAGATGATTTCCTGAAGGCATTAGTCTGCTATTATACACAAGATAATCTCCAATTTTGCATACTACTGAATTTGTTTGAAATTAAATATAATTCTCTTTTGTCTCAAAACTGCCCAACATCAAAAGAATCATAAATGGGTTTTATTTTCCATTTTTAACTTATCAAACTAGTAATCTAAATGAAACTAAAAATCAATTCAATAATACAGAATTTTAGAGAGTCTACTATTTGTTGGATGTTACGCTAGATCCAGACAATACAGTTTACCTTACGCTCCTTGACTGCAGGAAACTGGCAGGCATATAAACAAATAAATTATAATACTGTGCAGCAAGGGCAATAAGAGAAGTGAGCACAGGTGGAAGGAATGATTCATTCTATGAGTAGTGAGGTAAGATTTTCCTGGCTGAAGGACAAACAAATCTTTAGGAGGACAAGGTGGAAGGGGAGCTAAGCCAACAGCATGACCAAGGCACTAAGTATGAAAAGGAACAAGAGTATCTGGGGAAGTACAGGTGTGGCTGGAGGATAGAGAGTGAGAGGCAAGTGGTGAAAGTAAAGGCTGGAAGGTCAGCAGGGTCAGAACCTATAATTTCATTCGGTATATTCTGTGAAGATGTACAGCCAGCAAAAGCTTTTTAATTCGGGAAAACACGATTGGACTTGCACTTTCAAAAGATTACCGTGGTTGCACAGAAGAGACTGACTGGGTCAGAGGTTAGTTACAGGCTGGAAAACCAGTTTAGATGAAACTGAAGAGCAAGGATGAAAGCCTGAACTAGAGCAGTGGAAATGCGAATGTGGAGCAGAGGAACGATTCAAGAAATTCTGCGGTAAAACTCATCAGACTTCATGACTGATTAAAGGTATGGTGGTAGACAAGGGAGGGAGAGGAAGGATAAGAATGGAGAAGCAGGAATTGGGCGTTATTTGAAAATTTCTGACATGGGAGGAAAATCTGGATATTTAATAACATCTGACTAAATTAGGGGATGAAAGAGCATAAGCGGAGAGGGAATGGTGGTGCTCTCTCCTTGACCATACTTTAGTTAGGCTCCTCTGAGCCCTCTTCCCAACTAGGCCTCATCCTTGGGCCCCTGTCTTAGGCCTGCTGAGTCCAGTTTTAGCAAGAATCTTGCAAAGTCAGTTTAGAGAGTATCTCCTAGCCTTGATAATTGATCATCTCCGCCTGTCTTCAGCAAGAATCTTGTAAGTCACTTTAACAAGAATATCCCCGACCCTTGATATCACTTCTTAGTAATTTTCCATGAACTGACCCCTCAGTCTGCTTGCTGGTTATAAATCCTAGCTGTTTTTGTTGTATTAAAACTTGAGGCCAATCTCTCTCCCCCATGGTGATAGTCATGGCACCTATTGCAATAGTTCTAAATGTCTTCCTTGACATTTTAACAAGTGTCAGAATAATTTTTCTTTAGCAACAAGGAGGAATCTGTCTCAAAAACTAAAGCTCCTTCCACACGCCTGTAAGGCTTAATTGGTGCATACATCTTTTAACTCTCCTGTAGCTAAATAACATGTCTGGCTTATCCACTGCTGGGGTTTACCAGGCATTATGATGTACATAATCCAGACACTGTGTCCCAAGAACATAGCAAGCTGGCTTTCCCTCCTTGATTTAAAAAAATCAAAACAACACAACTATCAGGGTAACATCCACTACATTTGACAGGTCAAAGAATCCCCTTCCTTAAGGACTTTACAATAACCTTACAGGGGGCTAAAGCATACATACCCATGGGTAGTGGGTAAGCCTTGAGAGTACAGTATAAGTCTTGATAACATTTTGAGGTTGATAACTAGTTGAAACTGATCTGTTTTCCCGACCTCAACGTAATTGCAAGGTCACTTCAAGAGGGTAAGGGGCTATTGCAACTACCCAAATTCGCTATTGTAGTATAAAAGCTTTAATTAACAGCATGTATAGGAATGCAAAGCTATGTTCTAATGAAACTTTAAAAAGCAGACACAAATATGAATGTCATATAATTGTCATCTGTCGCAAAACTTTTTTTTTAACCTTTGAAAAATGTGAAACCCATTTTTAGCTCCTAGTACAGCAGAACCTGCGGTGGGCTGGATTTGCCCTGAGGGCTGTAGTTTGCCCCTGTGGTACGTATGAAATGCCACAATTTTAAAAAGATGTGTTACGTGTGGGACCATTTGTGGGGCGGTTTATGCTAACTTCCAATACAGTAATATATGTCAACTCGCTTTTGAGTGACATTTAGTCTGGGTGGCCATGCCCAGGAATGGATATAGAGAAAGGGGCGCGGCCGCGCCGGGCACCACCCTCCAAGAGACTGGTATCGCAGCCCCCAGCTCCAAGGAACTCAGCGCAGGCAGGGGCTTCAGGGACGCGGAGAGGGAGGCTTATCTCTGCTGAAAGGGAATAGCGGCCCGCAAACAAGCAAACCAGGACACTGCTCCGAGGTCCCGCCCAGGAAGGCAAAACGAAGTCCCACCGCTCTCACACCCGGCAACCAACCAAGGCACAGCACGCCCCACCAGCAAGCCACGCCTCGCGCATCACGCACGCACGCACGCACGCACACACGTCTGTCGCGGCTTCCCGCCTTGCGCTCCGTCATGCTCTATTGCGCATATCTCGGGGCGGGGGAGGAACGGAGATTGACAAGGAGGCAGAGGCCTGAGCGAGGCGGAAAATCCTCACCCCGGCCCGCGGGTAGACCCAAACTTCTAGCGCGTCACTTCCGCTGGGGGCGGAGCGGGGCGGGGCTGAGTGGGTGGCGACCTAGCTGCTGCGCCAGTGTTTGTGTTGGAAGCTCAGCTGATGCAGGCCGGTTGGAGTGGACGTCATTGCCGGGAACGAGCGAGTCGCCGCTGCAGCCCTAGTGACTGCGGCCTGCATCCCGGTAAGTAGCCGCGAGGGGACAGGGGCGGGACGATAGGAGGCTGGTTGATCGTTCTGGACCCTTGTCCGGCGCTCCGGGTCGTCCTTTCTTTCTTTGGAGGGCACTTCCCGAGCGAGAGGGTGGGGACACGCCAGGCTTTGGGGAGGAGCTGGCGCTGGAAGGAGCCCGCAGGTCCTGGAGCTCATTGGTACTCGGCGCCCTCCGCCCCCGTGGGCTTTGCTGCCCCAGAAGCGCAAACCGTATTTGGTTTCGCAGGTCCCGCCCTGCTCCCCCTGTCCCATCCCCACGACTCCCTCCTCAATTTTCCAGAGTCTGTCTGCCTTCCCCTGGACTGTAGTGTTCTCCAGTAGTTAACTGGTCACTCTCAGGAGGGTTTCCCTAGTCTACATCATTCTCGACTGTCAGTGTGCACCTGGTGATTCTACTGCCTGATATTTTTTGTCAGTAATCTCTTTCTGACCCCATCCACATTTGATTCTATCCTTGACCGCTGTTGCTTAAGTGGATAAGGTGTATGAATCACTGTGTTGCAGTGCTTCCTATCCCTGTGTCATTTCTATCATTGTGCTGGAAGGAACCTGCTTTCCACGCCTAATACAATGATAACTTTAAAATGGTGACTCATAGGAAAAACTCAGGAGAGTTGTGACATAAGGGACTATCATATAATCCTGCTTAAAATACTGTTTTCAATTCCAAAACAGTTGTATCCTGGTTCTGCAGTCCTAATTTCTGAGAGTTCAAAAATGACAAATGTTTCAGTGTATTAAGAAAATGCTGTTAAACAGTGAAACATTAAGAGCTTATGCCTTGTGAGGCAGTTGTATCAAGCCCATTTTAGCTATTTTGTTAAATTGCTTATGCAAATTAGTTGTCCTTTCAATATAAGAACATGTTTTTATTTCGTAATTATAATCAACTTTTTCTTAATGTTGATCTCTTTTTTTATTTCTATATCAGGACTAAATTAAAATCTTGTAAACGCCCTTTTAATGAGTGATGTTGAATGAAAGGGCCAGTTTCACTAGTTTAGCTATTCACTTGTTTCACATGCAAAGTTGTTACAAGAACAGCCTGTACTTTGAGTTGTTTTTTTTTACCCCAGTTAGAGGGGTTGTGCTGAAGCTGCATATTGCTTCACTCATGGAATATATATTTGTAAAAAGGTCAGAGTTAGAATGCTGAGCCATAGACACCTTCCTGTCCTGCCATTTTTTGTTGTTGTTGGGAGTCTCTCTCTGTCGCCCAGGCTGGAGTGCCTTGGTGCGATCTCGACTCACTGCAAGGTTCAAACGATTCTCTTGCTTCAGCCTCCCGAGTAGCTGGGATTTACAGGCGTGCGCAACCACACCCGGCTAATTTTTTTAAGTAGAGACGGGTTTCCCCATGTTGGCCAGGCTGCTCTCAAACTCCTGGCCTCAGGTGATCCGCCCGCCTCGGCCTCCCAAAGTGCTGGGATTTCAGGCCTGAGCCACCGCACCTGGCCAGTCATTTCTTAGTTCTTATCTTTCTCTGCAGTACTCAAGTATTTTATTCTGTTCATTATCCATTACTTGAAAAAATTTGGTCCTGTCTTGGTTTTCAGTGTCCTGATTTTTTCAGGGTGGCTTTTCTCCTGTTTTGTTTCCTTTAGAGTCTTTTCTTCCTCTTCCTAGCTCTGGGTGGCACTCAAGGCTCTACCCCTGTCGCTCTCCCTAAACCAGAGTTTCGTGTTTGAAACCCAAATATACTTCAGTGGGCATGTGAATATCCTGAAATATTATGGAAAATATAGTTTGTATTGCAAATACACATTTTTCAAGGAAGAAAAGCTTTACTCAGGTTGCCTGATCCCAAAATAGTCATGTATTATTACTGTAAACTATCATCTGGTAAATACGTCTAATGTTGTGGTTTCTGCTGCCACTATGCTGGTAATTCCACAAGTAAATCCACAGTCTGTGTACATTTCCATTTGAATGTCCCACTGTTACTTCATCCTGTGAATCCAAAAGAAAATGTGTTTTTCTCTCCTATTAAATTGTCCCCTTCACAGTTTTCTCATATTCGCAAATGGCACTCTCCGTATTTTTCAGATTTAAAACCTTAGAGCTCTCTTAACACTTCCCTCTCTTTACCCCATTCTTGGCTGTCAAGTCCTGTGTTTTGTTGTTTTCTCTTTTTTCCCTTACTTTCAAAGTGTTCAGAGTGGCCCTCTTCCCCACACTAGTACTTGCTGGGTGAGGTGTCAGAGCCCCAGCATCAGAAAGTGGTCAGCTTGGGGTAGTAGGGTAGTAAGAAAAATTTACCGACAACACCGTAGGTTTGAAAAGGAAAGTTTTATTGGATAGAAAGAGTGCTGCAGAAGAGTGCAGCCAGGCGCCTCAGCAAGAGAGGACAGCTCACCGCAGTGGATTTTTTCTTAGGGGTATTTATGGACCTTAAAGCAGAAGCTGAAGGGTAACTTGGACCATATTAGCCACGTAGGTCATGATCAGTGATTACATTTATAGACATTTTGGTGCTTTGATATCAGCAAAAGTTGCACAGTGAGTTTCGACATGCATACATTCTGGACATGTATAGAGATTCTAGTTACTTATAAATTTCTGGGAAAGAATCCTGGTACCAGATGCCGGCTTTAGCTAATAGAGAAGTCTAATTGTTTCTGAATTCCTCAGATAAGGAGCTTTCCCTCTGGATGGTCTGCTCGATGGCCACCAGGTGATCTTTGCTCTCCTCAGTACTGTTACCTTCAGACTGTTGTCACCCTTTTGACTGTTATATTAATAATTAAGTGACATACTCTGTAAATTCATTCTTTCCATCCTTAGCTGGGTCTCCATCTAACAATTCCCTTAATTCCTCTAGTTAAAACTCCATTCCCTTCTCTAAGTGTTTGGTCCCAGCCTCTCCGTTTTGTTTTATTCGTACCTCCATTGTATTTATACTACCTCTATTCTTCCTTGCTCTTTTTTCAGTTGATGATAGCATCTCACTTTACATTCTTCTTCCTGTGTTTTTGCCATCTAACTTCTGGCTGAATGTACTCTCAAAACACTTACCTTGCATTTACTAGTGTTGTGATTTGGGGGCAATTAAACTTATTGATTTTGTTGGTCATCTTTGTTTTGTAATTTTTGCTTGATAGTTGTAGTTTCTGAGAAAGGTGTATTAAATCTCTCATGATTATGAAATTGTCTAATCTTGTAATAGTTCCCTTATTTTGGCCTTTTGTACTGTATTTTAATGCCAAGTTGATAGGTGGTTTCATAAATTCGTCATATTGGAAAGAAACAATGCAAAATTCTTACCATAGCCTAGTCTCCATTTCCTGCCTGAATTTTGGGGTCTGTGACCCCAAAATATCTGAGACAGGTCTCAATCTAGAAAATTTTGTCGAGTTTAAGGACGCACCCGTGACACAGCCTCAGGAGGTCCTGCTGACATGTGCCCAAGGTGGTCAGATGCCACTTGCCTCTATACATTTTAGTGAGACATAATGCATCAATCAGTCACATTGGTTTGATTTGGAAGGGCAGGACAACTCAAAGGGGACGGGGCCTCCAGGTCATACAAAAATTTTCTAATTGGCGGTTGGTTGAAAGAGTTACTATCAGTAGAAGAAATGTTTGGGTTACCATAAGGAGGTGTGGAAACCAAGGTTTTATGATGCAGATGAAGGCTCCAGGTAGCAGGCTGCAGAGTGAATAGATTGTAAATGTTTTTTTTTTTTCTTTTTTTGTTTTTTTTTTTGAGAGGGAGTCTCGCTCTGTCACCCAGGCTGCAGTTCAGTGGCAGGATCTTGGCTCACTGCAATCTCCGCCTCCCGGGTTCAAGTGATTCTTCTGCCTCAGCCTCCCGAATAGCTGGGACTATAGTCACGTACCACCACGCCCGGCTAATTTTTGTATTTTTAGTAGAGACGGGGTTTCACCATATTGGCCAGGCTGGTCTTGAACTCCTGACTTCGTCATCCACCCACCTCGGCCTCCCAAAGTGCTGGGAGTACAGGCGTGAGCCACCACGCCCGGCCTGTAAATGTTTCTTATCAGACTTAAGATCTGTGTTGATGTGAATGCTGGAGGGGTATAATGAGGCACATCCAACCCCCCTTCCATCGTGGCCTGAACTAGATTTTCAGGTTAACTCTGGAATGCCCTTGGCCAAGAGGAGGGGTCTGTTCAGATGTTTAGGAGAGCTGCAGAATTTTATTTTTGGTTTGGTTCATCTTTATCATTCTATTTTTTCCCCTTACTTGCCTTTAACCACCTTGTAGTTCTTGCTGTTTGTCTCCAAATTGTGGGTTGTTTTTTCTCTCTGACTAGAATGCTTTTTTCCCAGATTTTCTTAATAATTTTCTTCCTCCCTTCATTCAGGTTTCCACTAAAATGTCAACTCAGTTCTGATCACACCATAAAATAGCACTCTGTGGCCTTCTTCCCCTCCTCCCGCTTTATTTTAATTCATGGCACTTCTCAGGCTGACTTTATACATTACGTTTATTATTTGTTTTATTTCTCAATAGATTGTCTTCTCCTCCAAGGTCTACATGATTACCTGAAGTTTAATAAGTAAGTGGATCATTCCTTTATTTTGTAATGTCTCCTTTTTATCCATAATTAATGCCTTTCCCTTATGTTTACCTTCAAAGGCTTTTTACCTTCTGATGGGTAGTTTAGGTCTGGTATAACATTTTTCCCAGTCCTGTATTTTCAGCCTTTCATTATAGGTGTGTTTGTAGCTAGCACATAGCTGGAGTTTTCATTTCTAAGATTTTGCTGTCCTTGTTTATTCTTGGTACAGTTCTCTTTTCGACTCTTTATTTTCCTTCTGTTTCATCTTTGAACATTTTAGACCTACTTAATTTTTTTCTATTTCTAAATCTTAGTTACACATTTTTTTTTCTGGCTATATTTGCTGATCCTCTCTGCAGGTGATGGTGCATTTCTTTGCATGTTTTGTAACTTCAGTGAGTTCATTTTCCATAGTGGTTGCTTGGTGTAGGATCCCATTGCCCATAGGGTATCTGCACCTTGAGGATAGTATGACTGCTGTTCCAGGCCTGTGGGTCCTCTTAAACCTGGAGATTTTTTACTGTTGACTTTGAGCATGGCTTTATTATTTTATAAAATTATTTTTTATTTTTTAAATTGCCAGATAAAGGTGTATGTATTTATGGTGTGCAACATGATGTTTTTAAGTATTATTTTCATTGTGGACTAACTAAATCTAACATATGCATTACCTCACACAGTTATTTTTCTGGTTTCATTTTACAGTCTCAGTATTCTTCAAGTTGAGCATGAATTTTTTTTTAAATGATATATAATATTTGTATATATTTATAGGGTAGATGTGATATTTTGATACATGCATACAATGTGTAATGATCAAATCGGTATTTAGAATATGCATCACCTTGAACATTTATTTTTTCTTGGGAATATTTCAAATCTTCTAGCTATTTTGAAATAACACAATATGTCATTGTTAACTATAGTCCCCCTACTGTACTATTCAAATACTATAACTCATTACTTCTAACTGTATGTTCGTACCCATTAACCAACCTCTCTTATCCCCTCCTTTCCAGCCCCCAACTCTCCCTCACACACTGTTCCTAGCCTCTGGTATCTATCGTTCTACTCTCTATCTCCATGAGATCCAATTTTTTTTAGCTCCTACATATAAGTGAAAACAGAGCATGGCTTTTTATCCACAAGTATTTTATATTAAGTGTTTTTGTGTCATTGGGGCTGCAGAGCTTTTATGTTAACTTGGCTTATCTTATTGACTGTAAGTCCCAAGGAGTTCAGAAGAGCCTTGTAGGGATCGAGGGAAAATTTCCCCTTCCACCTCTGCCGGTTTGCTGAAAATCAGCTGACAGAAACAGATTAGTAAGAGAAATGGCATACAAATTTATTAATGTGCACAGGTGAGAATCACAATGATTACTTAAATATCCCAGTGGGGCCCACATACTTATATAGCTATTTTCAGAGGGGAAGGAAAGATGGTGAATGGAGGTAATTCTCTCGAGCGGCAATAACTGATTACTAGGGAGAAGGAATGGACGGAGAGTTGGAAGGACAGAGACGAACTTGTATTCTCTTTGAAAACTGAATGAGCCTAAGAGACAGACTTTATCTTGTGAAAGTGTCCTTTGGGTGTGGTTACATTCTTCAGTCTTCTTTTCTGCAGCAAATAATAAAATTGTTTTCCCTTCTCCCTGAGGAGGAGAAGGGAAAACAATTGTTCCCCTTGGGGAATCTGTCTGGTCTTTTTGTAGATAGGGAAAAAGTCTCTTCTAGCATCTGTTGATCTCTGATGGGGCTTTAATTCAAAATACTTATACCAGGGAGCCATATTTTGTGGTAGAATTCCCTGGGCTCCTTCAGCCTGGAAGACAAGGCAGGCTTTGCTTTTTTTCTCTCTCTTCCTTTAGATAATTCTAAATGGCACATGCAATTTAGAAGGAAGGATTTTACTTCAGGCTGTTATCTTCTGGACAATTGGAATAGGTTCTCAGTTCCATCTTTCTTGGCATCATCTACCTCTCTCTCAATCTCTCTAGGTCCTGCAGTAAAACTAGACTACATGTAATCTCTGCACATACTATCTGTGCTTTCTTACATGCTTTCTTCTGTTTGCCTCTGTGTGTGTAGTTTTGTTGTTTGTTTTAGAGATGGGGTCTCTGTGGCTCACTGCAGCCTCAGATTCCTAGGCTCAAGTAATCCTCCCACCTCAGCCTCCTGAGTAGCTAGGACTACAGGCATGTGCCACCATGCCCAGCTAATTTGTTTTATTTATTTTTTTTTAAGAGACAAGGTTTCACCATTTATCTGGGCTGGTCTCAAACTCTTGGCTGTGTTTGTTTTGTTTACCGTTATTTAGAATTCTCTCCTTTCCTTCTCATCTTTACACGTGATGAATTCTCTTTTAAATTTGGCCAGTTTTTAACCTCTTTTTTTTTTTTTTAAACTTCCCTCGATTTTATCTCACTTTGTCTTTCATTCACATGGTACCTTCTGTTACAGTCCTTTAAATATTTTGCTTTTTCTAATTACAAAATAAAACCTCATTATAAATAATTCAGACACTAGAAAAGTAAAAAGTAAAAACCGTTCTCATTCCCTTTTGGTCCCATGCCTTAGTTCATAAGAATAAACAAACAGGTGCTTATCCTTTCAGAATCAATATGTGTATGTATATGTGTGTCCATAAGATTTCAACTGCATATGTAGATTTTCATTTTTTAATTTCTTAATATATGTGTGTGTGTGTGTGTATATATATATATATATATATATATATATATATATATATTCATGTGCATATAGCTTATATAGAACTGCAGATTGCTTTTTTTTAAAGACTTTTTTAAGAATAGTTTTTAGGTTCACAGGAAAATTGAGAGGAAGGTACAGACGTTTCCATATACCCCCTACCCTGACACACGCATAGCCACCTCCATTATCGGCATCACCCACCAGAGTGGTACAGTTATTATAATTGATGAGCCTGCATTCACACGCAGTCCCCCAAGTTCATAGTGTACATTTGGGTTCATTCCTGGTAGTGTACATTCTGTGGGTCTGAACAAATGTATAATTATATTTATCCATCATTATGATACTATACAGAGGATTTTTAGGGCAGTAAAAATACTGTCCTCTGTCCCCTACCTATTTATTCCTTCTACACACTGCTTTTGGCAACAGCTGATCTTTTTACTGTCTTCATAGTTTTGCCTTTCTAGAGTGTTATACAGCTGGAATCATACTGCTATGGTCCGAATGTTTGTGCCTCTCAAAATTCATGTGGAAATCATAACCGCTAAAGTGATGGTATTAAGAGGTAGGTCTTTGGGAGGTGATTAGGTCAGGAGGGTGTAGCCCTTAGGAATGAGATTAGTGCCCTTCTAAAAGACAACCCATAGAGCTAGTTAGTACCTTCTACCATGTGAGGACACGGTAAGAAGACAGCCATCTGTGAACCAGTAAGTGGGCCTTCAGCAGATACCAAATCTGTTAATACTGATCTTGGACTTCCCAGTCTCCAGAACTGTGAGAAATTTTGTGTGAAATAAATTTCTACTGTTTATAAGCTACCTAAGCCAGGCATGTGTACCTGTAGTCCCAGCTACTTGGGAGGCTGAGGCAGGTGGATTGCACGAGCCCAGGAGTTCGAGGTGGTAGTGAGTGAGCTATGATCATGCCACTGCACTCCAGCCTGGGTGACAGAGTGAGACCCTGTCTCTATAAAACACACACACACAGACACCCCATATTACATATATATGTAAGCTCCCCAGTTTATGGGATTTTGTTGTAGGAGCCTGAACAGACTAAGACACAGTATGTAGCCTTTTCAGATTGGCTGTTTTCACTTAGTAATATGCATTTCAGGTTTCTCACGGTCTTTTTATGGCTTGATAGCTCATGTCTTTGTAGCACTGAACAATTTTCCATTGTCTGTCTGTGGCACATACACATACCGTATATTGATGTACCACAGTTTATCCATTCACTTACTAAAATACATCTTGTTGTTTTGAAATTTTGGCAATTATGAATAAGGCTTCTGTAAACATCCTCGTGCAGATTTTATTATGGACTTAGTCTTCAGCTCCTTTGGGTAAATATCGAGGAGTACCATTGCTGGGTCATGTTAAGAGTATGTTTAATTTTGTAAGAAGCTACCGAACTATCTTTCAAAGTGGCTGTACCATTTTGTCTTTCTTCAGCAATGAGTGAGAGTTCCTTTTACTTTACATCCTCACCAGCATTTAGTGTTCTCAATGTTCTGTATTCTGGCCATTCTAATAGATATGTAGTAGTATCATGGTTATTTTAGTTTGCATTTTCCTGATGACATATGATGTGGTACAACTTCTTATATGTTTATTTGTTATCTATATATCTCCTTTGATGAGGTGTCTGTTACGGCCTTTGGCACATTTGTAATTGAGTTTGTTTTCTTATTGTCGAGCTTTAAGAGTTCTTTGGATATTACGGATGACAGCTCTTTATCAGATATGTCTGTTGAAAATATTTTTTCCCAATCTCTGCCTCGTTGTCTTATTCTCTTGACATTGACCTTCACAGAGCAGAAGGTTGGTTTTTTTTTTGTTTGTTTTGTTTTTGAGACAAAGCCTGGCTCTATCACCCAGGCTGGAGTGCAGTGGCACGATCTTGGCTCGCTGTAACCTCTGCCTCCTGGATTCAAGTGATTCTTCTGCCTCAGCCACCCGAGTAGCTGAGATTACCGACGTGCACCACCATGCCTAGCTAATTTTTTGTATTTTTGGTAGAGATGGGGTTTCACCATGCCGACCAGGCTGGTCTTGAACTCCTGACCTCGTGATCTGCCTGCCTCAGCCTCCTAAAGTGCTGGGATTACAGGCGTGAGCCACCACGCCTGGCCAGAAGTTTTTAATATTAATGAAGTCTACCTTACCAATTTTTTCTTTTGTGTATTGTGCATTTGATATTGTCTCAAAGTCATTGCCATTCCTAAGGTCATCTAAGTTTTCTCCTATGTTATATTCTAGTTTTATACATTTGCATTTTACATTTAGATCTGTAATCTGTTTTGAGTTAATTTTTTTGATAGGTATAAAGTCTGTGTCTAGATTAATTTGCATGCAGATGTCAGTTGTCATTTGTTAAGACTATTTTTGCCCCATTGTATTACCTTTGCTCTTTTGTCAAAGATCAATTAACTGTATTTAATTGGGTCTGTTTCTGGACTCTCTATTCTGTTCCATTGATCTATTTGTCTTTTCTTTTACCAATACCACATTTTTAAATTGGATTATTCTTTTCTTATTTGTATGTGTTCTTTTTACATAGTGGTTAAGAACCCCTTCTATGTTATATGCTGTAGTTTCTTCTAGCCTGACTTACTTGATTTAATGAGCACTTATTACTTAGGTAGTGAAATCTTTTTCACATGGCTATCAGCAGCTCTAGTCTGGAAATTCTTTCATATCCTGTAACTGTGTGGCTTCAGCATCTAGCACCATGTCTGGTATAGATTAAGTATTCTATAAATCGTTTGCAATGAATAATGTATAAGACCTGACCTTTTTCTTCAAGGAATTAAAGTCTAGTGTCACATAAAGTAGTCCAGAATTTAACAATGAGGAAGGGAAAAAAAAGCATAGTATCTAAATTGCATATTAAATTATGTGTTGTGCAACGGAAGACTTATCTATTGGGAAACTTCCCTAAATTAGTTCTTCTCCCTAAACATTCTATTCCTCATTTTCTTTTTTTATTTACCTCTATACTGAAAGTGAATTATTTTCTATTAGCTTAAAAATGAATTTTCTATCAGCTATAATAGGAATATTTTGTCTGCTTTTTTTGAGACAGCTTGCTGAGTTTAGTCCAAATAGTCTTGTGTTTTCTGTTATACCCAATTTCAATTTTTAACTTGAATTCTAATTTTTTTTCTTGCCATTTCAGGTAAGACCATGAATTATGGCATTTCTTAAATGAAGCGTTCAAGAAGTGAGAGAATGTCATAGAAAATAAATGATTTTTAAGTTATGTCTATTAATCTGACTGTAGATATATATATTTACCTCCTTAGTAATGCAAGAAGTGTTTGTGGGAAGCAGAGAAGCAAGCAACTGTATTTCTTGTTCTCACCTAAGCATTACTGGAGGATAAGCCACATCAGTCTACAAAGAGGTTTTCATACAAACATAATAAGATGTAAATGGACCAAAAGTGAAGCACATTCTTGCAGTAAGCACTGTTACTCTCCAAGCAACCATGGTTTACATATTGGGATTTTGAAACTTAGCACTTCTGCTCCCAAGGGACTTACAAAAGTGAACATTTGTATGTCCCGTATTAAAAGTACTTTGAACTCTGTTTCAAAGGCTGTTTTTGGCAATCAAAATGAAATGATTTCACGTTTAGCTCAATTTAAGCCAAGTTCCCAAATTTTAAGAAAAGTATCGGATAGTGGCTGGTTAAAACAGAAAAACATCAAACAAGCCATCAAATCTCTGAAAAAATATAGTGACAAATCAGCAGAAAAGAGTCCTTTTCCAGAAGAGAAAAGTCACATTATAGACAAAGAAGAAGATATAGGTAAACGCAGTCTTTTTCATTACACAAGTTCTATAACCACAAAATTTGGAGACTCATTCTACTTTTTATCAAATCATATTAATTCATATTTCAAACGTAAGGAAAAAATGTCTCAACAAAAGGAAAATGAACATTTCCGGGACAAATCAGAACTTGAAGATAAAAAGGTAGAAGAGGGGAAATTAAGATCTCCAGATCCTGGCATCCTGGCTTATAAGCCAGGCTCAGAATCTGTACATACGGTGGACAAGCCTACAAGTCCTTCTGCGATACCTGATGTTCTTCAAGTTTCAACTAAACAAAGTATTGCTAACTTTCTTTCTCGTCCCACGGAAGGTGTACAAGCTTTAGTAGGTGGTTATATTGGTGGACTTGTCCCCAAATTAAAGTATGATTCAAAGAGTCAGTCAGAAGAACAGGAAGAGCCTGCTAAAACTGATCAGGCTGTCAGCAAAGACAGAAATGCAGAGGAGAAAAAGCGTTTATCTCTTCAGCGAGAAAAGGCAAGTTGTTCAGTGTGCTTTTCGGTTCTATTACTTTTTGTCAAATTTATAAGTTTTATTTCCTAATGAGAACTAAGAAACTTTCATTGTTCTTTAGAGCAGTTTTGTATTCTAATCATATCTATTTAATATGTCTTTGTAGATTATCGCAAGGGTGAGTATTGATAACAGGACCCGGGCATTAGTTCAGGCATTAAGAAGAACAACTGACCCAAAGCTCTGCATTACTAGGGTTGAAGAACTGACTTTTCATCTTCTAGAATTTCCTGAAGGAAAAGGAGTGGCTGTCAAGGTAATTTCTAATTTATTTAATCTAGTTTTGTCTTGGAATAGAAGTACTAAAAAAAATCTAAAATGGAGAAGGCAAAGCCTTTCATTTTTCCATTTGAATTTTGTGGTTTTTATTATACATGTGATGTGTATTCAGTAATTACCCTATTTATTTTGTGACATACATTATGCTAATCAATTCATTTTATTTTGTTAGCACCAATATGTATACTTTGAAATTAAACATTTATAAAATAGAAAATAATCAGTTTATTAGTTGAATTGCCTAACAGCTGCCAGATTTTTCTTTAGTGCAATGTAAATATTTATACTATGTAACTGTTCTTTTAAGATAGGAGACATAATTCATATGTGAGGCTGTTGTTTTTATTTCATGGTCCTTTCGTATTTGAAAGTCTAAAAATTTGAATGACCTTACTCATAATTGAATTAGTAATCATATTAAGTAAAACAATGAGCTTTTCTTTGCCTCAGTTTTTTCAACTATAAAATAATGAAGATAATTTAGACCCACTTAAATGGACTGTTTTCAGAGAAGTGCTATAAAATATGACTAATGTGATTGAGTCTCTTTACATCTATATTATTAAGATTATTTGTAATATTTAATGAAAAATTTGAAAATATCATAATGATAGATACTGCTTACATTTCATTAGAAATCTATTAGTGCTTATTTTTAGCTTGGCATTCAGAAAATTGTTTTAACTTAGAACACATTTATTCTACTTTTTAACAATTACCTTGTTGAAAAATTGTCTTTGAATAATGTACCCATCCTTACTTGTGTATTGTATAACACATACATTATTATAGGTAGCTTCACTATTTTATGGTCCTATAATTTGGGATTATATTTTATATTTATATAATCTTACATAAAAGATAAGATTCTCAAATATACATATGCTTTTAAGTATATTTCACATTTCAGTGATATACTGAAAGCAAAGATCTTAAATAGAATTACATACTGGCTTAGTCCATTTGGGCTGTCATAATAAAATACCTTAGCTTGGGTAATTTATAAACAACAGAAATTTATTTCTCATAGTTCTGGAGGCTGGGCAGTCCAAAATCAAGGCACCAACAATTTGATGTCTGGTGAGAGTCCCGTTCCTCCTAGACAGCAGCTTCTCATGACCTACTTAGATGGCAGAAGGGGCAAGGTGGCTCACTTCAACCTCTTTTACAAGGCCAGTTGTACTACTGATGGATTTCTGAGTAGTTTTCAGTTGCAGTTTAAATAGTCTTGCTAATTGAAACTCTGAGGACTCTTTTATCTTGCATAACTAATCCCAAATCTAAGGACCTTTCAATACTATGAAAAAATGTAATATAGGAATATATATTCAGATCAATTATGAATAAAAATCTAGGTAGTCTGAAAAAAGTTGTCACCCTTCCCTTAAATAATCATCTGAAAAACAGTGAACTGGACAAATTGCATATAACGTGTCAGCATGTACACTCTAGTGTGAACTTTTCCAGCTAAACTTTTTGTTATTATCAAGAGTTGAGCTTTTTAAAAATGATAGAATTTTTATAAAACATCTGTATCAATTTTACTTTTTTATGTGTCTACCATATTTAAGGTAGCTAAATACAGGGAATTATGTCTGATACGTAATGCCCTAAAAAAAAATGAGTTACTTATTTTGTATGCTACATTTATGGCAGCCACATTTAGGGAATTGTCTGTGATAATTTTTTCACTGTGATGAAGGTGGTCTCCTTTCATTATGTTTTTTAATTAAAAAGAAGAACTTTGACTGTTTAGAAAGAAGGCAGCACAAAGCATTGTAGGGAATTAGAAGAAAGAAAAGATAAGAAAATAAAAATAATATATTTTACCCTCAGATTACCACTGTAATGTATTAGAGTTTATTTGTGTTCATTGGATTAAGCTTCCTTAAGCTCTAATAGCAAACAACACCGAAATCTCAGTGACTTAACAAAACAGTTTTATTTCTGGCTCATGCAAAGTTAACTGTGGGTTTGGGTGACTCTTTGGCACAGTGAACCTCCGTGTGGTGGTTACTTAGATCCTGTCCTGTTGTCTGTATTTTAATTGAGTCTTCCTCTCTGATTTCTGTGGCAAGGAAATAATATTTCAGCAGAAGTTGCCACGGGTTTCTTCTACTCACAATCTGTTTATCCTGTCCGATTGCATGGGCCTGAAAAGTACAACCTTCTGTATGCTTGGAAGGGGAAGCAAACAGTGTATTGGTGAACATTAGTAATGTCTGCACAGTATTCCTTCAGAAATCATTCTATGCACATATATACCAAAATAAACTCATTCTGTATATGTTGTTTTATAATCTGGTTTTTTAGCATATAATGTATACCTTTCTATATCAGTAAATGTCCCTTTATCCTGTACCCAGTTTGAAAATGTTATTTATGTAACTGATTAGATCCAAATGAGGGTTCAGTCTAGATCACACATTGCATCTGACTATTTCTCCAAGTCACTTAAAATATAACGCAGTCCTTCAGCCACACCTTCTTCACCTGCACCTTTAAAACTGATTTAATTGAAGACATTAGGCTGGTTAACAGGCAGAAAGACTCGCTTTCTGGATGTACCTGCCTTCTTCCTTCTCAGTGTTATTTGAAGTGTTCCTCTTTCCTTTTCATTTCCTGAACACTGGAATTTAAATATAATGGCTTGATTGAGTTAAACATTTTGTTGTTAGAGCACATTGTAGGTAATGTCATGTGCCTCATAATGCATCATATCAAGACACACATGACAATTAGTTGAACAACCATTAGTAATGCTAAGGATGACCACCGTGTTAAAGTGATGACAATCTGCTTCTCATTGGACAATTGTGCTAGAAGCATTATCTCATCAACCATTAACCTAATCATTTCCAGAACTAATAATTTCATTAGAGTTGCAGAATGACCAATGTCTAATTCTGTTACTCCTACATTATAATTGACATTCTTCTGTAAAGAAGAGCCTTCCTTCATCAACTGAAGCTATTTGGGTATTCTCAAAGGCAAATTTTACAAATTTTACAGGAAAGGAAAGAGAAATGCTTAATTTATTTGTATTTAGTTACCAGTTTTCTTTTTTTTTTTTTTTTTTTCCAATTTGAGAGCAGGTACTGTTTATTAACCAACCAGCTTAGAGAAATAGTCATGGTAGACACCTTAGTTCATTCTTCTAATAAGCCTGTTGATCTGGTCCTCCCTGTTGCCAGCATCTCCACCTTCTACAAAATGGGTGGTCTTTTTCTTCATTCCACCTCGTGGAGAAGACAATTTGAAGGGCCACAGGAAGTTATTTGCCTCTTTGAAGCGTTTTCCAACAGTATAGATCTCATGAATCAGATCCTCCATGCAGATGATGCCATATTTACCAAGAGATCGAGCAATCAAAGCGTTATCTGTCAAAGCAATTCGCTTCTTATTGATTTTGCCATAACCACTCTTGTAGATTAGTTCATTTACTGACTTCAGATTGGGGTACCCCCATGCAATATATGGCTCTACAATCCTCAGCATGTTAGTCGAAGCCTTGTTGAGCTTCACAAAGGTTCCATTGTAGATTTGACGAAGGCGAAGAAGCTGCAACACCTTTCGGACCTTTGGGCTCACGCCACTGATACCTCTGATTCTGATGACAAATGCCAGTTTGGGTTCTGCAGGTACAAAGTAGTTGCCAGCTTTTCTTGCCATCCTCGCCATTCGAATTTCAGTTCTGTACATCTGCCTATATTCCCTGTGATAGTGCTTTGCTTTTTCATAGATAAGCTTCCTCCTTGCCTTTCGAAGCATCTTTTGGGCAAACTTCTTTCTCAGGCGCTTCATCTTCAGCTCTGAGAAATTCCTTCGCTTTTTCTTAAGGGTTTCTGGCACAGCAGGAACCTTCTTCTTCTCTTCTACACCCACCATGGTTCCAGCCGGAAAAAGAGCTAGTTACCGGTTTTCTTTCTTTTTTTTTTTTTTTATTATACTTTAAGTTTTAGGGTACATGTGCACATTGTGCAGGTTAGTTACATATGTATACATGTGCCATGCTGGTGCGCTGCACCCACTAACTCATCATCTAGCATTAGGTATATCTCCCAATGCTATCCCTCCCCCCTCCCCCCACCCCACCACAGTCCCCAGAGTGTGATATTCCCCTTCCTGTGTCCGTGTGTTCTCATTGTTCAATTCCCATCTATGAGTGAGAATATGCGGTGTTTGGTTTTTTGTTCTTGCGATAGTTTACTGAGAATGATGATTTCCAATTTCATCCATGTCCCTACAAAGGACATGAACTCATCATTTTTTATGGCTGCATAGTATTCCATGGTGGATATGTGCCACATTTTCTTAATCCAGTCTATCATTGTTGGACATTTGGGTTGGTTCCAAGTCTTTGCTATTGTGAATAATGCCGCAATAAACATACGTGTGCATGTGTCTTTATAGCAGCATGATTTATAGTCATATGGGTATATACCCAGTAATGGAATGGCTGGGTCAAATGGTATTTCTAGTTCTAGATCCCTGAGGAATCGCCACACTGACTTCCACAATGGTTGAACTAGTTTACAGTCCCACCAACAGTGTAAAAGTGTTCCTATTTCTCCACATCCTCTCCAGCACCTGTTGTTTCCTGACTTTTTAATGATCGCCATTCTAACTGGTGTGAGATGGTATCTCATTGTGGTTTTGATTTGCATTTCTCTGATGGCCAGTGATGATGAGCATTTTTTCATGTATTTTTTGGCTGCATAAATGTCTTCTTTTGAGAAGTGTCTGTTCATGTCCTTTGCCCACTTTTTGATGGGGTTGTTTGTTTTTTTCTTGTAAATTTGTTTGAGTTCATTGTAGATTCTGGATATTAGCCCTTTGTCAGATGAGTAGGTTGCGAAAATTTTCTCCCATTTTGTAGGTTGCCTGTTCACTCTGATGGTAGTTTCTTTTGCTGTGCAGAAGCTCTTTAGTTTAATTAGATCCCATTTGTCAATTTTGTTTTTTGTTGCCATTGCTTTTGGTGTTTTGGACATGAAGTCCTTGACCATGCCTATGTCCTGAATTGTAATGCCTAGGTTTTCTTCTAGGGTTTTTATGGTTTTAGGTCTAACGTTTAAATCTTTAATCCATCTTGAATTGATTTTTGTATAAGGTGTAAGGAAGGGATCCAGTTTCAGCTTCCTACATATGGCTAGCCAGTTTTCCCAGCACCATTTATTAAATAGGGAATCCTTTCCCCATTGCTTGTTTTTCTCAGGTTTGTCAAAGATCAGATAGTTGTAGGTATGCGGCGTTATTTCTGAGGGCTCTGTTCTGTTCCATTGATCTATATCTCTGTTTTGGTACCAGTACCATGCTGTTTTGGTTACTGTAGCCTTGTAGTATAGTTTGAAGCCAGGTAGTGTGCTTCCTCCAGCTTTGTTCTTTTGGCTTAGGATTGACTTGGCAATGTGGGCTCTTTTTTGGTTCCATATGAACTTTAAAGTAGTTTTTTCCAATTCTGTGAAGAAAGTCATTGGTAGCTTGATGGGGATGGCATTGAATCTGTAAATTACCTTGGGCAGTATGGCCATTTTCACGATATTGATTCTTCCTACCCATGAGCATGGAATGTTCTTCCATTTGTTTGTATCCTCTTTTATTTCCTTGAGCAGTGGTTTGTAGTTCTCCTTGAAGAGGTCCTTCACATCCCTTGTAAGTTGGATTCCTAGGTATTTTATTCTCTTTGAAGCAATTGTGAATGGGAGTTCACTCATGATTTGGCTCTCTGTTTGTCTGTTGTTGGTGTATAAGAATGCTTGTGATTTTTGTACATTGATTTTGTATCCTGAGACTTTGCTGAAGTTGCTTATCAGCTTAAGGAGATTTTGGGCTGAGACAATGGGGTTTTCTAGATATACAATCATGTCGTCTGCAAACAGGGACAATTTGACTTCCTCTTTTCCTAATTGAATACCCTTTATTTCCTTCTCCTGCCTAATTGCCCTGGCCAGAACTTCCAACACTATGTTGAATAGGAGTGGTGAGAGAGGGCATCCCTGTCTTGTGCCAGTTTTCAAAGGGAATGCTTCCAGTTTTTGCCCATTCAGTATGATATTGGCTGTGGGTTTGTCATAGATAGCTCTTATTATTTTGAAATACGTCCCATCAATACCTAATTTATTGAGAGTTTTTAGCATGAAGGGTTGTTGAATTTTGTCAAAGGCTTTTTCTGCATCTATTGAGATAATCATGTGGTTTTTGTCTTTGGCTCTGTTTATATGCTGGATTACATTTATTGATTTGCGTATATTGAACCAGCCTTGCATCCCAGGGATGAAGCCCACTTGATCATGGTGGATAAGTTTTTTGATGTGCTGCTGGATTCGGTTTGCCAGTATTTTAGTTACCGGTTTTCAAAGTAAGGTGTTGCTTTAATAGCTGCCTCAGTGATTAAATGAATTTTTTTGCACCTTTAAAAAAAATATTATGGACTCCTTGTTTTTCTAAGTTAAATGTGTTTCTTTTTCTTTTTTTGGGAGACAGAGTCTCTGTCACCCAGGCTGGAATGCAGTGCCATAGTCTTCACTCACTGCAACTTCTGCCTCCCAGGTTCAGCCCAGCTCAGCCTCCTGAGTACCTGGGACCACAGGCATGCACAACCACACCCAACTAATTTTTGTATTTTTTGTGGAAAGAGGGTCTCACCATGTTGCTCAGGTTGATCCCGAATTCTTGGGCTCAAGCAATCTGCCTGCCTTGCCTCCCAAAGTACTGAGATTATAGGTGTAAGCCACCTCACCCAGCCTGTTTCTTTTTTTTTTTTTTTTTTTTTTTTTGAGACAGAGTCTTACTCTGTCACCAGGCTGGAGTGCAGTGGTGTGATCTCAGCTCACTGCAACCTCCACCTCCGGGGTTCAAGGGATTCTCCTGCCTCAGCCTCCCGAGTAGCTGGGACTACAGGCGCCCGCCACCACGCCCAGCTAATTTTTGTATCTTTAGTAGCGATGGGGTTTCACCATGTTGGCCAGGATGGTCTCGATCTCCTGACCTCAGGTAATCCACCTGCCTCGGCCGCCCAAAGTGCTGGGATTACAGGCGTGAGCCACCGCTCCCAGCCTCACCGAGCCTGTTTCTATGATCTATTTTCTCCCCTTCTCTTTTTTAAAATGCTGAATTTGTCACAAGGATTCATACATCCTTTGGGTTTATTAAAAAACTTTTTATAAAAATATTATATATAGAGAACAACACAAATCGTAAGTTTACAGTTCCATGATTTTTCACACATGAAATACATCTATATAACCACCACCCTGAATGAGAAACAATCTTATGAACACTCCAAATACTGTTCCCAAAAAGGTTGATCAGTTTTTCAGAATTCTAGCAGCATAATTTAGTTGTGCCTCTTTTTGCATGTTCTATGAATTATACAGCATGTGTTCTTATATGTCTGGTTTTTTTTTTCACTCAATATTATGTTTGTGAGAACCTTCTATATTGTTGGGTATACTTTTCATTTTTCCCTCTATTGCTAGACATTTGGATGGTTTGCAGTTTGGGAATATTTAGTAGTAGTACTTCTGGGTTATATCTTTTGGAAAACATAGGTCTTCGTTTCTTTGGAGTATATACCTAAGAGTACTATTGCTGCTCACAGAGTGAGCATATTTGTAACGTTAGTAGATACTGCCAAATGGTTTTGCATAGTGCTTGTGCCAATTTATTCTTTCACCAGAATTCTATGAGGCCTCTGTGTTCTACTTTCTCTCCAACACTTTATTTTGTAATTTTTTTTTTGAGACTGAGTGTCGCTCTGTTGTCCAGGCTGGAGTGCAGTGGTGCGATCTCGGCTTGCTGCAACCTCCGCCTCCTGGGTTCAAGCAGTTCTCCTGCCTCAGCCTCCCGAGTAGCTGGGATTACAGGTGCGCACCACCACACCCTGCTAATTTTTGGTTTTTTAGTAGAGACGGGGTTTCACCCTGTTGGTCAGGCTGGTCTCCAACTCCTGACCTCAAGTAATCTGCCCACTTCGGCCTCCCAAAGTATTGGGATTACAGCCGTGAGCCACTGTGCCCAACCTTTTTAAATCTTTTTAATTTGAGCAGTTTTGTTGGGTGTTAAGTGATACTAAATTATGGTTTTAATTTTTTATTTCATTGATAGCTATGATATTCAGCATCTTTTCCAGGGTTTATTGGCCATGTTTATACTTCCTTGTGAAGTACCTATTCCAGATCTTGCCTATTTTTCCATTGGGTTCACCAACTTTTTCTTCATTATTTGTAGAATTTTAAAAATATATTACGGTTGTAACTCACTTGTCATATGTGCGGTATGTATGTGTATGTCTTACAAATCGTTCTCCTATTCCGTGGCTGACCTTCTCACTCTTGTGTTTTTTGATGAACAGATATTCTTAATTTTGTCCAATTTATAAATACTTTTCTTTATAGTTAGTATTTTGTGTCCTGTTTAAGAAATCTTTGCCTATCCTAAAGTCATAAAAGTATTTTTGGCCAGGCGCCGTGGCTCAGGCCTCTAATCCTAGCACTTCGGGAGGCTGAGGTGGGCAGATCACGAGATCAAGCGATCAAGACCATCCTGGCCAACGTGGTGAAACCTCGTCTCTACTAAAAATACAAAAATTAGCTGGGCTTGGTGGCGTGCGCCTGTAGTTCCAGCTACTTGGGAGGCTGAGGCAGGAGAATGGCTTGAACCTGGGAGGCGGAGGTTGCGGTGAGCTGAGATCACGCCGCTGCACTCCAGCCTGGCAACAGAGTGAGACTCCGTCTCAAAAAAAAAAAAAAAAAAAAAAAAAAAAATATATATATATATATATATATATATATATATATATATATATATATATATATAAATTTTCTTGTGTTTTCTTCTGAAACCTTGCTTTGCCTTTTACTCTTCTATCTAGTATTCATCTAGAATAGATTTGGTTGTGTGGTGTGTGTCAGAAGTCCTGACTTTTAAAAAATACACTTATCCAGTTGACTCAGCACCATTTATTGAAAAGACCTTTATCATAAATGAGATGTATATATGGATCTGTTTCTAGACACAGTATTTTTCATTTATGTATTTTTTGAGATGGAGTTTCGCTCTTGTTGCCCAGGCTGGAGTGCAATGTGCAATCTTGGCTCACCACAACCTCTGCCTCCCAGGTTAAAATGATTCTCCTGCCTCAGCCTCCCTAGTAGCTGGGATTACAGGCATGCACCACCATGCCCAGCTAGTTTTGTATTTTTAGTAGAGATGGGGTTTCCCCATGTTGGTCAGGCTGGTCTCGAACTCCCAACCTCAGGTGATCCACCCACCTCGGCTTCCCAAAGTGCTGGGATTACAGGCGTGAGTCACCATGCCCAGCCAGACACAGTATTTTGTTCCACTGGTATATTTGTGTGTGGTTGTGCTGATAGTGCACTGGCTCAATTTTTGCAGCTGTATAAACCTAGGTAGTATAAATCCTCCAACCTTGTTCTTCTCAATGTTGTTGGCATGGCTATTCTTGACATGTTATATTTCTATATGAATTTTAGAATCACCTTATCTACAAAAAAATTTTTAAAAGAGAAAAACATGGTGGGATTGCAGTGAATATGTGGAACAATTTAGGGTGAATTGGGTCTTTGTTGAGTTTCCAAGCCATGACATATGGCATATTTTTTCAATTATTCGGGTCATCTTTATTTTCCTCCTGTGTTTTAAAAATTTTCAGTGTTGGGTGTCTTTTACATCTTCCATTGGAATGATTTTATTTAACTAATTCATAGGTATCTGATATATTTTGATAATTTTATTTTGTTATTTTTATTTCAACATGTTTTTGTGGTAATTCTAATATGAACATCAATTCTTGGTTTTTGTAATTCGGTACTGGATTCACATACGTTATAGTTTTTCTGGATGCTGGACATTGTAAGTTTAAAAAATTGCATAAGCTCTAGATTATATCAAATTATATCTTTTTCTGGGGTTTATTTGTTCTTCTGTTTGGCATTTGAGTGGAGCCCTGATAGCCTTAATTCAGTTAGGGTCAAATCTGGATCAAGGCTGTATTACAGTTTGGGTAAGACCTCTAGTTTGCCCTGATTTTTGGGCATATTCTTCCAGGGTGTGTTCACTTAACCACCATCTCATTGGGTCCTAAAATCTCAAGAATACAAAGCCTTCCACTCTGATTTTCAGAGGTCTTCGGCTTACCTTTTGCCTTCCACACCTCATGATTTTAGAATTCAGCAAATGTCTTGAGGTAAAGCCAACCATGTGTTTGAAGCCCTTCAGGTCTTCCATTTTTTTCACTCCAAACCCCTTAGATGCTAAACGATCAGCTGGTTTCTCTGTCCTTTATTTGGGGCCCTCTGTCTGAGTCAGACTCACTTTTTTGGTCCTTTACTTTTTCCTGGAATCAGCAAATGCCTCAAGGGAAGAAAAGCTATAGTTTACCAGCTCACTTCCTAGCAATTACTCCTTCTCCAGATTCTTGGCTCCATCTGTTCTTGTTGCTTCAGCAGCTCTCTGTCTGATGCCTTTAAACAGATGGTACTTTTCTTGTATTTCATCAAGATTTTCTTGTTGTTGATGTGAGCGTTGATCTGTAACAGAGTATTTCATCTTAACCGGAAATGGAAATTTGCATTATTCTCCACCATTGCTCAAGTTCCTCTAGTGGGGCCTCACAGCTCAATATTAGGGGAAAAAATATTGAGAAAGAATTTAGAGTATTTCAGGTTGATTGATCATAAAAAAGAAACAAAATGAGTGATACCTAGGAAAATTGTTTGATTTACAGAAGGTTGCACAGCAGAATTATAGCTGCCACTCAGCCATTCCATTAAACCTGCGGTACTGACTATGTAAGATGCTTCTGTGTACAGAAGCTAGAGAATCTTTGGTAAGCAACATAGAACTCTAGGATTTAAGCTCTTGTCTGTGATCAACAATATGATGTTGAGTGCTTAGAATCTTGAAGTCTCAGGTTTATTTAAACTGATTATTTAATTGTAGTGGCCTGCTTTTACCTTCTCACCTCAGTTACCTTTGTTAACATTTGTTTGTATTCTTTTATGAGGCAACCTTGAATCCCATATGCAATGTATACAAGATGGTTCATTATTTCTTTTTAATAACAGTTTAACTTCTAGTAGTTACTGTGAATCAGTTTTAGCCTCTTAATCTCAGGATTTGGACTAAATATTATACAAAATTTATAATGTTAACCTTTTGTTATAATAATTTGTAAATTTCTATAAATTATATTTTCTCTAGTTAAGTATTACATCTTTTAATGAAAACTTTTGAATATTGGTTAATTTTTGTCCTCAATATTAGAACAAATGTAATCTAGAAAATTGACATTAATATATCAAAAACTAATCTGTCTTATAAGATTACTGAGAAAGTAATGAACACTGTCACCTTGGTTGTCATGTGGTGAACTGCATGTATTGGTTAATAATAATCATACATTTTCAGTCTTGATTTGACAAAAGCAACAAAGTATCTTTTCTCTCAATATAGGAAAGAATTATTCCATATTTATTACGACTGAGACAAATTAAGGATGAAACTCTTCAGGCTGCAGTTAGAGAAATTTTGGCCCTAATTGGCTATGTGGATCCAGTGAAAGGGAGAGGAATCCGAATTCTCTCAATTGATGGTGGAGGAACAAGGTAAGGCTAGGAACATGATTCTTTTTTTTTTTTTTTTTTTTTTTTTTTGAGATGGAGTTTCCCTCTGTTGCCCAGGCTGGAGTGCAGTGGCACAATCTCAGCTCACTGCAACCTCTGCCTCCCAGGTTCAAGCGATTCTCCTGCCTCACCCTCTCAAGTAGCTGGATTTACAGGCTCCCGCCACCATACCCGGCTAATTTTTGTAGTTTTAGTGGAGACAGGGTTTCACCATATTGGCCAGGTTGGTCTCAAACTCCTGACGCCAGGTGATCTGCCTGCCTTGGCCTCCCAAAGTGCTAGGATTACAGGCGCGAGCCACTGCGCCCAGCTGGAACATGATTCTTAAAAACTACAGATTCAATTCAGCTTTAGGAATTAAAAAAAAAAAGATTTGATATAAATAAAATCAAATTTTTAAAATAAAACATGAAATTGTTTTAATTAATACTTTATTAATCTAAGTGCTACTCTGACATATACTTCAGTTCTTTGGTTTGATTTGGTATTTATATTTTTGTATTTGATTTGATTTGATTTTAGTATTTATATTTTTATATTTGGCCTTTTTAGACCTTTTTGGTAGTTCAGAAGCTTATCAACCATTATTCTCATAAAACCTTGACAGTGTTTTATAATTTTAGCTTTCATTTATTATTTTATTTTTTTGGAGACAGAGTCTTGCTCTGTCGCCCAGGCTGGAGTGCAGTGGTGCGATCTCAGATCACTGCAACCTCTGCCTCCCAAGTTCAAGCGATTCTCCTGTCTCAGTCTCCGAAGCAGCTGGGATTATAGGTGTCCACCACCATGCCTGGCTAATTTTTTGTGTTGTAAGTAGAGACGGGATTTCACCATGTTGTCTAGGCTGGTCTTGAACTCCTGACCTCAGGTAAACCACCTGCCTTGGCCTCCCAAAGTGCTGTGATTACAGGCGTGAGCCACCGCGCCCAGCCAGCTTTCTTTTATTACACTTATCTTACCCATATATATCAACTAGTTACTTGATAAAGTGATGGTTACAAAATGAGGCTATATTAACTTCCTGACTTCTGATGTCTTCACTTGGAGATGCCAGTTCTGGTGCCATATAAGAAATAAATTCTTTCTTTGTTCAGAAGGAGATAATTTCACTATTAAGCTCTATTTTTACTACTGGCAATCCATCCATGCTTCCTACTCAGTCTTTGTTTATCTAGTTCCTTCCAACTTGTTGGTTAGATTTTTTGGCTTGGTTTTTCAAACCTTTTCCCCAAAATCTTCTAGCTTGTTCTCTAGTTCCCTGCCATCTCTACTGTTACCTTGTAATTCATAGTACATGCCCTGCCTATTGTTCTTAGGTTTAGCTTACCTCTCTGATTTTGCTTTTTGGTATAACCAACTTGCCAACCACTCTTCTGTATGTTCAAGTACTACCCTGTATCTTTTTGTTAAATTCCTTGGTTCTGTATTCACCCGAGTCCTTTATACTTTGACATCAATATGAAGGAAGGAATAAGTACTGAGAGAAGGAAGCTAACCTCAGATGGTGGCAGTGGAAGGCAGGAGGAAGGAAAAATGTACCAGTAACTTTTTTTTTTTTGAGACGGAGTTTTGCTCTGGTTGTCCGGGCTGGAGTGCAGTGACGTGATCTCGGCTCACTGCAACCTCCACCTCCCAGGTTCAACTGATCAGTTCTCCTGCTGTAGCCTCCCCAAGTAGCTGGGATTATAGGCATGCACTACCACACCCAGCTACTTTTGTATTTTTAGTAGAGACGGGGTTTCACCATGTTGGCAAGGCTGGTCTCAAGCTCCTGACCTCAGGTGATCCACCCGCCTTGGCCTCCCAAAGTGCTGGGATTACAGGTGTGAGCCACCATGCCAATATCAGTAACTTTTAAGAAACTCGGAGACAGGATATGGTAGACATAGGTCAAGATCACTCTAACAGTAAACCTGTGTGTGACTGGGACAAAACTGCAGGGAATCTCAACAGATTGGTGTTGAGGAAAGACAGTTCTTTCTTGAACATATTTAATATAAGATTATATCCATACAGAAGTGCTCGGTTGGCAAAAGCCCACTGAAGAGAGAAAAATCTTTAAAGATCTTAGAGGCTATTTCTCAGGAAAGTGAAATAATCTTAAGAAAGTGTATGTCATTCATGTGATACAGATAAAGTGATAACTGGAGAGATTATTCTAGTTCATAGAATTGGTTCCAAATGGTGAAAAATAGGGAAAATGGCAGTTAAATGAGTAGGGGCATTTCACTAAGGAGCAGAAGGAATCCTCTCTGCCATAATGTTCAGGGGAGTTGGGACAGGTAGTGTCATTCATTGAGTCAGCTAACAAATATTGGGGGCCTACTATGTTGTAAGCACTGATTTAGATCCTGGGGACAGTGAGCAAACAAAACAATACAGTGTTTGCATTGTAGAGAAGGAAAAGACAACAAATAGAAAAACAAAAATATGTTATTCTGGGTGCTATGAAGAAAAATAAAGCAAAGTAAAGGGATAGAGAGGAAGAGTACTATTTTAAAGAATGCTCAGGACCAAGACTTCTTTTTAAAGAAGTTATATTTATGTAGAGATAGGAAGGAAGGAAGAAAATTGAAGAACATTCACATGTCTAAGGTCAGACAAGCATGATGAAAAAGAAGTTTGTATCCAATAAATAGTTTATCTTGTAGAATAAGAGTTGTATTAGTCATATAGGGAGGAAATCAGTGTGAGGTAATTTGGGAAAATCTAGGGGTGGGTTAGGATGAAGTTAGGTTTAGGTTAGTAATTCTCCACTGGAGGTGATTTTGCTCCCTAAAGGACATTTGGCAGTGTCTGGAGACATTTTTAGTTGTCACAACTAGAGCACTGCCACTTGCATCTAGTTTGAAGAGGACAGTTGTGACTAAACATCATACAGTGCACAGGACAGCCCCGCAAAACAAAGATTATCCAACCCAGAATGTCAGCGGTTCTGCTGTTGAGAAAACTTGGTTTAGGGGAATATGGGAAAGCAGCCCAGATGGGAGGTTTGTGCGGAAAGCAGTAATGTATGAGGGATTGAGAGAAAAAATAAAAAACCCTGTCTTTGACTTCTTTGTTATAAGAGAACCTACAGTGGTAGACACAGACAGCTGTGGCAACTTGGCAGATATATACGTATTTAAATTCATTCGGAATTTATGAGTACAACATTTTTAAATAGTTAAGTTTCCCAATTATACGAGTAGTTAGAAAAACCTGAGAGAGAAAAAAACCCCAAAACCATAGCTCACAACTCTTAAGATTATTTTAGTATTTTGATTTATTTTCTTCTAATCTTTTTCTGTGTGAACATATACGTGCCTATTTTATTTCCTTTTTGTGATAATAGAGGTCACATTGTTAAATATATTTTATCCAGCATTACATTTAATTCATCATGTCTTGTCTTGAATTAATAATGTACCTCTTTCATAAGATATCTTAACTCTCCTCAAATGCACATTATTTGTTGTATTTAAAAAATCAGCATCTTTGGTTTTCTACTTTAATCTTACATAATTTTCTAGTTACTTCTTGTTAACATTATCAAGCACAATTTGACACTCAAAATTTTTTGATGCCTAACTACCTTTGTGTTCCAGGACTTACCTACCCCCTACCTTGTGTTGGGAATAGAGCTTTTCATCGTTTTTTTATTCTCCCACTGTTAAAAATTGTCATGATACACACATGACAGTTTACATGGTACATACACCCTCAATTGGTCTATATCTCCTAAGCTTTTTCATCGTTTCGCATTCCTTCATGAAGCTATTAACTGCTGTTGGCAAGGATTCAGAAATGAGCAAAGTCAGCAACATTAATTAATATACCATTAATATAGAGGGTTAACCTGAAGTTATTGAGAGTTTTTAAAAATGAATAAAGAAAAGGGAGCTTAAAAATCTGACTGGTGGCCGGGTGCAGTGGCTCACACCTGTAATCTTAGCACTTTGGGAGGCTGAGGCGGGTGGATCATGAGGTCAGGAGATCGAGACCATCCTGGCTAACATGGTGAAACCCTGTCTCTACTAAAAATACAAAAAAAAAAAAAAATTAGCCAGGCATGGTGGCAGGCTCCTGTAGTCCCAGCTACTCGGGAGGCTGAGGCAGGAGAATGGCATGAACCCAGGAGGCGGAGGTTGCAGTGAGCCCAGTGAGCCACTGCACTCCAGCCTGGGCAACAGAGTGAGACTCCATCTCAAAAAAAAAAATCTGGTGAAATATGTAAGACAAAAATGTATAGAGTCATAGGTGACCAACTATGTTAGTAAGAGAGGAAACCAAGGTATGGCATTCCAAAACCAGTGAGTGAGTTTTTAAGTGTTTTCCAGTTTTTTTTGTTTTTTTTTTTGTTTTTTGTTTTTTTTTTCAATTTTATATTGGCATATCTTTGTATTCTTATTTAGTTGTTTGTTGGTTTTTGGCATTCTTAAGAAGTGTATTTGAGTGGATTTCTTCTTCTTTTTACTTTTTTTTTTTTTTTCTGTAGAAATGGGATCTCGCTATATTGTTCAGCTGGTCTTGAACTCCTGGCCTCAAGTGATCCTCTTACCTCAACCTCCCAAAGCGCTGGGATTACAAGAATGAGCCACTGCCTGGCCAGATTTATTCTTAAAGAGATACTGTTCTGCAGAAGGATGGGTTCAGTGAAAAAACAAGAGAGAGATACTAATATAAATTTTAAAATGTGCTGCCTTAGTGTAGGTTTTTTTATCATTTAGATATTAGATTTTCAAAAGTAATACTAAAAATTTGGACAGGCAATTTTTACTGATTTTGATTTATATTATTAATTTTCATGTTAGCATATAAACTCTAAAAGCAATTATTAGATTGTTTTATTCAACAGCTTAAATTATTTTTTCTTTAAACAGGAATTGTCATTTTGTCTTTAATCTTTTCTGTAGGGGCGTGGTTGCTCTCCAGACCCTACGAAAATTAGTTGAACTTACTCAGAAGCCAGTTCATCAGCTCTTTGATTACATTTGTGGTGTAAGCACAGGTAATTATTATTATATGGAAGTGGTGCATTCTGGCAGTACATTAAGGAAAAGAACATTAAGCACTTATGTTTAAGATCATAGTCCTTTGCCTTCTTCAGCCCTCTCTCCATACCCCAAAATTTTGTACTTCCTTTTTTGTCTTTTGTTCATGGTTATGCCAGTTAGGCACACTAGGTGGCAGTGTGTCCTACCTATTATAGCTAGATATGGAATCAGCTGTTTAAAAGGACATCCAAGAGTACCTAATATGTTTAATTACATTGGTTCCTAGGACTAACTTGAAGGAGAATTGCTTAGTGATTTGGTGAGTTGTCAAATATACCATATTCTGTGACTAAAACTAAGTAATTCATTGATGTTAGAAAGAACGTGAATTATCTACCATAGTATCTTATATATAATTTAATGTAAAACAACACATTTGTAAATATTTTTAAATTATTATTATTATCATTATTGGGGGTAGCATTTATTTAATCCTTTTTGAGACCTGGTAAATCCCTTTACATTTGTTAACCCAGTAAGACACATGAATTTTGGTTGTTCTTATTACTCCCATTTTACCCCTGAAACAAATGGGGCTCTGAGAAGGAAAGTCATTTGTCCCAGGTGACATAGCTAGAAAGTATCAACGCTAAAATTTAAGCCAAAACTATGATTCAGGAAATCTTACATCATAAGGGCTATAACTTAACACTGATAAAAGCTAAGGATTCTTTTTTCCAGGTGCCATATTAGCTTTCATGTTGGGGTTGTTTCATATGCCCTTGGATGAATGTGAGGAACTTTATCGAAAATTAGGATCAGATGTATTTTCACAAAATGTCATTGTTGGAACAGTAAAAATGAGTTGGAGCCATGCATTTTATGACAGTCAAACATGGGAAAACATTCTTAAGTAAGTTACAATTACTCTTTTTAAATCTTCTGATTATATAGGTAGTATGTGCATATTATAATTTGAAAAATGTCAATATTAAATTATATTCTTGCATATTATAATTTGAAAAATATCAAGAATATTAAATTATTTGACTAATTAGAGATAACCACTGTTAGTATTTTGGTGAATCATAGTTTAGTAATTGTTTTGGGGGGTTTGTGTGTGTGAGATTTGCATGTAAAAGTTGCAATTGCCTTTTTTAAAAATATGAGATACTTGCATCCTGTTGTTTTTACTTAACATATTAAATGTGTCTCAAGTCATTCTAAAATATTCAATTATTTTTATTTTTATTTGTTTTTCGACACACGCTCTCACTCCCGTTGCCCAGGGTAGAGTACAGTGGTGCTATCTTGGCTCACTGCAGCCTCAACTTCCCAGGCTCAAGTGATCCTCCCACGTCAGCCTCCCAAGTAGCTGGGACCACACGTGTGCACCACCATGCCCAGCTAATTTTTTCTGTTTTTAGTAGAGAGAAGATTTCACCATGTTGCTCAGGCTCCTAACCTCAAGTGATTGGCCTGCCTCCCAAAGTATATATAATCATAAAATATAAGCATAAAATCATCCACAATCCTGTTATTCAGAGCTGTAGACTTTAATATATCTCCTTCTAGTTTATTAGACCTTATACATTTTGTATAGCTGATATTAGATTGTAGTTGTAAATTCGTATCCTTCTCCTTTTTTCAAACGTTCTTAAAATCTCCTGACATATTTTTAAAGACTACACTGTACTCCAGAGTGGGATGTTACACTTTCTTAATCATTTCCATTTAGGATTTTTATGGACATTTACGACATTTATGTTCCTAATTTTTTGGGATTATGAACAATGCTGTCATAGAAAACTTTAAATTTCTTCTCACATTTCAGAATATATTAGTAGGTCACTATATAAGAAGCATATTTATTGGGTCCAATGTTGATGTCTTCTTAAAATAATTATTATATAGGAAATAGAAAATATATCGAGAAAACAATAAAAATAATTTATAATCCCACTAAGAACAAAAGCACTATTAACATGGTGATGTGTTTTTTGTGTAATTTCTTACAGATAGACAAGTGTATATGTGTGTAGTTGTGAGTGTGTGTGTATCCATTCTCTTTACAAAATTCAGATAATGCACAGATTATTTCCTATGTCAGTTAATATTTTTTGAAACATATATTAATGGTTCTTCACCATTTTATGGATATACTGTTTTTTATTTAACAAATCCTCTCTTAGAAAAGGATACTTCAGATACTCTTGCAGTTCAAAATAAAATTTAGATAAACATCTTTACTTAAATCTCTGGCTATATCTTTAAGTAAAGTAAATTTCTAGAAGTAAAATTGTGGGCCAGAGGATATGCATGTTTTAAGAATCTTGATACATACATGGCTGAATTTGTTCTTCAATACAGTGGTTTTAGCTTATTCATCTGCCAACATCAATTTGTATTTCTATTTCATGAAATATTTGTGAACACCAAACACTTAATTTTTAAAATGACATCAGTTTGAGAGATTTTGAAGCTCATGTTTCAATTTGTATCACTTTCATTATTGATGAGTTTAAACTTAAAAAAAGGTTTTGGTTTTTGATGGCTTTTTATTTTTTGTGTGTGAATTTTGAGGGCATAATTTTTGCCTATTTTCTTATGGGATATTCCTCAATGTATTGTAAATATATTAACCATATATTGAAAAAGTGCTAATAATTTTTTAATGTAGAGGATTGAAACATCTTCATTTAGCCAAATCTTTTCCTTTAATGATTTTTAACTTTTATGTTTTTAAGTCTTTTCTACAATCCTACTACTGGGCATATACCCAAAGGAAAATAATTCATTCTGTCAAAAAGACACATGCACTTATGTGTTCATTATAGCACTGTTCACAATGGCAGATACATGGAATCAACCTAGGTAGGTGCCCATCAACAGTGGATTGGATAAAGAAAATGTGGCACATATGCATTGTGGAATACTATGCAGTTATAAAAAAAAATCATGTCCTTTGCAGCAACGTGGTTGGAGCTGGAGGCCATTAGAATAAGCAACCTAACACAAGAACATAAAACCAAATACCACATCTTCTTACTTATAAGTGAGAGCTAAACATTGAATATACATGAACATAAGGATGGGAACAATTGATGCTGGGGACCATTAGACAGGAGGGAGAGTGGGAGTGTGAGCTGAGGAGCCGCTTGTTGGGTACTGTGCTTACTGCCTGGGTAATAGGATTGTTGGGACCCCAAGCCTCAGTGTCACACAGTTTACCCATGTAACAAAACCTGCATGCATACTCTTTATACTAAAAGTTTAAATTTAAAAATAAATAAATAAGTCTTTTCTACTCTGAAGGTAGGTAAATATTTGTATTATTTCCTAGTTCTAAAGTTTTCAGTTTATATGTAATTCTGAAGTTACCTAAAACTTATTTTGATATGTGTTGTAAGAGAATCAAGCTTTTTTTTAATCAGATGTTAATCCAAATGTCCCAGCTCCATTTATTTAACTGATTTGAAACATCATCTTTATCATATTTGAAATTCTTATCTATATTAGAATCTGTGTTCAAGTTTTTGGTTTCTCTGTGGATTTATTTTCGTACAAATTCTGTAGATTTAGTTGTTGAACCTTGGCATAATATTTTTATAATGATACAGCATAGCAAATCTTTTCTCATTATTCTTTTACACAATTTTCATTTAATTTTCAAAGTTAATCTTAGGCTACTTTTATCACATAAAAAAAAATTCCACTGGTATTTGGATGGAAATTACATGAAATGTATCACTTATTTTGTGGAACATTGACATCTTTCCAATCGTGAAAGCTTCCCATCCATTATCATTGTATGTTACTTATTTTCACATCTTTTGTGTCAATTAGAAAATATAATTCACCTTCCTGGCCTACACGGTGAAACCCCATCTCTACTAAAAATACAAAAAAAAAAAAAAAAAAAAAAAAAGCCAGGCATGGGGGCGGGCGCCTGTAGTCCCAGCTACTGGGGAGGCTGAGGCAGGAGAATGGTGTGAACCTGGGAGGTGGAGCTTGCAGTGAGCTGAGACCACTGCACTCCAGTCTGGGCGACAGAGCGAGACTCCGTCTCAAAAAATATATATATATAAAATTCATATCTATTCCCAGTATTCATACAATCAATACTTTTTATTATTTAATGAAAATTTAAAAATTTATTCTAAAACCAGCTTCTCTACTATGAAATTTTTCCTTTTGTTACTTATGAGAGTATCTTTGCATATTTATGTATTGCTGTCTCATTTTTGCTCTTCTGGCAACTTCTTTATTTTTAATCATGGCATTGATAAATTTTATCAGTGTCGTTAGTTGTTTTTTCTTTCTCTGCTTTTTCAAACTCAGCCTTTGCTGCAGAACAAGCCACTCCAAAACTTAGTGGCTTAAAACAATGATGATTTAGTCTCATGACTCTGTGGTTTGACTGGGTGTTTCTTCTGTTCTTGCCGGAGCTCACTTGGTGGCTCTACCAATGGGCCTGGGAAGCCTCTCTCTCCACCTGGTCATTCTCACCCAAGCTTCGTCTCATCATTGTGGTTTCAGAGTTCCCAGAGAGCAAGCCCCAGTGCATAAGCACTTATCAAGCCTCAGTTTAATGGCATGTTTGTTGAGGTCACATGGACGAAAGCCATGCCAACCAAGAGTCTGTATAGGAAGAGACTGTATACAATGACATGGATACCAGGACTGTGATTCACTGGGTGCCAGTATTGTTAATATTCTTCTATATCTACCTTCTGGCCTTTTTTGTCGTAGCATTTTTTCGCCCATTGTTTATTGAGAGGACTTTTATTTATTTATTTATTTTGCTGTGATAATTTTGTGTTATTTTAAGGGAACTATTTTATGCCATCAGTAGAATCTAGGCATGTTGATTTTTTTTTCATATTTTGACATCTCGGAAATAAACAATTACCATTGCTTTTTTTACAAGTTTATATTCATAAGTGAATTCACTAAAAGCATTTTAGGTTTTGAGAAAACCAAGATTTAAACAAATATAAAAATAAATAAATATGAACTTTGCCAAAAAGTGTGAAATCAGCATGCTCCTAGGATTTCTCTTGTAATTTTACAGTAAGAATTCTGTGAAAAGACAAAGAACCTTAAAAAGATAAAATGCATTGATCTTTATGTAGTAGAAATGTATAGATCAGGTTGGGAAAGACAAAAGATCTTGTCCATTTTGGAAAGTATTTTACATTGATATTTATTAAAGCTTATAAAGGGTAGATCACTGAGCAGTTTGTAAATATTCTTTTTATGAAGTTCACTAATATTCTAGTTGGGAAACATGAGTATTGTTTGAAAAACACATTAGAAAATGGTTTTACTCATGAGGAAGGCTGGTGAAACCATAGTCTTTGTATTCAATATAGGGAAAATACATAATTTTTAAGTCTGGAAAAGTCTGCATTGAAATAAAATTCTCTTATTATGGAATTGCAAAAATTGCTGCCCAAGGACAATTTCTGTAATGTCATAGTAATTCAAATGCCAACTCTGATGATTTTCAAAGCCATTTTCTTGATGACATTGGCTGTTACCAACTAAAACAAGCTTAAAGTCTCATTGTCCTCACCTGGTTACTCTAACTAGCCCGTGCATACTTCTGCAGTCTTATCTCAACACAGCTCCTTTATCCTATTGGCAGGACCCTGAAAACAACAGATTTATTTTGCCTTTGTGCCTTTAATCTGTATATGTCCTAGCTTTAAATATGTTGCCTTGCAGTCTTTCAATGTCTTCCTCCAGCAACCTTCCTGCATCTTTTCCAGTTACTGCCCCTCTGTTCGTTGCTCCACCTCAGAACTGTAGATACTTGCAGTTTGAATCAGAGGTTGATAAATAACTGCATATTGTTTCATGTGCATTAATGGAATTATAAGCCTCCTAGAGGAGAGTCTTACATGTTTTCCTTCATAGCACTTTGACAAAGCCATGGACAAATAGTAATTGCATACTGTATGTTTCCTGGTTGTTAGGAGATAAAGTCATTTTGATATAACTTATTTTTTTCTCCTTTAATAAAGGGATAGGATGGGATCTGCACTGATGATTGAAACAGCAAGAAACCCCACATGTCCTAAGGTAAGCTTAGAGTCTCTTAAATATAACACCTAGTTCCATCTGAAGGTCTGGTGAAAGCACTTGTCCTGAGGGCCATTTTATTTTATTTTATTTTTATTTTTTGAGACAGAGTTTCACTCTTATTGCCCAGGCTGGAGTGCAATAGCACGATCTCGGCTCACCATAACCTCCGTCTCCCAGGTTCAAGTGATTCTCCTGCCTCAGCCTCCCAAGTAGCTGGGATTACAGGCATGCACCACCACGCCTGGCTAATTTTTTTGTATTTTTAGTAGAGACAGGGTTTCTTCATGTTGGTCAGGCTGGTCTCAAACTCCCAAACTCAGGTGATCTGCCCGCCTTGGCCTCCCAAAGTGCTGGGATTACAGGCATGAGCCATCGTGCCCGGCCCTGAGGGCCCTTTTATTAAGGTATTACAGATTGTATTAATTCTTTATATATTGAGTCATTCTATGAAGAGATGGGATATCATCCTTATACCTTTTATAAATTCGGTAAAACTATACCAGAAATGGAAGAACATGAAAGATGGACTGAAAATAAGAATTATTTCATCATAATTTTAAAAATCAAATCTAGTGATTTAAGGAACATTATGACATTTTTTACCCTAGTTTTTTTTTTTTTTTGAGACGGAGTCTTGCTCTGTCGCCCAGGCTGGAGTGCAGTGGCACAATCTCGGCTCACTGCAAGCTCCGCCTCCCGGGCTCACGCCATTCTCCTGCCTCAGCCTCCCAAGTAGCTGGGACTATAGGCAGCCGCCACCACGCCCGGCTAATTTTTTGTATTTTTTAGTAGAGACAGGGTTTCACCATGTTAGCCAGGATAGTCTCGATCTCCTGACCTCGTGATTCGCCCACCTCAGCCTCCCAAAGTGCTGGGATTACGGGCGTGAGCCACCGCGCCCAGCCTTCTTACCCTAGATTTTTAAAGAGAAATTTTATATGCCTCTTAGATACAATACAATCATGCATCACTTAATGATAGGGATACATTCTGAGAAGTGTGTCATTAGATTATTTTGTCATTGTGCAAGTATTATAGAGTGTACTTAGACATACTTAGATGGTATAGCCTACTACACATGTAGGCTAAATGGTATAGCCTATAGTTCCTAGGCTATAAACCTGTGTTATAGAGTGTACTTAGACATACTTAGATGGTATAGCCTACTACACATGTAGGCTAAATGGTATAGCCTATAGTTCCTAGGCTATAAACCTGTACAGCAGGTGACTATACTGAATACTGTAGGCAATTGTGACACAATGATAAGAATACTTACGTATCTACAGATATACAAATATCTAGATAAAAAATATCTATAGAAAGATACAGTGAAAAATACAGCATAGAAGCCCGTTTATAGTCTTATGGGACCACTGTTGTATATGCGGTCCATCATTGACCAAAACATTGATATGCAATGCATGACTATATTAGATTATATTATTATAAAAATTGAATCCCCATTAAAATTGTAATGTCACTTAGATGTGTCTCAATGTGGCTCTTCATTTATTTGTGTGTTTGAAACCCAATGATCTGAGTGTTGCTTGAGTTCTGTTTAATATTACTTGTTTAAAGAATAGAATTTATGTGCCTAGAAATTTCATGCAGCTTGTATTTATTCTCAGATAACGAACTGTAACCATGAAAAATCAAACAAGTGCAGCTCTTTCTGTTGCTCTTAACTATGGCATACTCATACTTTGATTCATTCTGCAAGTATTAATTATACACCCACTGCTAGGCACTTTGGATTCATTTGTGGGCAAATGCAGACATGGGGTTCACAGCTCTGTAGGGCAACATAGGTATTAATGAAATAATCACACAGATGACATGTAGTAGTTTCCCTGAAATACATAAGTGCTATGGAGCATAAAAGCAGTTCTTTGAAAGCATATTTTTAAAGAGACATGAGGGCCAGCTAATTTAAGGAAGTGAGATTTGAGATGTCAATGTGAAGGCCATTGAGTAGCAGCATTCCTGGCAAAGGGAATGGCCTGTGCAGGAAGAGTTATAGAGAATTCCAGGAAATGATAGAGTTCTTAAAGATTAGTGCCTCGGAATCCAAGGGCTGCATGTGGAATGAGGCTGGAGCAGTAGGCCGATTAGATCAGACGCAGGGCCTCAGAGGCTGTGATGAAGAGATGACTTAGCTCTTTTTGAGAGGACACTAGGGTGCACTCTATGCTTCTTGCTTGTTCCCCTGTATCTCCAAGGCTCCTTGTTTGTTTGCTTGGTTTAAATTATGAAGTTGTCAGTTTTGAATAAAAGTTATGGGGAACTTTAGCCATCTTAAGAAGTAAATCATCATGATAAATGGAGAGCCACTCATATGTTTTCTTAATCCAACCATATTTATATGCCAACTATAGAAAGACTCTGGATTTTAGTATATGGCCAACGCCTATCCATAGTGGCCTAGAGACAGACTTGGATTACTCACAGGAATTTGGCATGTGACCTTTGTTTATTAAATATCAAAACAATTGGCAGGACTTGGCACAGGACACTAACTTTGGCCTCATCAATACCTGTCAGCCTCTTAAGTTTGTATTACAGATCATTAATAAAACAGCACATTTCATGTAAATTTAACTGACAGTGATAAAATTTGAGACCTGAGATGGTTGACATTATAGTTTTTTAATAAACATTACCCAACTACCAGGTTTTAATAATTGTGACCTGAAAGCATTGATTGTGTAGTGTTACATTTCAGAGTTATTGAAGTCAAAATACTTTCAAAGAGCACAGAAACAAAGACTAATTTGTAAGTGATATTATGAAAATAGTGTGCTTATCTTGAAGCAGTTTTTTTTGTTTGTTTTGAGACAGAGTCCCACTCTTGTCACCCAGGCTGGAGTGCAGTGACGTGATCTCGGCTCACTCCAACCCCCACCTCCTGGGCAAGCAATTCTCCTGCCTCAGCCTCCCGAGTAGCTGGAAGGCACCTGCCATCATGTCCAGCTAATTTTGTATTTTTAGTTGAGTTGGGGTTTCACCATTTTGGGCAGGCTGCTCTTGAGCTCCTTACCTCAAGTGATCCACCCTCCTTGGCCTCCCAAAGTGCTGGGATTACTGGCGTGAGCCACTGTGCCCAGCCTTTAAGCAGTTTTTATTCATTACTACTGTTTTGTCAATTATTATGTAAAGGTCTAGAAATGTTTGCCTTTTTGAATATTTTTTTAATCAAATTGAGTAATGGTCAAATAAATCTCTTTTATTATTATTCTCATAATAAATTTCTCAGAATTGCTTCAGTCTTTATATCTATTATCCCACAAAGAAATGCCTGTTTAAAAAGATCTGATTCTCTTTTTTCAGCATTATATTTGTTACACATATAGTTGTAGATTGTTCATTCATACTACTAAATAGTATTTAATTTTTACAGATCCCAAATATATTACTGTTAATGATGGAATTGTTCACTTTTTCATTCACTAGGTAGCTGCTGTAAGTACCATAGTAAATAGAGGGATAACACCCAAAGCTTTTGTGTTCAGAAACTATGGTCATTTTCCTGGAATCAACTCTCATTATTTGGGAGGCTGTCAGTATAAAATGTGGCAGGCCATTAGAGCCTCATCTGCTGCTCCAGGCTACTTTGCAGAATATGCATTGGGAAATGATCTTCATCAAGTAAGTTGACTTGTATGTCTTATTTTTTTAAATTTTACATGATTAAAAGAATCAGCACTTATTAAATGTCATTGATCTTCAGAAGGATCAACCTAGGAGACTTTCTTCTTTGTGTCTTCATATCTCAAAAGAAGAACAATTTAGGATATTTTTATTTGTTGTTTTTCTTAACAAGCCTCTGACATGCAAACATATTTTAAGAAAGTTTTTGTGTTTTATATAGTGTGATTCGTAGCCCATTATGATAATTTTATGATGGAAAAGTGAGAGTATGTATGATTAGCTTTCCAAACATGATAAAAAGTAAAAACGATATACACTCCCTGAAAATGCAGAACCCAGTCTGCTTGACAGTTTGGGTGGGCATATTTTGAAGAAAGGGATACAGTAAAATAATAGTAAATACTCATTAAGTTAGCTGTGTGCCAGACACTTATTTAGTGCTGTGCATGCATTATCTCATTTAATCCTTGCTACTTACGAGGTAGAGTTATTTCCATTTTACAAACAAGGAATTCGCACCTTAGGAAAAGTTAAGTAACTGGACTAGCATCACAGCTGTTAAGTTACAGAGTTAGGATGTTGTCCGTAATTATACTCTTTTAAATTCATGTGTACACTAGCTGTAAAAGTGAATATTATTTCTGGAAATTCTTTTTATGTAAACTCATTTATGCTTTTCCTCTGTCAAGTTTTTCCAACTCTTTATGGAAATCTTAATTCATAACTTACACTAAATGCTAATAAAGCTTTAGAGCTGATACTTTGAAAGCTTGCATTTTTATATATAATTTTTTATATTATGTCTCATTTAAAATTAGTCTCATTTGATGGAGTAGAATGAGAGGAATCTTGACGTTTTTCTCTAGTCCCTAAAGTACGTCTACTCTCTTTATTTGGTCAGATATCTGTTGAGAAAAAAATCTTACGCTGTTGACAGAGATATTAAGACGGCATTCAAAAACTCATACATAGATCTATATAAACAACATGTCAGCAATATAAACTTCAAAACTTTCTAATGGATCATTTAAACTAAAACATTTTTATCAATTTTATCTCATTTTGATACAATAGCTTATATATATTTTAAAATGTTATGGCCAGCTATTCCTATTTTCTTTTTAATCTTTAAGTAATATAATATTTGTAGTTAAGAGATTAAAATAGGATTCCTTTGTCTTTGGAGTCAGTTCAAACCATTTCTTACTTTGCAGAATCAGTCATTGTTGAATTATTTAAGGCACTTCCCCTTCTTGCCTTTCTTCTCTTTCTTCCACCCACTCTGGGCAGAAAGTACTGGCTGCTGAGTTTCTGATACTGATTTCAGGACTTATTGGTCAAAATAAAATTTTTATTTTAATATGTGGCTTACTATTTTTAACAACGATTTCCCCTATTCTTATGTACCATGTCATAAATTGAGAAATAATTTAGACAGTGTATGTAAAATATAATAGAATTTTTAAGTTATAACCTTAATAGTGCTACAAACTTGCAGTTATGCCAATTAGTGAAAGTCTCAAATACTAAATAATTACATTTGGGGATCTTGTGTTTTCCACACTTCAAAAGAAGTTATTTCATTTGCTCTTTATTCTTTATCCAAAAGAAAGTAGTTCTAAAGTTTAATTCAGTACTGTTGAATATATATTACCAAAGTAATTCAGTGGTTCCTTTTCCATTTCAGATAGATTAGTGATATTTCTGTTCACGCTTAGACATTTTTATATTGATGACCGTAATCCTTTAACTTATTTTGAGCCACAGATTAAAATAACTTCTTAAGGTTATTTGAATAAATAAATGTTATTTATAATTTACATAAATTTTTATGTAAAGCATATTGCCACATGGGCAAAAAATGTACTTTCATATAAATCAATAAGCTTCAGAAACTTTGGCACATTTAATTAATAAAAATATTAAAATGGAATCTAGAGCCTAAGAAACCTACTTAAGGAAATATTTTTCTTACTCTGTATTCTCTTCCAAGACTTGAAGAAGAAATGGGATATTTTTCACTTCAAATGACAACTCAGAAGATTGATGGGAATATTTTAAGGTGTGAATGATCTTGGTTGCTTAAACAAAGAAAACGTTCAAGTAAAGTCCTAATTCTTTCTAACCACTCAGAAGTTTTGCCAAGTTTAAAGTATAGTACTACAACCTTCTCATCCTAAATTCTTTTAATAATTATATTCAATTATTACCAGTCTCATTTTGAAAATCCCTTTTAGCTGTCACATCTGACATATGTTTTAATGTAGTTACTTGGTATCCATTGTAGTAGAGGTTAATTAATATTCTATTTGAGCAATTATTGAAAGTAGTGATATAATTAAGAGTTATGTGTAGGTGAATGGGGAGATTCATTTGCCTTTGACTATAAGAAGAAGATTATTACAACATTTATAAGGTTCATTACAAGTCCTAGAAAATTATAAAGTGAGAAGAATTCTTTGTGAGTAGCTCCCAATCTCTCCCTATCTGCCCAAGTAGTAGCATAATATGTACATGGAAGTACTACTTTTTAAACAAAATTATTCCTTCTCTCTTTCCATCTCCACCTTCAAAATTAAATTGTTCATTCCTGTCTTTGGAGAAAGAATCTGATAAATTAGTTTACACTAGAGGTTTTGATGACCAATTCTGATATACATATTATTCCTACCAGGCTTTATTTACATCACAAAAGTTTTTGTTCAGAGCTTAGGATACATAAACATAAATAAATTATGAAATTTTTATTTAAACATTCCAGGTAAAGAGTGTTTTTAGCAGAAAGAGCCTCCCCAACACCTGCCAAATTATGCCTATACCAAACCACAATTAATAATTTTCATTATAACTGGACAGAAATGTAGTGAGTGCTTACTCAGTGTTAGGCACTGTGCTAGCTGGGAAGGATATAAAGATTTTTAACCATAGTTGGCATATTGTTTGTGCTTCCTGGATCCTGCCCTCAAATAGTTCAGACAAAAAGAATGTAAACCCAGTTATAGAATGAGGTAAAAATTTAATCATCAATATATGTACAGGATTAAGAAGTACTATAGAGGTGATTTATTCTGTCAGGGTCAGCTTAACAAAGAAGTTGTCATCTGACTTGATGTATAAAAAATGGGTCATTGATTAGGGATAGAAAATGGGATGAGGAAGGAAAAATGGGGAGTGATTCCTTAATGGTTACAGAGTGTGGGTGATAAAAATGTTTGGAAATAGATTGTAGTGCTGAGATACAGTGGCTTACACCTGTAATCCCAGCACTTTGGGAGGTTGAGGCTGGAGGATCGCTTGAGCTCAGGAGTTCAAGACCAGCCTGCTGCAACAAAGTGAGACCCTGTCTCTACCAAAAAAAGAAAAAATATTAACAGGATGTGGTCTACAGGAACTACCATGGACCTAATATTAGCCCAATGACCTACTGATAGAATAGCCATCTGACAAGAGTAGGCTAACTATAAGCAGAGCTTAAAAGATAGTATGCTTCACCACTAGATTAGAGTGAGCCCAGAAACCTTAACTGCTGTACTTTTTTGATAAAAAGTGAGTAAAGTTGAAGGAACAGAAATTTGCTTTGAAAAATGGTTAGCACAACTACAGGAAACCTGCCAGTTTTTTGATTTGGGATTGATTTTGCAGTTATCGTTTCTTGCTAAAATTTGTTTGCCTCTTCATCTTTTCCCTTTTTTGTCTTTTCTGATCATCCTTATATAGGCTTTTATATAATGAAAATGTGTTTCATCTAAAATACCTACTTGATTAGAAGTTACACAGAGTATAACAAATATAAAATTTAAGGTTTAAATGGTTTAGTAAAAAAATAACTTTTCTGCCAAATTAGAAATTAAATGTTACCTCTGTTGTGGGATAAGTATCATTCTAATGATCTGTTAATTGAAAACAAAGGAAAAAGTTGAAAGGATTAAGTTAAAATTTGTACTTGAGAAGGCCTTTAGGAAATAGCTTAATTATTACCACCTGCATTGAAGGAATCTAAGTAGATTTTTACAAAGCTCAGCAATACAAATATAAATACCTATCCAATTTATGACTTTCAACAAATGTATAAAGATAGCTAAATTTAAAAATAGTTCTTTTCAACTGGTGAATGGATAAACTATGGTATATTCAAACAATGAAATATTACTCAGCAATAAAAAGGAATGAATTACTGACATTCACAGAGACATAGATGAATCTCACAAGCATTCTTCTAAGTAAAAGAAACCAGACCCAAAAAAACTTACACTATATGATTCCATTTATTTTGATAACGAAGTTCAATGCGTGACTTTGAAGAGTAGTTGGATGAATAGGTTTTTGAAGTAAATGTGGCAACAAACCACCCATGCTAAAATGGAGAATAGAGCAAGCAATAGAAAGACGTGGCAAACTGCTTTTCTGAACGTCAACACAGCCCTGTATATCCCAGTTATCTCAAGGGTATCACAAAGCTACACATTGGTGATAAATGACATTTGCCATAATAAAGGTCTGTTAGCCTCAGACTGGCTATTCTATAACTAAAGAGCCAATTAACTTTCTCTGGGAAGTGTTGTTAGTATTTAGGAACATTTCTATATATTAATAGTTGCCTCCTAATGTGATCTTATTGATCCAACCAGAGTATTATTTGGGATACAAGTTTTTGAGAAAGTTATTTTATAATGCCAGAAATGAAGAGTTATCATAATCTGTGGTTTGCAAAATACTACCACTCCCTCTAAAATAACTGAGCATAAATTTGTGAAAAGATGAAGAGTGTTCTTCACATTTCATGAGAAATTTTAGTAACAGTAGTATGCTTCATTAGTAGGGCAAAATCCTACATGATGTTCTTAATGGGACCTTTAAGCCAGAGCACCAATGGTGGGGGTAGTTGATTTTCCACAAAGAAAACTACTTGGGAGAATCAATTATATTCCTATATACAAGCAAAGAATAATTGGAAACCAAAATTGTAACAAAAGCAGTACAGTTTACAGTAGATCCAAAAAATTAAACACTTAGATATAAATCTGACAAAACATAGGGAATCTGTATGTTGAAAACAGAAGATGAAAGAAATAAAAGAAGACCTAAAGAAATGGAAAGGCATACCATTATTGAAAGATGCTACATGGTAAAGATGTGAGTTATTCCTGAAGTGATCCATAAATATAATGCAATGCCAATCAAAACTCTAGTAGGACTTTTCAAAAATTATAGTCAGATTCTAAAATTTATATGGAAGGGCAGAGGAATGAGAATAGTTTAAACTATTTTATTATTTATTTATTTAGAGACAGAGTCTCACTCTGGTGCCCAGGCCGGAGTGCAGTGGCACAATCTCAGCTCACTGCAACCTCTGCCTCCCTGGTTCAGGTGATTCTCTTGCCTCAGCCTCCTGAGTAGCTGGGACTACAGGTGTGCGCCACCACCCCCAGCTAATGTTTCTTATTTTTAGTAGAGATGAGGTTTCACTGTGTTGTCCAGGCTGGTCTTGAACTCCTGGGCTCAGGCAATCCACCTGCCTCAGCTCCCCAAAGTACTGGGATTACAGGCATGAGCCACTGCACCTGGCCTAAACAATTTTAAAAGAATAAAAAGTTTCAAGGAATCACACTAGTCAATTTAAAAACTTACTCTAAAGGTACAGTAGTCATGGCTACTGTACCAGAGTGGTATTTGCATAAAGATAGATATGTAGATAAATAGAATTAAATAGAGAGTTCAGAAATAGACTCCCACATATATGGCCATTTGATCTTTGACAAAGATACAAAAGCAATTCAGTGGAGAAAGGATAGTCTTTTCAGCAAAAATTGTGTTGAAACAATTGGTCATCTTTCTCTCTCCCTGTCTTTTCTCCTAGACCCCCACCACACACACAAACACACCCCAGAAATTGTGACCTAAGCCTCACACATTATACAAAGATAATTTATAATGGATCGTAGTTCTAAATGTAAAACAAAACTATGAAACTTTTAGAAGAAAAACTTGGTGACCTGGGTTGGGGGAAGACTTCTTACAATTATACTGAAATCATCATACATGAAATTTAAAAATTGATAAACTGGACTTCATCAAAATTAAAAATTTAGCTCTGCAGATATACTGCCAAGAAGATGAGGAGACAAGCGACATACAGGAAGAAAATACTTGCAAATTCACATGTCCAACAAAGGAGTTATATCTAGAATATATAAGAAACTCTCAGAATTTAACAATGTGAGCCAAAGACTTGAACAGACACTTCAGCAGAGGATAAAGGGATGGCAAATGAGGGTGTGAAAAGACATCCAGCATCATTAGGCATTGGAGAATCACAAATTAAAACAATGATGAAATGCCACCACATATCTGTTAAAGTGGTTAAAATAATACGGACAGTACCAAGTATTACTGTAATAAGATGCAGAGCAACTGGAACTTTTAGACAGTGATGGTGGGAACGCAAAATGGACAACCACTTTGAAAATGTTTTGGCAGTTTCTTATAAAGTTAAACGTATACTTACCATATGCTCCAACGATCGCACTCGTATTTACTCCAGAGAAATGAAAATTTATGTCCATGCAGAATCCTGTACTCACATGTGTATAGCAACTTTTTTATTCGTGACAGTCAAATGCTGGAAACAACCCAGAGGTCCTACAGTGGATGAATGCATGAACTGTGTGGTACATCCATACAATCAGCAGTAAAAAGGAGTAAACTATTGATACATGCAACTACTTGGATTAGTCTCGATGACATGCTCAGAAAGAGAAGGCAGTTTAAAGAAGTCCCATACTGTATTATTCCATTTCTATGACCTCCTTAGTAGTGGCAGAAAACAGATCAGTGGTTGTCAAGGGTTATGGGTGGGAGGAGGGGTGCCTACAAAGACATAGCATGAGAGAGTTTTTGGGGGTGATGGAACTATTCTGTATCTTGATTGTGGTAATATTTACACAAATCTATATGCATTAAAGTTCATAGAGCTGCATACCAAAAAAGTTAATTTTACTGTATAATCTGAAAAATTAAAATATTTTACAATGAAATGAGCTGCTTTACAAGGTTGTATGCACCATATTACTGAAAATGTTTAAGTATTCTGTCAAAAACTGTTTAAGGCTATATGTGGGAGACTGAACTAGGGTAATTCCAAGGTCTGTTACAATTCTCAGCAGTGATAGTGCTGATTCCAGGGAGATGCCAAGCACCAGTGACATCAAAAATCATTCGAGTTTATTCAGGTGGTTTACCACTGAAGAAATGCCTTTCCGTGTACTCAGCGGACGGTTAACTGGCATGGATGGGAGCTGAACAGGAGAAGGAGGCTGAGCAGTCACTTAAAACATCTTAAATCAGATATGTTTTTCTAGATTTTATTTGGTTTATTTTGGTTTGGTTTTGAGACAAGGTCTTGCTCTGTCGCCCAGGCTAGAGTGCAGTGGTGTGATCTCAGCTCACTGCAGCCTTGACCTCCCGGGCTCAAGCAATTCTCCCACCTCAGCCTCCTGAATAGCTGGGACTACAGGCATGTACACCATGCCTGGCTAATTTTGTTTATTTTTTTGTAGAGACCAGGTGTCCCTATGTTGCTCAGGCTGGTCTTGAACTCTCGGACTCAAGCGATTCTCCTGCCTTGGCCTCCCAAAGTGCTGAGATTACAGGCATGAGCCACCATGCTCAGTGTATTTTTCTAGATTTTAAATACAATATAATGTTTATGATGTAATATATTTTAATATGGTTCTACAATACATTTTATTATAGTTTGACCATAATTTTATCTACTTTTACTCTACTACATTTTTATAGTGCTCTATCAGCATATTTTATTAATACCTTTGTTTCCTTTTGAAGTCTTCAAAATAATATTGATATTGATACATACTTAGAAATATAAGGTTTATTCTGTTATTTACGTTATATCTGCATTATAATGAATGTGATCCATTGAAATTGTATTGTTGATAGAATTTGAACTAACTTAGAATTATTTGGTTTTATTTGACTTGTGAGAGAAGAACTAATTTTAATTGTTTGGTAGAACCACAGTTCTTTTCTGTTAGGCTTTAAGTAGAACCTGTATTAACCACTAAATAAGATAATGTGTCTTGAAAAGTAATTTCGTTCATTTCAATATTTTTTAGCAAAATATGCAAAGCAATTTAAGAAGTTCAAAGAACTTTCATAATAGGAAAGGAAAACTTAATAAAAAGTTTCTTTATGAGACCAATGAGTCTTCGCATGGATTTTTTTGCAGCTGTAGTCTATAAAAGAAATGCACTTTTAAGGAACCTCTTGGTTTTAAATAATTTATTTAGCTTATTACATAGTTCAGCTTTCCCCGTGAGTCAGTTTTAAAAGTTTCTTTTTTTAACTTGTATTTTGCAGGATGGAGGTTTGCTTCTGAATAACCCTTCGGCATTAGCTATGCATGAGTGTAAATGTCTTTGGCCAGATGTGCCGTTAGAGTGCATAGTATCCCTGGGCACTGGACGTTATGAGAGTGATGTGAGAAACACGGTAACATACACAAGCTTGAAAACTAAACTTTCTAATGTTATCAACAGTGCTACAGATACAGAAGGTTAGTCTTGTTTGCTGCTTTAAAATACTTCAACTTCTAGCATTCTAGCAGTTTTTTGGTGGCATTTGTTGGTCCTAACTGCAAAGGCATATGATATGTCTGTATTGTGGATTTAGGAAGTACATGGGAGGAAACATTTTGTTGTTTTCCTTTCTCACTTGTTTCTTGTTAGGTGACTCTAGAACAGAGACTGTTTTCCATTTGAGAGATAGTGCTACCTTTGCCCACTTACTGTTGGAGAAGTACCTAAAGCTGGATAGCACAACATTTTGTTGGAGACTCTGAAGCCAGTTAAGAAAGGGAAAAGCAACAAAAGGAGTCAGATTTGTTCAAACATATACATGATAGCAAAGATTTAGAGTAAAGGACATTCAATTATTTAATACTGTCAAGGCAAACTGGAATGAGAATGTGTTCTTGCTTTTACTCTTGCTGCCCCTATAGTTTAATCTTCATACAGAGACCAAAGTCATCCTTTTAAAATGCAAATTAGGTTGGGCACGATGGCTCATACCAGTAATCCCAGCACTTTGGGAGGCCGAGGCGGTTGGATCACTTGAGGTCAGGAGTTTGAGACCAGCCTGATCAGTGTGGTAAAACACCATCTCTACTGAAAATACAAAAAATTAGCCAGGCATGGTAGTGTGCACCTGTAATTCCAGCTCCTTGGAAGGCTGAGGCAGGAGAATCACTTGAGCCTTGGGGGCAGAGGTTGCAGTGAGCCAAGATTGTGCCACTATACTCTAGCCTGGGCTACAGAGCAAGACTCCATCTCAAAAAAAAACCAAAAACAAATTAAATAATGTCTGTCTGCTTCTCAAAACCCTCTTTCAAGTGTGTACCTTCTCTACAGTGTGTCCAACCACCGGATAATTCTTGGTGGTCACCAAACTTGCTAAGAACTCTCCTGCCTCAGGGCCTCTGCAGTTGCTGTACTCTCTCTCTATAAGGCTATTTCCCCAGATAGGCACTTGACCCTTATTTCATTCAGGTCTCTGTTGAAATGTCAGAGGGACCTCAGAGAAACCTTTCCTGACTGCTTTTCCATTTTCCTTATCATCTCACTCTTAATTTCTCAGTCTGCTTCTTTTTCTCTTTTTCTCTTACAGCATTTATCTCATTGTAATTATATATTACATATTTGATTGTTTACTTATTATCCTTCTGTCCAACAAGAATGCAAGGCAAGAATTTATCCAGTTTACTTTGACTTACCCAGTTTGCTGTTGACTCCAGTGCCTGGCATATAGTAGGCATTCAGTGAGTGTATGTTGAATTTCAGGTTTTGGCCTTGAGGTGTTTGTGTGTGTGTGTGTTTCTTAGAAACAGGATCTCACTTTGTTGCCCAGGCTGGAACGCAGTGACAATGATAGCTCACTGCAGCCTCAAACTCCTGGGCTCAACCAGTCCTCCCACCTTAGTCTCCTGAGTAGCTGGGACTACAGGTGCATACCATTGCACCCAGCTAATTTTTCAGACCTTTTTTTGTAGAGATGGGGTCTCCCTGTGTTGCCCAGGCTGGTCTTGAACTACTGACTTTAAGTGATCCTCCTGCCTTGGCCTCCTGAAGTGCTAGGATTACTAGCATGGGCCACTGGGCCTTGCCTTGAGGTTTAGATTTCCTCATTTTACTATTTTGTTTTTAATTATTGGGTGAAACGTTTTACTAAATTAAAAAAAATTATTACCACTTAACAGCTGCTTGTATTTGAATCTCATTCTTTTCATATCAGCATATTATTGGCCAAGTCATTAACATAAGTGAGAATCTTAAACTCCCCACTGAGGACTTTTATTCATTGAATGAAAACCAAAAAAAAGCTCATGTGCTAGATTTTTCACTATCTGAAATTTTGTTGCCAGATCAGTAAAATACTCTTTTTCTCCCAGCTTTATTGAGGTCAGACTGACATAAAAATTGTATATATTTAAGTTGTACAACATGTTGTTTTATTGTAAGTATACCTTGTGTAATGATTCCCACAATCCAGCTAATAAGCATATCTGTCACCTGACGTAGTTACTATTTTGTGTGTGCCTGGTAAGAACACTTAAGATTTACTCCCGTAGCAAATTTAAAGTAAACAAAACTTAATACATTGTTATTAACTATAGTTACCATGCTGTACGTCAGATCTCTAGTAGGTAGTCATAACTGAAAATTTGTACCCTTTGACCAACATCTCTCCATTTCCCCTACTCCCCAGTGTCTGGCAACCACCATTCTCCTCTGTTTTTTTTAGTTCAACTATTTTAGATTCCACATGTAAATGTTACTGTGCACTACTCATTTTCCTGTGTCTGGCTTAGTTCCCTTAGCAGAATATCTTCCAAGTTCATCCACGTTGTCGCAAGTGGCAGGATTTCCTTCTTTTTTAAGGCAGAATAGGATTCTTGTGTGTGTGTATATACTGTAATTCCTTTATCCATTCATTCATCCATGGACACAGGTTGTTTTCATATCTTGGCTATTGTGAATAATGCTGCAGTGAACATGGGTGAGCAGCAATCCCTTCAAAATAACAATTTCATTTCCTTCGGACATATACCCGGAGTGGGATTGCTGGATCATATGGTAGTTCTCTTTTTAATTTTTTGAGGAACCTCCATACTGTTTTCTGTACTAGCTGTACCAATTTACATTCCTATAAACAGTTTACAAGGGTTCCTTTTCCCCAGTTCCTTGCCAACACCTATTATCTCTTGTCTTTTTTATAACAGCCATCCTAACAGGTGTAAGGTGGGATCTCATTGTGGTTTTGATTCACATTTCCGTGATGGCTCAATAAAATATCCTTACCATAAGCCATTTGCTGAGACAAGTGGCTTTAGTCGGGCAGTCGCATAAGAGTTAAGTCTGTACTTTGTGCAAACCATGTAATGGGCTTATTTGGAATTTTCAAGAAACATGAAATGTTGCCTCAGTGTACCTGCACTCCAGTTAATAAGACAAATGAGTAAAAATTTAATAAACTTAGTTAACTTTGAAAAAGATATAACAAGAATTGCTGTTATAAGATATAACAACAACATTGCTGTTGGCCCACAAAAACAACAATTTTATAGGGTTTAATCTGTGGTGAATTGCTAAATAAATGGTAAATGATTGTAAGTGATTAAGACTATGAATTAAGAAAAGGAATGAGAAAACTTGATTGGTGTAGACAGCTTATAAGACATAAAGTAGACTTGATATGGGTCTTAAAGGATGTATAGGATTTGGACATTTTAAAAGAGAGTTAAGACTTCCTCTTCTGGACATCATAAACTATTAGGGACCAGATATTTCCTCTTACCTTAAACAACTAGAAAAGTAGACAAAACAATGATTTTCAGACATGAGAAAACAGGTAACATAGGACAGCGATCTCTGAAAGGAGAATGAATGAGGTCATCACTATTATTGTCCAGCTTGCTGCCTGAAAAGAGTTTCTACACTATAGCATAGTTTCTATTCTATAGCACCAGAAAAGTGGGGTAGTCTCAGTGGGAGTTGTGGAAACAAAATTTGCAGTTCAAGGAGGCCAAGGAAACTAAAATTTGTGGGCTACATGCAAGATCTGAACAGTGAAAACTATAAAACATTACTGAGAGAAATTAAAGACCTAAATAAATCAATACATGTACTGTGTTCATGAATTGGAAATCTCAATATTGTTAAGGTATCACATCACAAATTGATATGTAGATTCAATACAATTCCTGTCAAAATCCAAGCAGGCTTTTGAGGGATAGAGATTAACAAGCTGACTGTAAAATGTATATGGATATGCAAAGGACCCAGAATAGTGGTCTCCAACCTCTTTGGTCCCAAGGACTGGTTTCGTGGAAGATAGTTTTTCCGCACATGGGGGCGGGGAGGGGAGGGATGGTTTTGGGATAATTCAAGCACATTACATTTATTGTGTACTTTATTTCTAGTATTATTACATTGTAATATATAATAAGTATACAGCTCACCATAATGTAGAATTGGGAGCCCTGAGCTTGTTTTCCTCCAACTAGATGGTCTTATCTAGGGATGATGGGAGACAGTGACAGATCATCAGGCATTAGATTCACCTAAGGAGCACGCAACCTAGATCCCTTGCATGCTCAGTTCACAATAGGGTTTGCAGTCTTATGAGAATCTCATGCCACCACTGATCTGACAGGAGGTGGAGCTGAGGCAGTAATGCAAGCGATGGAGAGTGGCTGTATATACAGATGAAGCTTTGCTTACTGGCCCTGCCACTCACCCCCTGCTGTGCAGCCCATGGGTTGGGGACCCCTGACCTAGAATATCTGACACAATTTTGAAAAAGAAAAAAAAGTTGGAGGACTTACATCTGCTGATTTAAAGACTATAAAACTACATTAAGCAAGGAACTGTGGTGTTTGAATAAAGATAGACATATAAATCAATGGTATGTAATAGAGAGTCCAGAAATTGATTTATACATGTAAACTCAAAAGACTTTTTACAAAGATGCTAAGGTAACTCAGTGGGAAAGGACAGTCTTTTCAACAAATGGTCCGGGACTATTAGATACCTGTATCCACAGCGTTGACCTTGACCCTTTGCACCATACACAAAAGTAACTTGGAATGCATCACAGTCGTTCATGGCTAATATGCAGAAATACAACTGATTTTTCTTATTGACCTTATATAACTTCAAACTTGCTAAACTCACTTATTCTAGTAGCTTTCTATAGCTTTCTCAAAATTGTCAACATAGGCAACCAGGTTGTCTATAGAGTTTTACTTCCTTTTTAATCTACATGCCCTTCATTTCCTTTTAATGCTTTACGGCACTGAAAAGGACCCTCCAGTACAATGCTTACTGGAAGGTGTGAGACTAGACATCTTACCCTGTTCCTGATCTTAGATGGAAACCTGAATCTAAGAGCTGAAACTATAAAACATATAGAAGAATATGCTGGAGAAAATCTTAATGACCTTGGGTAAAGATTTTTTTAGATAGGACATAGAAAATATGAATCAGAAAGGAAAGAAAGAGATAAATTAGACTTCAAATTACAAATTCTGCTCTTTAAAAGGTACTTTTTATAAAATGAAAAGGCAAGTCATACACTAAAATATTGATAAAACATGCATCTGACCCATCATGAGGTATAATATATAATCAAGTTCAAAATATATAGAGAATTCTCATATAACATATGTATGTATATATATATAAAATAATAGGCTGGGTATGGTGGTTCACACCTGTAATCCCAGCACTTTGGGTGGATCGGTTGAGCCCAGAAGTTTGAGACCAGCCTGGTCAATATAGTGAGATCCCATCTCTACAGAAAAATAAAAAACTATCTGGGCATGGTGGCACACACCTGTAGTCCCAGCTACTTGGGAGGCTGAGGCAGGAGGATCACTTGAGCCCAGGAGTTCGAGGTTGCGGTGAGCCATGATTGCACCACTGTCATATATATAGGACACAGCAATTCAGTGAAAAAACTGGGCAAAAGATTTAAACAGACACTTCATTAAAGAAGATATACAAATGACTAATAAGTACATGAAAACCTTCTCAACATAATTAGTCATTAGGGAAATAAAAATTAAACCACAAGATACCACTACCTCTATAATGCAAAACTTAAGACTTGACATACTAACTTTGGGCAAAGATGTAGAGCAGTGAGAACTCTAATATATTAGTGGTTGGAATACAAAAATGGAAGACAGTGTGGCAGGTTTTTTTTAAAATAAGCATACCCTTTACCATATGAACCAGCAATTTTATTCCTAGGTTTTTGCCCAAGGGAAATGCAATCATATGCACATGAAGACTTATGTGTAAATGTTTATAATCGGGTTATTTCTAGTAGCTAAAAACTGAAGAGAGCCAGACCAGAACTGCAGAGAACAAATTGTGTTGTATCTATACAATGGAACACCATTTAGCAATGAAAAGAAAGGAACTATTGATATATGCTACAACATGGATGAATCTCAAAAGTATTTTGTCCATAAAAGAAGGTAGATACTTTTGATTCTGTTTGTATGAAATTCTAGGAAAGGGAAAGTGGGCACCAACTATAAAGAGGCTTAAAGGAACTTTTTACAGTGATGGAAATGGCTATGTCATGATTATTGTTGTGCTTACACAAGTGTATACATTTGTCAAAACTTGTCAAACTATACAGTTAAAATTGGTGAGTTGCACTGGATGTAAATGATATGTCAATGAAGTTGATCCCAAAAAAAAGGAAAGTTGGAAAGGGCATTTCAGCAGTGGTGAACAGTATGACCAAAAGCACAGAGAGAATAGAAGAAGTATACTAATTTCACAGAATAATGTATTTTGGAAGATGAATTTTATCTTATAGTTTTACCCATTATTATGGATTACTTCTACTGTCAGTTTGAATAATGAAATTAGTGAATCTTTGTAATGTGCCTAAAAAGAAGTTAATTTTAAATAAAGACAAATTAACAGTTCATTGCTCACTTTATCCCCTCTTTTCTTATCCCCTTATCCTTTTCTTTTTTGCTTTAACAGAAGTCCATATAATGCTTGATGGCCTGTTACCTCCTGACACCTATTTTAGATTCAATCCTGTAATGTGTGAAAACATACCTCTAGATGAAAGTCGAAATGAAAAGCTGGATCAGCTGCAGTTGGAAGGGTTGAAATACATAGAAAGAAATGAACAAAAAATGAAAAAAGTTGCAAAAATATTAAGTCAAGAAAAAACAACTCTGCAGAAAATTAATGATTGGATAAAATTAAAAACTGATATGTATGAAGGACTTCCATTCTTTTCAAAATTGTGATGAGTATATGCTTATGTTCTCATAAATGAAGGTCTGTTTAGAAGATCAACCACATTCAATAAGGAATTGTGGGGTTCGACATGAGTTAACTTTGAAATACGTATGAATTCTGGAGAATCCTGAAAAAGACGGTGCTTCAACCAGCTTGCATAGCACAGAGAATATTCTTGGTTACAGAATTCATATGGGAACTAGGCTTTTAAGATGTTAATAATTAGCTAAGCTTTAGTAACCCTTACTGTGCTAGTAGATTTTAGTAGATATTGGTGTTATATTGTTTGATGTTTGAAAATATATTAATATATGTGCCGAACAAGAAACCGAAAGCTATATTGTACTGTGTATTTTTACTTTAGTCCTCATAATCATGTTGAATTTATGTGATCATTGATTTTATTTCATATGGAAAAGCTAATTTCTTCTTAAATTTACATTACCTAATATTCTCACTAGCTATGTTCTCCAATCCACACTGCCTTTTATTGTAATATCATCTAAATAGATGCAGAAAAATGGAATTTTCTCTATTAAAGTATTTTACATTTGACATAAAAAAGAACCAGATACAGTTTTCTATTCAGATATGTTTATTTTAACATTGTTTGGTTAAAAAAGGTGAAGTTCCAGTCAACCACTTTTTACCCCTGAAATTTCAAGATAATGCTATATTAACTTTTCCAGATCTAACACTAGCTTATTCTTCCCTGTTATAAAATGGTTTGAACTTACTGAGGAGATATTCCTATCATTAACAAAAATAAACTATTTAAATAATCTGTTGTTAAAAGGCTAATGTCATTTTAAAATTAATTTTTGTTCATAATGTAGCTCCCCTTTAGCCTTTGAATACACCTGGCAGCAGTATGCTTAAAAATAAGAAGTTAGTTGCCTGGCGCAGTAGCTCACACCTGTAATCCCAGCACTTTGGGAGGCCGAGGCAGGCAGATCACCTGACGTCAGGAGTCCAAGACCAGCCTGGCCAACACGGTGAAACCTCGTCTCTAATAAAAATACAAACATTAGCCCGGCATGGTGGTGCACACCTATAGTCCCAGCTACTCGGGAGGCTAAGGCAGGAGAATGGCTTGAACCTGAGAGACGGAGGTTGCAGTGAGCCAAATAGCGCCAGTGCACTCCAGCCTAGGCGACACAGCGAGACTCCATCTCAAAAAAAAAAAAAAAAAAAAGAAGAAGTTAGGCTTGTTTTACCTTATTAACTCCTTTGAACTGTCTGGATTTCATGGAAGTTGGTAAGATGCACTTACATGGAACATTGTTCATGCCAAACAAACTCATCTTTATTGTATCTATTTGTCACATAAATCCTTACATGGAATGTTTTGATTTCTTAAGAAAAATGAAACAAAGGTTAGCGCCCCTTGTTTTAGACATACAAACTAAAGCTAGACCCTGTTGCCCAGATAGTCATATTGCTTCTTTGCAATATCAATTCACAGAGGCTGTGAGATGTGGTTCAAAGAGTGGAGTCGAGAGTCTGGATGCTAATCCTGCCTTTGCTGCAAGAACCCTTCTGTTTGTTACCTTGAGGAAGGCAAATGTCTGTAGGCTTTGCATATCTCATTTGTAAAATGAGGAAAGGTAGCTGTAAAATTTTCTAACATCCGAATTATATAAACTTTAGACATAGTATAAAATAGGAAACTACCAATGATTTCTAAAGATAATATAGTTCTTTCAGACCACAAATAATACATAATAACATGCAACTAAGAACAACTTGTAAATGCAAGAAAAAAACAAATAATTGGAAATCAGAATATTTCTGGGAATTCTTCGTAATAAAGCAAATTTCAAGCACAATAAAGTAATATTTATGCATATTTACATATTTGCACCTCATCATAAGGTCACTCTAGTCCTAAACTGATGTAGTTCATCTGTTTTACAGCTGAAGTTAAGTATGTCCCTTATTTGTGCTTGGCTTATTTCTTTCTTAAATAATACATTACACAAGTGAACTCTGGCCATGGCTTCTTTCTTTCTTTCTTTTTTTTTTTTTTTTTTTTTTGAAGTTTCCCATATATACAACTCAGTTCTTTTTTTACTGACACCTAATATAAACCACGTAGCATGGCACCTACCATCCCTATTTCTTTAGCTCTTTTCACTCTCAAACAAAAGGCAAACCCAGTTGTGTGGTGCACCAGTTTTCAGCCATTCTTGTCCTCATTTGTACTTGAAACTGGTTATCTGAAGAACTGTAATTCACCTGAGATAACCCTCATTTTATAACAAGGCCAGTGCTTGCTTTATCCAAAGGAACCCAAAAAGTAAATTCTGCAAATAATACAAGATGGCAATAGAAACAGATGTGAAAATGAATTTTCAGTCTTATACAGGTAAAATATTTGCCCTTTTCAAAAAGGCAAAGAGGAGGAATGGTCTATTTTATAAATGTAATAAATTCCTCAACTCTTATTTTTTAAATATAGAATAAAAATTGTTTTAATGCTCAGGTTTTCCTGAGTGTCTCAGAAGTCTTATTTCAATAGTAAATGGTGTACTGGTAATATTTCAGTTCCATTCTTGTTGCAGATACTATTCTTTATTAAAATAGTACTTCATGGCCAGGGACAGTGGCTCACACCTGTAATCCCAGCACTTTTGGAGGCCCAGGCAGGTGGATCACTTGAGGTCAGGAGTTCAAGACCAGCCTGACCAACATGGTGAAACCTCATCTCTACTAAAAATACAAAAATTAGGCCGGGCACGGTGGCTCACGCCTGTAATCCCAGCATCTTGGGAGACCGAGGCGGGTGGATCACCTGAGATCAGGAGTTTGAGACCAGCCTGACCAACATGGTGAAACTCCATCTCTACTAAAAATACAAAAAAAATTAGCTAGGTGTGGTGGTGGGTGCCTATAATCCCAGCTACTCAGGATGCTGATGCAGGAGAATCGCTTGGAACCTGGGAGGCAGAGACTGCAGTGAGCTGAGATCATGCTATTGCACTGCAGCCTGGGCAAAAAGAGCAAAACTCCGTCTCAAAAAAAAAAAAAAAAAAAATTAGTTGGGCACGCTCCTGTAATCCCAGCTACTCGGGAAGCTGAGGCAGGAGAATTGCTTGAACCGGAGAGGCGGAGGTTGCAGTGATCCAAAATAGCACCACGCACCACTGCACTCCAGCCTGGGCGACAGAGTGGGACATAGTCTCAAAAAAAAAAAAAAAAAAAAAAGTACTTCAGATAGAGTTGTCCCTAGAGGCATTTGAGCTAGATGGGATTTCCCCTAGAGGGTAGAGAGAGCCCAGCCTGGGTTATAACTACACTGTGCACTACTTCTTCCTAAACCACATTTTTTTTTTTCTTGAGAAGGAGTTTTGCTCTTCTCGCCCAGGCTGGAGTGCAATGGCACGATCTCGGCTCACTGAAACCTCCACCTCCCGAATTCAAGCGATACTCCTGCCTCAGCCTTCCAAGTAGCTAGGATTCCGAGTACTTTGCACCACTATGCCCGGCTAATTTTTTTGTATTTTTAATAGAAACGGGGTTTCTCCATGTTGGTCAGGCTGGTCTCGAACTCCCGACCTCAGGTGATCCGCCTGCCTCAGCCTCCCAAAGTGCTGGGATTACAGGCGTGAGCCACTGCGCCCGGCCTGAAAGGAATCTTTTGAGGGGAAAGGGAGTCACAAAAGTATGCAGTCTGAGGGCATAAAGGGGAATCTCACAACTTTGTTTTGGTGGTAGGAGGGAGGGGCTCCCTCTGAGCTTTTTCCCCCCAGCAACTAGTAACAGCTGAGCTGCTGATTAGTGGGGTAGCTAGGACCTCTGAAGTTTGAAGCTCAGAATTGTACCTAACCCGCTATGCCCTAGAAATGGTCCTAGTCACACTTTTGAATATTTCACAAGTGTCTGTGCCAGTATTGTGACTAGAACATAGCTAACACTTGAGTGCTTGCTGAGTACCAGGAACTGAGCTCAGCAGGTTACGTTAAATTGTCACAATAAGCCTACAAGGTGAATAGCAGTATTATCCCTTTGTTAGAAAAAGTGGCCCAAGATAATTACAGCTAGAGAGCGATAGAGCTAGGACCAGTCCATTGTCTTAGCCACAACTCTTCCTGTCTCTCTTTCCCGGAATGTCTTTCCTGGAATGTTGTGAAGTGACTTCAAATCTAGTTTACTAAACTGAATCTGTGAAATCTGGGGTTTAATCAGTGGAGAAATGTACTTGTCTCAGTAAATGTCCTCTCAGTCTTCATAACTTCAGAGGGTTTTTTTTTTTTTTTTTGGAAAAACAATTATTACAACATCAAATTATGTGAATACTTCTCTTTATCTCTTCATTTATTAACACAGTGGTCTTGGAAGGTTTGCAAATCTGGGAGTGGGGAGAAGCGAGATTGTCTGGGGGAATCGCCAGCATTAAGTACTCCAGGAGACAGATAATAAATGTTACGGGATGCAATGGGCATTGGACAGCCCCTCATGAATAATTCTTCCACCCAAAATACCAACATTTCTCCCTTTTAGAAACTCTGAGCTACTCATCCACAAAATGCAAGTAATGAATTTCTTCCACAACAAATTAAAGGTATACTTTGCCCAGTCAGGGTGCATAAACCATTTGTAAAATTCCATTCCAGTTCAATCCCAACTGGAATTATTTTTGCATTCATTGGTCCTCCTCCTTTTTTTTTTTTTTTTGCCAAGTTTAAATACAATCAAACTGTTCACTTAATCTCACTTTTTTGGAGCAAATCTATGGCAATTACTCTTCCATGACTAGGAAATAGGAAGGAGGGGATCACATTAAAAAAACAGTTTGTTCTGTTCCTGGCAGGAGCTATGTACCATCCAAAAAAGATTCATAGAGTACAGATGTCCCTAGGCTAAACCGTTGGCTGTGTTGGTCCAAGGTTTGATAAATGTCTCTCTCAGAAGTCACACTGATTGCTTTGTTTATTGTAACCTTTATTCAGCTTGATGCGAGTGGATTGAAATTCATTACACTTCACAGATATGCATTATTAGCTTGGATAATTAATTATTTTGATAAAAATAAAGTATTGACTGTAACGTTGACTTATCTTCGTGATAAAAATCTTTAACATTCTTATAGATTCATTCCTTGCCCCTGAACAATATAAATTTTGAGATGGTATTTTAAGGACTTCAGTCTGATTGAATAGGAACAGGTTATATGGTCCAAAATGGTTGAATGTTCCAGTAATAGCTGTAGCTAACATTTATTGCCATTTAATCTTCACAACAACCTTACAAGGCAGGTATCATCATTATTCCTATTTTATATAGTAACACTGAGATGATAGCGAGAAAAGTCATATTTCTTGACTGCTTTCTCAATATCAATGGGAAATTATAAACCACATCATTAACATGTCTATATAGCAATCTTTACAAAATTATCTAGAATTACAAACACTTTAATATCCTTTCAGATATTGTCATCTAATCTACATCACATTTAAATAATTGATGTGTACTACTTAGGCAATTTTCAAAGATCAAACCAAGATAAATGTACCCATCTAATAGAATATAAAATAGTTAACAAGTGCTACTTGGTAGTGCTCTTTTTTTGTAACTTTTAGGTGTGGGGGTGCATTTGAAGGCTTTGTTACATAGCTAACTCATGTCACATGGTTTTCTTGTACAGATTATTTCATCACCCAGGTATTAAGGCCAGTACCCAATAATTTATCTTTTCTCTTCCTCTCCCTCCTCCCACCCTTCCCCATCAGGTAGACTCTAAGTGTCTGTTGTTTCCTTCTTTGTGTTCATAAGTTCTCATCATTTAGCTCCCACTTATAAGTGATAGCATGGTATTTGGTTTTCTGTTCCTGCATTAGTTTGGTAAGGATAATAGCCTCCAGCTCCATCCATGTTCCCTCAAAAGACATGATCTCGTTCTTTTTTAGGCTGCATAGTATTCCATAGTGTATATGTACCACATTTTTCTTTATCCAATCTGTCATTGGTAGGCATTTAAGTTGATTCCGTGTCTTTGCTACTGTGAATAGGGTAGCACTCTTTCTTATGGCATACACTACCACTGACTATGTTTGTAAAAGATAAAGTGGTTAACAGCAATCCAAAATTCTGTCCAATTATCTGAGAAGAAAAGAAGGTTATATCATCTTATAGTGCATAGTATGCCCAACATACCTTGGTCTAGAAAAGTATTTAATGTAGTATTTTAATTAAATTGGCTATCAAAGTAATTTTAAAAAGAACGTGAATGCAATTAAAAATAGCCCATACCTTGGCCAAGCGACAAAATGCTAAAAAGGAAAAAAAGAAGCCACTAAACGTTTTGTGGCAAGATATGTGTCATCTATATGAATACACATTCACCTGTAGTAATCTTGAAAAAGCAAGTGTCTTTCATTCTGTTTTGTACATTTGGACCACATTTTTGAAAGTGTACTAGGAGAACAGTCATTGTGCTTTTGTATTTACGGTAACATATGAACACTCTAGGGAATTCTTAATCAAAATTTTTCAAATTGAAAAAGGTAAACAAAGCCAGTGTAATTTCTACCGCACTCTGTCTTTCAGATTTGGTCTTAAGAACACAGATTTTTGAAAATAATGCCAGTAGAATTAAGAGTTATTTAAAACTACAATTTTTTTTCTATTTTTTAATCATTGAAACCACAGTTTTATAAATCACAGGTGCTGTTATTTTGCTAGTTTTGAATGAACATGTTTGGTATCAGGAGGCAATTAATCCATACACATCTAAACATGCCCTTATACTTCCATTTCCTGTGTTGAATTATGTGAAAAAAAAATGCCCAAAGCTGACACTGAAAAATGGTAGAAGTGGTGAAACTTTAGACTATGTTAGTATATAATGCAAATATCTGATTTTCATATGCATATGGAGTATTACAAGAATATACATACTTCAAAGGTTTTGATGAAGTTTAGATAGTATAGAATTTTGTAATATAGGTTTTTACCATTCTAATTTTTTGAGCATGGGAAAGTAGCTGTGTCCTAATCTGGTATGTGTCTGCAATAGTGTCCAGGAAGAACTGCTACATCTGGTTGGTTCATCACAAGCATAATCAAGCTCAAGTGAGAATAAGAGCTCAACTCCAACCCTCTTTTGAGTAATTTTCACAACCAAAGAGTTACTTAAAAAAAAAAAAGTATCTTGTATGCACCAGAATGTTAAGCCTTGCAATCATTTGAAAACACCTGCAAAAGTCACAATTTCAATATTAAAACATGTACCTGAAACTATTGTATTTGCTTTTTTCTGAAGTTTGAGAGCAAAAGGAGGAAAAGTCCTCATTGGGCAGTAAATAATTGAAATTGCATAGTTTTCTTTGTTTTTATCTAATTATATTATGCATTCCCAACTCAACTTGCCATATGCTGCTTAGAAATACCTCACAGCTTGTAGCGTGCTGCTATTATAGATACATTATAAGTCCTTAATATTTTTCTTAAGTTAGGCTTAACTGAGTCATCTGCCTTACGCAATTATAGGGAGATGGGAGAAATGAAAATGCTTTAAAATGTACTTTTTGAAAGAATTTCTTTTTAAGATATCAAATGGGGCTTCTCCCTTGTGCTGGTAAGTAGAATCACAACTGGGACCATTCTCCTCAGTGTGAGTTGGGAGACTTTCTAAACAATAGAAATTGCACATTTCCTTTCACCTAATGCTAAGGTAAACTTCGTTCATACCGTTTGCATGTCTTGTATCTTGACAGGGACTCAGTATGGGCCTTCCAGGCACAGAATAAAAGGATTCTTTTGTCCGAAAGTGAGCTTTGAGAAATCTTTTTGACCAATATCTGCTAATTCTATAGCAGATGGGTTTGTTGTACAGATTATTTCATCACCCAGGTATTAAGCCCAGTACCCAGTAACTATCTTTTCTGCTCCTCTCCCTCCTCCCACCCTCCCCCATCAAGTAGACCCCAGTGTCTGTTGTTTCTGTCTTTGTGTTCATAAGTTCTCATCATTTAGCTCCCACTTATACGTGATAACATGTGGTATTTGGTTTTCTGTTCCTGCATTAGTTTGCTAAGGATAATAGCCTCCAGCTCCATCCACGTTCCCGCAAAAGACATGATCTCATTCTTTTTTATGGCTGCATAGGATTCCTTCTAATCTGGAATCTTCATTTTGTCAGATGGAATCTTTTCATTGGGCTATAACAAACTTACTCTCACCATAACTACATTCACTTATGAGGGCAGAGCCCTCATGACCTAGATACCCCTTATTAGCACCCCTCTCCCATTGCATTGGGAATTATTTCTAATACGTGAAGTTTGGGGGACCATTCAAACCATGACACAAATGGAACAAAATGGGTTTTATTGTTGTCCAGTTTTGCATTTAGTTTCTCTAAAGTCCCTCATCAGAGCCCATGGGAGGTAACAAGTTTTGAGTTAAATATTTAAAAGGTATATTTTCTGTCTTACCTTGACAAACATATAATCTTAAAGACCTGGAAGTCCAGGTTTGAATTTAGAATTCTTAGACTCTTTAGAATTCTGTGGTAGAATGTGGTGACATGGAAACACCCAGCCCGTGGCCCACCCGACTTAGTCCTGAGCCTTCAAAGGCTTCAAGTAACCTTGGGTGAACTTTCCAACCCACAAGCAAGTTATATCAACATCCTGCAAACCACCCCCACACCTTTGCATCAGCTGTCTCTGAGGCTTTCTGTTGTGTATACCAGCAGAGCAGCCCACTGTCTGTTATGTGGGGAAGGGGCTTTTGCAAGTCCCAACAGAATTCTTGGATCCTAGGTACCCAGATATGTTCTAGAAGGAGGAGATGGTAGCATAACCTCTAGGAGAGTCAGAACAGGGCTTTCTTAAAGCACAGGGTCCAGGGTAGAGCAGGACTTTCTAAAATACTGAATTTGCTTGTATCTTGTGAATTTTTGACATTTAAAAATATTTTAATACCTTGCATCTATTAGGATGGCTACTCTCCAAAAACAAAACAAAATATTAAGTGTTGGCAAGGATGTGGAGAATTTGGAACCCTTGTGCAGAGTTGGTGTGCAATGTAAAATGGTGCAGCCACTATGGAAAACAATAGTTTTCTTAAAAAAATGAGAATAACCATATGATCTAGCAATCTCACCTTGAATATATATCCCCAAAAATTGAAAGCAGGATCTCAGAAAGATATTCATAACCCCATGTTCATAGCAGCATTATTCATGAGAGCCAAAAGGTGAAAGCAATTAAGTGTCCATCAACAGATGAATGGATAAACAAAGTGTGATAGATATGTACAATAGTATATTATTAAATAGAAAGGAAATTCTGACACATGCAACAACATGGATGAACCTTGAGGACATCATGCTAAGCGAAATAAACTAGTCACAAAAAGACAAATACAGTATGATTCCACTTATATGAGGGACTTAGAGTAGTCAAATCCATGGAGAAAGAAAGTAGATTGGTAGTTACTAGAGCCTGAAGGAAAAGGGGAATGTGGAGTTTGTTGTTTAGTGGGTATAGAGTTTCAATTTCACAAGATAAAAAGAATCCTAGAGATAAAAGGTAGTGATGGTTGCATAACAATGTGAATATACTCAACACTACTAAACTGTACACTTACAAATGGTTAAGATGGAAGTTTTTTTTTTGTTTTTTTTTTTTTGAGACAGAGTCTCAGTCTATTGCCCGGGCTGGAGTGCAGTGGCGCGAGCTGGGCTCACTGCAACCTCTGCCTCCTGGGTTCAAGCGATTCTCCTGCCTCAGCCTCCTGAGTAGCTGGGATTACAGGCACACACCACCACACCTGGCTAATTTTTGTATTTTTAGTAGAGATGGGGTTTCACCATGTTGGTCAGGCTGGTCTCAAACACCTGACTTCGTGATCCACCCGCCTCAGCCTCCCAAAGTGCTGGTATTACAGGCGTGAGCCACCAGGCCCGGCCAAGATGGAAGATTTTTTGTTATGTGTATTTTACCACAATTTCAAAAATATATTGAAAAACTTAAAGTAAAATTTAAATTGATGCTTAAAACATAAACAGTAGAATGTCAGTGTGCACTAATCTAAGATCGCTTTTCTGTTTTAAAATGCAACAAAACAGCCAAATAAGAAAGCTTTTGAGTAAATCATTCATTTATACTCGAGTATTATTTCTGAAGCCGCTTCCTTTCTTCCCTCCACAGTGAATTCGTCTTCATTGTACCTGTTGTCTGTTTCCCCCTTAAGCCAGACATGAAGGGCACATATCAGCGTGTTTCTCAGCATCTGTTTTCCAGAGCTGCAATTCCCTGTCCTTGATGACCTCATCTGCAATGGCTGATTGCACACTGACCTTGGCTAGTCTTAAATCTATGCAGCAGAACCTTTGTACATTCTTGTAGACAGAAACTGTAGGAACAGATGGAGAAATTGGCTACAGGAACATGGTTATTATCGCTGAAAATGTTCCTCCTCTTTCCAACTTGGTTCCCCAAGCATGGGGGTGGGTTGAGCCAAGCAGAAGGTCTTAGTGACTCATAAGTGGAGGAGAAATCCACATATAGCAGCCACTAAGGTCACATTTTCCTCCAATTGCTTGAGCATTACATATTTTCAATAGGTGTAGGGATGCTGTGTTGCTAAGCATCAGGCAAGGAATGGGTTTCAAATTTCTGGGTTCTGACACGTGCCCAAATGGCACCAGAGTGGCAAATAGAATTCTGTGGCGGTGTGGCAGATGGTGAGGAGAAGCATGGGAGAGCAATTGGTGTTTTGCATCTGTGGAAACTTTCCATTGCTTACTGATCAGGTGACATATGAAACTGCACATCCTATTATTTATATATTACAAATACATAGGCACATATCCTAATCCATAGTGAGTAATAAATCACCCACTGTGAGTCTGCAAGAGGTATGGGCCAGCGAGAACTTTTCCAAGAGGAAAAAGGACCAGCTCTTGGTAGAGTACAGTGAAGGGTGAACCCAGGCCTGGCTCTAGGAGCTCAGTGTGACCCTGGGGTATGGAGCTAAGAGCTGCTGAGGTTAACTTTGGTCAAGTCATACCGATGTCTCGTCTGTCCTACAGTTGCTACTTTATCCAGCACCATATCTGCTTTCGAGTTCATTCACATAGCTGTGGCAAGATTCAGATGCTTTTGGGCTGATGGACTGAGAACCTCAGTTCCTCACAGGCTGTTGGCCACAGGATCTCCTCAGTTCCTTGTCATGAGAACCTCTCCTCTCCATATGGCAGCTTACAACAGGGCAGCAGGCAAGCAAGCAAAAGAGCAAGACAGCAAGACAGAAACCAGAGTGATTTGTAATCCAATAGAAGAAGTGACATCCCACTACATTTGCCATATTCTGATAGTTAGAATGGAGTCAGTAGGTCTGGTCTCAAGGGGAGGAGATTTCACATAAGGAAGAATACCAGGAGGAGAATGTCACTGGGAACCAGTTTAGAAAGCCTCCCATTATAACAACTATGCTTTTGGACAATATTGGGTTATAATACCCTTTCAAACAGAAAGGCTTTAAAAATTACTACATTTGCAGCTACTCGGGAAGCTGAGACAGGAGGATCACTTAAACCCAGAAGGCGGAGGTTGCAGTGAGCCGAGATCACGCCACTGCACTTAAGCCTGGGGGACAGAGTGGGACGCTGTCTCAAAAAACAAACAAACAAAAATACCTACATTTCTCACATGCCTGTCAGAAATCTAATGCACGTTGCCCAGCCTAACCTATTATATTAAGATAATGATGACACTGGTATAAGCCATTCTTCTAGCAAAAAACCTGTTATATTATGACAGGAACTTTTTTTTTCTTTTCTTTCTTTTTTTTTTTTTTTAGTGCTTCAGTCATTCTTACCAGAATTCAGCCAGGTTTTATCTGTGTTTTACTAGAGGAGCCGAAAAAAATGCTCTTGGTTACCACCAGAATCAAAAAAAATGACACAGCTGAAAAAGAATTTCTGTGCTCACTTAGTCCAATTCTTTCATTTTATAGCAAGGCAACAGGCTCATTACTAGCATTGCTGGGTCCATGTTAGGTTTTGCTGAATTTAACATTAGATTTGAGGACAGGACCAATGGTACTGCCTCCCCTGGGAGGCCTGCAGCATGGATGTGGATTAAGAAAATTGAGATGGAAAATAAGGCAAGGCGTTAAAAAAAAAAAAAGTGGAAGAGGAAAAGAGGGGAGGGAGAACTCTGAGAAAAAGAGACAGGACTGCAGAAGTAGAGGAAAAGAGAAAGGCTAAAACATATTCACTGCAGGTACCACTGGGGGGCTCCATGACTTTCTGATGTAGCTGTTTTAACACAGTGACATTCTGATGTGTCTATGAAAACAATGAAACTTTTGGTGTGTTGTCATTGATAGACAGCATGGCACAATGACTGGTTAAGACTTAACTTTGGAGTTATAATGCGGGGCTTGAATCCCATCTCTGCAGATAAACTGTGTGACCTCTGCAAGTTACTTAACTTTTTTTTGCCTTATTTTCTAAAAGGGGAATGATAATAGTGCCTACTGAATGGAATTTTTGTCAGAATAAATGAGTTAATAAATGAAAATAATAATAATGATTCTATTATTATCACATGATGAGGACACAGACCTTATTCCCAGTCCTCAGCTGGGTTTGAAGATGGAGTGAGGCTTGGTAATAGGGAGAGGATAAGGCTTAGGGATGGGAAAGGGATAGCAGCAGTTAGGGTAAGGAGGCAAGTTGTGGGTATCACCAGCAAAGTGCAGCCAAATCAGACTGCCTCATGCATCACCAAGCAGATCAAACAGACTGCATTAGAAAGTCTATTTGCCCACACCGCCATCTTTCTAATTGTAGAACATTTTTCTATCCCCACCTCCCATACTCCCTTCATTTCAGCTCCTCTTGAAGCCTCAGTTTGTTCTTCCTGTTGCTCATTCCCTCAGGAGATGAATCCCCAGCAATGTAGAGCTGCAGTGCAGTTGAAGTAATAAGCTGGAAATCAGAACTATATAATAATTTTATATTATTACAATTATTATGTAGTATCAAAATTACTTTCTGTTTTTTGAGACGGAGTCTCACTCTGCCGCCCAGGCTGAAGTGTAGTGGTGTGATCTCGGTTCACTGCAACCTCTGCCTCCTGGGTTCAAGTGATTCTCCTGCCTCAGCCTCCCCAGTAGCTGGGATTACAGGCACACACCACCACGTGTGGCTAACTCTTGTATTTTTAGTAGAGACAGGGTTTCACCATGTTGGCCAGGCTGGTCTCGAACTCTGACCTCAGGTGATCCACCCACCTCAGCCTCCCAAAGTGCTGAGATTACAGGCATGAGCCACCGTACCCAGCCCCAAATTACTTAATTTTAGTTTTTGTTTTGTACTATCACTGTGGTTCCTATCTTCTCCAGAGCTTTTTCTCTTCTGGCTTTGTACTTTTTATTCAAGCATGTATTTACATTACAGACATCTTATCAAATAATTACTGCTTAAACTAGAATTTGCTGAGCACCTATTATGTCCTAGATACTGTCCAGTGCTTTCTTACAATAACCTTATGTATTAAGTATTGTTACTCTACCTGTAAAGGTAAGGGAAACTATACCTGAGAAATCATCACTCACATAAAAAAAAAAGAGAGAGATTCTATTCATGTCCTTATTCTTTCAGCAACCCCCAATAGCCTAAGTAGTCTCCCAGGCATCAGGACTAACCTGGACTTCACCAGGACCAAATATCGTCTGCCTCAACCTGGCTTCATAGACCAGGACTGGAGCCTGAAGAGAAAGAACAATTCTAAGCAGAAGTTCAAGGAGCTGTTTAAAGAGGGTCTTTATGAGATTGTAACACAGGAAGACACAAGCAATGTTGCTTCAGTGCCCGGGGGATAAATTACTACACAGAACCAGGGCAAGAACTGAAGAGAGTAGGGTGTCATTTTCCCACTTGACAGGTTTGCCCTGTGGCATTCACTGGAAAATAATGTGGACCAGAAATCAATGTTTCTCAGTGGCCGGGGTGAGGGGCAATCTTGGAAAACCAGAGTACGAAGTAGAAGGACATGGGAAGGACAGGCAAGACAACCCCAGGATTCTCAGCAATTACTGCAGTGGGGAAGGAACGGAGGGGCCTCAAGTCCTTTACACAGGGCAAAATGATGGGGCAGTGAGAGTTGATTATGGTTATCTGTGGCTTCATTTGTATTGATGAGAAATGTGGTTACACAAAAATAAATAAGACAAATTGTCCTCAAAGAAGTGAAATTTTATGGAGTCAGACATGCAAACAGATCATTAAAAGGTGACCAGCACTATTATAATAGTCCTTACAGAGGAGGTAACAACCAAGTAAGGCTCTGAAGGATGAACAAGAGTTTGCCAAATGAAAAAGAGATGGACCAATATTCTAGCTAGGAGGAACCTCACATGCAGAGGCTTAGAGTTATGGAAAATGGAGAGATAAGTTAGGAGCAGATTGTAAAGAGGCACACCAGGAGATGTGGAATTTACTTTGTAGGCAATAGAGAACCAGCCCACCAGCCCAGACTTTCAAGTAGGGGGATCATGGAATCTTTTTTTTTGCGGGGGGGAAGGTATTTTAGAGGAAAATTTGGACAATTAGTTGAGAGGTGCAAGGTACCACCTGAATGGCAGTTGGGTAAGGACTAGAGTCAGAAGAACCACTGATGGGACTGTGGAAACAACTTGTGCAATGACCCAGCAGCCAGATATCATGCTGGTTCAGGAACCGAGGGAGGCTCTGTGAGGCCAGAGCACATTTGGCTGGAGAAGGAGGAGAGGATGGCAGTAGAAGGAGAAGGAAAAGAAGGCTGCTCACTTGCATGCAGATGCTGTGAGCTGACGGGGCAAGTTCAAATTGAAGTTAGAACAGACCACTGGGGTAGTCAAGACCTTGAAGGATGAACCTGTTTCTTTTTCATTCCTGAATCTTGCCCCAGCACCTTGGAGGCTGGGGGTGGAGGAGGTGGTGAGGTGGGGTGGGGTGGTGAGGAGCTCAGAAAATGTTTTCCTGAATTAGAGAACTGAAGGAATCAAGGCTCCGCTGAGCTCACTAAGCGCTGGAGCCTGCTGTAAGTGGTCAAGTCGGGTGATACCCAGCAGACAAGTAATTTGTGTGCAGACCGGAGTAGATTACGGAGGACCCAAGGGTCAGGCTAAGGATCCTGAACACCATCCACGATAGAGTGGAGACGTGCGCTTCGGAGCCTGAACTATGCAGCAAGCAGTGTGTTTACTCAAATACTATACAGTTGGAAAATCTTAATTCTCGATTTACATTGCCAAAAAAAAAAAAAAAAAATCTCCATAATACTCCCCCATTTGTAAATAAGCAAATCCGAACTAACCCTATTCCTTGGGACCAGAAGACCCAGTTTCTACCGCGGATAGATAGCATCCGCCTTATGCTAAAAGCTCTTTTTTCTGCGGTGGTGGGGGGCGGCGGGGAGTGTTTGGAAAGAACGGTTGCAAAAACAAAACAAAACCCCCAAAACCACTCACCCAATCTCAACCACCCCAACTGATGAATTTCGAAGAAAGTGCTTTTTAAAAAAGAAAAAACTAGAAGACCACAGACCTCCCACAGAAAGCTAAACCCATGAGAGTGGCATTCAAAAACTACCCATTTTCTGGAACATCTTTTGTAGCTAAATCCCAGCCATCCTAGCCCCGGAACACTCCCGCCCTCCGTCCCCGCACCCCCACCCCCGCCGCCACACGCGCTCGCAGGCTGACGGAGGTTGGCGGTGGGGCGGCCGCTCAGGTGAGGGGCCACCCAGTCCCTCGAGGCGCCGGCGGCTGGAGCCCATTCGCTGCCGTCGCAGCAGCAGGGCAAGAGGGGGTTGGCCAGGAGGGGAGGAGGCGGAGGACGCCCGCAGGGAGTGCGGGGGAGGGGGACGGGAGGACGCTAAGGAGAGCCGGGAGGGGCAAAAGCACGGCGCGGGGAGGGGGAGCGGAGAGGGCGGGAGCGGCGGGGGCGCGCGCCGGCGCGGGGCCAGCCTCGCTTCGCCAGGGTCGCTGGCGGACGCGCGCCGCAGTCCGAGCCTCAGACGCGCGGGCGCGGGGGACGGCGCAGGGGCCGCCTGGCTGGAGCAGCCAGAGGGGATAGCTTCGTCGAGAACGGAGGACACCGGCGGTCCAGGGTCCTGGGCAGTCGCGCCAGAGCTGAGCGGAGGGCGCGGCGCGAGAACGTAAGTAGCTCCTTGCGCGTCTGGCGGTGACACTGGGTCCTGCTCGGGGGTGACGGCTGGAGCGGAGGAGGACGCGCGAGGCTGCTGCGTTGTCACTTGGACACCGCCGCGGGGTTCAGCCGAGCGCTCACCGGGCTGGCAGCGCTGCAGGAGGGGCAAAGCAGATCTCCAACTCCCTTCTCCCCTGCAGGCCCCCGACACTCCCGCGGGCGCCGAGAGGGAGCAGGGGGACCTGCGCTTGGGTGAAGGCACAGCTGAAATCCAGCAGCGCCGGCACCCACCACCCCCTCCAGCCTGTGGCCAACTTCTGCTCCGCGCCCGCACCCCACGCTTTCCGGGAAGCCCTGCCCAGAGCTCTTGCTCGTGGGCAGTTGGGCATGGAGAGCCTGCGGGCCCGGCACGGCGGCTTCCCGGGCTTGGACACGGAGGCGCGGGGCGTCACGCCACAGTGCCGGCGGGGCGAGGAGCGCGGGGGCCGGGCCGGGAGCGCACGGGCGTGTGCCTGTTCGGGCCCCTGCGGACACGTCTGGGCGTGGGCTTTGTTCGGAAGTGCGTACACCTGTGCTGACCACGGAGTTCGGGGGCGAGGCCGACTTCGCTTCTCCAGTCGCTGCCTGGAGAGGGCTCGGGGAATCGAGGCGGAACGAGAGAGACACGGAGGACAGAGGGGTGGGGCGCTTGCGGGGGCTTTGTCGGCCTTACAGGTGCGGGTCCCGGGAGTCCCTGCGCCCCGCCCTGCCTCCGAGGGCTGGGACTTGTCGGGGCCGGCGCACCGGGCTGGGGGCTGCCTGGAAAGATTGCTTTCCCAGCCCAGGCTCTTAGCGGTGGGATCTGGCATCCGCTCCGCCCGGGATGCTGTGTTGAGCCAGGAGTGATTACCCGCCCTGGAGCATCCATCTCGCAGCGAGCGCCATCTGCGCCGAGCGCCGCCCCCGGCCCCCTCCACGCCGCGCGGGTGGGCGCTGCCGCATCCTGGTCCCAGGCGGTTGGCCAGCTCAGCTACTCCCGGCCCGCATCTGCTAGAGTGCGGAGGGGGACGGGGTGTCGCAGTAGGGTGAGCAAGGGAGTCGTCATTTCTCCCAAAGCGGTGTCCTCAGGGCCGCAAGCGCTGCTGGAGGGCTCCCCGGGCCCCGGGGCTGGCGAACAGGCCGCTTCCTTCCCCGGATCGCCTCCCCTCCCGCCCGCGCCCGCGGCCACATCTTCGTCCCCCGTACGCTGGCGGGTGGCCCCTGCGCCGCGGGCACCGAGGGAGGGCGCCGAGCGGTGGCGTTTCTTTCGCACCCCGCCTCTCTCCTTCCCTTTTCTTCGCATCAGGGGCTCCAGCCCTTGGCTACCACCGGCGCAGAACTGTCCTGAGAAGAAAGCTTTCTTTTCCTTTCCGAGTCCCAGATGGTTAACGCTCAGAAGTGCGGGTCTAAGAGACTGGGCTCTTCCTCGCCCCAGGCTTTTGCAGGAGGAGATGGAGCCAAGTGTAATGAGGCAGGAAGCATTGGTTGTGCACCAGGAGCTCCCCCTGGGGTGGTCCTGGAAAGGAACACAGTAACCTCTGAATACAAACCTCGGAGGCTGGGCTGCTTTATGGGACTGCATTGTGCTAACCATGCCCTGCTGTTAAAATATTGTAATAATGGCAGTACTTGCTGAAGTACTGAAATGGAGTTAGGCAACTGATACTTGCTGCTTTAATGGTAACGATAGCCAACCGGTTTTGAGAGCTTTAGATGTGCTGGGCGCTGCGCATGTTACATGTATCATCTCATTTAATTCTCACAGCAACCCCATTTTAAAAATTAGGAAATGAAGGCTTAGAGAAACCAAGTAACTTTCCCAAGGCCACACAGCTAGGAAGTAGGGGAGTGGGATTGTTTTTGTCCTTGTGCTTTACAATCCAAGACTGAGACTGTGGCCTTTTGGAGGCTTATCAGTTTAGGGGAAACCTAAACCACTGAGTGTTCAAAACCAGGGAGATACATTACAAGCCCATTTAATTCGGAGCTCTGCAGAACTCACAGTAGCAGGCAATATTGTGATTCAGAGAACTGTATTGTGGAATAGCCTTTTATTCCCATGTAACTCCTTTACATATTCTTTTATTCCTGTTAGCTTTTAAGTACGTGGCTGTTAACCCACAATCCAACCCATTACAGTCACTGAACAACATGTTCTTAGTAACCAGGGCCTCTGTGATTACATAGATGTTCCTGGCACATCATAAAGTTTCATAAAACTTTTTTTTCTTTAAAGAAAAGGTCCCCAGCCCTGAATGTCCTTTGTACACGGTTTTGACTGCAAATGAGTTACTCCTCAAATTGGATGTTGAGTTTGAATAGGACCCTAGCATCCAATCTTAGGAAATCATTCTATTTCCTAAATATATAGAAACATGTGGGGGCATTTATGAAGATGCTCCATGTTAACTAGTAAAAAAGGAAAATTTGAACCAAAGTGGAATCAGCTATTTCTGGAATAGCTTTTAGAATTATAATTAACTGATCAATTGGAAAAATTGATTTATTTTGCATTCATAATCCTACTGACTCATAGTCTTGTTTCAACCTTCTTTTTACTTTATTACAGGAAAGTTGCTAAACATTTTACATAATCCAGGAATTTTAGAGCTGTTAGAGGACTCAGGCAACATTGTATCTAACTAATCCTTCGAGTTTCAAAACAACTGCAATAGGGCTCAGCCTCGTAATGCAGGGTAGTGATGAGGTCTTTGGACTGAAGGCCATTGCCCTTACACCACATCATTTTTGTTAATGCTACGGTAACAGTGAATAGAAAGCAAAGCATCTTTGGAAATAGTACTTCCTGTGAGGCCAATACAACAATGATGGCAATAATCGCTAGGTGTAAGTGCTTCAGAAGTGTGAGGGGGTCCTGAGAATGTATACACCTGGGCTGTAGAAAATTTCAAGAATCATTTCAAATAATGCTTTCATGCAGGTGTAATTTTCCCTGTGTAACAGATTGAATATAAATAGACTCTACAGATATTATATTGTGTATGTACATAGGAGCTGTTGAATGGAACTCTACAGGAAGCTTTTCCGTTAAAAAGATTTCATTCATTCATTCCTTCATTCTTTAATAAATATTTACTGTGTTCCAGGCAGTGGGGATACAGTGGTGACCAAACAGAATATCTGTCCTTGGGAAGATTAATTCTAATTTTATCATCTAGCTACATACTTCATCACACAGAGTTTTTTTCACATATCACAAATGCATAGCCGATGAACTTGCACAAACTGAACACATTGACTTAACTAGCACTCAGATCAAGGAACAGTGTAATGCACATCTGAGAAAGCCCTCTTGTGGTCCCTTCCAGTCATTACTCACCCCAAAGGGTAACCACTGAGGCACTGAGGCTTTTTCCTTATATTCTCACCATAGATCAGCAGCTATTGGAATCTCATCCTCATTTTCAAAGAGTACCTACCATCTGAGAAGCTCGGTAACCCATAGCAAATTTAACTGGAATGTAGAGCTTCTAACATATTCTTTAGGAAGTTTTGTGCATTTGAATCAAAAGACTGCTTTACTTCAGTCTTCAGCTGTTGCAATGATTGATGAAGAGGAAGTGATTTGAAAATTACTAAATACATTTAGATATGCTTTTCCCTTAAAATTTTATGCTTCCCTACCTGAAGCATCCCTTCCAGGAACCTTCCTGGCAGGTGAGGACAGAGGAGAGAACTGGATGCTAAGGGCAAAAATCCAGTGACTTATTTTACTTAAACATTTTACTGCCTTGGCAAATGAAAAGCTCCTTCTGTTTAAAACAGCCTCTATTGGGATCAAAGGCTGAAGTTTCTTCCCCCCCCCACAGCATTAATGAGATATAATTGACAAGTAAAAGTTGTATACATTTAATATGTACAACATGATATTTTGATATATGTATACATTGTGAAATGATTACCACAATCAAACTAATAAACACATCTATCACCTCACACAGTTAATTTGTGTATGTGTGGTGAGAACATCTCATCTCCCCAATTCCCCTACCCACTAGCAATCACCATTCTACTCTCTGCTTCTATGAGTTTGACTGAAGTTTCTAAGAATAGGAAGATGTACCAAAATGAATTGACAAATTTTTATTTTTTCTCTTAAAATTGAAGGCTACCTGAGGAAGGAAATAGGGGAATGGCTCAGCCTTCAGCGTCAGCAACTGTAAATCCTTCATTATCAGGTTGTCTTTAAATGGGGCAGCAAATGCAATATGTTTATTTAAAAAATGTTTTTGCTAAGTTTTTTATTGTAAAATATATATGACATAAGATATGCCATTAAACTATTTCTAAGTGTATACTTCAGTGGCATTAAGTACATTCACATTGTGTGCAGCCATCACCACTATACCTCTCCAGAACATTTTTTGCCTTCCCAAATTGTAACTCTGTACACATTAAACAATAGTTCATAACCCCTCAGCCCCCAGCCCCTGGCAACAAACATCCTACTTCCAGTCTATGAATCTGATGACCCTAAGTACCTCATATGAGTGGAATCATACAGTATTTATTTGTCTTTCTGTAACTGGTTTATTTTGCTTACCATAGTGCCTTCAAGGTTGATCCATGTGTCAGAATTTCCTTCCTTTGTAATGCTGAATAATATTTCATTGTATGTATATGCCACATTTTGTTTATCCATTCATATGTCATATATACTTGGGTTACTTTCATCTTTTGGCTATTGCAAATGATGCTGCCATGAACATGGATGTACAAATATCTGAGTCACTGCTTTCAATTCTCTGGGGTATATACCCAGAAATGAGACTGCTAGATCATATGGTAGTTCTATTTTTTTTTGAGACATCGTTATACTCTTTTCCATAGTAGCTGTACCATTTTACATTTCTGCCAACAATGCGCAGGGGTTCCAGTTTGTCCACATTTTCTCCAACACTTGTTATTTTCTGTTTTCTTGATAATAGCCATCCTAATAGGTTTGAAGTGCAATCACTGTTACTTTTTTTTTCTTTCTTTGTTTTTTTTTTTTTGGAGACGGAGTCTCGCCCTGTCACTTGGGCTGGAGTGCAATGCTGCAGTCTCGGCTCACTGCAACCTCTGCCTCCCTGGTTCAAGTGATTGTCCTGCCTCAGCCACCTGATTACCTGGGATTACAGGCACCTGCCACCATGCCCAGCTAATTTTTGTATTTTTAGTAGAGACAGGGTTTTACCAGGTTGGCCAAGCTGGTCTTCAACCCCTGACCTCAGGTGATACATCCACCTTGGCCTCCCAAAGTGCTGAGATTACAAGCGTGAGTCACCACGCCCAGCCACTGTTATCTTTTAAAGCTGTAAATTAATATCTATATATTCTGAACAAGTCATTCACAGCATTTCTAATTTATTGGTTTAACATTTATTAATATGGAGGTATATGGTTTTCAACAAGTATTAATTGATTACATACTTTGTGCAAAGCAAGAAATTGATGTTGTGGAGCATATGTGTTGTAGTCCAAGTCCAGGATAAGCCAGCATTGATGGCATACATTCATGGTATTTTTCTAAAATGTTGAATTAAAGTACCTATGTCTGTAATACACTTGTGCTAAATGATTTTGCTATGAGGATAAGTTAAATAAATATGCTTTTTTTACTGCCAAAAAATGGCATTATTATTTTAATCTAGAACAAGAGCAAATTTGCCTCATATCTGAAAATAGAAATATTCTTATGCTGAATGTTTAGGGATGTACTGGCATTGTAAATTATAGTTCCACATTGGGCATTTCTCCCTACCATTGAATCTTCCAAGATGACAGCATAAACCTTCACCACCCAATTATAATTGCTTAGCTGAGCTAATAAAAAAGATGTGGTGTCAACTTAATTGACCTATTTTACTGGCCTACAAGATTGGAATTTCAAATTAGAAAAAGGTAATTTTTAACAGTCTGATGGAGGGTTTCCATCAAGTGACTAAGAAGCTAGTGAAGATAAAAAAAAAAAAAAGCCAGTGGTAAAGGGAACAAATTATAACCACTAATGCTCCTGTACTCACATACTGTCCTAATGGCATATTCAGTTCGAACACAGGAATGATGAATCTTACTTGTATTATGTGCTCTCCGAATTTCTTCCATATTGCCCTGGACTAAAACATGGTTTAATTCACATGAGAATGAAAATGACAGGTACTGTCAGGCAAAAATGATCCTTTTGAAATTCTTCTCATTAAATAATGGTAGGAAGGGCTGGAAACTATATTTTGAATATATATATGTTGAATATATATATATGTTTAAATTTTATTATGTGCATAGTGTGTTGGTTCAAAACCCACTGTAACCAGAAAAAAAAAAAATCTATTTCTAGGGCAATCTGAGGGAATCCTGTAGGAGGTCTTCCACTGGGTAATATGCAATGAATTTGATTTATCTTTCTCAAGTGGGCTGAGAGCATTCAAAAAATTCAGTATGAGTATTCAGCATGTAGTGATCTTTTCTCCAAATTTCAACTTTAAAGCTAATTTCATGCCACTTTTTGATGTCCTTGGCATTTGAATGGCATGATTTATGGCATGCATTTTTGATGAACATTTACAGACTCATATTCAACACCACTAACAGATTCTCTCTCAAGGGAAAGGGGAAGTACTAATCTCCCATTAATTATGCCTTAAGGTAAGAGTGGCCTGTCCAAAGAGTTTTGTCCTGGAGTTTTTTGGTTCTTTGAGGAAGGATGGCTTGCGAGCGAGTCCGCTGCTGCCTTCCAAAACCTGGTGTGCCTTTTCAGTCCCTTACCTCAATAGAGAGCTGAAAGGACAAAAGTGAACAAAGGAGGCCTGTTTTGCCTGCCCCACTTGCTGGGCTGTTGTCTTGGCCCTTTTCAGTGAAGGGAGGGGGGAGCTGGGTCAAAGTTGAAGAACACTGAAAAGGAATTCAAGCTTCATGTTGAAATTTGAATTATAGCTTCAGTTTGAGTGCCGAGTAGATTAGTTCGAATTGAAATTTGTGAATCTGTGGAAGCTTAAGTGACAGATGGTGTTGGAACAACCTACATAGAGCTGGATGGCACACCCGAAATGTTGAGTGCCCAAGCGAGGCACTTGGTAAACATCTAGTTAACTGACAAAAGTTTTAAAACTGTAGGAAGTTCAGTTTGCTGCTGTACGCTGCATTAAAACATTGGACTGTGTGAATTAAGGGGAGGCCCCTGTGTCTGGCGCTCACTCAGATGCACTTGTTCCCCCTAATTGCATTGCAAATATTCTTCTGACTGTTCTGCGGCTTTCCCCTCTATTATCTAGTTGAATAAATACAGAAATGCCCAACCAGCTTCCCTTGTAAAATTGCATCGCAGTGTTGTGGTGTTGTCCACAGATTGTTTTGATGTGCAACAAGATACATCTGTCCTAAATATTGTCTAACCAGTGTTTTTTCTTCCCAGATAAGTATATTTATGAAGTGTGATTTTGGCTTTCTGCTCCCGGTGGGAGTCCATCACTCTTATATTTACTCTCGAAGTTTTTCATATGGCACATGGTTTTCCATTCATTTTGGTAGGCAGCATCTGATTGAAAACATTTCAGTAGGAAACGTTTTCTAGTGTGTGCATCACTAGAATAATAAAAGCAGCTACTAGGAGGTAGAGGGTACTAGAATGTATTATAATAAGTGAAATAAAAAGCAATTTTGGGTAATTTGAAATTCTTCCTGGTATTCTGTAAAACTGCGATTGGAAATGGAAAAATTGTAGTATTTGAAAACTGAAAAATTGAAAGTTGAAACATCACCAAATTTTGCTTTCGCATCTTTGACTGCTTAAATGACTCGACATAGTCTTTTCTTCTGATGTTAGTAGCATGATGGCTAAAAGCCATTTTTGTAAATGTATATTTAGTACATTCAAATGAATATTTCTACTTTTAGGGAAATAACATTGACATGGCAATATTTGAACAGTTAGTAACATGGAAATTCCAACATAATAAATACTCTAATGTGAACAACATCTAATTTACTTCAGAATGATTATATTAACTTACACGACATGTTGTGTTTTACATGAATCATGATATATACCTTGTGTGTTTCATGAATTTTAAGGTAAATTTCATTTTAATAGATGTGCTGGGGTTTAAAAAACTCCATGGTTATGTTTACGTTTCTAGTAACAGTTACTGTGATGTGAAATTATAATGGAAGGTAAATAGATGTCAAGGGTTCACTGCTGTCCTAAAACCATGAGGGGGTTCATTAAACAGCAGAGAGGGAGTGAGTTCATGATCAGACTCATTACCTCTAAAGGTAATAGCTTAAAATTTGAAAGAAAGAGAAAGGGAAAAGAATAAAAGTTTTTATGGCTATTGCCTGGCTAATGGAGAATAGTCTCCACTTCATAGCACTCAATACGAAATATTCTAGGGATATTTTACTGTAGTACTTTGGGTCATTGCAGTAACTTGACATCATAAAATAGAAATAACTCATAAGTCACCTTACAAAAATGAAATATGATAAGACATTTACATTTAAAAGAAATGTATTGAGAAGAATTTACTAAGAATTGAAAGCTAAAGTTATTTCAGTGTAACATGCTTAAATTCCTAGCCAAATCCACTCTATTTTCCAGCTGTTTTGTTCCTTTATGTACAGGTGGCCCTAGCTTGAGAAAGTTAGCATATGAAAATGTGAACTTGGTCGGGCGCAGTGGCTCACACCTGTAGTTCCAGCACTTTGGGAGGACAGAGTAGGCGGATCATGAGATCAGGAGTTCAAGAGCGCCCTGGCCAGCATGGTAAAACCCCCTCTCTACTAAAAATACAAAAACAAAAATTAGCCAGGCATGGTGGTGCGTGCCTGTAATCCCAGCTACTCGGGAGGCTGAGGCAGGAGAATCACTGGAACCCAGGAGGCAGAGGTTTCAGTGAGCCAAGATTGTGCCACTGCACTCCAGCCTGGGCAATAGAGCGAGACGCTGTCTAAAAAAAAAAAAAAAAAAAAAAAAAGAAAGAAGTGAACTTGGCAAACCCATATGGGGTGACTGTTCACATCAAAGAGGATTCTTCACTTTGCATAAGGATTATATGATGAGTGAGCTGCTGTAATGTATCAAAGTTCAATTCATGAAAAATTTTTCAGAAATATCTAAGTAGAGACTCTGTTGAAAGAGCAAATAGATACCAAGTGAAACCTAAGCAAATAAGGCTGAATAAAAATTAGTAAAGAGGTAGACAGGTGGGTCTGGGTGTGGTGGCTCATGCTAATCCCAGCACTTTGGGAGGCCTGGGCGGGCAGATCACTTGAGGTCGGGAATTTGAGACCAGCCTGGCCAACATGGTGAAACCCCATCTCTACTAAAAAAATGCAAAAATGAGCCAGGTGTGGTGGTGGGCGTCTGTAATCCCAGCTACTCAGGAGGCTGAGGCAGGAGAATCACCTCAACCCAGGAGGCGAAGGTTGCAGTGAGCTGTGATCATGCACTTGCACTACAGCCTGGGCAACACAGCGAGACTCCATCTCAAAAAAAAAAAAAGACATAGGTTGTAAATGCAGAGAGAACATACGATTGTATAAAAATATTTGATATTTGCTCTAAATAACATTGAGGGGCCGAGTCTGCATGATAAAGAAAAGCAGATAACTAGTCATCCAGGCATTGGGGGCCCTTGCTTATCTTAGTCAGCTTTCTCCATGTCTCCTAACTTCGGAAACCATCCTTGCTCTGTTCTGCGAGGAGCCTGAGCTGCTCTTCACATTATGCATGGTGGTATGTATCTGAGAGCCCCCAAATTTGATAAATGAGTGTGTGCAAGAATGAATGACTGAATACATGAATATTGCAAAATGTCAGAATGTCAGGTGGATCTTTGTTGGGGAAAATTGGGGGGTTTTGTTCTCAGCCCTGGTTTGAAGACATAGATAGATCTAGACCATGAGAAACCAAACATTTATAATTTCATGCCTGGACTCTGTAGATTGTAATTTGCTTGCTGGTTCTAAATTAGGCACTTGAGCAAGCAGGTGAAATCATTGAATCCAGAAGGGTACTATTTAAAAAATTTCTGCTGCGGAGGTCTAAATGACATCCTTGTGACCCCAAAGAGTTCCTCTATAATTTTCTACCTTTGCTAATGGCAGATGATTCCAGATTTGCACGTGGCTTTCCTTTCCCTTCACTGTCTGAAGCTGGTGCTTGTCATTTTCCTCCGGAGGTCTCTGGGTGGCTGCACACTGACTGAGTTAAGCACTTTCTGAGATTGCTTTCTACCCTCTGAATTTGAAGAAATCAGAAGTGAGGCACACAGAACTGAAATGAAAAATGAAGAGACTGGTTTGTGAAACAGATCAGAAGCTCTCATGCTGTAGCTTTAAAAATGGAACTTTCTCCCTTAAGATGTGAGTTGAACTACAGCATGGCCTTTCGTAACTAGTTAGTGGGTTATAGGGGTTGGATTCAGGGCAGTGGTGCCATATTAGAGACACCTAGAATAAAAAGTTATGTAACATCTTTGATTAATTAAAATTTGAGAAGAACTAGGCTACTACACATAGATTAAGAAAGCTCATACACTGCATGGCTTTGGAAAAGTTACTTAAGTAACTTTTCTTTATTTAGAAAATAGAGATAAAACACAAAATCTTTGTCACCACCCAACCCTACATCACAGGGGTATGTGACTGTAACAAATGATGATGAAATGAAAGTGCTAAGAGAGAAAGATGACGTAAATCTGTGTTATTAGGTAGAATGCACTTGACATTTTTTGCACCAAAAACATGCTTGAGGCATACGTATGTATCATGTATTCTTAACAATACATGTGGCTACTCGATTTTGAATAAATGAAGTGGTCTTGCACTGCAGCCTGGAGATTGATACCCTTGTTGATGCTGCAGGATAGGACTGTTCTCAAAACACAAATTATAACCTTACTCTCCAAAAAATGATAATATATATGTTAAAGTCATGTTGAGTCAATATGATAAAATAAGAGTCAGCAAAGCTGTCGGCAGTGTGTCCTTCTGAGAAGGAACTTTTTATTTTTCAGTTGCAGTCAATGTCCATAAATCTAATTGTATTTTATTTCAAGCCATAATCCATTCATATTTTTGAAAAGGACAGTCAATAATTTTGTTGTGTGTCAGGCATGACTAACTAGCAACCCCATAAACCAATAAAGCATGAAACCATTTTAATATATTAAATTCATCTAGTTTACAAACTGCATGTACTTAGAAGTTTGAAATAAAGGGAGATACATGCAGTGTGGCTTGTGAGCAGGTTTGTATATACAGTTGAGGTATTTTGCATTTATTCTGTTCCTCTGCACCTCAGTGAAGAGATGGAGATTAAAAATTGTAATCATTATTGACCTGGACTCTGTCGACACAGAATTTTAGAAATGGGAATGTGTTATGGATTGAATTATGTCCTTTAAAATTCATATGTTGAAGTCTCAACCCCCAGTGCCTGAGAATGTGGCCTTATTTGCAGACAGGGTCTTTATAGTTAAAGTGAGATAATTAGGTTAGGCCCCAATCCATATATGATTAGTGTCCTTATAAAAAGAGGCAATTTGGAGATAGGCAGAGTAGAAGAAGGCCTGTGGAAATGAAGACAGAGATCTACAAACCAAAAATGGCCAAAGGTTGCCAGCAAACCACTAGAAGCCAGGAGAGATGCATGGAACAGATTCTCTCTCACAGCCCTTGGAAGGGACCAACCCTGCGGACACCTGGATCTTGGACTTCCTGTCTCCAGAACTGTGAAATAATAAACTTCTGTTGTGTAAGCCTCCATTTTGTGGTACTTTGTTACAGCAGCCCCGGCAAACTAATACAGAATACAATAATAGTTCATCTGTTTCTAAACCTATTTCTTACCAAAAAAAAAGAGAATACAGCTTTCCCATACCTCTGTGTCATATAGCTATGTCTATAGAGTCATCCCTCAGTATCCAAGGAAGATTGGTTCTCAGACCACCCCCTTACCCCCAGGATATCAAAATCAGAGGCTATTCAAGTCTCTGATATAAAACGGTGTAGTATTTGCGTATAACCTACATACATCCTTCCATATACTTAAAATCATCTCTAGATTACAATGTAAATGCTATGTAAATAGTTCTTACACTATATTGTTTTAAAATTTATATTATTTTAAATTGTTGCATTGTTTTATTTATTTATTTATTTAAGGATATTTTCCATCAGTGATTGGTTGAATCTACAGATGCAAAACCCAGGGATACAGAAGGCCAATTGTATCCCTATCTCTCTCTCTCTCTATCTCATCATCTATATCTATATCTGAATCTATACCTACACCTGTATCTATGTATGTATGTATGTATGTATGTATGTATGTATGTATCTATCTATCTATATCTGTATACTTTGTGTACCAAAGGAATACATATATAATAATTGGCTATTTAGAAAGTTATTCCTTGAATTAAGGCACAGAGATGCTGGGAGTGGTGAAGAGGGTATTAATTTTATTACCTGGACAAATGTTTGAAGTTGGTAGTTTAATTAGTTGATTACCTTTTTCGATTATAATCAGCTGCAACTTTGCTGCCTCCATCAAGTGTAAATTTTCATCACCTGGTAACTTAAGGGCACATATTTTGTTTAAGTCTCTACAGGTGCCAAGGCTGTGTAGTCAGAAGGTTTCTTTCAACATGAAAAATGTTACAGTTGCTGATGTTTACTCAAGCTGAGGAAAGCAAAGCCTTGAATGAGCTATCTCTTAGACAACTTCAGCCTTCAGTGGGGCAGGGTAAAAATGGCATTGTGGAGAATTTTGCAGCTAGCTATAATCAGGCAGCACCACTGTCTATTTGGAGAAACAGAATTGTCAAGAGCTTTGATTCAACTTGAATATTAATTTGAATATACTGTGAACTCTAAAACCATTTCAGCTGGTCCTTTATGATGTCTCCCCATTTGGTGTGAATGTCTGTTCTTCATTCCCACCAGCGGCAGCCTTGTCTGTCTTGGATGGTGAGCTCCTCCAGGGAAATGACCTTACCTATTAATGTCATGTGTATGGCATTTAATGAACTGTGACATACAAAAAAAAAAGGTCTAATTGTTTTAAATAATAGCAACGAGATTGTTTGGTAGGAAGATTCTTGGGATGAACACTGAGAACTTTACAATTCTGAGTTTGTGTCATTCACTGATCTCATTTTAATACATGGACCATTTGCCAATTTGAGGTTTCCTCCTGGTGAATATGTTCTTTCCGTGCTACAGACATAAATTTATTTATGATCCTGACAGGAGCAACTACAACTAATGAGAATCTACCAACATCCAGCAGGAAACAATTTTGAATTATGGCTATTTTTATTATGCATATTCTCGCAGCTTCTTTTTAACACACAAGGAAGTGAGGTGAAAATTGATTGACATGTTTAAGGCCCTAGACAGGAGCAGAGAGTACAGGCGATAGTTTGTATCTGAATATCACTGTTTCAGTATGAGCTCTTTAGATCTTTTAAATATTTGCCTTGAAAGACGGTGTTCTAAGGACAGTTTGAAAGATTTGTGGATAACACTGTCATATTTGGTGATTGACCAAAGTCATTTTGCAGATGTACTAGCATGGGACCAGTGATGCCAGTTCTGTGGTAAATCACCAGCTGGTAATCACCAGCTTTTACTACTTTGAATGGTTAATCTATATTTTCTTACATCAAACTCACATTTTAGAATTTTATGTACTAGACCACCCCATCTTATTCCCTGTTCTGGACAACAGAATACATCTTGGGAAACCAGTTACTGCCTGGAAAATGGAAATAGGCTGTGTTGTGGCTACCTGCACCTGCTCTGGTCATCGTGTAAGCATAATTCCAGCCCTCCCCACTCCCTCTTTGGTCTCCTCTACACAGTTAGGAGTGGGGCCAATCACGAATATGCATGTGTTATACACCTGTGACCAAGAGATCCTCCATCACAGAATGGCAGAGTATCAATTACTTGGAATGGATGACTCGTGGCAGCTGCTGTCTGTGACTCACCGGGCTCTCTGCCCTGCACTGACAGCTGCACATCACATCCTGTGATCATACCACCTCAGCCACCTCCATGACCAATTCATCAAAAAAAGGGGGCTGAGCCTACTGATCCCAAGGTATTACTGTATGGGCAGCCTGCTCCCGAGGTATTATATGTAAAGTTGTCTCTCTGAATTTTAGGAAATGAGATCACAATGATTTTTATAACTTATTACTATTAATAAATAACAATAATCCCTGCCATTTATTAGTTGCTTACCTATATGGAACACTTTAATGAATGATCACATTTAATCTTCACAAAAACCCTTTATATGAGAAGCTAGCAAATTGTTTCTATGAAGGGCGAGATAGTACAAATATGTAGGCATTTTAGGCTATTTGATATCTCCAAAAATTCTCATAGACACTATGTAAATGAACAGGCATGGCCATGTAAAACTTTCTTTTCAAAATTGGCGGCAGGCCAGATTTGGCCCACGGTCAAAGTTTTCCAACCCTGCTTTATGCTATTATACTCATTTTATAGATGAGGAAACTGAGGCTTAGGGAGTTTAGCTGATTAAAATAACATAGCTGCTAAGTTGCAGAGCTAGGATTCTAACCCAAGGAATTTGACCCTTATCCCTCAGTCGTAATTCCTGCACATTACTGTGTCATCCTACTATGATATATAACAAGGAAATGGACTTTTAGCTTCTGCATGGTGAGAGTTACAGTTATGACCCAAACTTCTAAGGGGAATGTTGTATAGAGAACTGAGTCCTGAAGATGCTATTTAGGAAAGTGTAGATAGTCTAATCTAATCTACAGCACATTCAGGTAATGTAATTGCATCCTTGACTAATTGAAAAAAGCTTCTAAAGTTCTTTGAGCAATCTGATATTGTGGCTGTTTTAGTCAATAGGATTGCAAAAAGCAAATGACCCTAATTTTTAAAATTATGTACATTATTAGTTTTAAAATTTTGTTTATATGTTGGGGGGTCCAAGTGTTACATAGTAAGATAACTTTTGCATATTCTCAAGGAAAAAAATTTATTTTTCACAAAAACATTATGCAGAAGAGTTTCTCCCATATTTAACATTAACTCCTTGAATGAGAATTCTAAAGGTTTTTATTTTCCAGGATGGACAACTCCTTTTGTGTTTTATTTCCATGGTAACAGTTAAGTTTGGGCTTAAGAACAACAAACCTACAAGATAACCATCCAGTTGACATTAACGGGCATCCCCTTAGAGAATTTGCAGTGCTTCATGGTGTCCAGATCGCACCTGAAGTAGAATTACAGAGGCCTGTTGTGTTTTTTATACAGCAAGCTCTTTAAAAGCTGAAGGTTCTCAGAGTAGGCTGAAATTAGGAAATACTTCGTTTTAGATAACAGTTCAGCACACACAAAAATATTGTGAGCAGCCAGAGACTTGAAAGGCATTCCCAGGACACCATAAAGAACTCCAGAACTCACCGCTTCTGACCTTTGGGTGAATAAATTTTTGGAAGTGTGCAGCTGGCAAAATGGAGGCTTCATGTGACTAAACATTTTTGCTCATACTTTGTTTGAGGGAAGCTCAAAATGGAGCCACTCCCTAGCAGAGCAATCAGTAGAGTTACCTTTAGATTGTCTTTGGAAGTGTGAAATCTTTGAATGTAAGTGAGCCTCCATTCATTACTAAGAAAGCTGACAGAGGAGTAAAACCCAACTAATGGAAAAGTTGACTGCTGTGTTCTTGTGTCTGAAGTGATTACTGTAAATTAATTGGTGTAACAAATTATAAAGGGTATGGTTGATGAATGTAGAAAACTTTTTTTCTGTTGGATCAGTTCCTTAAGTCCTCGGCTTAATTCATTTAATGAAAAAAAAATGTAACCCAAATTAAAAAATGGAATTATGGTACTATGGACAACATTTTGTTGTAAAATATATTTTACAACTTTATTAAGGTATATGCCTTTTCTGGACATTTCATATTAATGGAACCATATACTATAGAATCTTTTGTGTCTGGCTTCTTTGAGGTAGCATAATGTTTTTGAGGGTTCTCCATGTTGTAACACGTATCAGTGGTATTCCCTGGTATGTAGATACCACATTGAGTTTACGTATTCACCAGTGGATAGACATATGGACTGTTTCCAATTTGAGACTATTATTAATAATGTTGCTATGAATATTAGCGTACAAGTCCTTATGTGTCCCTATGTTTTCATTTGTCTTTGATAGATACTAGTGGAATTGCTGGCTTGTATGGTATATTTATATTTCTGATTTAAGACATTACCAAACTATTTTTTAAAGTGGCTGTATCATTTTACTTTCCCAACCAGGAATGCCTGAGGGTTCCAGCTTCTTGACATCCTTGCCAATCTTTAGTATTGCCTGTCCTTTTTTTTTTTTTTTTTTTTTTGTGACGGAGTCTTGCTCTGTCACCCAGGCTGGAGTGCAATGGCGCAATCTCGGCTTACTGCAACCTCTGCCTCCGGGTTCAAGTGATTCTCCTGCCTCAGCCTCCCTAGTAGCTGGGATTACAGGCATGCACCACCACAGCCAGCTAATTTTGTATTTTTAGTAGAGATAGGCTGGTCTCAAACTCCTGACCTCAGGTGATCCACCTGCCTCAGCCTCCCAAAGTGCTGAGATTACAGGCGTAAGCCACCATGCCCGGCTTGCCTGTCTTTTTTATTATGTCCATTCTAGTGACCATGGAGTGGTATTTCATGGTAGTTTTACTTGCACTCCCCTAATGGCTAATAACGTGGAGCATATTCTCATAGCTATTGGTGTATCTTCTTTGGTGAAATGTCTAAATGTTTTGCCGGTTTTTAGAACGGAGTCATTTATCTTCTGATTATTGAGTTTGTTTTGTAAAAATATTTTCTGGATACAAGTTCCTTATCAAATATATGGCTTGTGAATATGTTTCTCCTATTTTGTGGGTTGTCTTTTTACTTTCTTGATATGCCCTTTGAGGGAAAAAGTTTTTCATTTTGTTAAGTTCAATGTAGTTGTTTTTTCTTTTGTTGCTTGTGCTTTTGGTGTTGTATCTAATAATTTATCTCCTCACTCAACTTCACAAAAATTTACTCACATGTTTTCTCTTAAGAGTTTTCCATATACATTTTAAGGTCAACTTGTTAATTTCATGGAAAAAAGTGCTAAGATTTTGGTAGGTAGTACATTAAATCAATAGATGAACTTGGGAAGAATTGCTACCTTAATATCAAATCTTCCAATTCATAACATTTAATGTCTATTTATTTAGATTTTCTTCATGTTCTCTTAACAATGCTTTGAATTTTTGATGTAAAATCTTGCATTTTTTTGTTAAATTTATTTTAAAGTATTTTATTTTTTGTGGTGCTATTGTGATGGAATTATTTCCTTCATATCATTTTAGATCGTTTGTTAGTGATGTATAGAAAGAAAATTGACCTTACATCCTGTATCTTGCTAAACTTGTTTATTAATTCTAGTAGTCTTTAAAAATGGATTTCTCAGGATTTCCTACATTTGTGTCATCTCTGAATAAAGACAATTTTGACTCTTCCTTTCTGATTTTGATGCCATTGATTTTTATGTTCCTTATTGTACTAACTAGAAGCTCCAATACAGTGTTGAATAGAAGTGGTAAGAGTGGACATCCTTACGTTGTTCCCAATCTTAGGGGGAAAGCTTTCACCCTTTCATATTAGGTATGTTAACTGTAGATTTTTTAATAGAAGTCATTTATTTAGTTGAGAAATTTACTTCTATTCTAGCTTGTTGAGATTTTTTTTATCATGAAAGGGATTTTGTTAAATGCATTTTCTGCATCTTTTAAAACTATAATGTGATTTTTGTCATTTATTCTATTAATGTAGTATATTAATTGATTTTTGGATGTTAAACTTCTGCAATACATCCCACTTGGTCATATTGTACAATGCTTTTTATGTGCTGCCGAATTCAGATCGTTAATATTTTAGGATATTTGCTTCTGTGTTCCTTAGGGATGTTGATATGTAGTTTTCTGGTCTTATAATGCCTTGGTCTGATTTTGTTACCAGAGTAAAACTGGCCTTATAGATTGTGTTGGGAAGTGTTCTCGCTTCTGTTTTTTGAAAAAGTTTGTGGAAGAGTAGAATTCACCAGTGAAGCCATCTGGGCCTGAATTTTTCTTTTAGGAATATTTTAAATTCTTAATTAATTAATTAATTTTTTTTTTTTTTACTTCTTATAGGCCTATTTGGATTTTCCATGTCTCCTTGAGTTGGTTTCAGTAATTTGTTTTTATTCTTTTTTTCTTGAACTATTTTTGAATGGTTGCTCTAGTCATTATAATGTGCATCTTATTTTACTTTACTTCAGAATAATACTAACTTAATTCTAATAAAATATAAAAGCTTTACTTCAATACATCTCCTTTTCCTCCCCCACTCTTTTATGCTATTATTGTCATTTATATTACATTTACATATGTATGAATACTCCATTTAGTGCTCTAAGTATTGCTTTATAAAATCTTTGTTTACATGGAAATGTGTTTTTTTTGTGCTTTGTTTTCGAAGGATCATAGTGGGATATAGTCTTGATTGACAGATTTTTTTCTTTCAGTAGTTTGATTATTTTATTCTACGGCCTTCAGGCCTCCGTTGTTTTTTGTTTTGTTTTTAAATTTTTAATTTTTGCGGCTACATAGTAGGTGTGTATAGTTATGAGGTACATGAGATGTTTTGATTCAGGCATGCAATGTGTAATAATCTTATCATGAAAAATGGAACATCTGTCCCCTCAAGCATTTATCCTTTGTGTTACAAACTATCTAATTATACTCTTTTAGTTATTTTAAGATATGCAGTAAAATTATTATTGAATATATTCACTCTGTTGTGCTATCAAATAATAGGTCTTATTCATTCTTTCTATTTGTTTTGTACCCATTAACCATCTCCACCTCTCCCCTACCCATTTCCCCCACTTCCCACTCTTCCTAGCCTCTGGTAACCATCCTCCTACTTTCTATGTCCATGAGTTCAATTGTTTTGATTTTTTAGATCCCACATATAAGTGAAAACATGTGATGTTTGCCTTTCTGCGCCTGGCTGATTTCACTTAACATAATGACCTTCAGTTCCACCCATGTTGTTGCAAATGACAGGATCTCATCCTTTTTTATGGTTGAATAGTACTCCATCGTGTATGAGTACAACATTTTTTTAATCCATTCATCTGTTGATGGACACTTAGGTTGCCTTCAAGTCTTGGCTATAGTGAACAGTGCTGCAATAAACATGGGAATGCGGATATCTCTTCAATATACTGATTTCCTTTCTTTTGGGTATATACCCAGCAGTGGGATTGGTGGATCTTTTAGTAGCTTTATTTTTAGCTTTGTGAGGAACCTCCAAACTGTTATACATATCAGATGTATTAATTTACATTCCCACCAACAGTGTATGCAAGGGTTGCCTCCCCTTATTTTTGATAAGAGGTCATAAATTATTTGGATTGTCATTTCACTGTAGGTAGTCATTTTTTTCTTGCTGCTTTCTTTTTAAAAAGTATTTGTAGTGTTTTATTTTTTAAACATTGTGATGTGAACAGTGAGCTGAATATACTATCTTTACTAAAATTTTGTTATGAAAAAATTTTTTAAATGCAAAAGCAGAGAGAATAGAAAATCAGCTCCCCTGTATTCATGACCTTGCTTCAATAAATGCAAATTCATAAAGAATCTGGAATCTATTCCCAAGAAATTAACCTACAACCAATTCCTGAAGGCATATCACTTTATCTGTAAATACTTTAGTATCTCTTAAAGGCCACAGCTCTTTGGAACATAAACACATCATTATCATAAACAAAATTAAAAATAAATTATTTCTATATTAGAATATCTAATCAATATCAAAATTCTCTCATTTATGTCACATTTGTTTGTTTCTTGGTTTTACATTACATCTTATTCAGAATCTTTATAAAACTCACACTTTGCAACTGGTTGGTCTGCTTCTGAAGAATCTTTTAATCTCTGTAGCCCATCCATTTTGCAATTGAAGGTTGGGAGAGAGGAAGGGTGGTATACGTGTGTGAGCGAATTATTTTTTATTTATTTATTTATTTATTTGAGACGGAGTCTCACTCTGTCGCCCAGGCTGGAGTGCAGTGGCGCCATCTCGGCTCACTGCAAGCTCCGCCTCCCGGGCTCACGCCATTCTCCTGCCTCAGCCTCCCGAGTAGCTGGGACTACAGGTGCCCGCCAACACGCCCGGCTAATTTTTTTTGTATTTTCAGTAGAAACGGGGTTTTACCTTGTTAGCCAGGATGGTCTGGATCTCCTACCCTCGTGATCCACCCGCCTCGGCCTCCCAAAGTGCTGGGATTACAGGCGTAAGCCACCGCCCCTGGCCAATATCTTGCTGCTTTTAAGATTTACTGTGCCTTTCGATTCTCAACAGTTTGACTTTGATGTGCCCAGATATAGATCTCTGTGTTTATCTTACTAGAGTTTTAGTTTAAGTTCAGGGGTACATGTGCAGGTTTATTATATAGGTGAAGTCGTGTCACAGGGGTTTGTTGTACCGATTACTTCATCACTCAGGTATTAAGCCTAATAACCATTTTCCTTTTCCTCTTCCTCCTCTCACTCTTCACCCTCAGCCAGGACCCAGTGTCTGTTGTTCCTGACTAGTGTTTGTTGAACTTCTTAGATCTGTATATTAGTATGCTTCATCAAATTTGGGAGATTTTCAACTATTATTTGTCAAGTATTTTTCGACCCACTCTTCTCCCCCTCTCCTCTGCTTTTGGAACTACCATGGTACTTATTTGGTGTGCTTGATGTTGTCCCATGGGTTTCTGAGACTCTGCTTATTTTTCTTAAAACTTTTTCCTTTGTGTTTTTCAAATTAGATAATTTCTGTTGATCTGTTTTCTAGTTCACTAATTTCTTCTTCTGCCTTCTCAAATTTGCTATGAGTGCCTGTAGAGAAATTTTCATTTCAGGTATCGATCTTTTCAACTCCAAAATTTCCCATTCAATTGTTTTCTTTAAAAAAATTTGAGATTATCTATTAGTTGAGAAATTGGCATCAGATTTTCCTTTAATTTTTAAACATGGTTTTCTTTAGTTTCGGAACATATTTATAATAGCTGATTAGAAGTCTTTGTCTGCTAAGTCTGTTTAGGACTGCTCAGGGACATTTTCTATTGATAGTTTTTTTTTTCCTACCATGTATGAGTCACACTTTCTTTTTCTTTACTTGTCTCGTAATTTTTGTTGTTATTATTGACTACTGACATTTTAGATATGTAGTGGTAACTGTGGTTTCTGCTTTTCTCTACCCTGAGAAATTTGTAGCTGTTGCTATTGTTTGTTTAGTAACTTGTTTGTAGTAAATCTGTGGCATGTCTTCCCTGCAATGTGCAATTGCTGATGTCTCCACTCAGTTTCTTTTTTTACTTAAAAAAAAATTAGCCTGGTTTCTTAAGGTTTGCCCCTGTGTCTGCATAGTTCAGTAGTCAGTCAATAACTGACCAAAAGTTGGACTCAAATACCTCCAGCCAATAAGGCTTCCACTCTCTGCTCATGGTTTTGTGTGTGGCTGGAGAGTACATTCAAACTTTATGTCATTTTCAAGTCTTCTCCCAGCTCTTACATTCAGCTGTCCTCTCTTGTGTCGTGTGTGTGTGTGTGTGTGTGTGTGTGTGTGTGTGTGTACATTCCATTGGCCATGGGTATGTAGGTGGCTTAGGCCCCTGAGGTCTCTTCTACACATTTGTGTGGCCCTGGTCAACTCAGTATATGTGAAGCACTTTTTCTAGCCCTCTGTGTTTGGTTTACCTGCTGGAACTCTCTGATAAATCTCTGATTGATCCACTAGTTTTTTGTTTTCTCCAAACAAACAGTTTCAGTCTATCTAAACTGCTGGTGTTCTTGTTTGCTTTCCAGTAAAAACTTAAACTGTGAATGCTCTAATCAAGTGAGCCTCCTTTGGCAGGTGCAGTGAAGCTGCTGTTTTTCACAGTCTGTCCTGCCCTGGTTGAGTGAATTACCTAATGACAGAGCCGGGGATGGGGGTTGTGGGATGGAAGCAGATGCAGGCAAAATCACTGCCACAGACTCACTGTTGTGACCCTGAGTTCAATAGTTGTCATAAATAAATGCTGTTCAGATTTTTGAGTGCCTTTGGTCAATTACTAGAGCAATCAAATGATTTTTTGACAGTTTTGTCCCGTTGTATGATGGCTATCTAGGGAGAGTATTTGTCAACTTCCTCACTCCATTATGCCAGAAGTTCCCTTCATAACACTGTGTGTGTTTGTGAAGGCTCATTCGTCAGAATGGATGGGCCTAGGAATACATTTGAAACACATACATGATGTTCTAGTCCATTTTGTGTTGCTACAAAGGAATACTTGAGGCTGGGTAATTTATAAAGTAAAGAGATTTATTTGGCTCACGGTTCTGCAGGCTATACAAGAAGCTTGGTGCTGGCATCTGCTCAGTTTCAGGTGAGGGCCTTGACTGCTTCCACTCATGGTGGGAGGCAACAGGGAGCTCCCATGTGCAGAGAGATCACATGGTGAGAAGGCAAGCAAGAGGGTAGGGGGAAGGCACCAGGCTCTTTTTAACAACCAGCTCTTGAGGGAACTAATACAGTGAAAAGTCATCCCAAGGGAGAGCATTAGCCAATTCACTAGAGATCTGCCCCTGTGACCCAGAAACCTTCCTTTAGGCCTGAATAATTGGGGCCAATAATCCCCCATATTGGGGATCAAATTTCAACGTGAGGTTCATGTCTAATAATCTCTCAGGTGATAACAGTGCTGCTGGTCTCCCAAACCACACTTTGGGGAGCAATTTTCTAGACCTTGATCCAGGTACTAGAGACCCTGGGATTCCCTGTCTTAGAGCCAGAGCCTATATCCAAGACCTGAATGGGTCTCAGAGGACTGACTGCTACAAGTGTGTACACCCACAGGCTGGAGGGGTAGTTAGGAGGTAGCTGGGTTGCGGGGTGGGGGCGTGCAATCTCAAGGTATTGGGAGTTGAGGGGATATGGAAGACAATGCTTGGAAAGCTTGGACCTTCAAGCTGGGATTCTACACACAGAAGCACAGAAGCAGGACTGGGATGGGTGGGAACAAAGAGAGCCTCCATTTGCACTCTTGCTCCAAGTATGATTAGGCCTGCTTATGGGTACTTCAGGAAACGTTTGGTTGAAATTATTTTATCTTTGGGCCAAAACACAAAATGGACAGAGTCCAGTTTTTCTTTTCTCTTTTTCTCTTTCTCCTCCTTCTCCTTCTCCTTCTCTTTCTCTTTCTCCTCTTTCTCTTTCTCTTTCTCTCTCTCTCTCTTTCTTTTTTCAGAGTCTCACTCTGTCACCCAGGCTGGAGTGCAGTGGTGCTTACGGCAACCTCTGCCTCCCAGGTTCCAGCCATCCTCCTGTCTCATGCTTCCTAGTAGCTAGGACTATAGGTGCGTACCACCACACTTGGCTGATTTTTATATTTTTAATAGAGATGGGGTTTCACATATTGACCAGGTTGGTCTCGAACTCTTGATCTCAAGTGATCTGCCCTCCTCGGCCTCCCGAAGTGCTGGGATTACAGGCGAGAGCCACCTCGCCCAAGACTCCAGTTTTTCTGCTTCTTTTTTTCCCCATGTCTGTATTGCAGTGTGAGAGAACACTTCGATTTCCTCTTCAGTGTGCACACTAAATACTCAAAGTATGTCAACAAATTTTCAACATGTCCATTTACTGGGTTTTTTATAACTTTGAGAATCCTCCATTGTTCCAGCTAGCCACTTAGGGTTGGAGCAAAGATGCTTATGCTTATGCTCCTGCTTACTGTTTCGTAGAAATCCATAGTCTTGTTACACCAATTCTTCGAACAAGAAGAACATATGATTTGGCATAATTTACAGGATTCTAATCTTGTCTCTGAAGAGTCAGTGGAAATAGCCATTAATTGCATTTTAAGTAATCCATATTAAAGGATCAATGACATTAACCTTTTCTTTATTCCTTATCCTCTTTTAAAGCTTGTAGAATAGCTGACATAGTGGACATAGGATAAAGATTTAGTGGTTGAGACGGTAAACATTCTGTAAGGACAATCCATGCAAAACAGTGATCCAAACAAATCCAGCAACTGCTAACACAAGTGGCTGTCCACTAAAATCCTGAATACCTTTCTTAGCAGCATTGCCTGTCTTCTTCCCTCCCCTGCTAACCTTTGGAACTTGCACCTATCTGATAACTTTAAAACTTTGACAGGTTGGGCAAAGAAGTGACTGGTACTTAAAACAGCTTGACTCACAAAAGCCAAGTTACCCTTACCTCTACCTTTTGGTTTGGCTTGCATAGCCCTGAATAAATCTTTTAAAACTAACTTTTGGAAATAATGCCTTGTCCCATTTTGGGTTATGCTTTTAAAAATATATAACCTGTGTATTTTTATTTGTTTGAGACAGCATCTCGCTTTATTTCTCAGGCTGGAGTGCAGTGGCATGATCCTAGCTCACTGCAGCCTCGACCTCCCAGGCTCAAGTGATTTTCCTACCTCAGCCACCTGAGTAGCTGGGACTACGGGTGCATGTCACCGTGCTTGGCTAATTTTTGTATTTTTTTCGTAGAGATGAAGTCTCACTATGTTGCCTAGGCTGACCTTGAACTCCTGAGCTCAAGTGATCCTCCTGCCTCGGCCTCCCAAAGTGCTAGGATTATAGGCATGAGCCACCACACCCAGCCAGTCCTGTGAATTTGATGCCATTACTGTCCTCTGCTCTTTTGACAGGAATTATGAATCATGATCAAAACTAAAGACAGTAGTCAATTGTTGAGGAGCTGCTGAAGCCTTTGCCACAGTGCCATGCAAGGTCTAGATTTCCCAAACACAAGATGTATGTAATGGCAGGGAGGGTGCTGATGTTGGCAGCATGACCAGACCCTGTGGCAGTGGAAGTGGCACGGTCTAGTGGAAAAAGCACTGGACAAAGAGACAGGAGGAGGCTTTGGCTGGAGATCAGTCTGCCATGAAATAACATGACCTTGGGCAAGTCAAGCTCTCTGAGCTTCATTTTCCCTGCTGACATAAACAATGCTGCCCTTTCTTCTCAGGATTATTATGGAGAGAAAATGAGGTAATAAGTCAGAATGCCTTGAAAAAGTGAAAGATGGTGGCAAATATTAGTATTGTTTATTTATTCATTCAGCAAACATGTACATGACAGGCATGACTTATCCTAATTAATACACTAGGGGACACCTCAATGATCCATGCACCTGGAGCTTATGGATTTTCAGTTCAGAAGAAAGAGGAACCTGCAAGCAAAACCTTACAGTGCAGTATGGGTTGGGTGCTGGAGTTTCAGCAGCTACCAAACGCTGTTGAAGAACAGAGGTAGCCATGGCTACCTCTTCCTAGGAAAGTTGTTAAAATCACCACAGAGGAAGTGGTTTTTGACCTGGCTCTTGGAAAATAATTAGAAGTTTGCCAGACTGAAAGGAGGTAAAAGGGCATCTTAGGCAGAGAAATGAGAATATTCACAGGCAAAGAGGTGTGTGTGTGTACATAGCTAATTATTTTGGATGACTGAGAGAATATTTGAATTTACTTGGTTCTAGCCACTAGATATATTAAAAGAAGTATTTTGTATTTAATGTTTTCCAAACTGATTGCCTGCTCTTCTCCCCAGCCTGGACTTGCTTCATCTCAGTTTCTGGCAGCCCCGTCCTTTCACTTGCATGGGTCAAAATTTTTGAAGTTATGCTTGACTCCTTCCTTTCTTCCATACCCTACATCTAATCTATCGGGAGATCCCTGTTTGTTCTACCTTCTGAATATATCTGGAAGTGGACCCCTTCCCTCCATCACCACTAGTTCTATCCCGGATCAAGCCACTGTGGTCTCATGCCTGGATATTGTGAGAGCCTCCTGTTCTCTCTACTTTTATCCTTGGTGCTACATCTTCTCAACATAGCAAACAGAGGATCCTCTAACAATGAAAGTAAGATCATGACACTGTAAATAACTTTAATACCAACCCACTCCTCTTAGAAAAAGCAAGATTCTTACCAAAAACGAAAACAAACCAAACCCGCAACATACTACTGGACATGACCCCTGCTGCCTCTCTGGCCTCATCTTTCCTTGTGCACCCCCCAACTCAGCTCTGCAGCCCCTGTGCCCAGCCTCGACCACACCAGGCATTGCTTCTGCCATCAGCCTTTGCACTGGCTGTGCCCTGTGTCTGGAACCTTCTTTCCCTAGGTCTGTTTGTCCATTTCTCTGTCACCTCTTTCACGTTTTTCCTCTGATGTCACCTTTTAATGAGATCTAAGCTGCTGACCCTATTTAAATTTCACCTCCTCACCACTTACTCCTGATTTGCTTTAGCTTGCTGTAGTGTTTTCATTTTCTATTCTACTTACCACTTTTTAAATACTGCATAATTTTCTTATTTAGCTTGTCTCTCCCCAGTGGAAGTTTAAGCTGCACAGGCCAGAGATTTTGCATCCCAACACATAAAATAGTAGCCAGTACACCTTAGGATCTTAGTAAATATATGTTGAATGAATAATGAAAAAGTCACCGTACATGTCACTGGGGGAACTTACCTATGTGAGGAAACATCATGGGCACCCTGAAACACTTATCTTGGATTGTTTGCAATTTAATAATTTGCAATTGGCAAAGTAAAAATGAATTCCAGTCTTTGTTTTGTGTGGGGAGTGTGTATTTTTAAAAGAAACATCCGGGCTGGGCGCAATGGCTCATGCCTGTAATCCCAACAGTTTGGGAGGCAAAGATGGGTGGATTACCTGAGGTCAGGAGTTTGAAACCAGCCTGGCCAATATTGTAAAGCCATGTCTCTACTAATAAAACAAAAATTAGCCAGGCGTGGTGGCGGGCATCTGTAATCCCAGCTACTCAGGAGGCTGAGGCAGGAGAATCACTTGAACTCAGGAGGCAGAGGTTGCAGTGAGCCAAGATCGTGCCATTGCACTCCAGCCTGGGTGATAGAGTGAGACTCTGTCTCACAAAAAGAAAAAAAAAGAAACACCCAGTTTAAAATCCAGTTTAAAGAGGAGATTCCTTCACATTGACTGTTGGTATTGTTTTGCAATTTAAATTTTTAAAAATTAAATGTTGTCAATTAAGGACATATATAGAACATAATGTATATTTCACCATGCCCTCTGAACAAAACAGTGCTTGTGCGGGATTACTGAGTTTCCTCTTTATGGTCTGGAGAAATGGGACCCTTGACAATCCTTGGAAGCCTTTAAAAAAAAAAAGAAGAAAAGAAAAGAAAATTTTAGGTCACAATGGCATGTCAAAATTCCAAAAACTTTTTTTCTTGTCTTTACCAAGTATTGTGGATTTTGCCCTCCAATCAATTAATGTCTCCACTCTTCTGCCAACCAAACAGGAACTGAAAATAAGTGCAAACGAAGTAAGATGGGAGAAAAAGAAAAAGTATGAAAAATTTCAAAATCTGAAAGAAATGGAGCCCCATCTTTTATTAAACATACTTATTGAACTTCATAAAGCTAGTTACATTGATACCAAGGACAATTTCTGTAAAAGCTTTTATTTTTTGTGTATTACAGATTTGCCCACAGAAGGGACCCTTCTCTGTTAGGCCTGTCAATTTCTCTTGCCCTTTCTCCTCCTCTGCCTTCCTTTTGTCCAAGGATCTCAGCATTGTTTGGTTTGCAGCCTCTGTGAGTTTATTCACAGGAACATATAGTCTTCTCACAAGCTGAAAGGTCACTTGTGCAGAGCCCTCGCTCTCTACTCCTTGGGGCAGCAGGTTGGTCTCCATGCTTTTCCTCTTCATTAGAATGTTAAAATATGTATCATGGAAGAAAAAACAGGGCAAAAATGCCAACACCTGTATACTTTCACTAATATATGTAGGCACAACTGATACAGGCTATGTAATTAATTTTTTTCACCATGCTAGCTGTTTTTTATTTTTAGCGAAAAATAAAGGCCACCTTTTCTTTTCTCAACAGTGTGTAGAAAACCTATGAATGGTTTTTATATGTATAATATAATAAATAGCATGGTGTTGTGACTAATGTCATTGAAGATATTTCTAGATTTTTATATCATTTCTATTTTTATGAAGTTCTAAAACGTTTCTCCTTTTGCTTTATCTTGTCCTTTCTCTGGTTTTAGTCATCCATCACAAAGCCCATTTGTCATTAATGACCCATGACCCCTTTTTATTATACATACTTTAGAAGGTCATGGATCTAAGCTCTGGCAACAGAGATATTTCATTTTCCTAATTGGCAGGTTATGAGGCCACAGGGGAGCCTTGAAATTTGATTGATGATTAATCACTCAAATAAAATAAGATATGGTAGTAAAATAGTTAAGGACAATGAATCAAGAGCAAGATTGAAATAACTGTATTTGGTGGAGTTTCTTGGATTTGCTGTTTACTTTTAAAACAATCACTTTTGTTTGCCAGCCAATAATTTCTAGACAAAGAATTGGCAAGATTTTTGTATTAATGGTTATCTCTTGCTTTTGAGTAAAGGATTTCAAGGTTCTGATCTCTTTTTTGAAGTATTTATATATAAGCAGAGAATATGGTAGAGTTTAGCTATTTTTAGTGAAGTGAGCATGGTAAAATCATAAATAAATTCTTTTTCTTCAAGGTAAAATTGGTGGTACTTGTAATTGTTAATCTTCATAAAAGTGTCTCTCCAGCCATTGGAGAGAATAAATTGTACTGAAGAACAAATCAATGTCTCAAAAAACTTGACTTTAAGTTGAAATATTGGGCCGAACAATAACTAAATTCAATAAATATTTATGAAACACCTGTAATGTGCCAGGCACACTTGTAAAGTAACTTACTTTAACAGCCTTGTCGGAGGCACAGGGAGTGTTCGCTTTCTAGGAACTCATGGAGTTGAGTGAGGACTAGCACACCAGAAATAATTCTATCTGCCTGTATTGTTCATTAATTAAGCCCTAGGTTTTGGAGAAGAGACTATGCATGCCCTGGGTCTTTGGGGAAGGAAGTAATCCCTGGAGGTTGCAAGGGTGAAGAAGCCTTCCTAGAAGAAAAAGGAATGGAGATGGGCCTTCAGGTGCCCTAGGATTTGGAGTGAGGAGCCTAGAGAGTGGGCATTCTAGAGGAAAGGCATGTTCGTGAAACAGTAAGTAACTCTGGCTTGAGTAGAGCAGAGCTTCGGTGTTGGAATATGGAGAAGTAGATTGGATGAATAAAGTGGATCAAATTGTAATAAACTTCCTTAGTCAAAAGTTGGTACCCCACTGCACAATGGGGAGCAATAACAGACTTTGATTCAATAACTAAGATGATGAAAGCGTTGTTCAAGGAATAGTAAACTGCCAGCTGTAAGCAGGATGCATGTATCATCTGAACATCCCACAGTGTTTTACACATTGTTGCCGACCCACTTCCCTCAATATTTATGGCTTTTGAAGTCTGGTTTTACAGATATTTGAAAAACAACAAATAATACCAAAGTATTTATTTTGTGTTGTGGAGATAATTACATGTTTTGCTTGCTTAATAAAATGTGCTTGTGTGCCCTTTGTTCAGGCCAAATGACAGGTGGTCTTAATCTGCTGATGGGGAAAAGAAGTCAGGGCCTTCTCTGATCAATGTAGCTGGTTTTTCACCCCCATCTTAGACCTTCTTGTTTTATAAGGGGGGTGGGCTTCAGCCTTACCCTGAATGAGGCTTCTGCTCAGAGAAAGAAAAATGGTGCAGACTTCATCTGGTCAGAGTAAAATGGATTTCCCTATGGGCATTAGGCATTTGAATGCTTTATGAACTATAAAGGCATTTGGTTAACCAGTTATTTTGGACAATTAAAATAAAGGGGAAGTATCAAGTGCTCACTCTGTTTAAGCCTTGTGCCTAGAGCACAGTAATGAAGAAGGTATGTTTTATTGTCCCCATGTAACATCTAGAGTTTTAGGGGAGAGGGGTGCATATACATTTATAAGAGACTATAATATGTGAAAGAGTTGTGTAGCTGCAGCTCATAAAATGAACATAAAATTAGACACATAACCACATTCTGCTTCATGTGTAGTTCTGATGACAGAGATGTAGCTATTTTCTTAGTCACACAGACATAATCAGACCTGCTTCAGGCATGCCTGGAGTCATTCACTGTACTCTCTTGAAAATCTGAATCTCTTTTTAAAAATGATGAATGCATTAGTGTCATCTTTGTATGATATACATTAAAAAAATTCCTTTCTCATAAATAAAACAGCAGTTTAGGCCAGTTGCTCTAGACTCGAAAGAAAGCCAGGAGCAATAGTGGCAATGAGAGAAAGCAGAGCCCTCTTGAGAGGAAGTCTCTGAGGCTTTCCTTAGTAATTGGACTTCTGTCTGATGTGTGAACCATGAACTCTCCAGCCATTTCTGTTCAGGACGCACCTAGACAATGTACAGTGTCAACAGTTAATCTGTCATGATAATAATAACAACACATAGTTTGCCAATATCATCTCTAGAGCCAGACAGGTCAATATGATAGTTTTTTTGTGTTTAGGTCGTTGCTATTTTGTAATTTAATTTATAACCTTGAATTTGGATCTGTTCGGTGGATGAAAGTATGTTTAAATATATGTAAGAACTATAAAGTCAGGGATAATTATTTGAGGCAGCAAAATTGTTGGGATATATTTCTGTATCTTGACAGACTCATAATAGATTGTGAGGAAAATGGACACACTATGATTTTGAACCTGAAAGCCTTCCCAAATCACCACATATAAAACCCACTGATTTAAAATACTGCACATGTATCATCTCTTCTGGGGCCAGATTCCCACTTTGCAGAGTCATAGGAGATAAATCTTTGGGATTTAGTATTGTGCAGGGGTGTCAGTCTCCATGTATATTGGGAGAAAATAATCAAAATGAATTTGGAAATATCTATGAAATAAAAGTTGGGAAAATAAAACTTTGTCTTTTAATGTTCCATTTCTTCTGAGTTATTCTCTTCCATTACCATCATATTTTCTTATAATCTTACTAATATTCTAGCAAAGTGGTTCTTAACCTTTTGGGTCATAATCTTTTAAAAAATCTGATGAAAGCCATGACATCTCACCCCAGAAAATTGCTCATGTGCACATGCTTGCAAAAAATTTCCATGAAATCGAGGGGTTGGGGGAAGACTTTACTGAACTCTAATGTCCTAAGGCACTAATTGAATGTAATGAATTAACTTCTTATCTATGCACTAGCTATGTACCATCCTTGAGAGAATTGAGAAAATAATCATGCAAATAATTTTCTCCAGAGCTTAATTCTTTCAGAAGTAAGTGGAATCCTGCTTGAGAAAGGCTGCAGATGAAACAAAATGAATACACTAATGTAATGTATATTTCATATATATTCTATTAGACATTGGACTCATAGAGCTATAGTCATATTGCTGCTCAAAAATAACATGCAGATTTGGGATTTAATAATTATACATGTTTTAAAGACAGGTCAGTTTCCAGTACATTCTTTCCCCCCTGATATTTTCATGATAGAATATATTATTCAATTTCACTGAAATGACTATTCACTCAGGCGCCTTTGAGAAGCATTGCACTCCAGGTGTAGATAGGACTAACCTACATTCAGTTTTAAAAATCAAGAGCAATAGTGTAAACCCCACTGACAAAAACTACGAAGTCTGAAAATGATGTGTTTTAACATTTTGTGTAAAGTGCCCCTTTCTGCTTCCACATGTCTTTGCTTTCTTGCCTGATAGGCAACACATCCCTTTATTCAAATGATTAGTTGATGCACTGTAATTATCAGTTTGAGACACTAGCCACACCTCTGACCGACTTCCCTTCTCCAGAGCTTCCAGGAAGCCACCGCACAGGCAGTTTTTCCAGCACCTCATCTTTCTTACTGAACAGAATGGCTACCTTCTCAGTTATTTCACCAGGAAGACTACATGGGACTGAGGGGGCAGTTTCTAGCTCACTCCCTTCTCACCAGCTCTCTTCGATGCCCCACTCCTGGTAGGAAACCTGATAAGCTCTAACTGGTCAGTCAGCACTGGGCTACATTGGGGCCTGAAGATTTCTGGCTGTGAAGGGATATGGTTTCTTTTCTTTCATGTGAGTGCATAATCCAAGGTCGGTGGGCTCAAAGAGGTGAGTGTGATTGATCATCAGAACAACTGCCCTGGGGCACATTTGGAATATGTGCTTTCCTTTTGGAAGAGAGGGAGAAGCACATGGAGAAGAGGGGATGACAGTGGTATTAACAGATTTAGATGTGGGATTTGTCCCTATGTTCATTGGGGCCAAACTTTAAGATCAACTTCCAGAAAAAGGATTTCAACACTCTGACGTCAGCATATGTCAATTATGTGGCTTCCCTGTAGCTAGGTGTTTCTAGCCTGGGAGGTGGGGGCCCTAGCCCTGCCACAGCAAGCAATAGCCTCTGAGTGTTATCACCCAGGTTCTTGGTGATGACACCGAGTGGTAGAGAACAGGTCAGATTCTGTTTAAGAAGGTCATGAAGTGTAATATGTTTTAGCATGATTGCCACCAAAAATGAAGTTCAGAGCTTAAAGTATTAACATGTATCTTTGTTAGCTGGAATATAGACTTATGCAACGACTGAGGTGCTTCTTGGTTTTGTATTTTGGAACTTACCTCATCAGTCAAACCTTTTCTGTTCCCACTGCTGAAGTTCTCTTTTAAAGCAAGCTCAAAGCACATAGTCATATTTGAAGTTACCTTTTATTTTTATCTCGTCATTCACTCATGATTTTCTCATTTTATGTGTGCCTCTTCCTTTTCTCTCTGAATCAGGTGATTTCCACCCCCATCCCCACTTTTGTTAAGAGATCCTTGCTGAAGGCTGTGTTCTTGCCTCAGTCTTCCCTTACTACCCAATCCACCTGACTCTTTCTCCTTCACTTTCCCTTCCTTCTTACTTTTCATCTTTCTTATGCTTTCATTTACTTCCTTTCCTGACTCACTATCCTTTCTCCCCTCAGCTACCTCTGATCTTTGTATTATGTACATATTTCATTATTCCATATATGCAAAAAGATAAAGAGGGACATAATGAGAATCACCGTCCTCTCTACCAAGCTGAAGATGCAGAAAGTCACCAATAGCTCTCAAGTCCCATCCTCAACTATATCCCCCTCCCTTCTCTCCAGAGGTAACCACTGTCTTTAACTCTATTTCACATCCTGCCTAGGTTTCCCTGGGCAGGAGGCAGGATGCTTTCCCCTGCACTCAGCCTGTGCAGTGGCCCCTTCTCTTGGCTCCTGGAGGCTAAGATGGGGGGCTGAAATGAGAGGACCACCCTACTGCAGCCAGGGAAGGTGGGAGTCAGGGCAGGTGGGAAAGGGTAACTCTTTCACTACAGAACGTGGCTGAATTGCTCCTCATTGGACCATCATGTTTTTATTCAGATTATCTTCTCTGGCCTCTTTTATATATTTAGAAAGGAAAATATTGTTACATGTTCAGTGAAATTTTATTAAGCACCTTCTCAATGCCTGGCACTGTTCTTAGTAGGACTTTCTTTATGGGGGTGTAGATTCACTTCAGTCCTCAGCTTCCTATTGCCCTTTTCTTTTTGATTGAGAAACCCCATTATACTTTAAAATGTATCTTTATGTAAAGGATGACCTGTATCTTTTACTTTAAGTGTACTTGTCAAAGTTGGGTGATGTATTTTATATTACACACTCTGCGTCTCAGTTTGTTTGAAAGATTTCATATACATAAAAGAGCTTGGGCCAAAGGGATACAGTAAGTGAGTATTCAGTAAGTGACTTAGCTGGGTGACCTTCAGCAAGATTTTTAGTTTCTTTGGCATTGTTTTTTTAATGTGTGAAAATGGGGTAATAATAGTCCCACCTCCCAAAACAGTTGATGAAATAAGATAATCCATGTAAAGTGTTTACTGCACTGCCTGGCATATAGCACTAAATAAATGTTAGCTACTATAACATGGCATTTTAAGCTTAGAACATTAAGTCATGTTGGAATTTATTTGAAACATTTATTGTAGAATGGAACATAGAGCTTGAAGGCTGTGTGACTGGTATTGCAGCTTAGAGAAGAGAGACAGAAGGGAGGAGCATACTCTGACCTAAGAACTCGTGAAGTGGCTCTTGGAGGAGGTGTTATCAATGAAATGTATTTTGCTGTGGAGGAGGTTGGAATCCCCACTTCCAATAGACCTGTTTTGACTATTTTGACTACTGTTCCACTGTATGTGGCATGCCATAAACATACCTTCGTTTTAGTGGAAAAGGTTGCTGCCATTCTGCTAGTCAGATCTTTTGCCTGCTGTTAGACAAACAGAATTAAGTATGTCGTTAATCTCCACAGGGCAGGTCAGAAGTCTCTCTAGACTCCTAAAATCCTAAACTAAAACCACAGAGTTCTCAAAATAAACTGTGCAGTTTGGTCAGAAATACAAGATGATTGAAGAACAAAATGATTTACTCTGTCAGTGGTTGCTACCCAATTGATTTTTCTTAAGTTGTAGATTGAATAGCTTCAGTTCCTTATCTGGAATACAGGGAAAACAATACCTGCCTCTTTTATTTAATAAACAGAATTGACATCATTTTGTATTTTAACTTTGTACTTTTTTTTCTTCAAGTAATCTTATGAGAAAGATGACAATAGTAATAATGATTCTAATATCTACTTCATGAATAATACTTTTCCTTCTACAAAATGCATTCACATTCTTTATTTCAGTCCATTTTCAGTAGGTTTACAGGTTTGAATTACATTTCTCATTGGGGGTGACTTAGTCTTGCAATGGTCTATATTATTGAATAATTATCAACATTTGAATATATGATCATGAGACATGTAAACATTGATAAATGGCATGTGATATTATAGGCAATACTTTAGCATGACTAGTCAAAGATGAGTTTTTGCAAATTAGCTAAAATATACTAATATCCGGCTCACACTAATTTCTCTCCTAATGCTTTCAGCCTATTCCACTCCATCTAACATAAGATATTATTCTTTTATATTGTTTTACACGTTTTATACACACACATATATACATCTACACTTATAGTCTTTTTTTCGCTAAGCACCTACCATAATGTTGAGCTCATGGTAGAGGCATAATTAATCCTTCTTAACTGGCTATGTAGAGTTGCTTTTCTGTGTATGCTATTTTGGGGTATGTGGGGGAATGAAGTTATGTCTTTGCTTTCCAACAGTTGTGGTTTTTATTAACCTTTAGTTATCAAGCAGTCTTTATTTTTCTACCAACATGCTCTTACTATATTAAAGAGATATTCCTCATGAATAGTTTCTTCCCATTCTACATTTCCTTCTGTGAGTCTTTTCTCTCTCTCACACACAAGATTTTGAAAGATGCTTCCTTAAAGAGCTCCAAGACAGTGTCATGCAATGGAAAGAATGTAAAAGTAAGGGCATGAGCCATCTAGGTTATGCACGCATTAATTGGGTTTCTACTTTGGCCCTTGGGAGATTCAGTAAAGCCTAAGAAAGGAAACCAATGGGGACCAGAGGAAATCAGTAGGAACCACGGATGCCTAAAAATGCCAAGTCACAATGTAAATTCACACAGAATAAGTGTAAAATGAGTAATTGGGCAGTGGGTACTTACGGAGACAGGAAATGTTTTGTGAATGGGGAAATTGTCGTCATATCTTTCCATCTAGCTGAGAAACTCCCCCCCTTGTAAAGGACTGCAGGATTTCCTTAAAATTTGTGGCTAGAAGAAATGTGGATAAGAATCTATTCGCCTATTTATTTACTTTAAAGATCAGCAATTCATATATTGGTAAGACGTTTCCATTTATTCAGAACACACAGACTTTTTTTAGCAAAGTAGTGCTCACTGTTTGGGGATAGAGACCTTCTCAGAAGTCAAAATGCATAAAAGAGACACTCATCAGACATCAAGTGTCTGCAAGGATTTGTGTGTGTCTGAAAAGCAGAATCTCTATAGTAATATCTACTAAAGAGATATTTTTGATGACAGTCAAGATATTCATAGAGGCCAGACAAAGATAAGACCAACACATTTCAGTCCACTTCTGTTTTCTTTCCCAGATTCCTTAACTGGGTACAGATGTTCTGAAAGGATATTCTTTTGTAGATTCAAATACTTGAAAATTAAAAATAAACACACACACACACACACACACACACACACACGATGGAACTAAAATATTTGTAAGTACTTAAATTTGTAAATTCTTGGTTTGCTACCAAATAACTAGAAGATGACTGTGTTGTACATAAAATGGAAAACCAAGTGAAGTGTATTCAGTGGCCTCAGTTTCTCCTTTTTACATACACTCATTTCCCTTCTCTGAGGTGCACCTGGACAGACTTAATGCCTACTGGACACCCTCACCCCGACATCAAAACCTGTTCTCAAGAAAGAATCCAACTTTCATCCACTAGTGAAAATTTAAGTTATTTATTTACCTGTTCTGCTTTAAACTATATCTCTAGTTTTGACATTAAAAGTTTTTATCTTGGATAAAGGAATTTTGTGTGTGGACACGAAAGTGGAGACATGTAACTTTCTGAGAGAAAAGAAGTGCCTTTGAAATGAGAGCACCTGGGTGAGCTCCCACTTTTGTATGGCTTAAGCATGCCTGTTTGTGAGTACATATAATATATACCTCAAACTCTATATATACTGCCAAACTCATGAAGAAAAGGACTGAATGCAAAGTGAGCTCAGATGGGAAGAGCAACATTTGATGAAACATGCAGCTTTATTTTATGTTGGATTTTGGATATTAAAATGCAAAATCTGTAGCAAGCAGGTAAACAGGAAAGAAGTGAGGTAAATGAAAAGCAATATAAATCATATTCTTCCCTGTGAAGTAAGAAATATGTTAAGAGGAGGAGGATGTATAGGAGAAAATTATGAAAGTGAGCTGGTCAGGGTAACGAAGAGAGGAAGCTAATTGGAGATTATCTGAAAATAAAACGTCTGCAGTACCCTCTGGGGAAATTAACTGCCAGATGAGAAGCATATTGTAGGAATACAATGACTAACGTTATCTTCTAAGAACAGTTACGGGGATGAGGGCACTCCTTTTACTTAAAGAAAAGATGAAGCAATGAATCAGATGGCAATGAAAGGAAATACATACGATAAGCCCTAACCAGAGCGGACATACGGTGATTTTTTGTGTGTGTGTGTGAAACTAGTTAAGTATACATATATCCTGTTAGTGCCTCTCAATATCAGAAGGACTAGGGGATATTTTTGGAAGTTATGGGTAGGGAAGAGTCATTCCTGAAACACTCGATTTTTCAAATTTTGAGCAGATTTTTTTCCCCAGAATATTTATGTGGCATGATGTTATTAGACTTGTTACTTGTGTCATATTCAAAAGCCTATACACTGATGGTCAAATAAATGTTTATGCTATAAAATAAGCCAGAAAAAAATCCACACAGTTGTATTAAAATGTTGAAATTATATCAAACCATTTTAATCAATCATGTTAAGTATGGGCCTTCATTATAACTTGAAAATGAGGATGGTGTGTATTTTCTAAGTGCTTACGTGCTCAATAATTGTTCACACATGGGTGAATATATATATACTTAGTGATAGCAACTTTCAGTGCGTGTGTGTGTGTGTGTGTGTGTGTGTGTGTGTGTGTGTGTATAATATGTATACCAGATAAAAGACCTCTCCCTTCCCAGCCAGTGTGTGGTCAGGCCAATGCTGCTTTCACAGGCAGGCTGTGGTGCTGACCACTTCAAGTCAGAATGTCATCGTTTGTCCCATCTATTATTATGCTCTTCAGGAAAACATTTGTCCTAAGATCCTAGCCGTGATTGGTGTCCCTGGAGATGCCCTCCTGCATATTATTCTGTGAGTGGACTTGTCTTTCTTCTCAATAGATGCTTTGATATTGTGTGCTTCATAGAAGCACAGAAATCTTTTGTTTGGTGAGAGAATCTCTACCAATTTCTGGAGAGAATCTCCAGAAATACAAGTCAGCAAGTCCTTTTGCACTGGCCTTGAACTGTGGGGAAGACCACAGAAATGCAGACCTGTGGTAGCCATGACTCAAGGAATTGAGTGACCACACGGCTCCTGGTCACCTAGAAGTCATTTCTTGGTCTGCGTGTCACAGGTGTTGCTTCTGTGGGCATGATGTAAGAGCAGAGGGGTTTCCAGAGCTCCATGCTTTTATTCTTCTGCTGAAGTCAGGGTGCATCCCATTGGTTCAGTGTTAGTGATAGCAACTTTCAGTGCTAAATGGCTAAAAGGTTGCAGTTTGGTTTGTGATATTGAGAATTGTTGCCCACTTTGTGTACAAATTGTTAATTCATTGCAGCTTAAGGGCTGCCATAGTATTGGAAAGCTGGGCAATGAGTGACTGTCCGTGAGTGGTATTTAACCAGGTATTAACACCAGTGTCACCTCTGTAACTTGCAAAAGAAAAAAGAAAGAGAGTGAAAAAGAAAGAAAGAGAAGAGCAGAGAAAAGAAAAGAAAAGAAAGAGCCATCTGCCTAGTGTCCAGAGATTTAGAAGTTGAGTTCTGGACATCTGAATTAAAAAGAAAAAATTATAGCTCATTATGACATGAACTCCCAATCAAATTGCTGGAATATTTACCTCAGTTACCAGAAAATTATTTGTTTTCTTTCGCTAGGGTTAGGATGTTTGTCCCCTCCAAAATTCGCGTTGAAATTTAATTGCCTTTGTAACAGTATGAAGAGGTGGGACTGTTGAGAGATGATTAGGCCATGAGGGCTCCACCCTTATAGGTAGGATTGTTGTTATTATAAAAGGATGAGTTTGGCCCCCTTCCCTGTGTCTCTCTTGCTCTCTCTTGTCCTTCTGCCTTTTGCCATGGGATGACGCAACTACAAGGTCGTCACCAGATGTCTGCACCTTGATACTGGACTTCTCAGACTCCAGAATTGTGAGCCAATAAATTTCTGTCCTTATAAGTTACCCAGTCTCAGGTTTTCTGTTATAACAGCTTCAAACAAACTAAGACATCTCCATAGCAATTAAAATAGGCTACTGTTGGCTATTAGCTTAAAGGATCCTTAGAAGCACCAGTATTATTTGATCAAATGGAGGGAAGCGTGTTATGTTGCAAAAGCAGAGAATCATGAGACATTCAATCACTTACTCTTTAAGGGAAGATGGAAAACATTGAAATAAATGGTCAGTGACAACAGTAGCAACATCTGAAAAGTGATGTTCCCAAACTAGGAATCTCTCTGGAGAATATGTGTTTGTAATGTCCGTTAATTGCTCAGGGAAATGAACAGCATGGATCTGAAATGGGAGGGACCTGTCATAAATAGCACAACCTCTTCCAATGGTTTGCAAGAGTAGGTGCTGTTTGATAGAAGGGTTAGTAAGATCCATGAGGAACCTCCCTTAATTATGAATGGCAATAGTAATTAACAGGATGTGTGAACTGCTCTGCAGTGATGGAAATTTCATCTGAGTTTCCTTTCCTTTTTACTGGTTTCATTCTGCCTTGTTGGAGAAGGTCCCATGCCTTCAACTATACAGACATGAAATTCAAATCTTGAAAAGCATACTATAAAAACCCAAGTTTTTCCTTGGGGGTATTAGTCTGTCTAGTTAAGGAAGACTTTTTTTTTTTAATTATTTGTCTCTTTCCCGAAGTAGTAGGCAATTAGACATCAAATGAAATTAAAAATCCCTACATGATTGTCTCCTGGCCAGAACATGTTGCCTGCTGCCATAGAAACAGCTCTCTGATCTCAGCGGTGATGACAAAGCATAGTTCTGACAAAGCAGGTTCCTTTGCCACACGCCTGTGGTTTAATCTTTTCCTCTTTTCCCCCGTGAGGCAGTTCTGTCTAGCGTTGTCAACCATGTCAATTTTGCTAGAATGTCTCAAAACATCTGTAATATGCTGATTAAAATAGACACTATGATACTATAAAAGAAATGTGCTGTTTTTCTGCTGTCTCTATCCTACTCCTGGAATTGCATCTGCAGTTTTATTTAAAGCAAATGCAGCATTCAAATCTCCTGTAGTTATTCTTGCTCCATGAAGATGAATATCTTAGTCATGCTGATCTGGAGGGATGGGCTCACATCAGCAGCTGGCCCGTTCTGTCATGGAAGAATCACTCTTCTGGACTGGAAGAAGCAAGTGAAATGTTTCTGAAATGTTTGCAGCATCTCTCAGAGGAAAAGGGAACTTCATGACAGAAATAAAGCCAGAGAGGGCCACTGTGAAAAACACTGGAGGGTAAAAATAACTACATAAGAGCAACCATGTGGAAACCACGGAGCCCTCTCATCTCCTTTTTGGTTTTGTTTTTTTGTTTGTTTTTTGAGAGGGAGTTTTGCTCTTGCTGCCCAGGCTGGAGCGCAATGGCGTGATATCAGCTCACTGCAACCTCCATCTCCTGTGTTCTAGTGACTGTCCTGCCTCAGCCTCCCAAGTAGCTGGGATTACAGGTGCCTGCCACCATGCCCGGCTAATTTTTTGTATTTTTAGTAGAGGCAGGGTTTTGCCATGTTGGCCAGGCTGGTCTCAAACTCCTGACCTCAGATGATCCACCCACCTTGGCCTCCCAAAGTGCTGGGATACAGGCATGAGCCACTGCGCCCGGCCTTCTTCTCCTTTTTATGGGTAGAAATTAGGATGTAGGCCAACCATTTAATCAAGAAGCATTTATTATCTCTTTTTATCATGCTTCTTTCCTGCCATGCCCATTTCTCATTGCATCAGATCTAAGCCCCCTTTTGATGTTTTAGGAAGTCATTAAATAATGTTCCTGTCCTCCCTCCCAAGTTTGCACCATTTGAGAAAGACGACACAAAAACCAGATTGAAGGAGAAGTGCCAGCTTGATTATAGTTCAGGCTGACTGGGGAAGTGATTAGACGTGCGGCCACAGGGCTTCCAGGTACCTCCTTCTCCATTAGACATTGTCACCCTCAAGGTCCCACCGCAGGCTGTTGCTCACACAGGCAGGCCTGCCAAGGAAAGGTACCCCTGTTGTCAGATGGCAGATATGAAAGGGAAACCAGAAGGCTCAGGGCCAAGAAGACCTTGTTTCTTCCCCCAGATTCCTTGTGCTGTTGGCTCACAGGTGTGATGGAGGGTGTGGGAGAAGCTGGGAATATTATACTGCAACCTCCTAAGAAATGGAGTATTTTTTTTCTTTTTCATCTCTTCTGTGGTAATATGAGGAGTAGCAAATGCCCTTCACCTCCAAACCCCTCTGTCTTGCCTCCACAGCCCTCTGCTATGAACCCTGGACTCACCCTGCTGCTCCCCAGCAAGCCCCTCTGTTCAGGGAAACCCAATGTCCTTCAGGCTCTCCCTGCTTCTCCTTACCACGCCCACTGTTGTGGTTGTGCTGGCTTCACCAAGGTGACTCTTCTCCAGGGAACACACTCCCTGCAGTCTTCCCCCCTTCTCTGTCTTCCCAGCGTTTTTTTAAGCCCCTCTTCCTAGCAGTCTGCCGTGGGTGAGATCTGATGGTTTTCCTCTTCTCTGTGAATACTTTTTGTTTTATTCTGGGCCCTGTACACTGAGTGGTATCAAATGGCTCCCATTTTCTAAAACACTGAACAATTTGCCCTCTAATTACATTCATTCATTCCTTTGTCTTTTTCACTTATTGTTACATAGGTAGAGTCTGGCCTCCCCAGTTAGATTGTGAGGTTGTTGTGGACAGGATTCACTTCTTTTATGCCTCTTTTGTACCCTTTCTCAGGGCTAGTCTAATGTAGAGTGGAGAGTTTATGTAGATAATTGTCTTAGCCTGGGTTCCCTAGAAAACAGAATCTGAGCTCACTTGAGAAGGTTTTATGAGGAGATGGAATTCCAGGACAAAAATAGTGAGGGAACGGGGGAAGCCAGACAAATAATACCTAACAGTGCTTTGCCAAGCTGTCCAAAGCTTCTCAAGGAAATACAGCTGGTTGCTCTGTGACACACACTGTCTTGCAGACAGGTCTTTGGGATCACACTGTACTTTGCAACAGTCTGTCACAAGAAGGAATGGCAAGGAATTGATCTTTTAGCTCCTTCTTGTCTCCTGTCTCTTACTGGTCAAGGTTTCCGCATTAAGTTTTAAGTTCCTGTTTTCAGATTATGTTACCATGACCCTCTGATCAGCCTCTGGGAAAGCCAGATCCTATACCCCACAGCAGGGTGCTTCGTTGGAATGTAGAAGTGGTTCAAGAAGCCAGAGTCTCTATAATAGCAGCTACACAGGATGAGGGTGCAGGGGTGTAGCTCCTGCTGCAGTGTGGACATGACAGAGGCTGAGTCAGAGCCATCAGCTACAGAGAGGCTGAGACAGCTGATGGTGTTGGGAGAGAAGATGGTGGCTGTGGCAGGGACTTTACACTGAGCAAGCAGCCAGAGGAACAGTGTGGAGAGGGGCAGGCAAACCTGGGAAAGCAGAAAAATTGGACTCAATACAGCACCAAATGAATTTCTATTGGCTGGATAACTAAATATAATAAATGTTTGATAAATATTTATTGATGTCTGTTGGTTAATTGCCCCCTATATTCCTGTCTTACTGTACTTATTGGGAGATACAAAGGGAAACCTAAAAGCCAATTTAGACTAAATATGTAAGTGTTGAAGGATCAGAGTAAAGGAAGAATAAAAATGTGTGAGATCAAGGTAATTAATCAAGGAGGGCTTCCTGGAGGAGGTGAGTTTTGAGTTGTCTTTCAAAGGCTATAGTGGTAAGGATTTATAAAGAGGAAAGGGTTATTTGGAATGGGAGAAAATATTGGCAAACCATACATTTGATAAATGGTTAATATCCAAAATATATAAGGAACTGAAACAACTCAATAACAAGAAGACAGCCCAAATAAAAAAATGGGCAAAGCACCTGAATAGACATTTTTCAGAAGAAGACATACAAATGGGCAACAGATATATGAAAAAGTGCTCAACATACTAATCATCAGGGAAATGTAAATTAAAACCACAGTGAGATATCACCTCACACCTGTTAGAATGACTATTATCAAAAAGATGAAAGGTAGGAAGTATTGGCAAGGATGTGGAGAAAAGAGAACACTTGTTCACTGTTGGTGAGAATGTAAAGTAGTACAGCAATTATGGAAAGTAGTATTGTGGCTCCTCAGAAAATTAAAAATAGAACTACCATATGATCCAACAATCCAACTGGGCATATGTCCAAAAAAAATGAAATCAGTATCTGAACTCCTGTGTTCATAGCAGCACTATTCACAATAGCCAAGACATGGATCAACCGAAGTGTTTATCTATGGATGAATGGATAAAGAAAATGCAGTCTATATATACAATAGAATACTATATAGCCATAAAAAGAATAAGATCCTGTCATTCACGACAACATGGATGAACCTGGAGGACATTATGTTTAGTGAAATAAGCCAGGCACAGAAAGACAAATACCACATGATCTTACTTTCATGTAGAATCTTTAAAAAGCTGATTTCATAGAAGTAGAGAGTAGAATGGTGGTTACCAGGGGCTGGGGTGGTGGGAACGGAGGGAGGTTTGGGAGATGTTGGTCAAAGGATACAAAACAAGTTAGGAGGAATAAATTCAAGAGATCTGTTATAAAACATGATGACTATAGTTATTAACATATTGTATTCTTGAAAAGTGCTAAGAGTGGGTTTTAAGTGTTCTTACCATAAAAATGATAAATATGTGAGGTAATGCATATATTTATTAGCTTGATTTAGCCATGCCACAATGCATATATATTTCAAAACATAATGTTGTACATTATAAATATATACAATTTTGTCCATAAAAATAAAACATTAAAAATACAATAAAGTGACTATGAGGGGGAAAAGAGGAAGGAGTTACTGCAAAGGTCTCACACAGTCTTAGAATCTGAGCAAAACGCCAGGTTTGGGTGTAGATTTCAGACATTTGCTGTGATAATTTAGCTTCATCGTTTTTTGGGTTTTTTTTTTTGTAAAATTTAACAACAATCTAGAAAGTTGCTCATGCTTTGGCTTACACTCTAAACTTTGGCAAGACTCAGTTGTTTTTTTTCGCCTTTGAGATTGGAATAATGAAAATTGATGGTATATAGTGTTGGCAATAAGATAGAAAAACAGTTTTCTTATACATTTATGAATGTGTAAATCATAATAGCCTTTTTGGAAGTCAATTTGATATTTTTTATCAAAATTTAAATTGTAAATAATCATTGAACCAAAAATTCCATTTTGGGGGATCTGTGTATACATAAACATATTTACAAGATTGTTTACTGTAGTTTTGTTTCCTTAAAGAAAATGGATCAACTTAAGTACCTATCAACAGTGGACTGTCAACAGTGGAATGGTTACGAAACTAAGGTACATCCATACTGTGTAGCTGTTAGAAGATCTAGGCCTGGCTGGGTGTGGTGGCTTATGCCTGTAATACCAGCACTTTGGAAGGCTGAGGCGGGCAGATCACGAGGTCGGGAGTTCGAGACCAGCCTGACCAACATGGTGAAACCCCGTCTCTACTAAAAATACAAAAAAAATTAGCCGGGCGTGGTGGCGCACACCTGTAATCCCAGCTACTCAAGAGGCTGAGGCAGGAGAATCCCTTGAACCCAGGAGGCAGAGGTTGCAGTGAGCTGAGATCACGCCATTGCACTCACTTACTTTTTATTGTATTTATTTTTATTTTATAAAAATAGAAAAGATCTAGGCCCATGTCTACTGATATGGAACAATCTCAACACATGTTGTAACATTTAAAAAGTAAGTTGTAAAATAGCATATAGTATTAACATCAACCCAGTTATAGAGAAACAACAAAAAGCAAAACTTTAAAAATCCCAACCTAATGATAGAGACATTCAGGGACCTTTTCCTTTTTATCCTGTTAGCTCCTGCAAGTATTCATGCATTTAAATTTGAAGGAAAAAAACCTTAAGGGTATCATCCTTTAAATAAAAGCCAAAATGTATCTCCCAGGAAAGGTTAGAGGAAATTTTCATGTTAGTGCTTAAGAAAAAAAAAGATAATTGGAGAGAAATCCACAGGTAGTCCTATATTAATAACATTTCACAGAACATTTGGGATGAGGAATTATTTTTATGAATTGAAGAAAAAATAAATGCCAACTGATTAAAAAAGGCCTTTCATAGGCTGAAGTAGTGGAAAGTTGGAAAAAGTATCAACAATTAGAATATAATCAATTCATTGTAGAAGGAAAGTTTTTTTAAAAAAACAGAATAAAACTGAAAATGGAACAAAATTTTGTGCTTGATTTTGTGTGCAAATTAACAAGTTTTATCGGGATGATACGAAAGATGTTATATAAACTATTTTGTTTCAAGGATGACATAGCAAACAAGGCGTTTTTCTTTGCTTGCTTTACCTTAAATACTGACCCAAGATAGAACTAGTATAGAAAAAATCAGTTTCAAGGGTCTGAACCACCCCATGCTGGACCACTTCCTCCACTATCCCTGATAGGGGCTCAGTCATACAGGCTGCCCTTCCACACTTGCTGTGACAAAGGACTTGACCCTCACGAGGTGACCTGTTTTGTCCTTGGACAGTTCTCCTTACAAAGTTCTTAGTACTGTATTAAAGTAAAATCTACCTTCAGGGAAGGTTTACCTCTAACGCATATTAGATTGAGCTTTAAAAATTGATCAAGGCCCAGTCCCTACCTCAGACCAATTAAATCCCTGGGATTGGGGCCCAAGCATCAGAACTGTTTTTGAAAGTGCCCCAGGGAGTTTCATGTACAGTGAGGACTGGCAACCACTGTACTCCCAGAAACCCATCAAATTTAAGGAGCACTCTCACATTTCACCTTCATCTTTTGTCCAAGAAAATTATCCCCTAGTCTTTCTATGAAATGGCTTGTAATGTTTTAAAGGTTTGTGGGATGAGTATCAATGCATACTGCAACCACTATAACAAGACAATTCTTAATAAGAAATTGGGTGAAATACAGTCATAGTGACTAGAATTATAAGGAAACACCCAAATTTAATCAAGGGCTATTTAATATGGGCTTATATTTTTCTATCTGTACTTTAATGAAGTTTTTAAACTTGAATTCGAGGTCCGCACAGTTGCAGCAGTTGTACTAAAATACAACTTAAGAATATTGATTTGAGAGTCTCTTGAGTCAGGAACTATTTGCTGGGTATGCCTATAGTTTTTAATGGCTCAGGGTTCTTCTTTTTGTAATGATTTAAAAACAAACAAGGTGGTGGCAGGAATAAGTCAAAGGTGAGACACATATTTGGCTTGATTTAGTGGGAAATCAATCATTCAAATACAACCTTTTAAAAAGAAAGATATAATATGCAAAACAATTTTTATTTAGAAGTTAGAACTGCAAATTATGATATAGTGTTAGAATCTAGATGTCCTTCAAAAGTCTATGCATATTATTTTATCTAACAAGGTAAACATAACCTTGTGTTCACAGCTTCTATGGGTGTGAAATTTTTTTGCCAGGGGAAATTTTGCTAAATTTTAATTTTTCACTACTAAAATAAGGGTCTATTACAGGTTACATATAAGATGCTGTTGAAACCATTAGAACATGGGGGAAGCCATCATGCTCCTCCTCCCCCAAAATGGGGTCTTGGACCCCTGAGCTGGGCATCAGAATGAAGGAGGAGCGACCTGTCCTCAGGCCTGGTGCCTGGAGACTGGGGTGATGCGCGAGATGGCACCGGGGTGAAAATGGAATTGAAGAGTGACCCAGGGAGAGATCTAAAGAGGCTCTGGAGAGAGGTCAACAGGAGATGTCAGAACAGATGGGGAAGTTTGGGAAGGAAGTGTCAGAAGCTTTAGATTTTAGTATAAGTGTGGCTGTCACAGACTGTTCGTAGGAGTGGGAGGTGCAATGCATTGAGCTGGTTATTGGAAGTTGCCAGATGGCTTTACTTTCCTTCCTATGCAGGATGTAAAATATGTCATCCATTTCTATTTAGGAAAAAACATTCAATGTTGTTTTGTTTTAGCTGAAGCAGTGATAGTGGTCAGCAGTCTGGAAATTCTACCTTTTTGCAGGTTACATTTCTCTTAATGCTCTGCACGCGTTGATCCTACCTAACCTCAAATTCCTGCCTAGCCTCCATCCTGTGACCAAAGTGAATCTCACTCCTCTGGGGCCGTGTGAGACTCCACAGCCACCTTCTCTTTCTAGGCAGGTGTTTTGTGCCTTCCCTCACACAAACAGCTCCCTGAATATGTCACACCCCTCGTTCCCCAGCTTAAGGGCTCCATTCACCTAATTTCATTTTGCAATGCCTTGTGGAGGTAGGAGGCGACAAGGAATTGAGGAGGGTGACAGTCCCAGTTCTCCTACCCGCCCCGCCTCTACAGTCATCCCACTGAACCCAAGGAGGACATTTCTTACTGAATGAGGGTCGGCTCCATTTCTTTCTCTTCTAATCCCTTTCAGGGAGTGCTCAGCTTGGTGAGGAATGAAACCCAATGCTCCATGGCCCCTTTCCAGCTGGGTGCAGTTCCAAACTGCATTCAAAGCCAACACTAATTATGTTCAAAGTTTCATATTAGTAACGGAGTAAAGACATATGTGAGCTAATATTAAATATCAATTTTCCCTAATAAGAGGCTTTGGCTATTTTATTGTGGATATGAAGCTGTCTTGGTATCTGTATGTGAAGACACTGGCATAGAACCTCATATGTCAGGAGGGGAGGATGGTGCCCTCTGGCAGGAAGCTTCCAATTTTCCGGGACAGCTTTTCTCACATTCTTGCTAAAAAGCCTGTGCCCAGCTCAGCAGCTTGGCAAATAGAGCAAAACCTCCTGGATTTGAATGGCACTCATAGAGAATCCATGACCACCAAATAGGGCCACAACAGGTTCATTTTTACATTTTCTCCGTTTAGTTCTTCCTAGACAAATCAATATTTAACCAGTTTGTGGATTTAATCTAGTTTAAATTCATTTAAGAGAATGTTGGGCTCTTAAAAAGTGTCAGTTCCATACAAGCATATAATCTATGTGCTACCTAGCATAGTACCTAGTACACGATAGGCAATTAAAGGTTGGATTTATGAATTATTATGAATCATTAAAGGAAGTCTCTAAATTTCTTTGCTGGGTGGCAGTTTTTTTAAAAAAAGAAAACAAATCTGTTATTGTTTGTAGTTGAAAATGATAAAATCACTTCTTTAAAAATATTCCCTTATCAATTTTATATCAATCACATCAATTTAAATTTGGAAAGATTCATTATATATTAGATTAATAGTTCTTGGCTTCACATTACAACCACCTGGAGAGTCCTACCCAAGACCAATTAAATCGGAATCTCAATTGTGGGCTTTGGCCATCTGGAGTTTTGCTTTTTTAACAGCTTTATTGAGATATAATTAAACACAACAAACTGCACATACTTAAAATGGACAATTTGATAAATTTTAACATACACCTGTGAAACCATCAACACAATCAAGATAGTAAACATATCGCCTGTGGTTTTAAAACCAGCTCAGGTGATTCCCAAGTCCAGCAGAGCTGAGAACTACTGCAATACAGCCTCAAAATCATGAGCTGGGTAAGCACATAACTTCTAGCTGTTCTTCCCTTCCAATCAGGCAGACTGCTCACTGTCAAACTACAGATCTACAGCAAATGGTGAGGGCAGGGCTGTGATGGGAGAAGGTGAGAAATAAGTGGGCATTTGGGCTGGCTGTGCTCTGAGCAGGTACTTGGCCTGAAATACTCTCGGTTCAGTTGATCACAATCTTAGATGAGAGAAATGGAACTTCACAGTTGAATAATGCTCCATATATCAGATTCCATATAACAATCTTACTGGTGGTTTTTCAGCCAGTGCTAGTAAAATAGCGCACCTTTAAAAAAATCATATAAAAAGTCAGCCAGTTGGAATAACATTAATATCCAATATTAGGGCAGCGATTAAATAGATATGGTTTCTTTATATGGTAGAATATCATTCAGACACTAAAAATGATTTTATAGAATATTTAATGAGTTGGGGAAATGTTCATGGTGTATGGTTAAGTGAGAATAGCAGGTTGATAAACCAGTGTGTGCTGAATGATACCACTTCTATTCTGAAAAAAGTGAATACAGACACACAAGAAAAATAAAAGACTTGGAAAACATACACCAAAACATGAACATGGAAGAAAATGTTTAAATTTCTTTTAAAAATTTTTCTTTACTTTTTATATTTTGGAAAATGAAAACAATTTTTTGATAAGAAAGAATAAATATTATTAAACATCAGCTGCAGAAATTCCCCACCTAAAAATGAAACCCTATCTAAAATAATCCAGTAGAAATGAAGGAAGAATATGAAAATCATTAGCATTCTAGCTTCATACTAGTATGCATTACCCAGTAGGCTCTCACTAAATGTTTCTTGAGTGATTTGAATAAATGACTGGAGCTAAGCAAAATAAACAAACTCCTGCTCAAGTTGGAACAAGTTCAGTTGCTTTTCAGAGTCATCAAAGCAAATTGTTTTGTTTATTCTATTAAACTCAAGTTCAAGGTTGCATGGCATTTGTATTACTGTTGAAGTGTGCTGGCATTTCATTTCATTTTGACTGACTCCAGCTGTTTTCCAGTAAGAAGACTGGGCAATATGCAAATAAGCAGGTTGCTGCATATGGGCTGTTGTAATAGTTTTTGGCCATTTCAGAAAAGCTTCAATCTGAGGAGTGTTCTCTCCAACATGGAAGGAGACATGAAATGAGTCTCTGTATCCCTTACCATTTGAAGTAGATTAAATTTTTATGATGTGCACAAAATGTGGCTGAAGTATAGTAGAAACTCCCTAATCCCTGTATATCCTATTCCCAACCCTTTACATGAGGCCTTGGCTCTGTTTACTCTTGCCAACTTGCAGCTTCACTCGCTTTCTTTGTCTGTTCTTATTACATGTCAGCCTACAGATGTGCTCAAATCTCCTCTGGCCTAAAATCACTTCTCATCTTGCTTTTCCCTAAAGTTATCATTCTATTTCTCCCCTTTTTTTCCTGCCAGTGTCTCAATGAGGTCATTATTTACTGCCTGATTCCAGCCAGAAGTATTTTCTGTCTCCTTTGGACCACCTAAGCCCTTTATTTGTTGTTCACAGTATTTACCATGGTCACACCCTTACCCCTGTGCTAGGCCAGGAATAGTCCTATCTTTGATGCATTTCTCCTTCCACTTCTGAATTCCTGGGAACACAGCAGTCCCTTGGGGACTGGCTTCTTAGACTGTAAAGTATCTCTTTTTAAATTAAAAAAAAAAAAAAATTGTAGAGGCATTCTCACTATGTTGCCCAGGCTGGTCTTGAACTTCTGGGCCCAAGCAGTCCTCCCACCTTGGCCTTCCAGAGTGCTGGGATTACAGCCGTGAGCCACTGCACCCGACCTAAGGTACCTCTTAATTCAAAAATATGAAAAGGTTTGTAGAGGCTGCTGGCTTTTTCCTGGAACTAATTTCCACTAAATGTCCTGTGTTTTTTCCACATATCAAACATATCTAAAGATACTGCTTTTCTAACTTTAACTAAAACGTAATGTCATCTAGTGGCTTTCCCTCCTCTTTGCAAAGTTTTTGTTTGTGTGTTTGCTTAACTCTTTGAGCAGAAATGGAAGAGGCCATGCCACAACAGGGTCAGAAAGACCTGGGTTCAAATGCCATCTCTGACATGGACAAGCTCTCTGACTTTGGGGTCTGTCACTAGACTTCTCTGTGCCTTAATATGTCCACGTATGAAATTGTTGCAATAATGTCCACCTTATGGGATTATTGTGAGGGTTCAAAGAGGTGTTTGCAAGCCCTGAGTCCCAAGTATGGACCATGAAAACTACTCACTGAAAGCTGGAGCACTTCCTTTCTTCCTGGCTCCTGCCTTTTTCATACCCGAAAACATGTTCAGAACAAAGAAGCCGCACTGAGGCGTGAATGCCCAGTAGCCAGTGAGTTTGTACGATGCAAACTGGTATTCCAGCATATTGCTAAATCACTACACTTAATAAACTTCCTGGGTGTCCACTGTCAAATCACAAACCACAAATGTAAGGTCATGAATGCCAACAGTCTCTTCTCTCTGCTTTACTCAACCAGTGTGATCTGTCCAAAGAATTTGAAATGACAGAAAATATACATAGCAAGTATTAAAGCAGCAGATGGTATTCATATGCCGCTAGCTCTCTGTGCTGCTAAGTCACTCACACATCCATAGTCATAGCGGAGGGGACGAGGAAAAAATCACATTTCCTTCTTTTCTTGGAATTGCCATCTTTTTCTCATCTCTGATGCCAATGTCTCCTCACAAGATTTCCAAGAGAAGAAAAGTCTCACTGTTCTGGAAATGCCAGAAAACGTTCCAAAACTTGCTTAGCGTTCTTCCTAGCAACAAATCCAACAACTTCCTCCACATTCGGGTGGCAGGGCTCTCATTGTGTTTATCACTTTCTGCCCCCAACTAGCTGTACAACCTTGGACCATTAGTCCTCTTTCTGTGCCTCAGTTTTCTCATCTATTAGATGGGGATATTGAAATTGCATACCTCATTAAGTTGTCATGAGGATCAAATATATGCTAACCAGTTTTAACGGTATTTAGGATGGAGTAAGCACTCAACATATTGCTATGTGGTCATTTTGCCTGCATATGGGTCAGTGGATGTGGACTAAGAATTACAAAATACTTGTAGTCTTGGTTTTGCCACCTACTAGCTATGATGAGCCATTGAGAAGTTCCTTATTGAAACTTACTTTTTAAATCTGTAAAATGCTAGAAAAACGACGTTTTCAGTATTAAATGAGATTACCTCTATGAAAAATAAGCCTCAAAATGCCATAGAACATAAATTGGTATTATCTCCTATCTCTGTTCTTGAGCAGGAGCTGCCAAGTCTTAGAGTCTTTGCATTTCTTGTGGCACCTAATGGGTCTACAACACCAGTTGTTGAAGGAAAAGTTTACCCATTCAGCACAACTGAGAAGGAAGCAAGCCAGAAAGGCCTCTCAATGGTCATCAGAGATGGCGTGAAATTCACACATTCACTCGTGCTTTTTTAATAGGCTCGTGCATCGGGCTCTCCCTCTGAGGCACTTCACTTTTACTTTACCCAGAGTCAGCCTGGAGAGGACCAGGCATATCCAATTAGTGGAGTGAGGCTGGGTTAAATTGCTCTGGGCAGGCATACTGACCACCTGAGAAGTGGCACCTGACTATAATGGTGGAGTCAGAAAAACTAAGAAAAGCAGCCAGGAGAACTTAAAAAGCCCTTCGGTGTGAGACTTTTTACCATAAGGAGAGATCCCGTGAGGCTGACTGAGAACTAAATTAGACAAAAGCAGTTGAGATCTTCTTCAGAGAACAATTTCACTTTGGCAAGGGGATACCGATGACCTAAAATGACAGATTCTGCTAATTTCCATGATTGCCTCAGGGAAGGTTGAAGCTAACTTGGCTCTGTTTTTGCAATATGTTTCTCAAACATAACTTCTTGGTTGACTGCACAGGTAATTACTCCAGCTACAAAGTTCATGTTACCAATTATCTCAACTATGGCCTCATTTTCTCTAATGATGCCGAAACCTCATTCTTCTGGGTTTTGCAGTCTCTAACGAGTAAATGTTAAAACCTTTATCCAGCAAATGAATTGCTTGGTCATGTCCGTTTATGTAGCTTATTATATTTTCAGGATAATTGGCAATCAACTTAGAGTATTGGTAATTATTAATTTTAAGTAATGACATACACTAAAATAAATTTATTTACTAACAATTTGATTTTCAAATTTTTATACTACTGTTTGCTCTCTAAAATTGTGTCCAATTTGGTATTGTTGCTGGCTTTTAAATTTTTTATTAGTAGCATTAATATTTTGCTAGATAGTGTTCTTGTCTAACTCATAGATGATGGCATAATGAATATTTCGTAAGGACAAGATTGGGAAGTCAAAAGTTTTTAGCAGGTTGGGATAATGGACCCAATCTAAGAAGGTGAAATATTGATGTTGTGAAAATAAAGGCTTCACTTGTTTCTAACAAAAAGACCTACAAAAAGATTAGAGAAATATTAACTGTCAGTCTGAAATGTAGCTGTAAGAATGGCAGTAAATGGAGTGCTGTAATCTTAGTCTGTATGAATTTGGGCACTCTGGGCCAAAGAAAACAGCAACTCACTCAAGACACTCTAAGGAGGAGGGGCTTGCTGCACAGCTGCCCTGTTTGGATCTGTAAAGTAGAAAGTTCGGTTTGAGATGACTCAAGGGACTGACACCTTTCACATGCTCTCTCGTATGGTCTTTCTGCTATCTCTGCATATTTAGTAGGTTCTCCTCTGACTCCCAACATCAACTAAATCCCAGAAAGAGCTGGTTTGATCAATTTGTCTTACTATTGTCTTTGTTCTAGCGTATCTCTGCACAAACCTACCTCCTGGGTCATCCACCAGCCTCTAAGGTGCTCACTCCTGATCCAAGCAGCACCTCTACCAAAACAATAGCTTATCCTTGTTTTTCTGAACAGTGGGCTGTGGTTGGGGAAGTTAACATTAGAATATGAACCTGGGTGTGGCTCCAATGGCCAGAATTGTGAGCAATAAGTCAAAGCTACAGGAAGAGAGATTCAGCTTCATATAGAATTTCCTAAAAATAGAATGGGCCACAGGCAGATAGATGGTTGGATTTAGTGACCTTCCAGGCTCCTTCTGTCTCCCAAAATTGTGTTTTTATTTTTAATACCACTCTTCTGTTTCTTCCCAGATGTGTCTAATGAAAACCATCTTTTCACATTATTATTAAAATGAGCTATGAAGATAATTCTGACACAGTATAATTAGGATATGCCTAAGGTGTCAGAAACAGTAATGCTTTTGCATTAGCCTCTTAAAATATATTTCATATGCAACATATTTGTAAATTAGATTTTATTATAGTAAATAACAATGCTGTACAAATAAAAGAAATAATTTACCCAATGTAAATGTAATGGGACAGCAAACTGCGACATGGATACTTCTCTTAAGAGGATTGAAGATGAATGTAAGAATGTTAGGAAAATTGTTTACCCATGAATTGTGAATGATGTTCCAGAGATTTCAGTTGGGCATTTAAACTCAGATATCATGATGGACTGAGTTATTTAGGGCAGTTTTCAGTGATGACTCTTCTGATGGCTGCCTGAGCTGAACTTCTCCAAAACAGTTAAATCTCAGCATCCAAAGTGTACTAATTTGGAAGTGTGTGTGTAAGAATAAAAGTTATTCCATAAAATGTTAATTCTCTCTCAACAGAAATTTAATTGTTTAGCCTGAGAAAATCTGAAAGCACCACACCATGGAGACTCCAGGAGGCTTCTGTTTCCACTTTCCAGTGTGAGGATGCATTGAGACAAAAAAGATAAAGTAGATATCAGGGCAGAGCAGCCTTGCCTCCAGCCTGCAAGGGAGTTGTATTTCTTTGAGGCAACGCATGGTCGGGAGAGAGAGTAGCTTTGTTAAAATTCTAAAATTCGAGGTCCATCATTTTTGAGACAAGACTCATCTCTCTTGGCTTCAGTTCCCTCATTGATACATTGGCAATGATAATAGTACCTAGGTCAGAGAGTTCTTGTGAGAACGAAAGCACTTCTTGGCACAGTGTCTAGCTCATAGAAGGTGCTCAGTAGTTTAGCTACTAAGATTACTATTTTCTGTTGTTTTTGTTTTTGAGACAGGATCTTCCTCTGTTGCCCAGGCTGCAGTGCAGTGGCATGATCTTGGCTCACTGCAGCCTCCTCCTCACTGGCTCAAACTATCCTCTCACCTCAGCCTCTGGAGTAGCGGGGACCACAGGTGCGCACCACCACACCCAGATAATTTTTTTTGTTTGTTTGTAGAGACAGTTTCTTCATGTTGCCAAGACTAGTCTGGAACTCCTGGGCTCAAGTGATCCACCTGCCTCAGCCTCCTAAAGTGGTGGGATTACAGGTGTGAGCCACTGTGCCCTGCCTGCTATTGTTCCTTTGTTTTTGAGATGGAGTCTTGCTCTGTCGCCCAGGCTGGTGCAGTGGCGCCATCTCGGCTTACTAAATCCTCTGCCTCCTGCCTTCAAGTGATTCTCATGCCTCAGCCTCCCGAGTAGCTGGGATTACAGGCGTTTTTGTATTTTTTAGTAGAGACGGGGTTTCACCATGTTGATCAGGCTTGTCTCGAATTCCTGACCTCAGGTGATCTGCCCACCTGGGCCTCCCAAAGTGCTGGGATTACAGGCGTGAGCCACTGGACCTGGCCTGTAGTTCCTTAAAAAGCAGGAACCCTGTGTTTATGCATCCCTGCCCAGAGAGCCACGAGCCTCATCACTTCCTAGTCATCAGTGTGGCTCATGTCTTTGGATCATACCCAGCCCATCCTGAAACAGAGTTGTGTCTGGCCCCAGGTCATGATCCATCTGGCTTTCTCCTCCCTAGAAGACCTGACCCCATTCTCACGCTGCTGCTTTGCTTGGACCTTGTGTAAGTCACTGTACCTCTTGACTCTGAGTTCCCGCCTCCTGAAAATGGGAACTATTTATAGGGTTCTAAAGTTTTGGATACTATCAATTTAAATTTTATCTATTTTAAAACAAATGAGTTGTCAGGTGCCAAAAGTGTAGAAAAGACAGAATGTTAGAGCTAGAGGGGTCATCAAAGAATATCTTCCCTGACTTTCTTTTGCAAAATATTGACAGTTGCGTGCCATTCCACCTGAGATTCTGATTGAATTGGTCAGGGATTTATTTGGTCTGGATGTGGCCCAGCCATCGATACTTTTTAAAAGCTTACCCAGTGGTGCTAATGCACAGGCAGGGTTGAGAAGCACTTAGCAAGCCCAAGGCCATACTGTTAGTGGTGGAGGCAGGTCTAGAACTCGTGGTTTCTGCTCTTCTTACTACAGACTGACCCTAAGTTCTGGTTTAAAAGAAGCTTTTTGAAGCATTCCTTTTGTGGTTTTACCCTCTCTCATAAAAGTGAGATATGTAATAAACATAATATTCAAGCACACCTGTTAGTTGGCTTCTGTTTAATTAAGGTTTTATTCTGTTCCACTTTAACCTTATGCTTTTTCTTTCTTATAATGGTGTGTTCAGCAACCCCTTTATTCCAGATGCCATATTTTCTTACCGCCTTCAAAGCCACCTCTAAAATACTAATTGCATTGCTGAGTTCCTCTCTGACATTGTCAACCTTGATCAAATACTTAGTTCTTCATTGTTTGTTCTTTTCAGTCTGTATTAGATTCTTCCCCGCCACGGCCTGTTGTTGATGTGATTATAGAGCACGGTGTATTCCCATGAAGCATCAGAGTAGAATAAGATCAAGTGCCTTTTTTTTCTTTTTGATTTGTGTGCACAGTTGTTTCCTGCTATTTAGGGGTAATTCAGACTTCTGTCCTACACTGCAATGTAATTGGAATTATGTTACCTATTTTCATTACCTGTTCCTATTAAGTTGCTTAAAATTTCTTAGACATTGATGTCATTAAGTACAATAATGCTTGGTTAAAATTAATCATGGAATTTGATATATAGTAAGTCCCCCTTGTCAATTTTTCGTACGATAGTAGGATGAAATCTCAGCTAAATAGAATTAACCCAAAACAATTTACATTGTCCTGTGTTACTTTTTTTCTTTTTCAGGAATCTTTGTGACATTCTCTCTCAGCATTCTTTATCCCCTGTTTGCTGAAGACTTCGACAAAAGCTGGTCTTAGCTGTTGGCATTCTCCTGAGAAAAGGATAGCTTCAGAAATCAGAAAAACATTTGGGAGGTGTCTAGCCCAGTGGACCTTCTGAAGGTGAGAGTGAATTAGTTCTCTCTTTGTCTTTACAAGACTGAATTAACTGGTCTGTCTTCCAAAATCTACTTGGAAAGTAGTGAAAAGAGGGAAACAGGTTATTGAAAATTTTTTATAAACAATTGATAGTTTCTCTTTTTTGGGAAAACTTTTTAGTAAATATGGAGGAAACCAATTGGCTATTTTGACCAAACAGGAACTTTATTTGAAGTTGGAGCTCTGATCTTATGAAGATCTATCTGAACATACACACACACACACACAAACACACACACCCCTTTTAAAAATCAATAATGTTTCTCTTTTTGGAGAAATTTCTTATGTATTTAGGGTCTCTATCAGCCTCAATATCTGCCTTACCCTACCTTCTTGGGTTGTTTTAAGGATCAAACGATATAACTTTTATGAAAACACTTTGTAAACCATGAGGTATTATTTGCATAAGTAAGAAAAACAATTTCTACTTTTCTAAACATTTATAATCCTCAGAAATACTCTCATACCCACCAATATATTTTTCCCCATAGTTTCATTTATTTTCAGTTCAGTTCAGTAAACATTGCTAGGCTCTCAAGAAGCAAAGGTGATAAGTCCTTGCCTTCAAGGAATATCTGCCAAATGCAAGAGACAGGCACATAAATAGATATGACCAACTTCTATATGATAAAAGTATATTGAGGGTGCATTAAGGAATGGAAAAGGCAGCTAATGCAGTCTGGGGCCAGAGGGCTGTGTGTAAAAGCAGGCTTCCTAGAGGAGGTGTCCCCTAAAATGGCTCCTGAAAGTGGAATAGGAGTTAGGTAAAGAGCAGGGTAGGGTGGACAAGGGCATTGCAGGTAGGAGCAGTGGGATAGGGGTGTGAAATCCATGTGAGAAAGTAAGAAGTTATGGCATATGTGTGAAAGGAAGGTGAGCAGGAAGCACTGAGGTGTTATCAGCTGGAAGTCATTGGCATTTTATGTGTATTACACTGGAGGAAGTATAGAGAATGAACTAGAGCAATATTGAAGGAGGGAAAGATGCATTTTGTAATTATATGGGGGAGAGCGAGGAGAATTAGAATTTGGCTAGAAGCAGCATCGAATAGAGAAAGAAAGGGGAATTTGAAAGAGCTGGATTTGGTGGTTGATTGGGCATGGGAAGTAGGAAAATGTCAGGACTTGGGATTCTTGGATTTCTGATGTGGGTGACTGAGAACATTATGATGCCAGAAGGGGAATTTAGGAGAGAAGCAGATTTATTCTTGGGAAAGGAAGGACTTTGAAGTATATAAGGGACATCTAGATAGAAATATCCATCAGACAGCTGGAAGTGTAAGTGTGGAGGTAAGGGGAAGATTCAGAACTAGAAACATTCACTTGGGAGTTATAGGCAATGGTTAAAAATATTTTCTTAATTATGTATTTGATTTTGTATTTAAGCCTTCAATATTATTCATTTATTTACTGAAAGCACAACTTACCACATTCTCTATTTTCATTTTATTCTGACATTATCTGCTGTTTCATTTGTATCTGTAGTATTTCTTCTTATTTTCTTGGCATAATAAATTAGGATTTTTCTTCCTAGAGACAAATACGGTGACCTTTCCAGTTTGATAAAAGGAAATTCAAAGCAGTCTTTAACAAACAGTGTGAACCCTGAAGTTAAGGACAGTAACAAGCCAGTGCTATTCTCCATTTTAATTCACAATAGCTACAGCAATTATTTACGAAAGGAGCTTTGCTTTCTCAAATGTCATTCTTTTTCAGTATCAATCATGATTTTTTGTCAAATTCTCACTTTCATTGCTCTGCCCAGTGTTTCAGCATTGCTTATGGGAGACTGAGAGGGTCTTTCTTGCATTCTTCAGTGGGGTGGTGTTAGGGCCCCTCCCTTTGGGTCTTCTCAGCATCCACCCAGGACATGGTTGAGGCCTGTTATAACAGAGCCTGCACTGTTTGAGAGCAAGTCCACCCAAGTCAGACTGCTGAAATTCATTCTCACAGCCTTCTTTGAGGGAATGTCTGGGGTAAAAATTTCAACTTCAAATAATACTTACAATAGTACTATTTTGAGTGAATTTTATTTGATTACTGTGATCTTAATTAGCTTACTGATTTTTTTCCTTAATACCCATTGGAAAGCTACAAAATGCTCGATTTTTACTCTCTGTAGTTCACTACCATCTTTTCAGGAACTTTAAAGGTCCACGAATCTGTCACTTTTTCATACACAAGAAAAATAATTTGAGGCAAAATTAAGTAACTTACTGAACACTAACAGCTGGAACCAGAGTCCTGGTCTCCTGAATCTCACTCTGCCGTTTCCACCTCATCTTTTTTTTCTCTTATTCTAAATCTTTATTGAGCTGTAAAGTTATCTATATGTCTTAAAATAGGGAATTGAATTAAGTAAATCAGTTCACACCAATGACACTTGCTTTGGTTAATCAATCTAGATGCAACAATCAGATTCTCTTTTAATACTTGAGGCTCTGATTAAGGCTTTGTTATTTTTAAATTTTATAGTTTTTAATTTTTAACATAGATTTTGTTTTTGGCAGCCTTTATTTCTCTAGACTGGTTTTACCAGTGAAATGAAAGATTGGAACAGAATCAAACCACCTGTGTTTAAATTCTAGTTAAAAAAGACATCAGTGACTTTAAAACCAACACTTTTAGGCACAGGATATTACCTTTTTTGTTCATTTTTAAATTCATACATAATGATTATACATATTTCATATACAAATTAGTCATATTTACAGGTGATCTTTGATACATGCATACACTGTGTAATGATTAAACCAGATTAATTGGGTATATCCATCACCTCAAACATTTATGATTTCTTTGTGTTGGGAACATTAGAAATCTTTCTTCTAGCTATTTTGAAATATACAATAAATTGTGGTTAATTACAGTCATCCAGAAAGCACAAGATATTTCTGATTTGGTCAATTACATTGCAATCTACTGTGAGTTTTATGTGTAGAGGATGAATTTATGGAAACGCTGCATTAGTATAATTTGGAATGACGGCACATACACGCGAGTTGTAGGTGGTCTTGAAGACAATGAATTGTTCTCTGAAGTCCACAGAATGGTCAGTCTTTACTGTGAAACCAGTGGGCTGTAAATTATCAGAGTGCGTGTACAAAACATGATTCACTCATCCCGAAAGCTGCCAGTAACAAAAGTTTCTACTCATTTATGCGCAGAACACAAAGAATATTTCTCCCTGTTTCAATCTTTTTTGCCTCTATTTTCTCTCTGTCTCTATGAATCTTTTTCTGTCTCACTCATATTCGCTGCATGATAGACACACACTAATATGATGTCTCTAAAACGTGAGACCCTTGGTTTGTGGAACTGGTAGTGGAAATAGCATGTTGTGGATAAGGGGTGAGTGCTGTGGGGAGACATTGGCATTTGCTAAGTGTTTGCCGTGTGTATCGCTTGGCTGCATTGGGCAGAACAACCGTATGAGCAGGGATGAATAGATATGGAAACTATTGCAGACTGTGAACACAAGATGGTATGATGGCTGCGAAAGGGGAGGTCAGCTTTCACCACTGTTACCTGACTTGGTGGTGGTCTTCTTCTGAACTATCTTACCATGGGTAAAGGACAGAATGCAACCATATTAGGTGGCTGCTTTCTGCTTGGATTCCAAAGTGAGTGTCATTGTGCAAGCAAAGCAATGCATGCAATTTATGTTAGTTTTGGAGTTGCCACTTAGAAGTATTCAGAGTTTGGAACAGCACTGGAGACTGCCTTCCTTGTACCCTGTGGTTAGAGAACAGCATTCTACAAGGGGAGGGTTGTATGGGAAAACTCCTATTGGGAAGTGGAAGGCATGGGTGAGTTGCCAGGGTGACACTTTTGCATGGGCAGTATTCCAACAGGCTCAGATCATATTTAACAGTAAAATGTGTTGCTGTGTGCCCTTTTATAATGTGGGGTTTTAAAAAGAAAGAGGAAAGGAAATGCTGAGCTACTAACTTTGGGTACAAATTCAATCCCATCATAGAGATCGCAGACTTTACCTCAGCAATTCGTGGGCCATTTTGGTGGAGGACAATGACAACAGATTTCTAATCAGATAATGTCCTGCTACATTTGAATTTTCACTCTCCACTGCCTTTTGTTGTCTGGGTACTTTTGAAATTATTCTTGATTCAGGTTTATTATTAACTTTTGAACCCTAGCTACTGCACTAATACCTTGCTACTCATGAAAATGAGAATGGTGACTAGAGAATTTGTTTTTGCCTTAGTTAATAGAATAGCAAGGCAGCATAATATGGATTAATGACTCTTCACATTTTCTCATAATATAAGCTGAATTCATTTTCCCTTGGGGATTTATTTCTAATTCATGCCCTAATAAAACCATTCTTGCCAGTTGTTGACTTTCTAGCTTTTTAAAAGCATCTGCATAATGGATAAGTAGATAACATTAAATAATAAATAATTTTGATCTTAAACTTTAAAAACATGTTTATTGTTCTTATTTTAAAATGGAAAAATAAAACAACTTCCTCTTCACAATCAGTAGTATAAGTATCTTTGCTATTTGTTTTAGGCAAGAACCATCCTGAGGCAATTATATCTTTTAATATATAAGACCTATGAGGAAAGATTGAGGATAAAAAAAAGATTGAGGATGCAGAACTACTAACAGGGTTCTATTCACCCAACATAACATAAATGTCCTTCATTTAGAGGACATGTACATTATTGATAGAATTATTCCAAAATCCCAATATCCACCTGGATAATAACTATCCATTACCAGTATTTCAAATTATTGTCTCTCCTTTTCTGTTTCCCCTCCTTGCTATCAGGGGTTTCATGTTTTATTTAGTGTCATCATATTAGTATGTGTGTATCACAGAGAATGTAAATGAGAAAGACAGAGGCAGAGACAAAGACAGAAAGAGGCAAAGAGAGAGACTAAGAGGAGAGAGAAATACTCCTCTTGCCCTACACATAAACCAAAGCAGTATTTGAAGTTCTTTTCTCCCCTCAGTCTGATTTCTTTGACTTATTTGGCCTTAAAATGATATAATCTGTAACTCAGAATCCATAAACAGGTTCACAGGGCCGCATCCTGAGTTGGGGATCAGAAGACACAGTCACTGTGGTAGAGCTGTGATGTGCCACTCAGATCCCCTGCCCTTTCCTGACTGAAGCACTCTTTCTCCAGCTTCTTGGAGTGTTGACAGCTGATGGCTCACTTAGGTCCTTCCTTTTGGGGATTGTCCTCTGCCTTCAGCTAATCAGAGCTGCCTCACCCAAGATTATACTGTTTGCCCCAGGCCCATGTGCATTCAATGAGTGGTCGACTTGGGAACACAAAGGCTCTTGACTCAGTTCAGGACAATGTGTAGGACCTGAAAGGTTGGCTGAGGCTTTTGTTGTGACAGCACCACGGCCCAACTTCTCTGACTCCCTTGTCCTGTTTTGTGCACTCCCCTTGGGGTTGTGCTCAGGAGCCCTCACCAGTAAAAATCCTGCCTGCAGATCTTCATCTCAGAGCCTGGTTCCAGAGAAACCTGAACTGCAGCAATCACCATACGTGGGCCATGTGATGTAGCACGTGTGTGTATGAGGATGGGATTACCTATCTTCATAGTACTGTGATAAGGTACTGGCTCTGGAATCACAATCAAGATCTGTGACAATCTAGCCCAGGCACTTACTATAAAAAATTAAACGGGGGAGGGTTCCAAGATGGCTGAATAGGAACAGCTCCAGTCTACAGCTCCCAGCTTGAGCGACACAGAAGACGGTTGATTTCTGCATTTCCAACTTAGGTACTGGGTTCATCTCACTGGGGCTTGTCGGACAGGGGTGCAGGACAGTGGGTGCAGCCCACTGAGTGAGAGCCGAAGCAAGGTGAGGCATCACCTCACCTGGGAAGCGCAAGGGGTCAGGGAATTCCCTTTCCTAGCCAAGGGAATCTGTGACAGATGGCACCTGGAAAATCGGGTCACTCCCATCCTAATACTACGCTTTTCCAAAGGTCTTAGCAAACGGCACACAGTTTATATTATATATAAACAGAGATTATATCTGGCACCTGGCTCGGAGGGTCCCACGCCCACAGAGCCTTGCTTGTTGCTAGCACAGCAGTCTGAGATCGATCTGCAAGGTGGCAGCGAGGCTGGGGGAGGGGCGCCCACCATTACTGAGGCTTGAGTAGATAAACAAAGCTGCCGGGAAGCTCGAACTGGGTAGAGTCCACCTCAGCTCAAGGAGGCCTGCCTGCCTCTGTAGATTCCACCTCTGGGGGCAGGGCATAGCTGAACAAAAGGCAGCAGAAACTTCTGCAGACTTAAATGTCCCTGTCTGACAGCTTTGAAGAGAGTAGTGGTTCTCCCAGCACAGAGTTTGAGATCTGAGAATGGACACTCTGCCTCCTCAAGTGGGTCCCTGACCTCCGAGTAGCCTAACTGGGAGGCACCCCCAAGTAGGGGCAGACTGACACCCCACACGGCTGGGTACCCCTCTGAGACGAAGCTTCTAGAGGAATGATGAGGCAGCAACATTTGCTGTTCTGCAATATTCACTGTTCTGCAGCCTCTGCTGATACCCAGGCAAACAGGGTCTGAAGTAGACCTCCAGCAAACCCCAACAGACCTGCAGCCGAGGGTCCTGACTGTTAGAAGGAAAACTAACAAACAGAAACGACATCCACACCAAAACCCCATCTGTACGTCACCATCATCAAAGACCAAAGGTAGATAAAACCACAAAGATGGGGAGAAACCAGAGCAGAAAAGCTGAAAATTCTACAAATCAGAGCACATCTTCTCCAAAGGAACACAGCTCCTTGCCAGCAACGGAACAAAGCTGGACGGAGAATGACTTTGACGAGTTGAGAGAAGAGGGCTTCAGACGATCAAACTTCTCTGAGCTAAAGGAGGATGTTCAAACCCATCGCAAAGAAGCCAAAAACCTTGAAAAAAGATTAGACGAATGGCTAACTAGAATAACCAGTGTAGAGAAATCCTTAAATGACCTGATGGAGCTGAAAACCATGGCACGAGAACTACGTGACGCATGAACAAGCATTAGTAGCCAATTTGATCAACTGTAAGAAAGGGTATCAGTGATTGAAGATCAAATGAATGAAATGAAGTGAGAAGAGAAGTTTAGAGAAAAAAGTAAAAAGAAATGAACAAAGCCTCCAAGAAATATGGGACTATGTGAATAGACCAAATCTACGTCTGATTGGTATACCTGAAAGTGACGAGGAGAATGGAACCAAGTTGGAAAACACTCTGCAGGATATTATCCAGGAGAACTTCCCCAACATAGCAAGGCAGGCCAACATTCAAATTCAGGAAATACAGAGAACACCACAAAGATACTCCTTGAGAAGAGCAACTCCAAGACACATAATTGTCAGATTCACCAAAGTTGAAATGAAGGAAAAAAGGTTAAGGGCAGCCAGAGAGAAAGGTTGGGTTACCAACAAAGGGAAGCCCATCAGACTAACAGCGGATCTCTCGGCAGAAACTCTGCAAGCCAGAAGAGAGTGGGGCCAATATTCAACATTCTTAAAGAAAAGAATTTTCAACCCGGAATTTCATATCCAGCCAAACTAGGCTTCATAAGTGAAGGAGAAATAAAATCCTTTACTGACAAGCAAATGCTGAGAGATTTTGTCACCACCAGGCCTGCCTTACAGGAGCTCCTGAAGGAAGCACTAAACATGGAAAGGAATAACCGGCACCAGCCACTGCAAAAACATGCCAAATTGTAAAGACCATCAAGGCTAGGAAGAAACTGCATCAACTAATGAGCAAAATAACCAGCTAACATCATAATGACAGGATCAAATTCACACATAACAATATTAACCTTAAATGTAAATGGGCTAAATGCTCCAATTAAAAGACACAGACTGGCAAATTGGATAAAGAGTCAAGACCCATCAGTGTGCTGTATTCAGGAAACCCATCTCACATGCAGAGACACACATAGGCTCAAAATAAAGGGATGGAGGAAGATCTACCAAGCAAATGGAAAACAAAAAAAAAGCAGGGGTTGCAATCCTGGTCTCTGATAAAACAGACTTTAAACCAACACAGATCAAAAGAGACCAAGAAGGCCATTACATAATGGTAAAGGGATCAATTCAACAAGAAGAGCTAACTATCCTAAATATATATGCACCCAATACAGGAGCACCCAGATTCATAAAGCAAGTCCTTAGTGACCTACAAAGAGACTTAGACTCCCACACAATAATAATGGGAGACTTTAACACCCCACTGTCAACATTAGACAGATCAACAAGACAGAAAGTTAATAGGGATATCCAGGAATTGAACTCAGCTCTGCACCAAGCAGACCTAATAGACATCTATAGAACTTTCCACCCCAAATCAACAGAATATACATTCTTCTCAGCACCACACCACACCTATTCCAAAACTGACCATATAGTTGGAAGTAAAGCACTCCTTAGCAAATGTAAAAGAACAGAAACTATAACAAACTGTCTCTCAGACCACAGTGCAATCAAACTAGAACTCAGGATTAAGAAACTCATTCAAAACTGCTCAACTACATGGAAACTGAACAACCTGCTCCTGAATGACTACTGGGTACATAATGAAATGAAGACAGAAATAAAGATGTTCTTTGAAACCAATGAGAACAAAGACACAACATACCAGAATCTCTGGGACACATTTAAAGCAGTGTGTAGAGGGAAATTTATAGCACTAAATGCCCACAAGGGAAAGCAGGAAAGATCTAAAATTGACACCCTAACATCACAATTAAAAGATCTAGAGAAGCAAGAGCAAGCACATTCAAAAGCTAGCAGAAGACAAGAAATAACTAAGATCAGAGCAGAACTGAAGGAGATAGAGACACGAAAAACTGTTCAAAAAATCAATGCATCCAGGAGCTGGTTTTTTAAAAAAATCAACAAAATTGATAGACTGCTAGCAAGACTAATAAAGAAGAAAAGAGAGAAGAATCAAATAGATGCAATAAAAAATGATAAAGGGGTATCACCACCGATTCCACAGAAATACAAACTACCACCAGTATTTTCTGATGGTAAATCAGAAAATGGTAAAACACCTCTACGCAAATAAACTAGAAAATCTAGAAGAAATGGATAAATTCCCCGACACATGTACCCTCCCAAGACTAAACCAGGAAGAAGTTGAATCCCTGAATAGACCAATAACAGACTCTGAAATTGAGGCAATAATTAATAGCCTACCAACCAAAAAAAGTCCAGGACCAGATGGATTCATAGCCGAATTCTACCAGAGGTACAAGGAGGAGCTGGTACCATTCCTTCTGAAACTATTCCAATCAATAGAAAAAGGGAATCCTCCCTAAGTCATTTTATGAGGCCAGCATCATCCTGATACCAAAGCCTGGCAGAGACATAACAAAAAAGAGAATTTTGGACCAATATCCCCGATGAATGTCGGTGAAAAAATCCTCAATAAAATACTGGCAAACCGAATCCAGCAGCACATCAAAAAGCTTATCCACCATGATCAAGTGGGCTTCATCTCTGAGATGCAAGGCTCATTCAACATACACAAATCAATAAACGTAATCCAGCATATAAACAGAACCAAAGACAAAAACCACATGACTATCTCAATAGATGCAGAAAAGGCCTTTGACAAAATTCAACAGCCCTTCATGCCAAAAACTCTCAATAAATTAGATATTGTTGGGACATATCTCAAATTAATAAGAGCTATTTATGACAAACCCATAGCCAATATCATACTGAATGGACAAAAACTGGAAGCATTCCCTTTGAAAACTGGCACAAGACAGGGATACCCTCTCTCACCACTCCTATTCAACATAGTGTTGGAAGTTCTGCCCAGGGCAATCAGGCAGGAGAAAGAAATAAAGGGTATTCAGTTAGGAAAAGAGGAAGTCAAATTGTCCCTGTTTGCAGATGACATGATTGTATACTTAGAAAACCCCATCATCTGAGCCCCAAATCTCCTTAAGCTGATTAGCAACTTCAGCAAACTCTCAGGATACAAAATCAATATGCAAAAATCACAAGCATTCCTATACACCAATAACAAACAGAGAGCCAAATCATGAGTGAGCTCCCATTCACAATTGCTTCAAAGAGAGTAAAATACCTAGGAATCCAACTTACAAGGGATGTGAAGGACCTCTTCAAGGAGAACTACAAACGACTGCTCAACGAAATAAGAGAGGACACAAACAAATGGAAGAACATTTCATGCTCATGGATAGGAAGAATCAATATCGTGAAAATGGCCATACTGCCCAAGGTAATTTATAGATTCAATGCCATCCCCATCAAGCTACCAATGACTTTCTTCACAGAATTGGAAAAAACTACTTTAAAGTTCATATGGAACCAAAAAAGAGCCCACATTGCCAAGAAAAACCTAAGTCAAAAGAACAAAGCTGGAGGCATCATGCTACCTGACTTCAAACTATACTACAAGGCTACAGTAACCAAAACAGCATGGTACTGGTACCAAAACAGAGATATAGACAATGGAACAGAACAGAGCCCTCAGAATTAATGCCGCATATCTACAACCATCTGATCTTTGACAAACCTGACAAAAACAAGCAATGGGGAAAGGATTCCCTATTTAATAAATGGTGCTGGGAAAACTGGCTAGCCGTATGTGGAAAGCTGAAACTGAATCCCTTCCTTACACCTTATACAAAAATTAATTCAAGATGGATTAAAGACTTACATGTTAGACCTAAAACCATAAAAACCCTAGAAGAAAACCTAGGCAATACCATTCAGGACATAGGCATGGGCAAGCACTTCAAGTCTAAAACACCAAAAGCAATGGCGACAAAAGCCAAAATTGACAAATGGGATCTAATCAAACTAAAGAGCTTCTGCACAGCAAAAGAAACTACCATCAGAGTGAACAGGCAACCTACAGAATGGGAGAAAATTTTTGCAATCTACCCATCTGACAAAGGGCTAATATCCAGAATCTACAAAGAACTTAAACAAATTTACAAGAAAAAATCAAACAACCTCATCAAAAAGTGGGCAAAGGATACGAACAGACATTTCTCAAAAGAAGACATTTTTGCAGCCAACAGACACTTGAAAAAATGCTCATCATCACTGGCCATCAGGGAAATGCAAATCAAAACCACAATGAGATACCATCTCACACCAGTTAGAATGGAGATCATTAAAAAGTCAGGAAACAACAGGTGCTGGAGAGGATGTGGAGAAATAGGAACACTTTTACACTGTTGATGGGACTGTAAACTAGTTCAACCATTGTGGAAGTCAGTGTGGCAATTCCTCAGGGATCTAGAACTAGAAATGCCATTTGACCCAGCCATCGCATTACTGGGTATATACCCAAAAGATTATAAATCATGCTGCTATAAAGACACATGCACACATATGTTTATTGCAGCACTATTCACAATAGCAAAGACTTGGAACCAACTCAAATGTCCATCAATGATCGACTGGATTAAGAAAATGTGGCACATATACACCATGGAATACTATGCAGCCATAAAAAAGGATGAGTTTATGTCCTTTGCAGGGACATGGATGAAGCTGGAAACCATCATTCTCAGCAAACTATCACAAGGACAGAAAACCAAACACTGCATGTTCTCACTCATAGGTGGGAATGGAACAATGAGAACACTTGGACACAGGAAGGGGAACATCACACACCCTGTTGTGGGGTGGGGGGAGGGGGAGGGATAGCATTAGGAGATATACCTAATGTAAATGACGAGTTAATGGGTGCAGCACATCAACATGGCACATGTATACATATGTAACAAACCTGCACGTTGTGCACATGTACCCTAGAACTTAAAGTATAATAATAAAAAGTAAATAAATAAATAAATTTTAAAAAAACTAGGATAAAAATACCTACCTTTTTGAGTTGTTGCCAGGATTTGACAGCAAAATATTCAGTGCCTGGAACATAGGAAACGTTCATTGCATCATAGCTATTATTATAATTACCAGTAATTACCTATAAGTAATCCATAAATAGTGCACCAGTTCTGACCAATTGGACAATACAGAGAGCACTTTATTGCCATTTTTATTACAACATTTCCTTTGGTAGAATATGGAGGTTAATAAAAGATGCATCACTTGCAATTTTAAATAATTCCATACTTTTAGTCCCTATTAATAAGGTATGTGGAGAAATTGGACAGGATTCCAAAGGGAAACTATAGTGATTAAAGAAATGAGGAGCAACTTCTCTGAGTAAAAGTTAAAGGAACTGGAATTGTTCAGGATAAGAAAATTGAGGCATAACTTACCTTCTGTCATCAAATAAGTGGAAGCCTTTTGTGAGGAGGATATTGGAAATTTTTTGCCCATGTTCAGAGGATAGAACAAGAGGAAATGGACATACATTAAAGAAGGAAGATAGTTAGATTTATATCAAGGGAACTCCTCTGCTTTTGACAATAAAACACTGGAAGAGGCTTGTAAAATATAAACTTCTGAAAATCTTCAAAAAAAGAAGAGAACATTCTGTCCTGAGTTACTGAGATGCTTCCTAGAGTATTTAAGAACTCTGAAGTCTGTGATTTCAGAAATGATACCTCCTAGAAATTCAAACACGTATGTTTTGTTTTGCAAATGAAAGAAAATAATCACTATATCCACATTCATTTTCTCTATAACTTTCTCATAGTATCTTTGTGTGCATACACACCTTGTATGCTTTTCTGAACATATAACAACAGGTCTTCTTTCATTGAATAGGTGTCTTTATGTATGTTTATAAATATGCTGGTTATTATTATCATAGTTTTCAATCTTACTGTAGGCCATCTCTATATTCTATGTGAAAATAAATTAACACCTCCTATCCTGGGCCACTTATTTGTGCCCAATGTAATCTCTTTTGTGACTCAGATCTTGTGATGACATTGTTAAAATACAAGTATTAGATCACTATGAAAGGCTTTGGAACAACAACAGGAAGTCTGCAACTTTGAAGAATAATTTATTTCCAATCAATTAATTGCTTAGAGATAAGATTAAAGAATGGATATGGGACTAGATTTTTAGACTAAATGCTCTTTTAAGACCTCAGTGTTGGAAGATAAAAGGAAGTGCCTAAGAAGTTTCTAAATTACTAATAAGTGTATTGGACTTTGCATTTTCTCCTTGGCATGTTTTGTCAAATAGTAATTGGCAGAGTTAGAATGATATAGATGAAGAGCACTGGACTAGAAGCCAAAATGCCTGGCTCTGGAGCTATTGGAGCCATCAGATGATCTATCCTTCCTTCATAAAACATGTCTGTATAGTTTTCCTTTCATTTCTAGTTCCTGCATCCTTATATACTTATCACATTACAGTGACCTTCTTTCAAAAGAAACCAAGCGGAACTGAGGGTTCCACTCCTGACAGCTCAGCCTAGGGGCCCCATCACACCCTGACCTAAAACAGCTCTGCTTACATACTCGCATTGATATTCATATTCTCTCTCTTTCCCTCTCTCCCTCCCTCCCTCCCTCCCTCTCTCTCCATAGACAGACAGATAGGTGTTTTAAGATCTCACTTGATTAAATGGATCCACTGCTGTAAACATAAATTGTAAAGATATACTTACTTATTCTCATGCCTTCCATATTCTCTCCAATACATTCCATTCAAATACGCAATTTCATTCCTGTTTCTGCCAAGCTAAAAATTCTTCAAATGGCCCTCCATCCCATGAAGGATAAAGTATACAGTCCTTACCCTGGTATTCCAGGACTCCCTCCTTTCTAATTATTGAACTAATCTACTGAATCAGTTGAGTTGGCCTCTGTGTTCTAACATGTAGGATTATTTCTGGGTATTAAATATAGTCCTTGACACTGTGTGCAGGACGACTAATTCATTGGAGATCCCACTGTGATTTTGCTCAGCGTCAGCCTTGCCTTTCTTCTAAGCTACCTAAACCTTTCTCATTTGAGCACACCTCAAAATGCATGCTTTTCTTCCACAAAGCCTTCCTTGATTATTCTAGCCCACATTTTTGTGTCACATCTCTGAAATTCTCTCATGTGATTGGGTGTTTACACCCGTCTCCGTTACACTTACCTGGTTAACAGTGGTGTTATTAGACTGTAGGTATATTGGGTGTTATGATCGCCTCCTAGAGTGCATCAGAGGACAGTACAGCAGCAGTGATCTCTACCCCTCTAAGGAAATACAAGGGTTTGAATCATCCTAATGTGTACATTTTCAATGTAATATATGCATTAAGACAGGGAGACAAATGTAAGATGGAAATAAATGTGATCTATTCCTCATAACGCCTTAAGTTGCAACACTTTAGAGTACAAAGCACTTGCTTAGGATCAGATGCTACAGATTTTGAGTCTAGTTCTGCCTCTTACTTTGGGTCCTTCAGAAAGTCATTTGTCTTTTATGATCTTATTTTACATGATGGTGATCATACTGCTATTCTTTGTTCTTCACACTTCATAAAGCACTTGGCATGTTGTTTAGTTTCAGCTTCACGATAACCCATGAGGTAACTAGGGCAAGCTAGTATCTGTCAAGCACAAAAACTGGGCTTAGGAGACAAAACTTCCAAATCCTAATGTGATGAACCAATAGTAGGCACTGCAACTCAAATTTCTTTACATGTTACTGAAAGCTTGGTCAATAAACCAGCAGTGTGGACATCACCCAGAGCTTGTTAGAAAGCAAAGTTGTGGGTCCTACCCTAGACTTGCTGAATCAGAGCATGTGTTTTAACAGGAGGCTCAGGATTCATATGTATTAATACTTTACAGTGAGAAAAGCGCTGTAATCCAAGGGCAGTTTAAGCACCAGAGGTAAAAACATGAAAAGGGTTTTTATTTTTACTCTTATCACTGCCTTCAAATCTCCTCTGCCAAATCTCCTTTCCTTTGAAGAGGACTCTTAACAGAACTGATGGATTTTTTTTTAGCTACTTTCAGGTTTTTAAAAGTTCAAATACAACCTTCAAATTCATATGGAAATAGGAGCTTTTCTTTCCCCCAACCCATCTCCCATCTTGTGCCCTTCAACAATTCTTTATTTTTTTTCTACCAGTTCACCCCCAACCTGTTTTTTGTTTTTGGTTTTGTTTTTGTTTTTCTTTGGCTGGATCAAGGGTTCTCTCCTCTTTTTTAAATTTTTATTATTGGGTTTTTTTGACTTTTATTTTAGATTTGGGGGCACATGTGAAGGTTTGTTACATAGGTAAACACATGTCTTTGGGGTTTGTTGTACATATTATTTCATCACCCAGGTATTAAGCCCAGTACCCAATAGTTATCTTTTCTGCTTCTTCCTCCCACCCTCCCAGATCAAGTAGACCCCAGTGTCTGCTGTTCCCTTCTTTGTTTTCATAAGTTCTTATCATTTAGCTCCCACTTATAAGAGCTGGAGGCTATTATCCTTGGTGAACTAACTTAGGAACAGAAAATCAAATACCTCATGTTCTCATCAACCTGTTCTTAAACCAAATGCACCACTTCAAAGCCCTGAGTCTTAATGGTATGTTATCATGATGGTCATTTTTCAGAGTAGGAAGTTCAGTTACGCATCTCAGACTCCTTTGAGAGTCAGAAGAAAAAAACCAAGCACACACCCCCAACATAAAACCATGAAGAAATTCCAGTTTTTATTTCTTATATTTCCCCAGGTTCTTGGCTCAAGGAAGATGTATAATTGTCTTCAGCATAAACTGAAGTTAATGAAGTATGGGACTGTACTTTATTAAAAAGAAACATTTTAAAAGCTCTTGTTCTTAATTTTTATTCAAATTTCTCAATCTTCTTTGGCTAAGTAGCCAAGAGTTAGATCTATTCGCCATGAGCCAGATGACTGCCCTTGGATGTTCAAGATGGAACTCCGTTGAAGTCTGCAGGGGTTGTGTTCATTAGAATTCCCAGGGGTTGTGTGTTACCAAGCCCTTGTCATAAGTTATATCAAATTCCCTCATCCCTGAAATGGAAGTATCGTTCTGGCTGTCGTGCTGCCTTCTCCGTATCTTATTTGTTTTCACTTTAATGTTACAAGAAAAGACAGCTTTTGTCTTTATTTCTGGTTAGCAGTCCTCATGAATATGCATTAGCAGGTTCCCTTTCTAGCTACTGTTTTGTAATTTGTTATTTTTAAATGAAATCTGAAGTGAAAATAACTCCCAATTCTCACTTTAATATGTTTGGATTCTTAATCTTGATTTTGGAGGTCCTGAGCCAGACAGGAGTGACTTTAGAAGGCTGTTTGCCTAGGCAACACCAAGGGGTGTGTGTGTGTGTGTGAGAGCGTGTGTGTGTGTGTGGTGTGACTCAGTGGTTGAATAGATGGGACTACATTGGAACACACTTCCAGAGCCTCTGCAGGACACTGTGGTGGGCATTACAGCCACTGTGTCATTTCATTTTCACAACAGCACTGTGAGGCAAGTATAATTATATCCCTTTGGGAACTGAAGCTTAGGGAAAGTTAGTGATTTCCTCCAATTCACAAACTAGTAAATGAAAGAAGGGGAGCAGGTGATGAGAGAGGTCATTGAAATGTGAGTGTTCCACAGTGCTTTTCTGGTTGTTTTCCTAGAAATTGATAGTGGGTAATTTGGGGGTAATTACTTTACAGAGTCAATATGGGGTGTTTTTGGTATATTAAGCTTTTAAGAAAAGTGATACTAAACTTGGGCTGCTCTGAGCAGAGCCTGCTGTTCCTGTCCTTGCTTAATCTGGAGACTCAGTGCTAGTACTTAGATGCCAGGGTACCTCTACAGATTGCCCTGTTAGTTTAGGGTTTTCTTTTTTCTTTCTTCTTTCCTTTTTTAGAGATGGAGTCTCATTCTGTTGCCTAGGCTGGAGTGCAATGCTGCAGTCATAGCTCACTGCAGCCTCGAACTCCTGGGCTTAAGCAATCCCCCTGCCTCAGCCTTCCAAGTAGCTGGGACTACAGGTGCATGCCACTGTACCTGGCTAATTAAAAAAAATTAATTTAATTAAAAAAATAGAGATGGGGTCTCACTTTGTTCCCCAGGCTGGTCTCAAACTCCTGAACTCAAGTGATCCTCCTGCGTCAGCCTCCCAAAGTGCTGGGATTAGAGGCATGAACCACCGCGCCCAGCCTTGTTAGTGTTTCCTTGACTGGATAATGCTACCAAACTCTACCTTTACCTGTTTCTAAAGAGTTTTTTTCTACATTCAAAAAAAAAAAAAATCTCTGTTCCTCTGGAAAGCAAAATCTCCCTCCTCCGGAAAGCAAAACTGATGCAGATCTTCTGTGACTCTGTGGGTTTAGCACCACACAATTTGAAGTTACCATGCACCCCTTCACAGCCTCAGATGCTTTCCTGAATGTCAGCAGGAGCCTCACACTCCCATTTAAGGACTGTTTGTCTAAACTTGCTAGTCAGGCAACTAATCTCTGCACTGTGAAGTCTATTTATTGATTGTTGCATAACAGTCCATCTGTATCTCTCCTTATTTAATGGGGTGGCTATAGACAGAGGAGCCCAGCATACCTGTCTGCCCTAGATAGGATGAGATTACCCTAAAGCCATGTAAAAAATGGTCAAGGCAGGCCAGGCGCAGTGACTCACGGCTGTAATCCCAGCACTATTGGAGGCTGAGGCAGGCGGATCACCTGAGGTCAGGAGTTTGAGACCAGCCTGGCCAACATGGTGAAACCCCGTCTCTATTAAAAATACAAAAAATTAGCCGGGCATGGTGGTACATGCCTGTAATCTCAGCTACTTGGGAGCCTGAGGCAGGAGAATCTCTTGAACCTGGGAGGCGGAGGTTGAAGTGAGCCGAAATCGCACCATTGCAGTCTAGCCTGGGCAACAAGAGTGAAACTCTGTCTCAAAAAAAAAAAAAAAGAAAAAAAAAAATGGTCAAAGCCAATGTTAAGACCAGCTCAAAGCAACTCTTTACTAGCCCTTAACATTTTCTATTGAAATTTGAAACGCTATTTGCCCTTGGATACACAGTGAAGGCCCTTTTTGGATCACAGCAATACTCAAAATTGTCTTTTATCTCCCAGGCAAGATATAATTAGACTATGCAGTTTACCATGTGATTTAGGATATGCAATTAAATAAAAAAGCTGTGGGCAAGAGTATTTTAAAATAGTATTATTTTCTTCCCTTGAGTTTAAAAGTAATACATGTTCACTGCAGACAATTGGGAAAAATGAAGAAAAATGGGAAGACAGTAAAAGTAACACAGGCAAATGATTATTAACTTTTTGATGTTATTTTTCATTACAATGACACATATATAGCTACATACGTATATTTAATCTTCTTGCAAAATAGTTTTAATGGCATTAGTCCTTAGGGTATTAGTGCCAAGCATTTTTCTCCTTTTCAGTTCTTTGTATATTCTTTTATATATTTTTTAAAGATAGGGTCTCTCTGTGTTGCCCAGACAGGACTCAAACACCTGAGCTCAAGCATTCCTTCTGCCTTTGCCTCCTGAGAACTTGGGACTACAGGCATGAGCCACCATGGCTGACTTCTTTTTATTATGAAATGGGATATTACATACATACAAAAGAGAGGGAGAGTAACCCAGTACTCAGGAGCATTTATTAGAGAGATAGGTGGCCTAGATTCTGGTCTTAGAACTACTATTTGCTAGCCTGGAACTTTGGGCAGGAAGATCACTTGAGCCCAGGAAGCTGAGGCTGCAGTGAGCCATGATCATGTCACTGTACTCAGCCTGAGCAACAGAGCAACATCCTGTCTCAACAAAAGATGACCAATCACACAAGAAAACTAGACCCCAAGAGCAAGAAGCAGTAGCTACATCAACAACAAAACCAGATCCTCAAAAAGTTCAGATGTTGGAATTACCAGATACAGACTATAAAATAACTGTAAAGTATGCTTACCATTTTTAAAGAAATGAAAAATAAGCTTGATCAAATCTACAGAGAATAGGAAACCCAAAAAGGGACATTTAAGACTTAAAAAGAAACCAAATACAACTTATAGAAACAGCAAAACAAATAACCGAAGTTTAAAACTCAATAGCTGCACATGGTGCAGCTAAAGGGCAAATAATGACCTGGAAATTAGGTCAAAATAAATTATCTATCATGCTGCACAGAGAGATAAAATAATAGAAAATAATAGGTAAACTCCTTCTAAATTGTTACATAACTTTAAATATTTTTAAACCTCATATAATTAATTTCATACTAATTTTCACTTAATGTTATGTTTATGAGATTTATTCAATGTGATTGTTTTCAATGCCAACAGTATTCCAAATTATGTGAGTGTTACAATTTTTTATCCCTTTGGATTGTTTTGAATTTTGTGTGATTACAGGAGATACTGCTGTAAACAATCTTATCTTTAGAAGTCTGTAGTTTTATCTTAATATGTCTTGGTGTATATTTCTTATTATTCAACCTTCTTGATATATATTGTGGTTCCTACATCAGTGAATTCAAGTCTTTCATCAATTACAGAAAAATCTCAGCCATTACTTTTTTGAAAATTGTCTCTCCTCCATTTGAAACCCAAACTAGACTAATTTAAACCAGTGCGTTATTTTTTTTATGACTTCTCTTTTATATTTTCCCTCTGCTCGTGCTGTAATATGGGCAACTTATTCAATTCTGCTTTCTAAAATAATACTCTCTTTAGCTGTGTCTAATATGTTTATCTTATATATTGAGTTAAAAAAATTTGTAAAGTAAAATGATTTCATTTTTTATTTTCAGAAGTTTCATTTATTATTTTGTACATCTGCCTGGTCACTTTTGTGACATCTTATCCTTTGTGATTAAAAAAAAAATTAACTGTGATAAAATACACATAGGATAAAATTCACCATTTTAAAATCTTTTTAAGTACACCCGTCAGTTGTGTTAAGTACATTCACATTGTCAGGCAACCAATCTCCAGAACTCTTCATTTGGCAGCACCGAAATGCTAGACCCATTAAACAAATCTCCTCTCCTCCAGCTCCTGTCGCCATTCTACTTTCTGCCTCTATAATTTTGAATACTCTAGGTACCTCACATAAGTGAGGTATTTGTCTTTTTGTGAGTGGCTTACTTCATTTAGCAAAGTCGAGGCTTATCATGTTGTAGCATGCACCAGAATTTCCTTCTTTTTAAAGTCAAATAATATTTCATTATACGTTCCTTTATCATTTTTGTTACCACACTTACTTTTTTAACCATTTCAGAGATAGTAGTTTTACATTAATATCTGATAATTATATTATCTGCAGTTCTTGGGCACCTTGATCTCTTGTTCTACTGATTTTCCTTTGTGGTGGCTAGTGTTTCTAGGTGTTTGGGAATATTATTTATGTGGTTATAATAGATTGAACTTAGTATTTTGAAATCCTGAGACCTATCTTAGGGAGGATTTTATTTTGCTATCAGGAGTCAGAAGCACTACCAGTCTGGAAACACATTAGCCTTTCAGCTTAATGTCAGGATTTCAGGTTCAGCTAGCTGTACCTCAAAAGCATCCTCAGGTTGTTAGCCGCATTTACCCCTAAGGAGAGTCTGGCTTTCCTGTTTGTTCAAGTATTTTTTTTTTCTCTCCTTTGTCTTTCTCCGTTCTTTTCTATAATCCTCCTTCCATTTTCTATTCTTTCTTCCTACTTTGTCCTTCCTTTTTCATCTTTCCTTCTCTTTATCCACCACACTGCTTTGTCTGGCTCTGAGGTTTTTTCGTTGCCTTTGGATTTCTGAAATTTCACCGTAGTGTGTGTCTTGGAGTTTGTGTGTGTGTGTGTGTGTGTGTGTGTGTGTGTGTGTGTGTGTGTGTGTGTGTGTGTTGAATCCTGCTTATTTGTTTTGTTTCCTGAGTCTATGAATTTGTGTATTTCATCTATTCTGAAGAATTCTTAGGCACTATTTCTTTATGTATCATTTCTCCCTCATCTTCACAGTTGTGTCTTTCTAGAGGTCCTATTATAAATGTTAGTCCTTTATTTGTATCCTTTATGATTCTCAACCTTTTTAAATGTATTTCTCTCTCTTTTTTGGTCTCTGTTCCAGTGTGGTAGTTTGTTCAACTTTGGCTTCTAGTTCTCTATTAATCTTTTTACCTGTGTCTTATTAACTTGTTTACTTGTCCAATACATTTTTTCATTTAAATCATTTTTTTCAGGAAGTTCTATTTGGTTCTTTTTCAAATTGGCTTCATTTTTCATAGTTTCATGCTCTTTGCTTAAGTATTCAAGTCCCTCAGTAATCTTTTAATAGCACACTTAATTTATATTTTGATTTTAGTATTCCAACATAGGAAGTCTTGGCAGGTCTGTGCAGTGTATTCTGCTGGTTCTTTCTCATGATGTCTTTTTCATGTAATTCAAATTTTTTAAAAATTATGAAATTATATTTGTTGGGACTTTATCTGTATGAATTCTGTAAGGTCTGCTATGAGGGTGCATATCTTTGTAGAAGATTTAAGTTTGTTTCTAAGGGAAACAGAATTGCTTTAAATTAATTTGTTGGCTTTGGATTTTCTTTGCAAGGTGGGGGGATGTCATACAGAGAATGTAGCCTTTTGGGATTAGTGTTTTCACTCTACCGTTATCCTCTGATATTTCCCTTTTAGTTACTTATAGCTTAGCTATTCTTTTATAATCATGGCTTTTGTATTTTTCCAGAATGTTTAGGTGTTTAGTTGGATTTCAGAATGTGTAGTCTGTTATATTGCTGGGAGGGGAAATTCTGAGCATTTAAAGTGCTGTCAATTCTCAGTGGTACTGGAAAAGTGTTGCTGTAAGGTTGGTGAGTAATGAGAGAGGATGGCACTCTTGCTCTGGGTATTGAAGGGCATCAGTATTCTCATCCATCCAAGGTCTTTTCCAGCCTATTGTGTCTCAGGAATGCCAGTAAGGCTATAATAATATTGAGGGACTCCTGGGATTGCATTACTTTCTGAAATGTTGCCTCCATTTCTTAATTTGATCTTTTCCATTCTTACTGGTACAATCCACTCTCAATAATTTCCCAAAGGAAATTTAATGTTCTCACTGAGGATATTTATAGCTAGGTTTGTTGACACTTGTCTCTAACATATTTTAATTATTATTTTCATATGCTTTTCTACTCATGAGACTGCAAACCAGGTTCCCAAGTGTGAAAGTGCTACAGTTGTCTGGGATTCATTTTGTTTGCTAAGTGAGTTTTTGTGTGTGTGTTTGTATTGGCTATAAATTTCCTAATGCTCAAATTTTCTGTTTCAAGAATACAATATGCAGATATATTTTCAGTCTGTATGTTCCATTCACTTTCAATTTTTTTTGGAGGCAGGGTCTCCCAGGCTGTAGTGCAATAGCGTGATCATGGCTCACTGCAACCTCAATCTCCCAGGCTCAATTGATCCTCCTGCCTCAGCCTTCCAAGTAGCTAGGACTACAGGTACATCACAACACCTAGCTAATTTTTGTATTTATTTGTAGAGATGAGGTTTTGCCCTGTTGCCTAGGCTGGTCTTGAACTCCTGGGCTCAAGTAATCTGCCTGCCTCAGCTTCCCAAAGTGCTGGGATTACAGGCATGAGCCACTGCACCTGGCCCACTCTCTCTCAAAGTTATTCTATTAACTGTCGGTTTTCAGTGTCATTGATCATGGTAGTAAACATTATTTTGGAAAGAGTTGCTCAACAGTAGCTTTTATGTAATGACTGACTTTTGCTTGCGTTTAAGGCAGATTGCAGAAAGAAATTAAGGTGGTCTTTTCCCCAGTTTTCCCATACTGTCCTTGCCTAGCATTCTTCTTTAACTGGGCCTTACTTGGGAGAGAGATAGAAAAGGAAAATAGGAAAAGAGAATTAGGCAGGCATACCCCAGCATGGTTTACAGATGCTCATTGGTAGACTCAGGCTGCCAGGTTTTAAAGTAACATGAGAACAGGAACCTCTGCTGTAACCCCTTACACTAACTCTTCTCAGGAGGGCAGCAAGTACCAGCCACACCTGCCCTGCACATATCCAAAAAAGCCTAAGTAACTTAAAGGAAAGGCAGTTTATTAGAAGGCCACTAGGAGAGCATAGAACTTACAAGATGACTATGGGACCAGATGTGAACATGGTCAGGAACCAGGTTACCTCCAGAGAGCAGGAAGCAGGAACAACAGGTGTTCTCTTGCAGCAGGAGCCAGCTGGTCAGGATGACAGTGATGAAATGGATGAACCCCAGCCATTTTAGTCTCTTAGGCACTCTGCTCAGGATTTAAATTCCAGGCAGGTATTTAATTGACCAAGCTGGGATCACATGGCTGCCCCTTGGCTGGAAAAAGTCAGGGAACTGGATTCAGGGCCTCTCCAGATTATATCCAAAGTTGAAGTAACTCCCAGAAAGAAATTTGTGATGTGCTTAGAAACCAGGCCTAAGTCTTAAACAACCAAACACCAACAGGTGTCCATCTCAGGTTAACTGTGGATCACTGGAGTTTGGACAATGGCAATTTAATATCAAAACCAAACTAGTCCTCTATCATAGGTCTGGCTAATACAGTCATATTGAAATGTTCCTGGGGGTTTGTCAGTAACTTAGATTCTTTCAGGTATGTTTCTCTTCCTCTTACTTCTTTTGTCCTTTAGCTATTTCAGTTCACATTATTTCCTCTACAAGAGACTGGACAGATGACATTTTTTAAACTTCACATGTTTGTACATATCAAATGCAGTGAAAAAATTTGTTTGGAGGACAATGGAATAAAAATAGTGATATTCATGGGGTTAACTAATTTCCGTATACTTGCTTTGGCTGTATATAAGATTAACATAGAACCCAAGATGAGCTATAGCTTGATTAGTTGTCTCCAGAAAGAGATTTTACAGCTGTTCCATTATTATCTCTCATGTCTTTTCTTTTTCTGTAGGCAGTGCTTATGTTAGAATGAAGTGGTGACTTCATGAGTATCTTGAAGACTATGATCCTTTTATTTCCAGGCTTTTCCTGAGTAGTCTTAAATTCTTAAAGGTCAAACAACTAGGAAATGTGCTAACATTGGCAGTGGACCTTTCACTTACATCCATCACGCGGATGAATGTCCTGATTCCTAGAAGTTGTGACAGATCCTTGAAGGGCTGTAGAAGACCTTGAAGGGCTTTAAAAATCATTATTAATTATTTTTGGGGGAGAGAGTGGTGCTTTCAGTATAGAATTATTCATTGATTCATTCAGTATTCAAATACTGAACACATTCTAAATGCCATGCACTCTGCTGCATAATGTAGTTATTGCCTTCAAGTAGCTCATGGACTACAAGGAGGAAATAGGCACATATATAGCTATATGTGCTGCTAGATAGGGGCTCCTCAGTCAAAATCAGAGGACTTGTTATATCTTTACTGAAACTAATCTAACCTTACTGAGACAGACAGTCTGGGCTGGGTGGCTAGCCTTCTAGCTTTCTGATACTTTGTGTTCTCAATAATGTATTTAATTCATGACATCTGTGCTATTCCATGTACTGACTCTCAATAAATATTTTATATCTAAAGCTGCAGAGTTTCATTATTGCTAATCAGTAAGGAACAAAACAAGAAGAAAGCATCTCCTGCCTACAAGTACTGCTGAGCAGGAAAATTATTATTTGTACTCTCTTTGGAACCCATACTTTCTTTGAGCTCTCCCTAATCATTGATCATGAGCCTACGCATACCCATACTGTGCTCTGATTTCTGTTTCTATTATGGCACCTGTTTCATCACATGGCATATCTTTGCTTGTGGACTTACCTTGCATTTGGAGCAAGGGATTTGTTTCATCTGTGAAACCACAGTATTTAGCACAGCATCCTACTCATAGCTCAGTGTTTGTTGAATTGAAATCTCACTTCATATTTGAATTCATCATCTTTCTACATATGCTTAATTTCTTACACTAATTTGAGAAAACGCAGAAATGAGCCTCATTAAGAGAGTACTCCATAATGAATTCAGATGGCCTGTTGTTCATTCTGGGAACAGAACATTAATTATAATATTCAGGTAGAGTCTTCCTCTTGCTCCAGGTATTACTACATTAAACCTTAGGTGCTTTGCTTGGGGTTTTATGAGATGATAATTTGGTCATTGAAATGATACACTATACCAAACTATTCGTAACACATTTTGAGTGTACACACTAGATTTTGTTCAGTTATCAGTTGTTCCTCATCAAGTCTTAATGATAACTTCTAGTGACTGCAACTGAAGTCTCATTCAGACTAGATTCTTCTCCATGTGTTCCACTGGAATGTTTTCTTCTAGCTTCAGAGCCCTAGTTACTAGTCATTAAGACTGCTTACTCTCATGTACTTTTCAGGAATAGCCTTTCAGTACTAAGTATTAGGTTATGTCAGTAGGAGGCTTCCCTTTTCTCTAATATGCATGGCAAAACACTGGCTCCCTGCTTTGCCTGAAAATGGCTATATGAAGCAGTTCTGTGTCTCTGGTCTGGGTGTTTTGTTTCATGGCTGTGTTTTTCTCTGCTGGCATCACTGTTGTTTTGTACTCTCTATTGATGGGAAGGACATTTAAAAACATTTTAAGAATTACTGTCTTAAAATCTGAGCTTAGCGTGTATTCCCCATTTAGAATAAACGTGGTTGCCATGGCACTTCCCATGTAACATCATTAAACATTCCCTACCCCTTAGGAAGTTATCAATCACCTTAAGTCCAAATGCATGTTGCCCACCCACTTACACACCAGTGACAACCATTAGCTCTGTAGTTCACAAGTCACAAGTTCACAAGTCTTGCCCTCATGTTATTATCTGGGGCAATGCCAATGGATAAGGTGGTTGCACACTCAGTGGTCCCCTTGCCTTCCTAGTGCAGGATTTGCTGGTAGGGCACCAGTGTGCTAACAACCATAACTGATTTTTGTTAGTTTCCACCTTATTGTCCCCTGTGCTTTAGTATTAGCCCATTGTAGGGGGAGCAGCTACTCATCATGGTAGATTTGGATCTGAAATTGAAAGTAAGGTAGCTGTAGCTCCCCATACCCTCTGAACAGGTCTACATCTCAGAGGAGATTCATTTCATATCCATGTCCTTGTGCCATTTTTTGAAGCAGCCTTTCACATTAAAAATGTGTATCTCTCTTATTATAGTAAGAACACCTAAGATCTGCCCTCTTAACAGATTTTTCAGTGTACAATACAGTACTGTTGAATTTAGGGACAATGGCATATGACAGATCTCTAGAACTTCTTCATCTTGCTTAATTAAAACTTTATGCCCAATGACTAGTAATTTTCCATTTCCTCCTACTTCCACCCCTTGGCAATCGCCATTGTACTCTTTGATTCTATGAATTTGACTATTTTAGATACCTCCTATAAGTGGAACCATGCAGTATTTATCTTCCTGTGACTAGCTTATTTAACTTAGCATAATGTCCTCAATGTTCATCCATGTAGTTGCATATTACAGAATATTCTTTTTTTTAAGGCTGAACAGTATTCCACGGTATGTATATATGTTTTCTTTACCCATTTATCTGTTGATGGGCATTTAGATCATTTCTACATCTTGGCTATTGTGATTAGTGCTGCAAGAAACACAGGAATGCACATATTCCTTTGAGATGTTGATTTCAATTCTTCTGGGCAAATACCCAGAAGTAGGAATGCTGGATCATATGGTAGTTCTATTTTTAATTTTTTGAGGAATCTCCATACTGTTTTTGTAGTGACTTCAGCATTTTGCCTGCCCATGAAGTGTGTAATGGTTCCAGTTTCTCCACGTCCATGCCAACACTTGTCTTTTGTTTATTTGTTTGTAATGGCCATTCTAACAAGTATGAGGTGATATTTCATTGTAGTTTTGATTTGCATATTTCCTTAATGACTAATGATGTTGAACTTTTTTTAATATACCTATTGGCCATTTCTCTTTCTTCTTTGGAGAAATGTCTGCTCAAGTCCTTAGCCCATTTTAAAATCAGATTTGTTTAAAACTATTGAGTTATAGGAGTTCTTTATTTTGGATGTTAACTCCTTATCGGGCAAATGGTTTGCAGATACTTTCTCCTATTCCATAGGTTGCCTTTAACTCTATTGATAATTTCCTTTCCTGTACAGATTTTTTGTTGTTGTTGTTGTTTGATATAGTCCCACTTATTCTTTTTCATTTTGGTTGCTGGTGCTTTTGGTGTCACATTCATGAAATCAATGTCATGCAGCTTTTCCCTTATGTTTTTTTCTAGGTGTGTTACAGTTTCAGGGCTTACCTTTAAGTCTTTAAGCTGTTTTGAATGGGGTTTTGTGTGCATAAGATCAGAAACCAGGTTTATTCATTTGTGGATATCTAGATTTGGCAGCACCATTTGCTGAAGATAAGATTCTTGCCCCATTGTGAATTCTTTGCACCTTTGTTGAAGTTAGTTGACTGTATATGTGTGGATTTATTTCTGGGCTTGCTGTTCTGTTCTATTGGCCTATATGTATTTCTTTATGCCAGTACCATGCTGTCTTGATTACTGTAGCTTTGTAATATATTTTGAAATCAGGAAGTGTGATGCCTCCAGCTTTGTTCTTTCTCAAGATTGATTTGGCTATTCATGATCTTTTGTGGCTCCATGTGAATTATAGAATTGTTTTTTCTATTTCTGTTAAAATGCCATTGAGATTTTAATAAGCATTGTATTGAATCTGTAGATCACTTTGGGTAATATTAACAAGTAAACATATTTTTACTGTACTATTATAGAAGCACTTTCTCCATGTCATCTATATAACTGTTATATTAATGGAACTTGGACTCCAGCTGAGTAATCTGGAATAAGAGGCAGTGTCTTAATCATCTGTATATCCACAGTGGCAATTCTAGTGCCTTACACCTAGAGATATTCAACACATAGTTGTTAATAATTCAATTTGTAAAAATATGTTTTTTTATCCCAAACTTTTGAGAACACTTTTCTAGCATCAAGTTCTCTTCAGCCTACAAAGAAAACATATCATCTCCCTCTGTGCAGCCCTGAAGACATTTACGTACAATAGCATGCCCTTAGTGTGGAGTGAGAGTCAAAGACCTTTTGATCCCTTCCACTTTATTCCCTCCCTGCTTACTGGTTGTAGTGGCAGAGTAGAAGGCAGTGGGGGAGGTTGCTGAACAAGAACTAAAACAGCAAAGTGCCTGTCCCCACATTCTCCAAGAAATGTCCAAGAAAATAAAATTTTAGCCCAACTTTTCCCTTTCTTCATTGCCCTCTTACTCTGTTACACTAACGTGTTTTTATGACCAATAGGCTTAGCCTTTAATATCTGCTAGGTAAAATTAATTCTCATCCTACAACTACTTATATTTGCTATGGTCTCAGAGTCTCTGTAAAAAGAAGGAAATCTGAGTTATCCTTGGTCTAGCTTTTGTTTTTCATCTGAAGAAAACAAATTTTGTTTTTATAGGAGCTAGCAGGTCATTTCTGTTATTCTAGCTCATTCAAATCTATTGTCTGCAACAAATTTCTCAGTGTTTTAAAGAAGAAATCCAGTTCTGGTGGATAACATCAGAACATTAAAAAATGAGCAAATTTTGGAGGCAGATGTAAGTAGAACCTGGTTGGAGAAATATTATTAATATGACGGCAAGTATATATGAATTCTGTAAGGTGTGAAGAAGCAGTTATGAAAGATGCTGTATTTTAAGCCTGGGAATGTGGGTGTGCTGCCATCTTGACTAGGCTTAAAATTAACCACAGTCTTGAAGCTTTAACTTGTATATATAATGTGGGAGATGTATTACAGAAATAGATACAGCAAATGTTTACCCAGTCTACTTTTACTGCTACTTTGGAGCACACAAAACAAGTTATTTATTATAATATTAAGGAAATCGGGGCCAATGAGTTAAATATTTGGCTATCTGAAAAACGTTACGATTTTATTAATGTTTACAGAAATAGCATGATTGCTAATTTATTATCCTAGAAAGTTTTGACCAAATATTCTTCTTCTATTTATTTAATCACTCTCCTTAAAATATTTTTTCTTTGCTATCCATGCTTATTATTTTTGGAAATGACCTTTTTACAGTGAGACCAGTCTTTTGGTAATACATGAAAACATTCTATGTTGCCTGACTCTCTGATTCTATTTCCGAGGGATCTGAGAGAGTTGGCATAGAAAGTAAGACGCAAAGAAAGCCCTCCAAATATACAAGAATGCACCCGAAGCCTAACTTGTCTAGAACAGCTTTAACTTGAAACTTTGGAAAACATTGGCTCAGGCTGAATTGTTCTCAAGATTATAATACTCTATTAAATTCCTTTCTAGTAATTATTTGCATCAGTTACATCATATCTCTGGGGCACTTTGAGATAATTTTATGATAGAAAAATAATGATAAGTATAGAGAACTACAGTTAAATTCTTCATCAAGCCTAGAAAATAGGTCAGCAGTTTCATCAGAATGAATGATTCTATTACCGAATATTTTCAGACAGCTGGATTGACTCTTTTAATCGTAATAGTTTGCTAAAAAATAATTTTTAAATAACTACTTAGTTTTCATGAACCTAAAATTCTCAAGTAAGATTTATTATTTTGTTTATCAGATAGTGTTTTCTCCAAATGATGCTAAAGTTCAAGTTTCTACCCTCTTTAAAAATTTTATATTCTAAGTACCTGAAGCATAATGGCTTCAAAGGGAAAATGTAGTATGAGTCTATATGTTAAAGCTAATCAGCAAACAGATGCTTAATTATAAGATAACAGGTTAACTAATGTGGGAGAATTTAAAGATGGATAAGCCATTTTAACAAACATTCAGGTAAGGCACAATAATGTTCTTGCTCTCAGAACTTCTTAGTGTACTAGGGGAAGGAAAACTCGTCCTTAAATAAAATTGCCTGCAAGTCAGAGAAGAAAACAAACCCTACAAATGTGATATGAGCAAATAACTAAAAAACTACTTGGGAACAATATATATTTGAAGAGGATAAACACAGTGAGCTAATAACATCTGCTGGTTTCTCTTTAGAAACAGAATTTAATTAAATGAATTTAAAAAGTGATTAAATGTTTTAAAGGAAAATACTTTCAAAGACTTTTCAGTGGCCTATATTTCATAAGTTACTTTTTAAATTTTCAAAAAAAATTATCAGTAATTTATTCTATATACTATTCTGATAAATGTACAAATTTGCTAAGGTAAATAATTAAGAATTATATATTAGTGTCAAAATGTATGTGGGTGGATACACTTATAAATTAGATGTTTTGTAATTATAATCCTATAAATATAAAATTACTCAGATAATTGGAATTAATTGGAATAGGCTTGTTTGAATATTCTGAAACTTGCTAACATGAATTACATTATAAATAAGTTAAAATTAGTATTGAATGCATCATCTGTATCACAATCTTCTGTTTTTATTGAAAAATCTTCAAATTGGTTTTACAAAGAGAATTATATAGAATACATTAAGTATTTTTAATAAGGTTTATTTTCTTCTTGGTACTTTTAAAATCAGCTCAAGTCATGTCTAAATTATCTGTTAAATCCCCCTATTTTAGTATCTTAATGCTATTCAATATTTGGATTTACAGCATTTCCTACACAGGTCATGTTCATTGTACTATTGAGAAGTTTGTATGATTAGTTGCCCATGTAAGAATATATCCCTAAGTAAAGCCACCAGTTTTATCAACATTAATGTGCTTTCGGAGAGTGAATCTTTCAGAAATATACGGTTTCTCATGCTATTTGCTCTACTTCACGCTTGTTTTTTTTTCTGGTTTGAGGAATTTGTTCTACAGCATGTTTGTTAGATCAGCTGGCCCTTGGCACTACAATGAACACGAAGTCATGCAAACAGATGGAGAAATTTAATTTTCAAGTCAGGAAAGGATTCCATAGCAACATTTGAGTGAAATATATGTCTCGTCACATTTATTGGGCTGCTGTTGTTACAAACCAAACATACACATAAATGTAATCTGTAGAGGGATGCTTAAAATACACACTGTTCATCTATTCCCCTAAAATCTTTCCTCTTTTTCAACGGAAAAGATTTTTTACTGTATTTCAGAAGTGTGTATGTATGCGTGTGTATGTATTTAGCAAGTCAGATGGTTTCTGACAAGGTTTAATAAACTTCACTTGGTAAGTCAAGTCACATTAGGAAAATTTTCACCCATACTTCTGTGAGCAGAAATTAATCTTTTAGAAACCATGTTTCAGGGCTTAGATTATGTATTCAGCAGTAGTGAGCAGGCGGGGGGGTGGGGGGGGGTATGAAAGTGTGATTCCACGTGGCTGAGGCTCCTGCAGGAAGAGCCGGTGCTAAATATAACACAGTGGGATCTAGGCAGAACATCAGAAACCTGGTGAGGATCAAGATAAAAATAACAATCCTATTAGCCCCCTCTAACTGGAAGAGAGTCAACCTCAGAGCTCAAATAATGTGTGTTTTCATCCAGCTCTATATCATGGTGGTTAAAAGGCATAATGGTGATATTGAGGAATGAGACGATTCGAACTACTTCCCTAAACACGAACAAAACTTAACCTGTACCATACGTTAGGGTTTGAGTCTTTTTATATATAAATGTTTGACATTGATAGATAAGGCATGTGTGCTTTATATGGTAACTTTTAGTAATAAAAATATTTGTTTTAAGTGGATTACCACATTTTCCAACCATTTTGGAGAAATGACTATTTATATGACACATTGCATTTGTATAAGCACTTTTTCTTAACTTCTCAAAAAAATTTTCACTTACAACATATGATTTTTCTTTCACATGGTTCTCTGCTTGGTAAAGGTGAGACTCTCCTTCAGATATAGAAGAAAAGAAAATTGGGTTTACAGATAAGAATGTTTTGCAAAAATGTTAAATGTGAAAAATTCTAGCACATTTCCAAAATCTAGCTTAACTCTGCTTACAAAATAGCTGCCCCAAACTCCTACAGAGTTCCTGTATGAATAATTCTATTACTGAGCAAACAATGAATTCAGGAAAACAAATATGTTAGTGGTTGCTTTAGGATCTTTATAGGTGGAACCTCAGTTATTAATTTAAGAATTAATCAGTCTTAAAAACTCAGATGTCTTACAAGATTCCACATTATTATAAATCAAATGCATTCTTCAAGCTTTAATCAGATATACATTAAAAATGAAAATACTATATATATATTTCATATCTAATGTGATTATTCACTTTTATATGTTAAAAATATGAACTTAGAGTTTTAGCAGGATGATATTTCAAAGCAGTTGCTTTTTGATATAGTGGTCAAAATATTTGATTGGATCCAAGCAGGTACCTTTCTTTGTAGGTATCTCCAATATTATAGTCTGTGTGATTTAACATGCCCATAATTAGTTGAGAAAGTCACTTTCACTTTCCCATTTTCTGTTCTAATCAAAGTAGCAGACTGCCAAAGAATTGAGTAAATGCTATTTTAACATTTGGTGTTAGGTATATGACATCTCTCTTCAAAATCATTTCAGTAGTTTCTTCTCACTTATCCTTGGATACAGTTAGTTGCTCTGGGGTACGAAAATAATATGGAAGATAACACATTTTAACCTAGAATGGGAAAATCTTTAGCTTTTTGTCCCAGCTTTACTTAAGCATCGCCCAAGCCTTGTTCTAAGATGACAAATGATCATTATAATATAGTATGGTGTAGTCAAATGAGTTGGACTCAGATATATCTGGCATTGAATTCCAGCTGTACAATCTTGGACAATTAGCTTGCAATTAGGTATTTACACCAGTATTTGAGATTGTGGTGAATTTTCTTTTGGTTGACTTTTTGTGGGACACTCACTGCCTGCCAGGCACCCTGTTAAGTCTTTGCATGCTTTTCTTTTTAATTCTCAGTAACAACTCTTTGTCGTAAAAGTTGTAATATTCATTTTACAGGTGGGGAAAGCAAAACTTGGAGAATTAAGCAATTCGTCCAATGAGGCAGAACTAACATTTAAATTCAAGTTATCTGATGTGGAGCTAGTCTTTCATCTCTACCTTACACTGGCAGACCTCTGTTTATGAAACACATATCTTCATATCTAACCTTTTTAAAATAAGCAGACATTCAGAATATATCATTTCATAAGACTTTTACATTAGTGGTTCAATTGCAGTCTTATAAAATTTCTGTGTAAATGTCTTTAAATATATCTCCACCTATCACTTTATTAACCAGAGCATGGGACAGAATCATGAATCTGATATGTATTATGCCTATATTGGTCTTTTTGTGCTGCTGTAACAAAAAACCTGAGACTGGTAATTTATAAAGAACAGAAATTTATTTCTCATAGTTCCGGGGGCTGGGAAGTCCGAGAAAGGCACGGACAGAGTCAGTGACTGGTGAGGGTTACTTTCTGCTTCCAAGATGGCACCTTGAACCCTGTGTCCTCACATGGCAGAAGAGATGGAAAGGAACAAGCCCACTCCTTCAAGCCCTTCTATGAGGGCCCCAGTCTCCTCCATGAGAGCTCTGCCCTGATGATTAAATTACTCTTAAAGGCCTCCGCTCATAACGCTATCATATTGGTGATAAAGTTTTAACATATGAATTTTGAGAGATGCATTCAGACCACAGCAATACCTAAAGCCTTTACATGTTACTTAAATATCCAATAATAAAAAGCACAATTTGGGGCCCCAAAAAAATCCCACAAATAACCAAAAAGGCATATTTTTACAAAATAAAATTAAGTCACCTCTGAATTGGAAAAGTATTTAAATTTGAAGCAATTGTAAATCTTTTTTAGCATCCTTTTGTTCACAGCCTCTGTATTCAGGTTTTCTTATGTGGAACCAAGAAGGGCATGCTGTTTGTATGTTTTAGCTGTGTGGTTTTCATCCTGAATATGTATCTGTCTGAATACGAGAAGGAAGAATAAATTAATAATTAATATGTTACAAGCCTTTTTCATATTATCTTAGATTTTAAATGTTCTCACTATAAAGAAATTATAAGTATGTGAGGTGCTGGATATGTTGATTAGCCCAATTTTATCATTCTACAATATATACATGTATTGAAACATCACATTTTAATGAAAATATACAACTATTACTTGTCAATGAAAAATAAAATAAAACTTTTGAAGATAATTTTATGGAGTAAATAGGACACTTTGATGAGAAATACAAGATTTGAGAGGTTGAGATATAATCATTATAATACATTAAAATGTAATGGTTTAGAGCTAGCTTTGGAATAAGTCAGCTTGGGTTTAAGCCTGTTTCACTTTCCTAGTCTTTAAACTGTAGGTAATAACACCTACCTCTTGGCACGACTATAAGGATTAAATAAAATAATGTATATTAAATGCTAAAAATATATATATGTTAAATGCTAAATTATCAGGTCAGTGTATGTAAGTCTCTTCAAAGATTATACTCCCCAGCACCATGAGCTTGTAGGTATGTAATTACTGCTTTTAGCTCAGGGTAATGTAGGGGCTGGCTGTCTTTGGCACTATATTATTTTTTAATAACAGCTATATTGAGATATATTTCACATATGATACATTTCACCTTTGAAAGTGCACAATTGAGTTGTGCAACCATCATCATTATCTGACTTCAAAACTCTTTCGTCATCTCCAAAAGAAGCTATGTTCCCATACACAGTCACTCCCCATTCTCCCCTTCCCCACCCCTCTGCAACCACTAAGCTACCTTATGTTTCTGTGGATTTGCCTAGTTTGGACATTTCATATGAGTGGAATGGCTTTTTTAACTGTCTTTTTTTTTTTTGACTTAGCGTAATGTTTTTAAGGTTCATCCATGTTGTAAAGTGGCAGCCATATGGCCAGATAACATGTCATTGTATGGATATATGCCACATTTTGTTTATTCATTAATCAGTAGATGGATATTTGAGTTGATTTCACATTTTGTCTATGATAAATAATACTACTATGAACATGAATGGACAGGTTTTTGTGTGGATATATGCTTTCAGTTCTCCCGGGTCTATACATAGGAGTGGAATCTCTGGGTCATATAGTAACTCTATATTTAATATTTTGAGGAGCTGCCAAACTGTTTTTCAAAGTGCCTATACCATTTTACAGTCCCATTAGCAATGTATGAGGGTTTCATTTTCTCCACATTCTCACCAACACTTGCTATTGTCAGCTTTTCTATTATAGCTATCTTAATGGATGTGAAGTGATATCTCACTGTGATTTTCATTTGCATTTTCTTAATGACTAATGATGTTGAGCATGTCTTCATGTTCTTGTTTCCGTTTGTGTATCTTCTTTGAAGAAACGTCTGTTCAAATCCTTTGCCCATCTTTTAAATTTTATTTCTTAGAACATTTATAGATTTATAGAAAAATTACAAAGATAGTACAGAGACTTCCCGTAAATACCACACCCAGTTTCCCCTATTATTAACGTCTTGCATTTGGCTGGTATATTTGTTATAATTAATGAATCAATATGAATACATTATTATTAACTGTATACTTATTCATATTTCCTTAGATTTTTACTAATCTTGTTTTTTTCTTCTGTCCCAGGATCCTATCTAGGATACCATATTACATTTTATTTGTTATGTCTCCCTAGGATCCTCTTGGCTGTGACAGTTTCTCAGACTTTCCTTGTTTTTGATGACCTTGACAGTTTTGAGGTGAATTGATCAGATATTTTTTGTAAGATATCCCTCTATTGTGATTTGCCAGAGGTCTTTCTCATGATAAGACTAGGGCTAAGGCCACAGAGGTAGAGTGCTATTTTCATCACATCATATCATATCAAAAATATATACTATCAACATGACATCACTGTTGATGTTGGCCTTGATCACCTGGCTGAGGTAGTATTTATCAGGTTTCTGCACTGTAAAGAGACTACCCAATCCTTCCATACTGTACTCTTTGGAAGGAAGTCACTATGAGCAGTTCACACTTAAGAAGTAGAGGGTTGGGCTGGATGCAGTGGCTCACACCTATAATCCCATAACTTTGAGAGGCCAAGGCAGGCACATGGTTTGAGACCAGCCTGGGCAACATGGCGAAAAATTTGGCTGGGCATGGTGGCACACGCCTGTCGTCCCAGCTACTTGGGAGGCTGAGGTGGGAGGATCCGTTGAACCTGGGAGGTGGAGGTTGCAGGAAGCCAACGTCGTACTATGAGCGCACCACTGCACTCCAGCCTGAGCAACAGAGTGAGAACCTGTCTCAAAAAAAAAGGAAATAGTGGGTTATACTCTACCTCCTTGAGGGTGGAGTATCTGCATAAATTATTTGAAATTCTTTTTCACAGAACATATGTCTCTCTTCATTATTTAATCATTTGTTTATATCAGTTTGTACTCATGGATATTTATTTTATACTTGGGATTATAATCCAATTTGACTTTTTCTTATTTCTTAAATTATTCTAGTTAGGCCATTGGGAGCTCTTTCAATTGGCTCCCATGTCTCTGTGGCATTCTCTCATCCTGATGTTTTAGAGTTTTGTTTGTTTGTTTAGCAAGTTCTTAAGATGCTCCAGGCTCATCTTGCACATTTCCTGCCCCAATTCTAGAATGAGTCATTTTTCCAAGGAACCCTGGTTTATTTTATTGGTAAATGGTGTTAGAAACCAAGATTTGGTCACTAGGTGTGCTCACTGCTACTAGTTTTTTTTCAGCAAACAGAAGTAGGAAATACGGAAATGCATGATAACCTGTGTAGATACACATATCTATAAATATTCCTATATGTAACCATCTGTATATTTGGCTAAGGATGAGTTTGTATCAAAGTCTCCAACTTAAATCTATTACCACAAGGATTTTTCTAGCCTCTTCCCCTTTCTTGTCTGTAAACTCCCATTCCAGCAGTGAGAAATTTGGCTCCTACCATCCACCAACCATGTACTTAACTGTCCAATTTCAGTATATATGTATAGGAGTTTCTGAATTGTTAGTCCATATTTCTAAATAGGATACAGCTTTGCCAACAAACTGTATGTTAAGATTCATCCTTGTCTTTTGAAGGCTTGATAGCTCATTCATTTTTATCTCTGAATAATATCCTATTATGGATATACAGCAATTTGGTTACCCATTCACCCATTGTTATGGTCTGAATGTTTATGTTCCTCAAAATTCATATGTTGAAATCTGAACCCTCAGGGTGATGATATTAGGAAGTGGGGCCTTTGGGAGCTGATTAGGTCATGACACAGGGCCCTCACGATGGGATTAGTGCTCTTATAAAAGAGACCCCAGAAAGATCCCTCACTCCTTTCTCCACTTGGGATTACAGTGAAAGGACAGCCCTCATCAGACACCAGATCTGCCAGGCTTTGATCTGGGACTTTCCAGTCTACAGAACTGTGAGAAATATATTTCTGTTGTTTATCAGCCACCCAGCTTGTGGTATTTTGCTATAGCAGATTGGACGGACTAAGACATCTATTAAAAGACATCTGGGTTGCTTCCAGTTTGGGGCATTATGAGTAAAGCTGCTATAAACATTTGTATGCAGGTTTTTATGTTGACATACGTTTTCAACTCAATTGAATAAATACCTGGGAGAAAAACTGCCGAATTACATGATTCTGTTTGTCAGGACTCTACAGAGAAGTAAGGCCAATAGGAGGTATAAATATATACGTATATAATACATATACGTATATACACATATGTAATACATATACATATATAATGCAAATACTTATACATTTCCACATATACATATATACGTACATTTACATATATAATAAAGAGATTTGGCTGGCTCACTCAATTGTGGAGACTGGCTCCCAGGATCTGCAGGATGAATTGGAAAGCTGGAGACCCAGGAGAGCTAATGATTTAGTTCTAGTCTGAGTCTAAAGGGTGGGAACCAGGAGAGCTGATGGTGTAATTTTGGTCTGAAGGCTGGCAAACTAGAGACCCAGGAAGAGCCAATGTTTCAGTTCAAGTCCAAAGGCAGAAAAAGTCAATGTCCCAATTCAAAAACTGTCAGACAGGAAGAATTCTAACTTGGGGGAGGGTCAGCCTCTTTGTTCAATTCAGGCCTTCAGTTGATTGATGAAGCCTGCCACATTAGGGAGGGCGATCGGCTTTACTCAGACTACTGATTTAAATGTTAATTTAATCCCAAAATATCCAGAAAAATGTTTGGCAAAATATCTGGGCACTCCATGGCCCAATCAAGCTGACATATAAAATTAACCATCATATATGGTAAGACTATGTTTAACTTTGTAAGGAACTGCCAAACTGTGTCATCTTCACCAGCATTTGAAATTGTCAATGTTTTGAATTTTAGCCATTCTAATAGATGTATATTGCATTTTACTATTTTAATTTTCAATGGCTTAAAAACAAATGATATTGAGCACCTTTTCATATGCTTATTTTCCATATGTGTATATTATTTTGTGAGGTCTCTAGTCATATATTTTGCCCCATATACAAATATTTTCTCTCTTTCTGTGCACTGTCTTTTCACTTTCATGATGATGTCCTTTGAAGTGCCAAAGGTTTTACTTTTCAGGAAGCCCAATATGAGTGTTATTTTCTTTTGTCACTTGTACTTTTGATGTCATATATAAAAAATGGTTTTCTAATCCATATTTTCTTCTAATAGTTTTATGGTTTTAGCTTTTATATTTAGGTCTGTGATCTGGTTTGAGTTAGTTTTTGTATGTGGCTTGAGGTAGGGTTCTAACTTCATTCTTTTGCAATGCAGGTTTCCACTTATCCCAACACCATTTGTTGAAAAAACTATTCTTTCTTCATTGAATTGTCCTGACACCCTTATCAACAATCAGTTGACCATAAATGTAAGGGTTTGTTTAGAGACTCTCAATTTTGTTTCATGGATTTATATGTCTACTCACAGCAGTGTCCACTGTCCTGACTGCTGCAGCTTTGAAGTAAGTTTCAAAATTAGGAAGTATGAATTCTTCAACTTTGTTCTGCTTTTTCAAACTTGTTTTGGCTATTCTGGGTCTCTTTTGTTTCACGTGAATTTTAGCCTTAGAAATATTTTAATCTTTGAAATCTGTCTGCTATTTCTGTTTTTCTCTTATATCCCCCACCCTGCAACCCCGGGTCATGTTCATTTGTATTTATTCCTGCTCCTTCATTTGAATGTACCTGTGCCTCTTTTTCAGGGCTGTTAATTTTCAGCAGTTAATTAATCTTGCTGAAAGTATCAGCTGATTAAGCCTAGGCCTTGCAGAGATTTTAACTGGGGAGGGTAAGTTTATAGTGATCTTTTTTTTCCCTTCTCACTTCTCCTTCTCTGTTTAATTGACTAGATTTGTAGCCTTCTACCTACTCCACTATTGTCTGAATCCAATCTCTTTGTACATTTCTACAGATAACCACTTCCCTGAAATATGCTGCTGAAATTACATTTACATTTTCAAAGGCCTCCATACAATAGAGCAGATTAATCATCCAAAGTACAGTTATAATCATATTATTTTTCCTGCTTAAAACATCTGGAACATGGATGAATCTAAAAACCATGTTGAGCGAAAGCAGCTAGAAACAAGAGCACATGTTATATGATAGCATTGTTATGAAGTTCAAGAACAGACAAAACTCATCTATAGGAATGAAATTCAGAACCTCGGTTGCCACTGGAGAATGGGAGGGGAGCAGATTTGAATGAGGCAAGAAGGAATTTTCTAGAGTGATAGAAATGTTCTATATCTTGATTGGAGCTACATGGTAACAGACATTTGTCACAGCTCATCAAACTGGACACTGAAGATCTGTACATTTTTCTGTTTGGAATTATACCTCCATTTTTTTTAGGTCGAAAATAAAAAAATTTTGGTTGCTAACCATTGCCTTCAGCTCAAATTCCCTAACTTGTTCATTCAGGGGTCTTTGAAAATCTGAGACCTAGATACCTTTCCAAGTTTCTCTTGTTATTTCGCTTCTATGCCCTGTGTTCCAGAAAAATGAGATTTTCTTTCTCACACGTGTTCCATATTTTTCCACTTCTGTGTTTTCTTTCACTTTTCTTTAGTTAGGAATGTCTTCCCATCTCCCATTGCCAATCACCAAGTGTCAAAATGATCTTCCTTCAAGTATCATATCAGAGGTCACCCTCCTTCTCTCAAACACCTGTCCTGGTAGCTTTTGTGTTTCTTTTATGGGACTCTTGACTTTCTCCTAGTTTTATTGTAATTATCTATGTTGCTATGTTTATAGTGCTCACAATGTGCCAAGCACTGTTTATGAACATCTGATTCCCACTTCGGTTACATTAAAGGCAAGACTTACATCTGCTTCATTTCTGTCTCCCATAGGACCTAGATAAGCATTGATTAAATGGATGGATGGATGAATGGATGAATAGATTGATGGATTGGAAGGTGTGGGGCAATGGGGAGGGAATATTGGTAAAAGAAAGCCATTTCAAAAACTCTAAAATAGCCTACATCCTACTTGTAAGGCTAGGATAAAAGGTGTAATGAACTAGACAAAATATGGTAGGAGGTGAGTATAACTCTGGTGGTTGTCAGCCAGGTCCTGAGCTTATAGACATATCTATGCAAATCTGAAAAGCATGACAACCCCTAGAATGATTCTTAAACAATTTCATGCAATCTGTTAAGTCATTTCCCCTGCTACAGCCCTTTAACTGCTGGGAGTTTTGTGATGTCCTCATCTGGCAGTGCCTTTAGACTTTGGCCTCAGGCAGAATTCCTGACCAGACATCTGCCGCATTCACATACCCAGAGGCAGTACTCAGTTCGTTTTGCTAATAGGGTAAACAAACTCCCCTTGACAGGAGGGAGTGACTTACAGTGTTCAGGGCATACGCTGGGGCTGAAGCAGCAGAGCGCCAGCAGTTATGCAGTTATTGTACTTGAAAGCCTGGCTCAGGCTTCAGAGATGCAAGCTTTCAGGAGGAGCTCTGTGCATTACCAGTCATGGGAATCTGTGTGTGAATGCATTAGACATCACCTGACATTGGCGAAGCTTCTGTATGAAACCTACCAACCTATCACCAACATCTCCCTACCTCTCTTTAAAAAGAAAAAAAAAAATACGTAGGAATACTGGGACAGTGGCAGGAAGTTTTGGGGGTTTTTTGGTTTTTGTTTTGAGACAAGGTCTTGCTCTGCCACCCAGGCTAGAGTGCAGTGGTATAACCACGGCTCACTGCAGCCTCGACCTCCCTGGCTCAAGCAATCCTCCCACCTTAGCCTCCCGAGTAGCTGGGACTACAGGCATGCACTGTCAGGCCTTTTTTTTTTTTTTTTTTGTAGAGAGGGGGTTTCACCATGTTGCCCAGGCTGCTCTTGAACTCCTGGGCTCGAGTGATCCTCCTGCCTTGGCCTCTCACAGTACTGGAAATACAGGTGTGAGCCGCCAGCTAGCCAGCAAGAAGCTTTAAGCCCTTAAAAAGCAAGTGTAGCTAAAGACCATTTGAGGGGAAAGGGAACATTTGTGGTTTTTAGCTTTGGCTTATGAAGATTTCAATCACAAGATTCTTCCCTGAGATTTTACACATTGTCAGGACAAGCCAATCCGTAGGGATGAAAGGGCTTCCCCACCCTCCCTACCATATGTAGTCTATTTAAGGTGAAGCGGGAGGCCTTGATGGCCAAAGGAGTAATGTTTTTAGCTTTATTCTTTCCCTCTCCAAATAGACCACCTTAGCAGATGGAGGGGAAAACCCAACTAGAGAAACTGTTTTTGTTAGAAATACTTAAGCCTAATTTAATCACCAATGGAGGTGCATTTACTGAAGATAGGAGAGAGAAAACAATGAGCCTTTCCACTCTGCATCCCCATGACATGTCTAATATAAATAGAATCTCTAAGACCAGCAAAAAGATAGAAGAGTTTACATTCATTAAAATGTTGGCCCCACTTGGCCGGGCCCGGTGGCTCACACCTGTAATCCCAGCATTTTGGGAGGCTGAGGTGGGTGGATCACCTGAGGTTAGGAGTTCAAGACCAGCCTGGCCAGTGTGGTGAAACCTTGTCTCTACTAAAAATACAAAAATGAGCCAGTCGTGGTGGCAGGCACCTGTAATCCCAGCTACTCGGGAAGCTGAAGCAGAATTGCTTGAACCCGGGAGGTGGAGGTTCCAGTGAGATGAGATCGTGCCATTGCACCCCAGCCTGGGGGACAAGAGCGAGACTTTGTCTCAAAAAAAAAAAAAAAAGTTGGCCCCACCTAACAAAAGAGTACTTTTTAATCCTCTCATGTTGTGAAATGATTTAGGGATAATGAAAATCTGAACAGAACTTTAAAAAAAAGACAATAAAACCAAAGCCCATGAAGTACATACTTTATGCTTACAATGTTGTTTGCAAAGTAAAGCTCCCAATGGAGACTTTTGCCCTCTTCTTTTCCTGCATCATGTCTTAGTTCAGGCTACTATAATAGAATATCATAGACTGGAAGGCTGGGAAGTCCAAGATCTGGGTGCTGTCAGATTCTGTGTCTGGTGAGGGTCCCCTTCCTGGTTTGCAGATAGCGGTCTTCTAGTTGTATCCTTGCATGGCAGAGAATACAGAGAAAAGAAGTGTGGTCCATTGTCTTTTCTTACGAAGGCACTAATTCCATCATGAAGGCTCCACTCTCATGACCTAAATACTTCCCAAAGGGCCCATCTCTTTGGGCCCACCTCAACCATCACGTTAAGGGTTGGGATTTCAACATATGAATTTTGGGGGTAACACAAAATAATGATGCCTTCATTATAGCAGAGGGCTCTGTAGGAGCTCCAGGCTGTGCTAAAATTGTCTTCTGACTTGGGTACCGTCAACCTCTATGGAGTTCTAATTCATTGTGTATGCTTTTTATAAACTAATATAAGTCAAGCCACCTGGCTCCTCTTTGGTCTACATAGCTGTATTTCGGCAGGCTGTAATAATTATTTTCTTAAAAAACAGTCTTTTTCTCTCTCTCAAAAAAAGAACAATTTTTTTATAGCTCCTCGTTAAACAGATTTTTAGGTTAGGCCACAGCCATGAACATCCTGCTGTTGGGACATTTGTAAAAAAGGTATACAGTAGCCCCCTCTTCTCTGTGGGGAATACATTCCAAGACCTCTAGTGGATGCCTGAAACTGCAGATAGTACTGAACCCTATATACACTGTTTTACCCTATTCATAAATACCTATAGTAAGATTTAATTTATAAATTAGGAACAGTAAAAGATTAATAATAATAGAACAATTATAACAGCATACTGTAATAAAAATTATGTGAATGTGGTCTTTCTGTCTCTTAAAATATCTTATTGTGGCTGGGCACAGTGGCTTATGCCTGTAATCCCAGCACTTTGGGAGGCCAAGGCAGGCAGATCACGAGGTCAGGAGTTCGAGACCAGCCTGGCCACTATGGTGAAACCCTGTCTCTACTAAAACTACAAAAATTAGCCAGATGTGGTGGTACATGCCTGTAGTCCCAGCTACTCAGCAGGGTGAGGCAGAAGAATCGCTTGAACCTGGGAGGCAGAGGTTGCAATGAGCCGACATGGTGCCACTACACTCCATCCTCCAGCTTGGGCAACAGAGCGAGACTCCATCTCAAAAAAAAAAAAAAAATCTTACTGTACTGTATTACTGTATTCACCCTTCTTGTGATGATGTGAGTTGATAAAATACCTACGTGATGTGATGAAGCGAGGTGAGTAACGTAGGCATTGTGATGTAGCCACAGATTATCATTGCCCTTTTGGCCATACCTCAGAATGGTGATCATCTGCTTTGACTGATCTTGGATCATGGAGTCATGATGATGGTTGGATGTCAAGAATAGATCATATAAATGACTAACATGGTGGTAGAGCCTACAGCACAGTACAGTGGACAAAGGGAAGACTCATTTGCCAGGTGAGATGGTGCAGGTCAGCACAGAGTTTCATCATGTTGCTCAGAATGACATGCCATTTAAAACCTATGGATTATTTCTGGAACTTTCCATTTAATAATTTCAGACCATAGTTGATGACATGGATAAGCTGGGGGTACTATTGTATACATCATTTTTTCTCTTTGTACTTGGGCTTCTAGCTGATATCTTTATAAATCATACAGCATCTTTCATCCCCTTGTACTTTGTATATTACTCAGGTGATCTGTAAATGTGTTATTATTATTTTAAAAATGTAATTCATAATTACATAGACAAGAAATAAAAGTTCTTCACTTCTGTTGCCCACGTCTTCTTTAAACTTATGCTCCTCACCAGGGATAACAAGTATTCTCAATTTCACATCTGTTCTTTCAGACCTTTTCTTAATCTTTCCATCATATTTGCACATTTAGAGATCCATGGTCCCTTTGCTCTTTAATATGTGTTTTAGAATCAATTTATCCAATTTCATGGAAAAATTACATGGGACTTTGGAATTGAATGAATTTATAGATTAATTTGGAGATAACTGATATCTTTATGATAATAAGGCTTCAATTCTTATCAAGGAGCAGAGCTCTCTAAAACCCTTCAATAAAAGTTTATAATTTTCTACACAATAGGTTTGCGCATCTTTCATTATATTTATTCCTGGATAGTTTGTATGTTGTATTATTTTAGTTTACATTTATAACAGTTTGTTAGTGATATACAGAAGTGAAATTGCTTTTTTTTTTTTGAGACAGAGTTTCGCTCTTGTTGCCCAGGCTGGAGTGCAGTGGCATGATCTCAGCTCACTGCAACCTCTGCCTCCTGGGTTCAAGCGATTCTCCTGCCTCTGCCTCCCGAGTAGCTGGGATTATAGGCACCCACCACCACGCCCAGCTAATTGTGTACTTTTAATAAAGACGGGGTTTCTCCATGTTGGTCAGGCTGGTCTGGAACTCCTGACCTCAGGTGATCCACCCACCTTGGCCTCCCAAAGTGCTGGGATTACAGGCATGAGCCACCACGCCCAGCCTGAAATTGCTTTTTAAATGTTGTTCTTATCCAGCATAATTGCTAAATCTCTATGAATTCTATCTATATGTCTATAGATGCTCTTGAGTTTTCTTTGCAGCTAATCATAATGTCTGAATATTTATGGTTTTGACTGCCTCTTAATTTCATTATTTCTACCTTTAATTCCTTTTATCTTACCTGCCTTTAGTTGAGTAGAAGTAGTGATAATGGGCATCCTTTTCCTGTTCTTGATTTTAACATGTCACTCTAAACTGGGATGTTTACTGTAAGTTTTTGATAAATGTCTTTTATTAGGCTAAGATAATGAGTAGTCACTTCGAATGAGTATTTAATGAAGGAGCATGTAGTTGTTCCCCTTTAATTCTTTTGTATGGTGAATTGCTTTAGTATATTTTGTAATGTTAAACCATTTATATATTTCTTGGAAATCCTATTTATATTTATACATTTTTGCATTGTTGGATATTTCCTTGTTGGATAATTCATATATAGTGGAATTGGGAGCTAGACTTAAGGGCTAAGGTAACTGGTGGCTGGATGATTCTGTGATTTATTTTCAAGGATTCTCTGATTTATATAAGAAATTGGGAAGGACATGTATGTGATAACTAGAGAGAGAAAACTAAAACTTTAAAACATTAAACGACCAATCCAACATCACACTTGGACTCATGTGGAGTGGTTGTACTTACCACTTACTAGTGTATGAACCCAATGTTCCTCTGTGCAATGGAGATTATAATGGTCCTGGTCTCATGAAGTTGCTAGAGATCAAAAGCAACATTGCTTGTAAAGTGCTTTGCACAATGCCTAGCACATGGTGGAAAACTCATTCATGTATTCATTTATTCTTTCAACAAATAATTGTACACCTGCCATGTGTTCTAAGAGCTGGGGACATAGCATAAAATAAGAAGAGGTCTTTCTTTTCATGAAGACTTTATTCTAGTAGCAAGGAACAGACAATAAATCATACAGAAGAAAATGGAAGGCCAGGTGCAGTGGTTCATGCCTGTAATCCCTGCACTTCAGAAGGTTGAAGCGGGAAGATTGCTTGAGCCCAGGAGTTCAAGACCAGCCTAGGCAACATAATGAGAGCCCGTCTCTCTAAAAAAAATTTAAAATTATCTGGGTGTGGTGGCACATGCCTGTAGCTCTAACTACTCCAGGAGTCTAAGGTGGGAGGATCACAATCACACCACTGCATTCCAGCCTGGGTGACAGAGTGAGACCCTGTCTCAAAATAAAAATAAAAATAATTAAAAAAGGAAAGAAGAAGAAAGAAGGAAGAAAGAAGAAAGAAGAAGAAAAATACATCAGTGACAGGATTTAGGATTCTAAAATGGAAGTGGCATAACCTGGTTTATATTTTAAAGACATCATTCTGGTGCTCAGTGTAGAAAAGGATACAGAAGGCCAACACAGCACTGGAAGCAGCTAGGAGGTTGTTATGATGTTCAAGACAAGAAACAAGAAGAATTATCTCTGAGAAGTATGATCAGGGTTGGCCATGGGAAGAGAGGTATTTCTGTAATGTTTGGATTTTTTTTTTTTTTTTACAATGAGCACATGTCACTCGTATAATTTAAAAAAATACATGTGTGGGAAAAAAATAGTGGCTTGGTGTAAAGTGGCATGCAGGCTTAGAGAGAAATGAATAGGTTTGGAATATATTTTGAGGCATAATCAATGAGATTTACTGATGAATTAGAGGTATTGGTGAGTGTTAGGGTTTTTTTAAACTTATATTTTATAGCTATTTGTGGCTACTGTAGATAAATGGTTTGGGGAAAAGAGAACAATTCAGGACTCTTAGCTTTATGGTTCAAACAACTGGGTCATGCTATTGACTGAAATGAGGATGTTTAAGGAAGGAACAGATTTTTTTCCCCCAAGTGGGAATGAAAGTTGATTTTCAGGAAAAATTAACCACCATTATTCTGTTGATATTTGTCAAGTAAAACATTGTCGTAACAATTTTACAAAATAAGTAAAAAACATTTCTGTATGTGGTTATTTTTTATAGCAATTCCCAAGAATGTTATTTGAAAAAATCTTTTTCCTCCATAGAATTGTAAATCAATTTACAAAAACACAGGCAGAGCAACCTTTCCAGCATCCAGGCAGACCTGATACTCCGTATTTACTTTCTTTAGTAGTTCTGATATTGGCCAACCAAATCTCACTTTTGAAGGAAAATGTTCTTTGACTTAAACACAGAACACTGTTCAGTAGCTCTTTGATTAGATTATGCATAAAAATTATGTGTATGCCACTCACTGGAGATTAAGTAATTAAGATGCTCTTAATATTGCTGGGGAAACATTACAACCCTCATTATTTTAATGGACTGGTGGACTCCAGGGACTTGCCAATAGGATGCAATATCTTGCATTCCAAGTTAGCAAAATACACAATTTTGACTGGCAACCTAAATTTGTAAGCTTTTGATGAGCTGTGTAGAAATAAGTCATCTCAGGTCAATTCTTAGAGGAAGGAATATTCTTAAAATAATAATAATACTTTGTATAATGGTGGCTTTGTTGTTAGTGCTACTCAGGCATTAAGGACTCTGCAGTCAGGGAGTGAGTGGTCTTTTCATCTCTGCTTTGAGAGGGGTCCCCAAGGCCCTAAGGCACTCTCAGGGCAACAGCACAGATGTCTCTGCATTCTGTGAGATTGTCTTTTAGTAGCCTTGCTATGGATGACTAATGGGTCTGTACAAACAACATAATTGCACTGTAGTGTTTGCACTGGAAATGCAAAAAGACAAATATTTTCTTTTGTTAAATGTGTATTTCATCATGTTTCAAAAATATCCTTAGCCAGCTTACTTAAAAAAAAAAAGTGGTCAATATGACCTGCTCTACAATCATGAGTTACAATTCTTGTTTCATCTTAATAAATCTCTAGTTAATTATTTAAGGCTGTCATCTTAGCAGTAAGTCCAGTATCTCCCTCCATGGGTTCAGCCCTCCTTCTCCTGAGTTGTCAAAAAGACAGTGAAATAAATATGACATTTTAGGTTCTCCAATCCCAAAGCCTATCCCAAATCTTATACTCAGTGGAGAGAGCCCTGATCCAATCAGTCCAATAGTGCTGTTGCTTCTTGCATCTACCAGTGTTGCCTCCTGGCCCTCCAGAGTTTGGTGATGAAGCTAGTCTGTTCTGTAAGGGACCTCCATGACCCATGTCTCTGGGGAGTAAGTTGTGGCTGTTGAAGAGAGGTGATACTATCACCTTTTCTTAGACCATTTTGTGTTGCTATAATAGAATACCTGAGACTGGGTAATTTATAAAGAACAAAGACTTACAGGTTTGGAGCCTAGGAAGTCCAAGGTCAAGGGGCCTGCATCTGGTAAAGGCCTTCTTTCTGTGTTATCCCCTGGCAGAAGGCAGAAGGGCAAGAGAGAGGAGGGGGGCCAAACTCATCCCTTTATCAGAATCCCACTCCCAAGATAATATCACTAATCTAGTCACATAATTAGCTCTTTAAGGTCCCACTTGTCAGCAGTGTTGCATTGGGGATTAGGTTCCAACACATGAACTTTGGGGAACATATTCAAATCGTAGCACCCCTCAATTCCACATTCAATCAAATATTTTTATAAAGCAACTATTCTGTGCTAGGCTCTGTTCAGCATATGAGGGACATTCCCAAGAATTAAGAATGAAACAGACAAACTTGTGTATATAACATATATACTATTGGGGATCCCAATCAACAAGTACCCAAATTTATGTAAGATCATGAAAAGAAAGATGCTGCCAACTAAATTATGACAAGCTGTCTACTGGAAATTGATTCTGATTTCAAATATGTTAAATCATTTAAAAAGATAGAAGGAAAGAAAGAAGAAGAAAAAAAAGAAAAACAATAAGTTAAGGTGGATTATCCCCAAAACAAACTCTGAGATGAGCATTTGAGTGCAAGTAATTTTTTTTGGAGGCACCAACAGGGGAGTGGGTATGTGAGACAAAAAATAAAGAAAGACAGTCAGGGCAAAATAATGAAAGGTAACCACTGTGGGCAACTGGTAACCAATCCTACTGCAAGCTTCGGGAGGTGGTTTAGAATGTGTCTCAATATTGTCCCACCCAAGTGGTTAAGGCAGCTGGGATATTTATATACAAACTGCCATTGGTCATTGACTGAGACATCAACTCAGCCAATGTGTCAGCTCCTAGTTCTTCAGGCCTATCCTCGCACCTAGGCTGAGCACTCCAGGAAAACCTGATGAGTAAAGAGTCACAGATACTTACAGAGAAGGAAGCCATCACTGTTCCCAGAAGGATGAGTCCCAAGGGGATCCCAGAGGAACACTGATAATGTCTATCACCATGAGCATCTTAGGATGGTTGAACAGTGAGTTTAGATGATAAATAAACACCAGAGTAAGGTTATGGAGGTGAAAGCAGGAACGCCATTTCAGAGAGTATAGAGGGAACATTTGAGAAAGTGACATTTGAGCAGAAACCTGAATGTTGAGGATTGAAGCATAGGTATATCTGAGGGAAGGCTCTCCAGTGGAAGGAATAGCTGGTGTAAAGGCCCTGAGACAGGAGAGAATTTGATAGATTCAGGGAACTAAAGGAGCCATTTTGGGTGAAGCGTGATCACCGATGTGAGGAAAGGTAGGGAATGCCTTTGATCACATAGAAAAGAACCCAGTCATGTAGAACTTAGCCATGACAAGGAATTCAGATTTTATTTTGGATATTATGTGATGCTATTAGAGGGTTTTGAACAGTATGTATAATCTGTTTCTGTTTTAAATGATCGCTATGACCTCGGTGTAGGGATAAGGGTGGAAACAAGGAGATGGGTCAGAGACTATTGTGCTTTAAAGCAGGGAAATAGAAATATCACAGTAAGAAACGTCATATTGTGAGGGGGAGTGCTTCCTATTTATTCAAAAGTGGTATCAAACCATTAATAATGTTCTTTTTAATAATAAAAAGATGAAATACACATTATAGTAAATAAGATCTAAAAATAGGCTGGCTCCTTGACTAAGAACAAGATTTAAGAGTTCATAACTAAGCCAGGCACGGTGGCTCATGCCTGTAATCCCAGCACTTTAGGAGGCTGAGGCAGGTGGATCACAAGGTGAGGAGATCAAGACCTTCCTGGCTAACACAGTGAAACCCCGTCTCTACTAAAAATACAAAAAATTAGCAGGGCGTGGTGGCAGGCGCCTGTAGTCCCAGCTACTCGGGAGGCTGAGGCAGGAGAATGGTGTGAACCCAGGATGAGGAGCTTGCAGTGAGCCGGGATCATGCCACTGCACTCCAGCCTGGGTGACAAAGTGAGACTCCGTCTCAAAAAAAAAAAAAGAGTTCATAACTACACAAATTTAAAGAGCAGTAACAAGAATAGTGACTTAAATAAGTGAAGTCAAAACTGCTGAGAGGCTCAGAGCAGTAATAACAATACAACCAACCTAAAACTTGGCAAACCAGTGCTCTCTTTGGTCAGTTTCTAGGCTGTAGTCACACTCTATTACTCATCAGCCCAATTGTGAAATCCTTGGAAAAATAATGTCGATCATACTTAGGTTTTTGTACATAGAGATTTTACACAGCGCATCACATAGCAAAACTTCCCTAAATCCTGTCTTGCCAATACATTCCCCCCCATCCTGATAGCTCATACATTCCTTGGCTGCCCCTAAAGACTTTCCTTCCTTTTTTTTTTTTTTTTTCCTGAGATGGAGTCTCACTCTGTCACCCAGGCTAGAGTGCAGTGGCACGATCTCGTCTCACTGCTTCCTCCACTTCCTGGGTTTTCCAGTGATTCTCCTGCCTCAGCCTCCCGAGTGGCTGGGACTACAGGGCCCAGCTATTTTTTGTATTTTTAGTGGAGATAAAGTTTCACCATATTGGCCAGGCTAGTCTCGAACTCCTGACCTCCAGTGATCCACTTGCCTCGGCCTCCCAGAGTGTTGGAATTATAGGCATGAGCTGCTACGCCCGGCCCCAATTCTTATTTTCTGCAAACTCTGCCTCAAAAATCAAGCCCAGGGAGCCTTTCCCCCTCATTTAATACCCTAGTAACTTTTTAAATGCTATTTTTGCCTTTGATCCTCTCCTGCAGCACACTGTTCCCTAAAATACTCCTTTTATCCTGTCAGTCCTCTAAATAAGATCTTTCTGAAGCTCCTGTTCCCTGCCCAAGGATAACAGCCAATCTCCTTACTTGGCAGATAAGGCTTATTTCTGACTCCTCCCTCACAACCCCCAGGCTCAGCCTAACAGAACTTGTCAAGCTCTGAACATACCTTGTTGTTACCTACTCTGGGTCTTTGCCCTGGCTCTGCCCCTCCTCTGAAATTTATCACTGTGTCTCCCACACATATATTCACTCACTCACACACACATGCATGCACATCTCTACCCACAAGAAAATCACATCTTAAATCTATCTTTTTCTCAAATTTATTCCCTGCCCAGCAAAGGAGATACGACACATCACAAAGTAGCACAGTTACATGTATTACGTAGACATTTATTCATTTTTTGAGTGCCTACTTCTTACCTGCGTATTTGGGGCACAAAGATGAATACAGAATGCTGTTCTAGCCTCAAGGAGCTCCATCCTGTGGGACAGATGAATGTATAAATATACCCTCCTAGAACATGGTGAGTGCAGTGATTGGGATGTGCACAGAGTATGGGGGTGGAGAGGAGGCGGGTTTAGGCAGAGTAAATAAAGCAGGGCAGGGCTAAGGTGGAGGGGTTCAGTTCACTGGCTGGGGAACAGAGTCTGAGCTCAACCAAAGACAGGTCTCAGGACCAAGGAGAGCGCTTTGTGTAGCCAGCCTTGAGGCATTCCTCACATTTTTGGGAAGCTGCTCAAAACATTCTGCAAGGCCCTCATAGGCAAAAGATTCTCACTTAAAGGAACCCCTCATCAGGCATATCCTGGATCCCTTTGAGTTAGGAAAATACAACTTCCACTCCTGAATTGCAGGGTTTAGGGATTATTAGTTAAGGAATATATACATCCTTAGAAGGATTTTTTTGGGGATCAAATCCTCAGGGGATGGTTCTCATTCTGAATTTGAAATGGAATCCAGGACTTTATTTTATTGGGATTTTCTTTCTCTGCTTTTGAGGGATTGGAGCCTAGGTAAATTCTGATTAGCCTAGACAGAGTTTATCTCCATAGCTTCTTTTACTGCTCACCTGGCCCCTGTGATGTTATTTATGAATGCCTTACTTCCTTGAGATACATTGTAAATTTCTACAGCAGCACAGTCTAACAGAAATATAAGCCGGGCGCGGTGGCTCACGCCTATAATCCCAGCACTTTGGGAGGCCGAGGCGGGTGGATCACAAGGTCAGGAGATCGAGACCATCCTGGCTAACACGGTGAAATCCCATCTCTATAAAAATACAAAAAATTAGCCAGGCATGGTGGCAGGCGCCTGTAGTCCCAGCTACTTGGGAGGCTGAGGCAGGAGAGTGGCATGAACCCGGGAGGCAGTGCTTGCAGTGAGCCGAGATTGCACCACTGCACTCCAGCCTGGGCGACAGAGCAACAGTCTGTCTCAAAAAAAAAAAAAAAAAAAAAAACAGAAATATAATATGAGTCACATATGTAATTTTAAATTTTCTAGTAGATATATTTTTAAACAGTAAAAAGAAATAGGTGAAATTAATTTTAATGTTTATTGTTTAACCCAATAAATCTAAAGTGTTAAACATATGATGAATATTAAACAATTAATGAGGTAGCTCATATTCTGCTTTTTTCCTACTAAATCTTCAAAATCCAAACATGTATGTACTCATGTAGTTTCAATACAGACCAGCCACATTTCACGGGCTTAATTGCCACCTGTGGTTAGTGATTACTGGATTGGACAGCATGCTCTAGATGTTAGAGAGCCTGTCTGTACCCTGGCTCCAGGTTTTCTGCCACTTAATCTTCCCAAATCTCATGCATATTGGCCAGAAAAATACCATCACTGTAAGAGGTGACATTAAACCCAGCACTTTTTGTCCTCTATTTACAATAGAGTAGGAGGTAGGATAAAAGAATGTTTAAGTCTCAAAATAAACCTGTATATTATTATTTTCTTAAATTAGCCTAATGGAATTAACCAGCTAATTAACCATGTAGTGAGTAGAAATATGGAGTAATGCATGATGACAGAATAGCCTATACAGAAGTGTTTAATAACGAAGATGGCTAATACTGGATAATATACTTCAACATGCAAAAACATTTTAACATGTAAAAAAGCATACTGTGTTGGGAGGAAAAAGAGCCCTGGAAATCAGGAGACTCAAATAATTTTAGTCTTGCCAGTAGTTAAATTTCGATTCTTAAACAAGAAAATTAATCTGTCTAGCCCAAAGTTTCGTCATCCGTAAAATAACGGATTGGATGTGATATCTCAAAATTCCTCCCACTCCTCCTAAATTGTGTTGACACTGCCTCTTAAGTAAATCCCACAGTCATTGTCTCCTCGCCACCCCCACTGCCTGCCTTGAAGCCTGCATAATTTCTTACCTGAGCTACCACAGCTAGTCTCCGTAGCAACTTCTCAAATCTGTCCCCCACACAGCCATCGAAGAAACCTTTCTAAATAAAAATTGGATCATCTCATGCTTAATGCCCATCAGAGGCTCCTACAGCCCACAGCAGTTGGCATGGCTTGCTTTTATCTGCTCTCTGCCATCGACTCCTGGGCTCCCCCACAGACACCCATTGTTCTAGGCCTGCTAGACTTGTGCAGCTTGCAGCGTATGACAAAGCTTTTGGACTGCCTTAATTCACTCAGGCTGCTGTAGCAAAGTGCTATTGACTGGGTGGCTTAAACAATAGAAACTTATTTCTCACAGTTTTGGAAGGTAGGGAGTCCAAGACCAAGATGTCAGCTGGTGGGGTTCCTGGTGAAGGCCCTGTTCCTGGTTTGCAGATGGCCAGCTTGCTGTATCCTCATATGGTGGAGAGCTCACCTCTGTCATGTCTTTTCTTATATGGCCATTAATCCCATCATGAAGACTCCACCCTCATGACCTAGTTATGTCCCAAAGGCTGCTCCTCTGAATACTATCACATTGAAGATTAGGGTTTCACTATATGAATGTGGGGGGAGGACACAAAGAGTTCATAGCAAGATTTTGAGGATATTTAGATCAATCTCAAGGTAGAAGTTGCTCTTATAAACACTATTTTGTAATGATATGCCTGCCATTTTTGAACCGCTTTAATATTTAGATAGGTTTTCCTTATTTCTAGACAAAACACTTCCCATGGGATTTTGGGAACTTACTGCCAGATTTGATATTTGTAATTACCTAGACAATCATCTTACTGAATAACTGAGGAACCTTTCTGAGTTGAGTAACTTGCCAGCATTACACAGTTCACTAAGGTTCAAAGATGAACCTGGAACCCAGACTTTCTGTTCTCATTCCAGGCCTCTTTTATGTCCATATATAATATACACAGTAAAACAATCAATTTTCCTATTTGAATTCACTTCATCATTCCACTATTTCTTTATAAAATATTGAATTTATCAGGGACCCACATTCTTTATCCCCTGTTCATCAGGTCCTGCTAATTTGTTTCAGTAAAACTTCCACAGATTGAGTTGAATCCTATTCTATTGATAGAGTCAGAAGCAAGCCTTCCTTCTTATCTTCTCCCTCCCCCTTATCCTTGACTTCATATAATGAAAGGCAGCAAGAATGATGCCCTAATTTCTAAAATGTATTTTTGTTTGGAAATAAGGTTAGGACATTATTGCCCATACTAGGCAATTGTCTCTATGTACTTTTTTTCTCAACTATGAAGTAAGAAATATAAGCTAAATAATTCCTGTGGTTTCTCCCACTATAAAATTTCTATCTATACCCAATAGCTCCTAAAATGGTACATTTCATGTAATAGTCATTTAATAAATACTTAGGGAATTGGTATTTAATGGGACAGAATGTCAGTATGGAGTATAAACAGTTCATTGAACTTTATTATTAATTGCTCACTTTGGGAGAGTAGTACGTGCTGTTACTCTTCATAGCAGCAAAAAATGAGTTATGGAAATATTAGACGTGTTAACCAGTTTTTCATTTTGGTTTGGTTTTTGCAGGGGTTTTTTTTCAGTTGCAAGATTTAATAGAGTGAAAACAGAGCTCCCATGCAAAAGGAGGGGACCCGAAGAGCATAGCCATTGCCAGCTCGAATGCCTGGGTTTATATCCCGATCATTGTCCCTCTCACTGTGCTCTCAGGCGATAGATGATTGGCTATTTCTTTACCTCCTATTTTTGCCTAATTAGCATTTTAGTGAGCTCTCTTTACTACCTGATTGGTCGGGTGTGAGGTAAGTTGCAAGCCCCGTGTTTAAAGGTGGTTGCAGTCACCTTCCCAGCTAGGCTTAGGGATTCTTAGTTGGCCTAGGAAATCCAGCTAGTCCTGTCTCTCAGTACCCCCTCTCAACAGGAAAACCCAAATGCTGTTGGGGAGGTTGGCCGATGACCGCTCCAACTGCTTCCTGCTGAATTGGGGCATAGTAGGGGTGGTGCAGTTGAGATTTCCTCAGGAGGGTTGCCTTTGGTGTCATTAACATCAGAGCATGGGCTAGCAGGCCAGTCCAGGGGTCCATGGTAGATCTTAGTCATGGACTGCCTCTGGGGATCCATTTGAAGAACGATGTGTAGTTTTACAGCTTTGATTCTGGAACAGACAAACTTAACAAGGAGGTTAAAGATACAGGGATTGAAATGTATGGTGATTGAAATGTATGGTGTGTAGTGTAGGGGATTATTTCATTGGCACACTTTACAGGCCCTGACTATATCTGCTTGATAGTTTTGAAAAGGCCTGGTCTAGTAAATAATGATTTGGTCATCTAATGGGTGTTATCAGTGCCTAAGTGAAAGGTTTGATGAAGGGTTTTAAGTAATTTCCATTGGTTAGCTGCAGGCAAAAGTATTTTTCCTTCTTTGGTGGCTAGCCATCCTGAGGGGAGGAAACTATGTCCTCATGAGGTTCCCCATTCTATTTCTTCTTTTGAGTACTGGGGCTTGGTTTCCCAGAGGGGATTACCACATACTAGGGGTCCTTCTATAAGCATTTCTAATGGAGGGTCCTGCCTTGCAGCTCTTTTTGCTTCAATGTCCGCTTGGCAGTTCCCTTCTATTTCCCTTTCCTTTCCTTTCTGATGACCCCAGCAGTGTAAGACTGCCACCTCTTTAGGTTTCTGTACCGCCAATAATAATCTCCTAATGGCTTCCTGATGTTTGATAGGTGTTCCCTCGGAAGTTAGGAATCCCCTTTCTCTCCATATTGCTGCATGGGCATGGAGGACTAGGTAAGCATACTTAGAGTCTGTATATATATTTACCCTTTTTCCTTCTAATTCTACTGCCTGAATGAGGGCTATTAGTTCTGCCAGCTGAGCACTAGTTCCTGGAGTGAGGGGATTACTTTCAAGTATTCCATTATCACTGACAACTGCATACCCCACTTTTTGAAGCCCTTTTTCTACGAAGGAACTTCCATCAGTATACAAGTTGAGGTCGGGATCAGTCAGGGGAACCTCTAAAAGGTCCCCTTGAGTGGCGTAGGTTTGAACAATTACTTGTTGACAGTTATGTTATATCTTTTCTTCATTGCCTGGAAGAAATGTGGCTGGGTTAAGAGTTGCACAAGTGCACAGTCGCAGCACTGGTCCTTCAAGCAGTAGAGCCTGATATTTAAGTAAACGGTTGTCTGACAGCCACAAGTCTCCTTTAGCAGTGAGTATGCCATTCACATCATGAGATGTCCACACAGTAAGATCTCTTTCCTGTATTACTTTAACTGCTTCAGATACTAAGACTGCTACTGCCGCCACTACCTGTAAACAATGAGGCCAACCCTTTGCCACTACATCAGTTTCCTTACTCAGGTATGCCATGGGTTGCAGGCTTGTCCCTTGGACCTGTGTAAGGACTCCTAGAGCTATTTCTGTTTTTTCTGTGACATATAAAGGAAAGTCTTGCCCCGTTGGCAAGCTTATTAACACTGGGGCTTGGGTTAGGGCCTTCTTCAGGGCCTGGAAAGCCGCTTCTGCTTCAGGTGTCCATCTTACTAAATGGGTATTGGCTTTCTGAGTTTCCTAAATTAGTGTATATAATGGCCTAGCTATTTCGCCGTACCTGGGAATCCATATTCGGCAGAAGCCTGGTATGCCAAAGAACCCTCTTAGTTGCTTTAGGGTTTTGGGATGAGGATAAGCCAGTATGGGCTGGATACGTTCCTCACTGAGGGCCCTGGTGCCTTTGGATAATTTTAGCCCTAAGTATTTAGCCTGTTCTGAGCAGAGTTGAGCTTTGGTTTGGAAACCTTGTAGCCACAGGTGGCAAGGAAATTTAAGAGTGCTTGGGTGGCTTGATGGCACAAGGTTTCTGAACGGGCAGCTGAAAGTAAATCATTCACTTACTGAAGGACAAGAGTGTCCAGGTATGAGAACTGGCTCAAGTCTTGGGCTAATGTCTGGCCAAATAGATGGGGGCTATCCCTGAACCCTTGGGGTAAAACAGTCCAAGTGAGTTGAGACGTTGGGTTCGAAGGATCTTCAAAGGCAAAAAAGAATCGAGAGTCAGGATGTACAGGGATGCAGAAAAAGGCATCCTTAAGGTCCAGGATTATAAACCACTCTGCTTCCTATGGTATTTGGGAAAGCAGAGTATAAGGGTTAGGTACAGCTGGGTATAGAGGGACAACGGCCTCACTGATAATCCTGAGATCTTGCACTAACCTCCACTGTCCATTGGGTTTCTGTACTCCTAGAATTGGAGTATTGGAGGGACTATTGAATGGTTTTACTAAGCCTTGGGCTTTTAGTTCCTTAATTTTATTGAGTCTTTGTTGGGCCTCGGGTCTAAGGGGGTACTGCCTTTGGTAGGGAAAGGGGACAGAATCCTTTAGTTTAATTTGAACAGGATGGGCATTTTTTGCTCATCCATATTGTCCTTCTGTTGCCCAGACTTCAGGATTAATTCCTTCCTCAAGCAAGGGACCACAAACGGTTGTTCCTTCTCCTATGTTCAGGTGTATAATGGCCCCTGCTTTTGCTAGAATGTCTCTCCCTAACAAGGGAGTGGGGCTTTCAGGCATAATTAGAAAAGCATGTGAAAGAGTAAAGTTCCCCAGTCACAACTTAGTGGCTGGGAGAAGTATCAAGTGACTGGCTGTCCTAGGACCCCTCGGATAGTGACAGATGTGGAAGACAGTTGTCCGGGACAGGAGAGTAAGACTGAGAAGGCCGAGCCAGTGTCCAGGAAACAGTTAACCTCCTGGCCCTCAATGGTCAAGCATACCCGGGGCTCTGTGAGGGTGATGGGTTGGGCTGGCGCTTGCCCCAGGCACCCTCAGTCCTGCTGCCGGATCATCTGGTTAGTGGCTTCTGACTCAGAGGACCTTTGTCCCCTGGGGCAGTGGGCCTTCCATTGATTCCTTTGACATAAGGGGCATGGATGAGGGGGTGGCTTATTTGTATTTGGACAATCTTTTTAAAGTGTCCTTGTAGACCACACTGGAAGCAAGCCCTATTAGGCATTGGATTTGCCCAGCCTTTCCGTGTTCCAGAGCCTCCAAAGTCTGCTTGCCTGAGGGCCATAACTAAAGCGGTAGCCTTTTTTAAATCCCGTTTGTCTTGTTCTGCCTGCTTCTCCTTATCTCTATTATGAAAAACCAAGGTTGCCAAGTTCAATAGGGTTTCTAAGTTTTTGAAGTTTTTTCTGATGTCTGTAGCTGACTGAGTGATAAACTTATCCTTTAAGATTAGTTGGCCTTCAATAGAGTCAGGTGACAGAGAGGTATGCTTTCTCAAGGCCTCCCTTAGTCTCTCCAGAAAGGCGGTAGGATTTTCTTCCTTACCCTGTGTTATAGTGGACATCATTGAATAATTCATGGGCTTTTTCCTAGTTTTCCTTAGTCCTTCTAGCATGCAAGTTAGCAAATGTCTGCGGCACCAATCTCCGTGTTTTGATTCTGTGTCCCAGTGAGGGTGTACACTGGGAACTTCCTGCTGGCCTGTGGGCAATCGTTCTCTTTCCTCTGTTGTCATCCTGTCATTGACCTGACTGAGATACCAGAGATCGCCAAACTCTCGGGCTGCAGTTATGGTGGCACTTCTCTCATTTGGGGTTAGTGTCTGATTTAGCAGTAACATTACATCTCTCCATGTCAGATCAGATTGTCCTAACCCTTGTAAACATCAATATAGCCATCAGGGTTATCTGAGAATTGACCTAGGTCTATTTTAATTTGCTTCAAGTCTGAGAGAGAAAAAGGTACATGCACTCTGGCTGGGCCGAATTCTCCTCCTCCCACTGCTTGGAGGGGGCATAAACGGGGAATATTGGCACTCTTTGGTTCATTATTTACCCCTTTGTCTATCTCCTTTTGGACCATTTGGGTTGAAGGGGGTTGCTTATTAGTTGGAGAAGGAGTCAGGGGGATGCCGGGGTAGGGAGGTAGACTCTGAGAGCTTCCTGTAGGGCATAAATCACACTTTTTACATAATTGCGAGTTGTCTCTTAATGAAAAGAAAGTTTGTACATATGGCACTTCACTCCATTTGCCTTCTTTTCTACAAAAGAGGTCTAGCTGTAAGATAGTGTTATAATTTATACTTCCCTCAGGAGGCCAGGTTTCTCCCCCTTGAAGAGGATATTGTGGCCAGGAGGTAATGCAGAAGAATATAAGTCGTTTCTTTCTTAGAGTCTGAGGGTCAAATTGGTCCCAATTGTCCAGAATACATCTTAGGGGTGTTTTTGCCTTGAGGGGGAACATTTCCCATCTGAAAAAAGAACATAGGGATGCCAGCACCTCTAGTCATTTTCCGACGAGCATTAGTCGTAGAGCGTCCTCTATGGTCCTAATGCTTATTCCTTTCCAGAGTGTGTCACCACCCATGGACCTCTGCTTATTGGATTAGTTACGCTTACCAATGTAGCAGTCCTGCGCCTGTTTTCCCGCCTTTCTTAACCCAAAGAAAGGGGTTCGGACTGCTGGATTCTAGTGGTCCTTTACCAGCATGCCCAACATTGCCTTTGTGCTCAGGGGTGAGTCCTAGAGCTAGGCTGCATTCCTGAGTATTTCATGACAACCCAGCTGCCCCATCAAGATGCAGTCCCATAAACAGTTCTTAAGTAAATTCGTTTCACAGAGGGTGTAGGTAACCTTTTGAGTCAGGATTGAGATAATCTTTTTGATTCTAGAAGTACTTTAAGGCTTGGCTGAGTGCAAACAGCTCGCAGGTTTGGGGAGACCAATTATTAGGCAGTTTTTCTAACTCTGCTTCCACAAGAGTCTCCCTATCAATTACTGAATACCCATTGTGATTTTTTTCTCATTCACCTGGGAGGAACCATCTATCATCCTGTACTGAAGGGAGTTCCTCCTAGGTCTGGTCAGACCTTTGTATGGTAATTAAGATTTAAATCTCCTGTTAGGAAATCTTCTGGGTTAAGGGAATTATCAGTGATTAGTGTTAAATTACCTTTTTCTAACAAAATAACCCCATACTTTAAGATTTTTGAGTTAGTAAGCTACCTTTTTGCTTTTTTGACTTAGAATAATTCTGAACTGGTGAGGTGTGCTCACAATGAGGTTTCCTCTAAAAGTTACTTTTCTACTTTATTCTGTTAGCAAAGCAGTTGCCACTACAGATTGAATGCATTTGGGCCATCTGCGGGTTACTGGGTTAAGGATTTTTTATAGGAAAGCTATGGGTTGTCAGCGGTCTCAGTGTTTTCAGGCTACACCCTTGTTTACACTGAGAACAAGGTAGTATTAGAGTGTTACAGGGTCATGGAGAAGACCTTCAATTATCAAGTATAGGTTTTTTAAATTTACCCTGGCTTTTAAAGGAATAGGGCACACTTTTTTTTCTACTATTTCTTTTTCTTTCTTTCTCTCTTTGACTCCCTCTTTGTCTCTCTGCCTCTTTCTCCTCTCTGTGTCTCTCCCCTCTCTGTGTCTCTCTCCTCTCTGTCTCTCTCTCTGTCTCTCCCTCTCTCTGTGTCTCACTCTGTCTCTCTCTCTCTCACTTTCCTCTCTTAGCCATTTACAAACTTGGGGCCCTGGCAAGGGTGGTGGGGAATGGGTCCCACATAACTGCCCATGTCGAGAACTGTATACCTAAATCGGTAGGGACATCAGGGACAAGACTCCCTGGGTTTAGAGCCTAGATGCCTAAGGATACAGTGTAGAGCTTCCTTATATCCCTTTGGAGATACAACTTGCTAGAGGAAATGAAAGTCTGAACCATTAGCACCTAGGAGGCAGGGATCAGAGGAAGTAGATTCAGAGGTAAGGAGAATTTTGGGGCTACCCTTTTAAGAAAGTCATGGTTAGGACCCAGGAGGTATGGGTCAGAAGGAAAGATAGGGGCGCATGCATGGGTGACTGTTGAGTAGAGACTTCTGGCTGCGCCATGATCTCAACCGGCTACTGCCGGGAATTTGGGACAACAGCTTTCTGCCTCTAGTCGGCCCTTGGCTTCCCCAGGAAAATTGAAAGTGGAAGCTGGCTCCAGGCAGACCAACATTCCCAACCCAGAAGGGTTGGGGGTTGTTAGAAAGCCCTTCCCCAGATAGCCTCACACCTGAGTCTTAAGTCCGGAGGCCACGCTAATCGTTTTTAACCGGCCGACAGGTGTCCGGTATTTTCCTCCAATTCTAAGGAAGGATAGGACAGAATAGCAAGTGAAAGTGGTCCAATATTACCGCTTTGGAGGTCCCTTCGTGGTCGCTAAATGTTACTGGGTTGCGGGGAGGTCCTTGCTCCCAGAGCTCCCAAGATGGTGGCGGGCGGCTTCCAAGATGGTGGCAGGCCGCTTCCCAGATGGTGGCAGGCTGCTTCCAAGATGGTGGCAAGCCTCGTGTTCTCTGACCTAGGGTTCTTGGCCTCACAGATTCCAAGGAATGGAATCTTGGGCCTTGCGATGAGTGTTATAGCTCTATTAAAAGCCGTGGGTCATGGAAGAGAACTGTGGAACCCAGTGACTAGTGTTCAGCTCAATTAGGATGAACCTGGGCACTTAGCCATGCAGGAACAATGGCAAGCCTTTAGCCCGATTGGGAGTGGCAATGGGCCCCTCGCTGGATCAGGAGCACAGCAGACACCCTGCCAGATCCAGAGGGATGGAAGTCAGCAGTGGGTCTGCAACGGTGGCAAACAGCAGTGGTGGATGGCGAGCAAAAGCTCAGCTCGAGCCGTAACAAACATGGACCAGAAGAGTGTGCAGTTGCAAGATTTAATAGAGTGAAAACAGAGCTCCTATACAAAGGGAGGGGACCCAAAGAGGGTAGCCGTGGTTTTTTTTTTTTTTTTCTGAGATGAAGTCTCATTTTGTCACCCAGGCTGGAGTGCAGTGGCACAGTCTCAGCTCACTGCAACCTCCGCCTCCCAGGTTCAAGCGATTCTCCCACCTTACCTACCTGAGTAGCTGGGATTACAGGTGTGGGTCCCCAGCCCAGCTAATTTTTCTGTTTTTAGTAGAGATGGGGTTTCACCATGTTGGCCAGCTGGTCTTGAATTCCTGGCCTCAAGCGATTCATCCTCCTCAGCCTCCTAAAGTGCTGGGATTACAGGCATAAACCACCATGCCAGGCTGTGTTAACCAGTTTTTCACTATAATGCAAAATACATTTATTTTTACTATTACTTGCTCTTATCAATAACTTATTGGAAGAACTCTTAAGAATTTTCTATCTTATCTAGTTATCTTAATTAAAATTATCTTTTAATTCAAAAAGGAATCTATTTAACTGTAGTTATTTACTTGTAATTATTTATTGTTATTACTTAAGAGATATGAAAGTTATATTTTACCTAAAAATAATTTTTACATTCAGTTGTTTACATGAATTTTACAATGTGTGTGGAAAATTTTTGAAATGTGTGAGGATGAAGAGAGAGCTTAGGTTTAGTAGATCTCTATAGAATTAGGTTGGGTTTCCTCAGATAAAATCTTTTAGAACATTTTAAAGTTTCTAGTGAACCCTAGAAGAATCTGGAAAACTATATTCTTCGCTGGCACAATACTGAGGGTAGTGAAAGAAAATCAGGAGAACCTTTTAACTTTTAACATATTCGTAATCAATACCCATGATTTAAAAAAATTCATAATGTTGTTTGAAAGGCAAGTCGTTTTAGTTGTTAATTCCTACAGATAATGTTAAATCAGCTAATCGCTCTGGTTTTCATTCTTTTAAAAAATTTCTGTGCTTTTTATCATTTTATTTTTGTAAACACTGCGTCCATTCTTCTGGGTGCATACAAATGGATGCAAACATACCGAATAACAGAAGCTCTATCAGAAAAAGCATCAAATTGGATTAGACAGCCGGGAAGGGGCACTGGACTTGTAGAAGAAGCTTAAGGTCCTGTCCTGGATTTGCCTGCCTCAGTTATGTAAATGAGTTGGATGGTATTAGACAACCTCTTAAATATGAGTAATTATAGAAAATAAGGTCAGCAAAATCCTGAATTAGAAGAAAGGTCACTTGAATGAAGCAGGGGTCATGGACAACTAACAATTTATATAGACCAGAATAAAATGGGGCTCTGGACGTCCATTTATGTGTAAGGTCATTTCAAATCAAATAGGAGAGAGGCATTTTCAGAAGTAGTGTCTTGATTTAAAGATAGGTAATTGAAAATATTCTTTTGTTCTTTATAGTAATCCCCATCAATGGTAGTGCTTTCTACTGACTGTGGAAAATAGAAATAGAGGGGAAAAAAGAATTAAGCAACAGAGGGAAACAGTAGATAGTTAATAGAGTGATGGATCTGTCCTATGTGTGAGCTAGAATCTCTCCCAGGAATGTAATTTGAGATACGAGAGGACACTGTTCAGTTTATAGCAACAGTAAGATTTCTGTGGTTCAGCTGGAGGAAAAATACATCTGAAATCCAATAAAAAGCATTTTTTCACTTCAGTACCCTGGAATTAGCTCTAAGGACATATGTCTTTGGGGACTTCTGTGTGAGATTAGCAGGTAGGCATTTTCTGCATCTAAGGAATAGAAGAGAGATCAAAATAGTTGAATCTGAGATCTCCCAAGCATTCTTCAAATTACTCTCCCTTAGTTGGCAGCCAGCCAGCCAGCCACTTGTCTTTGCAGTGAAAACTGAAAAAAAAAAAAAAAAAAAAAAAAAGCAGGTGGAACAGATCCACAGGACATGAACCAGCCAGGTGAGGAATTGGAAGGGAAGTTTCCACTCTCTTATCTTCTCTTTATTTTTTATTTTATGAGGAAAAATATAGGGAATCTCTTATGTGTTCTGTAAAGGAAAATACATCAGTGGCAGAAGCATTTATTGCTTTAATAAGCCTATGATTATGATTTGTGTGGCATGGTCAACATGAGATTTAATACAAATTCTTATGTGACAATATCTGTGGTTTGAAAGAGAGTGCACTAACACTACATATACTAACAAATTCCAGCTCCATAATTTTCTTGCTCTGTGGCTTGAGGCAAGTTACTTCTCTGACCTTCAGTGTCCTCTTCTGTAAAATGGCAATAGTAGTTGGAAATATATCAGTGTTATTATAAAGATTGTTAATTAATGGATGTAAATATGCCTAAAACAGTGATAGAAGGGTTCAACAAATGCTACCTTTTATTACATAACCCTGTCTTAATATAATATAAAGAGCAAAATGGTCAACATTTCCTGTTTCCTAATTTGTCTCTTTAGTTCTCATTTCTCATCTTATCTAAAATATTAGATATATCAGGGCATACCATTTTATTACTGCTTGACTACTAGATACTATTTTATTTCTATTTGTAAATCATCTGAAGAAATCAAGTGGGAGGGTGATGTTTGGTAGCCTGTTCCCTCCTTGGTGTGTCTGGTTACTCACAGGCACACGCTGTCCAGTGGGCCATGCCCCCATGTTGGCTTTCTCATCTCAGGTGGGACTGTGATCTGATGGCCATGTTCCTCAGCTAAATTGTCATGGGGCAAATGGACTTGGATCTTGTTGTTGAAGAAAGAGAGGGATTTGAACAGAGGGAGAGGAGTGAGGAACACATTCAAAGAACAGTGTCTGCAAACAGAGAAAACAGGTGGAATGGGCCTGGTGTGTTAGGGGTAGGTACCGTAGACCTGTTTAGCTGGAACAGTCTAAGACCCATGGAAGATCAATTCGGAGTCGTAGGTAGGGGATGGATTGTAAAGGATTTTGAATAAGAGACCAAAGATTTTATTCTATAGGCAATGGAAATCTAACCTGTGGGTAATAGATGCTAATTGGTGTTTGGGAAGATTATCATGTCTTACATCTATTGAACTGTTTGAAATATTTAAGGTAATTTCCAGTTCTGCAGCATGTAAAGGTGATCACATACACTTCTGGTTGTGCTAGAAATAACAATGCAACCATTTAAAAAATAATGTGTAATGGCACATCCATAAACATGTTTCTACTTCTATTTTTTAAGGAAAATGTTCAAAAATTCTTGATGTTGTGACAAAAATTATGGCACAGCATTTCAGTGGAATATTGTGTGTTCACTTGAAATTACAATTCTGAATATTGTTAGCAATATGAAAAATATTTGTGACATAATGTTGACTTCAAAAATTAAAAATTTAAGATTGCAACTTTGTTGAAATTACGGACACACACACAGAGACACACACATTCAAACAAGAACTGTAAGGAAAGCCTGATACAATAGAGATGGGGGTTTTGTGAAGAATGTTATTATTTCCCATAGTGTTGTCTAAGAAAAGAAAGATGAGTGACTAGTAGGATGAACTGTAGCAGAAGGAGTAAAGTCAGTTAAAAGAGTTGCATTGATCTTTTAGGAACTCTTAACTTGGGTTGTTGAACTTTCTATTGTATGAACAATAGGTGTTTAGGGGTTTCTGAATTTCTTGGGTTAGGGTTCTATATCTTTTAACAGATTCTAACCTAATGCTCAGACTATTAAAAAATATATCGGAGTGCCTGGTTTTTAACATGTCCCCAAAACATCATTGTAACAACTGTTATAAAAGACAATTTGTTAAATTTTTTTCTAAGAACAGGTGATAGATTTTACAGTTTAGAAAATATTTGAAAATATCTGATTAAAAAGATCTCTTCCAGCTAGGGTGATTTTGGTGAGTTTTGTTAAAATAGAATTATCAAGCCTTTTTCTATTTTAGTTTTACAAATGAATTCCTTCTCCATTATTCAAATATGGTGCTAGATGTCAGCAGTGAAGTTATTTAAAAAATAAACTTCTATGTAGTATATTCTTATATAGAGATATTCTAGAGAGAATGATTCCAGAAAGGGTGCACGTGTGTGTGCGTGTATGTGTTTAAATATATGATGAGAAAGAGGTAGGAAAAATTACCTCAGTACTTGAACACACTTCAGTAATGTGTGGTTGTTTGGGAGATTATTGCTATAGCAATGGAAACTTCCAGAAAATGGTAATAAGCCTTGTTTTACAACTAGTGATATAAATGGAAATTATTTGCTCTGGGAACACTGATCGTATTTCTGTTAAGTGATTTGGACATTACTTGAGCTGGGCAGTCCCAAGGAAGTAGTTAGGTTGAATCATATAAAATTGCTGGTATTTGACCTTTTTTGATCTACAAAACAGCAATTGCATAGATTTGATCCTTTTATGTTTTACAACCTCCTTTTTTTCTCTTCTTATTTCTATCTCTTGTTACATCCTTCCAAATTTCGGTTATTATTACATTGTCTATTCTGTTCTTTGAATTGTCTGATACATTTTCATGTATACAAAGATAATTCTCACTGACTTTAAAAGCGATGCAGTTAGACATGTGTTTTGAATAAGATGTGTGTTGTATTGACACACCCCATGTCTACATTGTCTTGATATGTACATTAGTAGCCATAAAGAGGCGCTATATAAAGTGTTGTAAATATATAGTGTATGATACATTCTGATTAGTTTTAGTATTCTTGTTAAAGGCATCCAGTGTTTGACTACTTTCATTCACAGGGATTCTTTTTTTAAGGAATCGTTCTTAGTTGTCACAATACCACAGTTCTTTTGTAAAAGCAGTGGTTTGGAAAACCCATATGTACTCTATACAAGGAGGGACATGAGTGGTAAGGAGATGGTGATTGAAGGGAAGAGAAGCAGTGAGCCGAGAATTAATGAATGTGAGATGACTGTCTTCACAAAAAAGCAAATTTCATTCTTGGTGTTTTGATAGTGCCCAGATACAGAAAGTAACCCAGTCTCTACTATTCTCTTGAAATATTGAAAAATATACCAATTTGCATCAAGAACATTTTTTCAGTCATTCTCCTTAACTCAGCATCATGATGCCTTTCTAGAATTTTGGCATTTTGCCTATCAGTAAATTATGAAAAAGCAATAGGATGTCAGTCTGCTGTGCCATCAAATTATCTGTGGGGTTCCTGGGTCTCTGTACAGTATTTACAGAAACAGATGACTCCTGTGGCACTTTCCTCAAATGACGTGACACTTAACTTGTCTCCACTATGCAGATCTGCAGTGTTGAGAAACACACTCTTTGATGCCTGGTGAGCTTCTTGGCATAGCATAGCATTTCAGGAGAGAGGAAAGAAACACTTGGTTAATTCATTTTTCCCACTTAGTTTATGGGCTACTTTAACAAAAACTTTACCTCATGTTCAGCCAGGTAATTGACACTCTTTTTACTTCCTGTAGAAGAATTTCAAAAGAAAAGCATCCATCATTTCTGTGCTAGGAGAACTTATAAAGACATTGCAGAAAAAAACTGGCAATGAATGTGAACTTGGGCCATTATAAAGGCCTGCTAAATAATGTCAAAAATAAAGATCATGAAGGTAAACGAGTAGCTCCAAGTAGAACTCTTGCATTCTGGATGAAGTCCTGAAAGAATCATCTACACATCTTTTCATTCATAGATGGTGTCTGTTTTATTTCTATTTATTTAAAAGAAATACTTACATAGCATCTGCTATGTGCCAGGCACTGAGGTAAGTAATTTATGAATATTAATTCATTTAATCCTCATAATAGCCTTCCAAAGAAGGTACTATATTATCCTGATTTTACATATAAGGAAACTGAGGCACAAGGGCAAATATACCACACATGCATTATGGTGTTTAGAACTATAACATTTGCATAGTAAGTACTTTATTAAAAGCCGAAAATTTCTGATTATATCTATTTTTTTTTTTAAGTTTAGAGACAGGGTCTCACTCTGTTGCCCAGGATGGAGTACAGTGGTGCAGTCACAGTTCACTGCAGCCTTGACCTTCTGGGCTCAAGGGATCCTCCTACCTCAGCCTCCTGAGTAACTGGGACTATTACAGGTGTGCACCACTACACCCAGCTAATTTTCTTTTTTATATAGAGACGAGGTCTCACTATGTTGCCCAGGCTGGTCTTGGACCCCTGGGCTCAAGCAATCTTTCTGCCTCGGCCTCCCAAAGTATTGGGATTATAGGCACGAGCCATTACGCCCAGCCTGCATCTACTTTGATCAGAATTTTGATATATATATTTTTAGGTTTAAATGAAAAAATATTTCTGTAAAAAAGTACATCTAATATTTTTGTGTGCTTAAAATGGATACTAAGCATTATAAGGATATAATGGTTAAAATGGATACTAAGCATAACTAAGAAAATTAGTCACATTCCTGTAATGGATAGGTCTGGACAATCTGAGAGATTGAGGGAAACAGAAAGCTGCGTGTACATTTTGGTGCCACGAATCGCCTCCTCTGGCCCCCAAAATGGAACTGCCTCTTTCAGAGTGTGTTAAACCAGATGATAAAATATAATAACCTGATGAGCTTAAAATGAGATACCCCAAATTACATTTTGGAAGACAGAGCTGCTTTTGTGAAAGGAGTGATTGCTGTCAGGTCAAGACAAAGAATTAGTTCAAAGGGCCCCCTTCTGCATGGCCATCCCAGTGGTCCTGTTTTGGTGGGACGGTACCCATTCTTGTCGTAAAATGACAGATTCATTGATAGATTGTGAGGAGCCTGTTAAACCCAGTACCTCTATTTACCAAAAATTATTTTGAGTAGCCCAGTGAGTAACTACTGCCGCAAAGTAACGGGCACAGTGGGAGCCAGAGTGAGAAACGGGCCTGCAGAAACATTTCGTGTTTAATGGGTCTGGAGCTGTAGTGAAGCAGTGTGCTGAAATAATTCTGATTAGGCTCGGTCAGGCAAGCTGCTTAATCAAGACTCGTCTCTCCTCCATTGAGCCCTTACTGCTCAGAGCACAATCACAGTTTAAAGCACCATTTTAAGTAGTCCTTCCACTGTTCTTGAAAATGCAACCTTTTTTCAAGTTGGTGTGTGAGCCTTTTTTATACCTGTGGGAATAGCTAACTAGGAAAAGAAAAGGTTATGTTAACATATTAATAGGAAAACATGGACAAATTCTTCTTTCCAATGGAAATGCATATTTAAATTTTATAAATGCACTTGAAAGAAATGATTGGAAAATACCAAAAGGAGTAACACTATAAATCATAGTGTCTAACCTGGTTTCTGTAATCAGTCATGTGTGTTGTATCAATGACTAGGCAGCTGATTATTTTCTGTTTTCTATCAGCTGGTACCACTAGTAACACATATACATAGCAGTAGATATGTAATCAAGAGGAAATAAGTTTAAAGGCTTTCCTCCCTATTTCTTTTATCTTTTGAAAGAATGAAAATCAGAAAATGATTTCCATTTTTCAAGTTTTTATTAGCATAAGTCAAGGCTCATTGGGACATATTAAGCAGAGAAATGGATGTGCAGAGATAGGAGCCAGTCAAGATTCTCTGATGTCTCTACTTGGTTGGGTTTCAGAGGTCATGTGATTACAGTCATTGTTGATCTCTCTGACAATACGCTTTGAAGGAGATTAGGTTACATGTTGATTGTGCTTTTGTGAAGAAGGGCATTATTCTAAGCAGGTCTTTAAGAATTGCTGAAAAGAGCTTCAAAGAAATATATTCACCCATTGTTCATGTAACAGTCACTGTAATAAATGCAGAACAGTTTTTCAGGTTTGGAAGTGAATAACCGTAATTGAAAATACAGTAAATGGACACTTTCAAAACTTGAATCATAGCTGGTGAATGAGTTATAAACCTGCTTCTCTTGAAGTTTTTCCAGAGAACCTGAAAGCTTGAAAAGCAATCATTAGAAGTTTAAGCAAAATAAATGGTTAAGGATTTGTGGCGGCCTCAACAATGAGGTCCTACTGGACATAATACATTTTAGAAATACCTTCTATTACTTTTTAAAGGTCTTATCATGAAATATAATCCTAATGTATTATGCACTCTAATGAAAATACCAGCTCACTATTCATTATTTATTTGTGTACTTAGGTACCAATAGCATCTGGCTTAGAAGAAGAATAATAAGCAACATGTTAAAATTCTTACAGCTTGGATGGGTGAATACTCATGACTGTGGGTACTAGAGAAGCCCAAGAGAGGAATGAAATTCAGAAATAAATAGGTAGGGGGAAAGAAAGTAAGAAAAATAGTTATAATATTTATTTTTACTGAGATCTTAAATTAACTGAATCAAATAGAGTTTCTAGGCTTCCATGAAAGAAAAATCAGAAATGACTGTTGTGAGTCATTGGACAGCAAGTTCTACCATCTATGTGATGTAGGTTCTGAGGCTGAAATAAAGAAGCCAGTCTCAGCAGTTATTGTGTCTTGTCAAAAGGAATAAAAACCCAGATGGCCATTCTAAAATGTTATTTTGAGTTAGTACAAGATTTAAAAAGAAAGAAGAAACTATGTAACAGCTTTACAATCTCCCCCTCATAGGTGAAAATATGGCAGTTACTTTCTTGAAACAAGATTACCAAATCATAACCTATTGTGTGTTTTGCTAAATCATTTTGAGCAACCAAACAGATTTTTCTTGCTTCTAAATGGATACGAAGAAATGTTTAACTCCCATTGTATTGCCACAAAGCCAGGCTGATCACCCTGGGAGGCCTGGGAGGTCTGAGCAGCTTTGGATTGGCTGTCAGGAGCAGGACTTTAACATTTTACTGCACATGGGCCAGCCACAGCAGGGTTCAATTGCCAGTGCTTTTATCTGCAGAAATGTGCTGGGATGGGCACTTTGTTTAAAATTTCCCTTTGCTACTGGGAGGAAATGGAAAGCAGTAAGATAACTTCATTTGTAAGGTAATATCTGTGCTTGTTTATGTACTTTATGGAAAGTAATGTTTGACAGTCCAGAGACTGGCTGGTTTTTGTTCCTCCTCTCAGGTATCGTTTTAATGATTTGTTTAAAACCGAAGCCCAGATTAGAATTGTATTCCATCTATAACAGCTTGTCTGAAGCTTGATATTCTCTGTTCATTGATTTGGTTTTATTTTGTGTGCTATTGGTTAGTGGAGTTTGTTTCACATAGCTTGTTTAACACTTAAAAGAGGAACTTTCGTGGGGCAACTGACAGATATGGTTTGAATATTTTTAGTAGCAAAATGTGAACATATTGTAAAGAAAAATTAAGTGCTGGTATGTTTGTTTGTCATCAGGGTACATCCACAGGGTGTGTTAAGATGTAATTTTAATGCTTTTGTCATTCTTTCTGTGGATATTTGTTTTTAATAGTCTCACAGACCATTTTCATATTACCTTAAGACAATTTTCTAGTTAGGCCTTATTCTCCCTTATTTTCTGCATGCCTGATGTTTTTGAGGATAGTATAATACTTTTTGTGTGCAAAGTGTAGCATAAACTTTACTCATGTATCTTTTTGATTAAAAGCAGAATCTACTGTCATTCCCTCGGCACTAACTTGAGAGTTTCCCTTAGGTTTTTTGTATTGATTCTCCTGTATTCCAGAGAGTTCAGTGGTCAAGAGGATGAGAGAAGCTGGATGAAGGACACATTTTTTAAAAAATATCATAATTGGATGTGTTAGCTTTAGCTCTTGAAACATCTTCAAAGACCATCTGTAAGATTATACTCCATGCTTCTCAGTTCTTTGAACCTCATGAAATGAAACATGGTGTGATTATACCTAATGCAATTTGGTTTCAAGCTAGTATCTTGAAACCAAAGTTTTGCATCTTTAGAAACACCCCTGAAAATACTCATTATCTGACTTTTATTACAGCTGGACATGAAGCAAGTGCATTAAATACACTCTGCCATTTTCCTAGGGCAGTTTTTCTATTTCTGTTCAGATTTTTGATGAACAGTAACAAAATCTGATGAAAGTCACCAGAAAAATAACTTATGTTTGTATATAGTGCTTTATAGTTTGCACTATTCAGTTTGATCCTCTTAACCATCCTCTGCAAAGAGAGCACGTCTTATTAGCCACATTTTAAAGATAAGTGAGATTTAGAGAGACTAGACTGAGCAGCATGCCTCAAGCTACCCAGCTAGGAATAGGCAGAGCTGAATTCCCACCCAGGCATTCGGACCAGTATCCTTTCCAAAATGCTGTGTTGGCTCCATGTGCTGGATATTTGCTTTAAAGATCAGACTGTTTGGACTAAGCCTCTTAATAGGAAGGCTCTGGCAACAGCTGGTGTTAGGTAGATTAAAAATAAAATCAAAGACTGTTTGGTTGGAAAGTGGAAATAATCAAGAGAGTGAGGGAGAAGGGAGAAAGATACCAAAATAACCAAGTGTTGTTTAAAGAAGTCAAGGATAAGGGCAGCATGATACATGGGTTTCATGATTGCCTCTTTTCTCTCCTTGAAAAAGGTTTTTATCCCTCAGGGCTGCTTTCTCTTGTCCCTGGTCTCTTTGAGAAATTTGCTATGCATCATCACCACAGGCCACTGTGAATTATAAATAGGAATCTAGGGCACTTTCCCCAAACTTAATATCTACAGTTCATGGCCAGAAAATAAAGGATCAAATCTGTAAACCTTCCCTAGGTCTCATGTTTACTTACACAATATTGAGAATAATATGTTTCTGCTGTTGAGTTATATTCACTTGCCACGTCTTCCTTCTTTTCATTCTGAATTTTCTTGCTCTTCAAGTGACTATGCTTTTTAGTTTAATTCTACTACTTTGTTAGCCCAGTTCTCTTGACTTTCCTGATTATAGTTTGATTTTCATGGTTTCTTTCCATTTTTCTCAGGAAATCTTGCTAGAGATACTATACTGTGTAATACTTAGCCTTACCCTGAAATTCAAGTGAAAATTGGAATGCTTTTCAAGCCCGGGCCCCAGTTGAAATACTTACTGCCATGCCATTGATATAAATAAGATTGTAAGAATACTCTTTTACTTGGTTCTTTCCTCAGTATTCAAAATGTCTTCATAAGTGGGAAGTTCTTATTCACATCAGTTGTCTTTGGTACCAATATACTACACAAACCAGTTCTGTTAATCTGTTACATATGATTTTTTGAATCAAAACATAGAATTAGATGTATCTTTTTATATTAACTTTGTCTTATTGAACACAAAACATGTGTATGCGTAGATTTTTACACATACGTGTGCTTATTTTTAAATTAACATTTATTAGTTTTTCTGTTGAAGATTACAAAAAGAATTTAAAATAATGAGATACTCAGCACTCAGATACATCATTCTGAGTGAGGATAAAATATTCTAAAGATTTAAAGATTGACTAGTACATAAAGCTATAAAATTATATGTAAATATCTCCCCCTCAGATTCCTTTCCCCAAGGTAAATGCTCTTATTCATCTTTTGTGTATCTTACCAGAGATACGTTCTATGCATCTAGTGGCCAAAATTGATTTTTCAAATAAAGAATTTCAAGCTAACACTTATCTGATCACTCTGTGGAGTTAATTCACTAATTCAACTAATATTTACTGATGCTCTGTTTTAGGCATTGTTCTAGGCACTGGGGATATAGCATGAACAAAACAGACAAAAATTCCTGCTCTCATAAATCCTACATTCTGGCACATGAGATTAAAAAAAAAGATGAATCAATAAGACATGTAGTAAGTTAGATCATGATAAGCGTTAAGGCAAAAAATAAAGCAGAGAATGGAGGTGGGGCATCTAATGTAGGTTACCTTTTTGGACAAGGCAGCCAAAGAAGTCTCCATAGAGATGACATACAAGAAAAGCCCTGAAGATGAGGGGGAAAGCAACGTAGATACTGGGAACAACTGAAGCAACAGATTGGAACTCCAAGATCCAGGAAAAAAAAAAATCTTTTCTAAATGTCAAAAGGTAGGTTTTTTCCTAATGAGTTGCCCAAGATGAAGGAAAGAGAGGTAATTCATTTAAAGTAATAATCCCTTAATTAGAGTCATGTACCACTTCATAGATAGAATGAAAGTTCTCATTCTTAATTATTCTGCAAATAAGATGACCCAAGTCATGAGTAGGTGACCCAGGTCACCTACCTAGAGAAGATGCCATGGTAATCCAAGAACTTTCTGCTTACACATTTTCTCTTCTCCATTGGTTCTGAAGTTGCCAAGAATTTTTTTTCTAGGTTAGCTGAAAAGACTAATGTATTTTCCTTCTTTTCCCACAAGAACCATTTCCAGAATCTTCCCTTTGAGTAGTAGCCCTTGCCGCTACCTTTCTAGAGAACGAGGAATAATGCTTGAATGCAGCCACCTCCTTTCTATTTGGTGGAGGGAGGTTTCACTCCTATTGTTTTTAAGTAATCAGGGCCTCAAGGGTTAGGTTTGCCTGGTACGTGGTGTCTGATTACACCAGCCATAGCTAAAGCTAAAAAAAAAAAAAAAAAAAAAAAAAAAAGTACAGTGCCAAATATTACACAAACAGGAGTTAAAAGTCAGTGAGCATTTCTTTGGTTAATATGGACATAACAGCATATGAAAGCAGGTTGACAATTTGTTTCAAAAATGGTTTTGTGCACTGCTATTGGGACTTAATTAACTTGAAATACAGATTTGTAGACGTTATTGAAAGTGGAAGCTGTTGGCCTCATCCCATTCTTCTAAACCTAATCCTGCTCCTCCTTACCACCCAGCCCCCGACTGGACAGGGAGGCTTCCATGTGGCCTTCATCCATTCTGTGATGCAGAGCCTGTTGAAGAAAAGCAGGTGTCTTTACAGAGAACTTCAATAGAATCCTGTCAAGTCATTTGTGGTTTTGGAGCATAGTTTACTTGCTGATTTGACTACACCCAAATTTGGCCTGTTTGAACCCTTTTAAACAGGGTTCAAATGCTTATCTGATGTGAAGACAAGCATTATTATTGACAGGGAGGAATCGGGAAGGAAAGGCTTTAAAGGAAAAAAGTTTGTTAGGGAATGAAGTAACTCAAATAAGAAACCACAGTTAGAGAAGAAGGGTGTGTTTAATAATTGAAAGCTGTGAAACTCTACCCATGTGGCACCCCCAGGATCATGCCACTAACCTCTGCTCTGGACTATTGTAAGAGCCTTTTATGTGGTCTTCCTGTCTCAATCTCACTCCCCTTCAGCCTATTCTCAATACAGCCTATTCCACCCTTCAAAATGGAAGTCAGGTCATGTCACTCCCCTGCTCAGGACTCCTCCAGGGCTTCCCATTTCACTCAGTGGAAGCCAGAGGTCTTGCCCTAGATCATGTGGTGCCCCTTTCCATCCCTTACTTCATCTCCCACTGTTCTCCTGCTTGCTGCTCCTCTCAGCCACCTGGCCGCCTTGCTGTTCTAAGACAGGCAAAGAGATTCCAACCTCAGGGCCTTTGGATTTGCCCGGAACTTTCACCTTGCCTGCAAAGCCCTTTCGCAGTGGCTCTCACATTCACAGCCCTCAAATCTCTTTGGAATTACACCTTCCAAGAAGGTTTTTCCCTGACCATTGTACTTAAAATTGCAGCCCCTCTTTATCTTCACACTCTATTTTCTCACCATACTTTATTTTTTGCAACCTAAAACACAATATTTGTTTACTTATTTTAATTACTATTTATCTTCACCCACTAGAATATAAGCTATTGAGTGCAGAGATTTCTGCCTGTATTATTTACTGCTGTCTCCAGCACCTGGGACAGTGTCTGGTACATACTAAGTACTCAGAAACTATTTGCCAAATAAGTTAATAACTTGTGCAAATTTAAGTGGGAAAAAGAATTTGCTTTCTCTAAGAGTAATAAAAGTCTGGGGATTGCACAATAAGGATAAAATTCTTAAAATGAAAGAGATTTGGTGAATACACAGCCCACATCCACTTATAGGCATGTTTCCTGGGTGTACTGGATAGCTGATTCTGAAGGATAGGCCTTGGATGCCTTCAATGTCATGCTTAAATGCAAATGATGCTGGGAATTGCAATGGAGAATAATGAAAAAATGTGGAAATGGAATGGTGGAAATAGAAATTGGTTGCTTTGCTTCCAAAGTAACGATTTTCAAAGCAAAGGAATTGAATAGGAAATACATTAACAAAAACAGTGTCTCTGAAAATGCAAACTTCATTCACATTCTGATCTGTGCAATTTTTCAAGCTCAGTGATCCAAGGTCAGAGGGCGCTTGTATTAGCATAGACCTCGCTTTGTTAATTCACCTCTGACTAAAACCCCTGAATTCCTTATTATGATAGGCCTTCCAATGACAATAAAACCAAGCTCTCATAACACCGGTAACATTTATACAGCACTTAGGCAATTCCTAAATGAATTGTCCCCAGAGACCTTGAGAAATAGGTCAGGATTATTAACCCCATTTTGTACACAGAGAGGAAGTAATTTGCTTAATGTCACTTGGTAAGCTATTTAATTCATAATTTGATTGCTTTATTTGTAATAATGGTTTGTTTAAGACAGGCTATGTTACATTAAAGATGACCTCTTTAAATGGGCAGCTTTATATTTGAACTTAACTATAGTTAGCAACCTGCAACTGATAATATTCCAGATTTCTTTTAAGATCAGTGTTTCATAACCTTAAAATGGGAGACTGATTTAGAGAACTGAGTGGTCAGAGACTCCCAAAGCCATTTTGATATTGATCAACATTAGGCCACTCTCCTCCGCTGACACTACCGAGATATCTATAATGCAGGTTTAGGTGTGATTGGGAGTCCTCCCAAGCCATAATTTAAATCCTTTTAGAATTCCCTTGCCTTTTTATGCTCAAAAAGTTCCATTTGGTTCAAAAAATCAGTGTAACTAAAACAAAATCAGTGTTTGCAGACAACTAAGAACTAGAGACAAAGTCCTCATTAGGAGGTCCCAAGTCCCAACCAATAGGGAACGTGGGATAAACATCACAGAAGCTACATCAGAGTCATATTTGGAAACCACTTTATTTTGTTTCTGTTGTGGTTCATTCCTTTTACTTTCCAGAACAGTACTATGAAAAGACTTCAAATTCAGTTCAATGAGCCTGTCAAATATTCAGGAAGTTGTGAGGAAATATAAAGTGAGGGGACTACTTGTAAGTTCATGTCTGTATCAAGGGAAGACTAGAAAACTAGAACATCTAAAAAGAATGTTGAACCAAAAATGACTTGCCAGCTTTGAAAAAAAACGAAATGTCTAGTCTTTATCCAACTGTTTGAAAGTTTTTCAAAACTTCTCCTCATTTCATCTTTATAATGAGATTTATTTACTGCCAACAGCAACAAAAAAAGATGCACAGCCAAGTTATAATTCTAATTTTTTAAAAAAGTCTTCCTCGCCTTCCTTTTAAGGAAATGCATTCATTCTCCTTCACTGTTCCTGAATCTGCTTTACTATATTTTTATGCCTGTCTTTACATCTGGTTTATTATTTTTAACACCTGCTAGAATATGAGCTACAGTTTTGATACCAACGGCCAAGTTAATTGGGCATATAAAAGTTTGTTTGAAAGAAGAATTTTACACATGAAACTTTTGAAAGATTTTGTATGCAATTATGTTAAAATTGGTCAGACCAAAGTGTAAATGGATAGAGCAATAAAATTACTAGGTCTTAAATCAAATCAGATTAAACTTTAAGATCTTTGTGAGCCTCAGTCTCAAAAAGTGATGGTCGTAGAGGCCTCTTTGCAAGTAGGTCTTACTTCCCAGGACCTATAAAAACAAGGGGCCTTTGGTAGGTGGTATGGTTTGTATGTTTTGCCCCCTCTAAATCTTATTTTGAAATGTGATCCCCAATGTTGGAGGTGGGGCCCAGTGGGAGATGTTTCACTCATGGGGGTGGATCTCTCATAAATGGCTTGGTGCCCTCTTTGTGATAATGAATTACTGTGAGATCTGATTGTTTAAAAGAGTCTGAGACCTACCCTACTCTCACTCACTCTCTTGCCAGGTGACACACTGGTTCCCCTTCTTGTGCCATGATTGTAAGCTTCCTGTACAGCCTACAGACCATGAGCCAAAAATAAACCTCTTTTCTTTATAAGCAATCTCAGGTATTACTTTAAAGCAACGGAAATGAACTAGTAGGTTATAACACAGTAGGTTATAATAAAACATGGCTAAAGCATCCTTGGGAACGTTCCCTGGCTAAATACATTGAATTCTTAATGTAGTGTAAGCAGAAAAATGAATTGACAGATCTTAATTGTATAAATGACAGTGTGGTTAAAAGATGAATTATGCAAGTTATATGAGCCAAACCTATACAACTTTTCTGAACTTGAATGATAGTCTAGAGTTGTACTGTGTTGTTCAGGGGACAGAATAGCTCACTATGCAATTAAAAGTTTGATGTTTCCTATCCTTGTTTTTATCCAGAATATGAAATGCACAGAAATGTCTGTCATCTACTTATTGAGCATTTACGCCTGCGTAAATTAACATAGTGAACCTGATTGTATACAAAGCATAGAGTTTTTCTTATTACCATATATATTTTCTGTTAGCACACAGTATTATGCTGGTCTGAATTTTTTGTCCCATTCAACAGTATATATTACATTGATAATCATATTTTAAGGGAAGAAATGTTGCATGTGTGTTTGATTCTTTGTTCAAGTTCTTAGATACTAATCAAATTTGTACAACAATTAGTTAAGTTTCCTTTGTCACTTTATGTGTCAATGAAACATGCCTAAATAATCATATTTTATGAAGTTTAATATAATTTATTTAATCAAATAGTTTCACTGTTGTTTTGTGTTTTAAAATAGTCACTCTTTTTTTTTTTGACAGTCTTGCTTTCTCACCCAGGCTGGAGTGTAGTGGTGTGATCTCGGCTTCATTAGTAGATTATATAATAGTACCTTAAGAGACCGTTTTGTTTTGTTTTGTTTTGTTTTGTCTAGCTCTGTTCTCCAGGCTGGAGTACAGTGGCTCACTGCTGCCTCGACCTGCCAGACTCAAGCAATCCTCGCCTCAGCTTCCCAAGTAGCTGGGACCACAGGTGCATGCCACCATGCCCAGATAATTTATTTTTATTTTTATTTTTCACAGAGACAGGGTCTCCCTGTGTTGCCCAGGCTGGTCTTGAACTCCTGGACCCAAGCTATCCTCCTTGCCTTAGCCTCCCACAGTGCTCAGATTATAGGCATGAGTTACTGTTCCTGGCCCAAGAGACTATGTTTGATCAATACCAAATAATTAAAAATTGGAGTGCTGTTAATAATTTTTTATCTTATGATAAATCTTTGGTATATTAAACACTATCAAAAGTGTTTTTTTATAACTGTATAGGAATTCACTTGTAGTTCTTGCCTTCATTTTCAGTTGGTAGTTTTTAAATTGTCAGAGCAGCAAAATAAGTATTATTTGTGATCAAATCATTCCTCTTCCACCCTCAGCTTTCTTAAAATACATCAGTGGCTTCCCATTGCCCTTAGGATAAAAGGCTGAAAGAACTACAGGGCTCCAAGTGGCCAGGCCTCTGTCTGCTTTGTCAGCCTCATCAGACCTGTCCCTCTTATCCCCTGCTTTTCTTCTTCTCATTTTGTGCCCAATTAAATTGTGCATTGGTATCAAAACTGTAACACATCTTTCCTTCCCCAGCTCTGTAGGACCTCAGCTCAGTCATCATTTCCTTAGAAAAGTCTGACCTTGACAAAGCCGGTTCCCATCACCACACACTCTAGGAGCACCACACACCCCTGCCTTAACAACTTTTCAAAATTGGTATTTTTAGATCCATTTCTGTGATTATTTGTTCAATATCTATCTTCTGCCATTGACCATAAGCTTCATGAGGCCAAGAAGAGACTGGTTTTCTAAGGTTCACTTCTTTATAACCATTGTATTTCTGATGCTCAGCATAGAACTTGGCAAATCATAGGCGGTTAATAAATGTTTTGCATAACGAGGTGATAAGTAAATGCTCTATGAGGGCAGGGATTTTTTCTATTCTGTTTATTACTGCATCCTCAGTGCCCAGAACAGTGCCTGAGCCATAGTAGTTGGTCACTAAATATTTGTTGAATAAATTAATGTTTTCCTAACTTTTCAAGGACACAGAAAGTATTAATGGAGGAATTTAGGGTATAAGTTGAATTTTTTTCCTACAAATATCATGTCTATTAACTTACAGAGTTGGAAGGAAGTTTATAGCCATGTTTTCCTTTTTTATTGTGGTAAAATATATATAGCACAAAATTTGAGATTTTGACAGTTTTTAAGTGTACAGGTCAGTAGCATTAAGTACATTTATATTGTTGTGTGACCATTATCATATCCATCTTAGAAAATGTTTTCATCATCCCAGATTGAACCTCAATACCCATTAAACAATGACTCTTCATGTAGTTGTAGATTTATAGAACATTTTTTATTTGCCTTAGAATCTTTCTTCCCACTTGACATAGAAGTCTGATTTGTAAAATATATAAACATGAACTGCTTTTGCTTCCTGAATAGGGTTGGATGCCTCGACTTCATTTGTTTCATTCTATAACTTGGTGGGTGGCAACCTCATCTGGAGGCTGTTCCAGGGCTAGGATGGCTAGGGGAGACCGGGATTCCCAGGGCCACGCTGAAGTACGTCTGCTCACCCGTGAATGAAACCTCCTTTTCTCTATTCAGAACCAGGGGTCATCTTTGTTTTCTCCTTCTTATCACCACCTTCTCCACACACACATGTGCACTCATACACACACAGACTCATGGTCACTTTCCTGAGACTCTGAGCTGCTCAAGGATTGGAATCCTTTGTTACTTACCTAGATTCCAAGTGCTCTTCTGTGTTTGTCAACAGTGTGTTTTCCACCCTGTGGAACGTTCCTGATATTACTTTGAGAAAGGGAATCTAACAGCCTCACAATGTTGTGTATTTCATTGTTTAACCATCATTATCCTAGAGACATTATTTCACCATGTTGATTATTGTGTAGCCTGGGACCACATGCACCAGAACCCCCTGGGTCTGCCTATTAGAAAAGTGAATTTCTGGCCAGGTGCGGGGGCTCACACCTGTAATCCCAACACTTTGGGAGGCTGAAGTGGGCACATCACAAGGTCAGGAGATCGAGACCATCCTGGCTAACACAGTGAAACCCCATCTCTACTAAAAATGCAAAAAATTAGCCGGGCATGGTGGCCGGTGCCTATAGTCCCAGCTACTCGGGAGGCTGAGGCAGGAGAATGGCATGAACCCGGGAGGCAGAGCTTGCGGTGAGCCAAGATCCCACCACTCCACTCCAGTCTGGGCGACAGAGTGAGACTCCGTCTCAAAAAAAAAAAAAAAAAAAAAAAAGGAAAAGTGAATTTCCAGGTCCCTCCTAAATCTGCAGAATCAGATTCTCACAAAAACTCTATTTTCAATCTTCCCCCTTTCCTTTTCCTTTTCCTTTCCTTTCCTTTCTTTCTTTCTTTTTTTTTTTTTCTGGGACTGAGTCTCCCTCTGTCACCCAGGCTAGAGTGCAATGGCGCCATCTCAACTCACTGCAACCTCTGCCTCCTGGGTTCAAGTGATTCTCCTGCCTCAGCCTCCCTAGGAGCTGGGATTACAGGTGCCCGCCACCACGTCCAACTAATTTTTGTTTTGTAGTAGAGACGGGCTTTCACCATGTTGGCCAGGCTGGTCTTGAACTCCTGACCTCAAGTGATGCACCTGCCTCAACCTCCCAAAGTGCTAGGATTACAGGCGTGAGCCACCATACCCAGCCTCAGTCTTCCCCATTTTCTTAGATACGGTATTAGTTTATAGCCATCACACAGAGCCTTCTGTATTTGTTTTATGTTCAGTGAACTTGAAAAATAGTTTCTCACTATCTGCCATATAAAATTTTTGGAACCTTCATATATTCATTGACAGTTTAACTAGACTCCTTTAAGCTTTTTCTTCCCTAGGTGAAGTAAACACTATTACTTTAGCTGTTTCTACTAAGGAGTTATTTAATACCCTCTAATCAATTTTGCTCTACTGCTCTGAATACACTTATATTTTAAAATTAAATCTTCTTCCTAGATTATAGACATAGAAAAAGGACCAGTGAGAACAATATTTCATTTAAAGTTTCTATTATGTTCACAGTGTGCCAACTCTATTAGATAGGGCAGAGCTAGCTATTCTAACAAACCCCCAAACTAGAAACATCACACAATTAGAGTTCCCTCTCAGCTCATGTAACAGTTCACTGTTAGTGATGCAGACCATGAATTTGGAGGGAAGGATCTCTACTCTTCACCCAAGCTGACAAAGGCCATGCTGTGCAACTTTTCAGGTTACACTGGCATTGACATACAGCCAGAAATGGAGAGATAGGAGGCGTGGAAAAGACACATTTTCTTTTTAAACATCTGAACAAAGAAGTGACACATATTAGCTCTCTTACACCTTGCAGTCACACCTAGACACAAGGAGAACTGGAAATACAGACCCTGGACAGGAACTTCTTCTCCACAGCCATGTCTGTCTTACATGACAGAGAGAGGGCATGACTCTTTGTTAGACAGCTAGCCATGACTGCACACTGAACTTCTAGGTTTCTTTTTTTTTTTTTTTGAGATGGAGTCTTGCTCCATTGCCCAGGCTGGAGTGCAGTGGTGTGATCTTGGCTCACTGCAAGCTCTGCCTCCTGGGTTCACACCATTGATTGTTCTGCCTCAACCTCCTGAGTAGCTGGGACTACAGATGCCTGCCACTACACCCAGCTAATTTTTTTGTATTTTTTTTTTCTTTAGTAGAGACAGGGTTTCACCGTGTTAGACAGGATGGTCTTGATCTCCTGACTTCGTGATCTGCCTGCTTCGGCCTCCCAAAGTGCTGGGATTACAGGCGTGAGCCACCGTGCCCGGCCTGAACTTTTAGGTTTCTATTTGTACTTTTATGAAACCATGAAGTATACCAAGCACGAATGTCTCAGTCTGTTTTGTGCAACAGAGTACTATAGACTAGGTAATTTATAAGGAAAATAAATGTATTTGGCTCATGGTTCTGGAGGCAGAGAAGTCCAAGTTCAAGAGGCCTGCATCTGGTGAGGGCCTTCTTGCTGCATCATCCCGTAGCAGAAAACAGAAGGATGAGAGAGGGCAAGATAGAGTGTACATGAAAGCAAGAGGAAGAGGGGAACAGAAGTCACTTTTATGACAAATCCACTCTTGTGAGAACAAACCTACTCCCACAATATTGACGTGAATCCATGCATGAGGGCAAAGCCCCTCATGACCTAATCACCTCTTAAAGATCCCACCTCTGAACATTGTTGTATTTGTGATTAAGTTTCCCACATATGAACTTTGTGAAGCACATTCAAACCATAGCAACTGTGTACCATGGAAGGCTACATTTATGTATATGACAACATGATTTCCAGCATGCTGACAGTAAGGTGGTATATATCCAACATGTCCTCTATCAATGTAATTTGCTCACTATTGGATGTTTGCATCAGTCTACAAGGTAGCAAATGATAGTGTCACTTGAGGCAGTCAGATGCTTCTGTGAGTGATCAGTCTTCAGTCTTCAAGGACCAATGTGTTAATTTCTCTGAAAGGTAAAGCATGATCCACATTGGTTCACCTGCAAGTTTCTTGCTCGAATGGATCCCTTCTTGCTCCCACCCTAACTTCCACAAGATGTATAACATGGGGTCAGTCCCAAGTCCCAACAAGTTTAGTCTTGCAGGAGTAGGCTGAACTTGGTGCTAAACTTGGGGCCAGAAGTTAGGGGCCTGTGTTCCCAGGACCCCAGCCAGCTAGGTTGTGGTAGAGGGAGGGCCCTCTGGGTGCCATCTGATGGAGCTGTAGTTGGAGAACATGCTTTATCTCAGACCATACTGTCTGTTTTTTGGAATGTATTTTGTTTCATAGGCTGCTGTAATGGGAGAACTGGGTTTCAAGATGATTTTGGCTTCTGGCCTTGTCAAGCTGAATTAGCGGCTGGATGACAGGCATACCCTAGAGAAACCAAAGATAAATGCCAGTTTTAACAAGGTGGTTTTTTTATCCTTTTTTCTCCAGTTAAGTATGAATGGAACCCAAATTCAGTCCAAGGATCATGTCAAAGGCAGGAAATTAAGAAAAAAAAAGAGTTTGGGCTTAGTATGATTTTACTACTAGTCAAATTTCTGTTAAGACCAAAGATTAAATATAAATTTATAATTTACTGTCATTTTATAGTGATAAAAGGCAGAACAGTTTTGCATGTTGCACAAATACATACTTGTGCAGATATATAAATATATTCTTGCGTATAAAGTTTTCATAATTGATGTTCTGAAAACTATTTCTCATCTGTATTTATTTTGAAGAGTGTAGACAGAATTGACTGGGTTGTTGGGGGGGTGGGGGCAATCAAAGGCTTGATATCTTAATGTAATCTAACCTTTACTGTATTGTTAAGGAGGCCAGTTTTTAGAAATCAGCCTCACAAGAATCAAAGAGTAAACATCTCTAATATCTTTAGAGTTGAACTAAAAAGTATAAGCCAAATGAGATTTTGCAAGTTTTTGCCTGCTGATACTTTTTACCTAATACTGCTTGTAATAGCAGATTTTCAGTTGCATTGAATGTTATGAATTCTCATTTTAAAACCAAACAACTCTTTCTCTGCCAAAAAAGTCCAGCAAAAAAATGTGTCCCAATCCATAGCAATTTACTCTGAAACAGGAAGTTTATTATTTTATTTTTCCATAAGTGGCTAAGGCAAGTATTCACTTTTCAGAATTATTTGAATTTTTAGTGTTATATGCTATTGAATTACTATTATTGTAATTGATTTGTTATGTGTACTGTGGGCTTTGGGTTTCTTACATTTTTCGCGTGGATGTTATCTGTCTTTTCTGAAGGCTACTTTAAAAATACATCAAATCTTATCTTGACCTTTTGACTTAGGACTGATTTTATTTAATAGGGTAAGTTGATTGCATTTTGGTTAAAAAATTAAATTGTTACTTGGTTATTGGAAAAATAGTCCTTAGCAATGATGTATTACCCTATTCTCTTGACCTAAATGTGTTTTGGGGTAATGAAAGGCCATTGACACATTTGTCAAAACAAGAGTAATGAATGTAACAAAAAGTCATTTCCTAGAAATGTTGGGCATAATTGCTGACATGGTAATACAATTAATACAGTCTTTTGGTGGTCTTTGCAAACCCTTCAGGGTTTACATCACCACAAGGTGGTTAAAAATGTAGCAGTGCCCTATCAATAATATATATAAGCAAGGATGAAATAGTTTTTTCCACGTGATGCCATGGAACCATGTTATGCAAAATTACATATCTGTGCTTTTTAGAGCGTTTTGCCCTGAACTGGATTATGCTGAGAACTATTAAAACTTAGGAATCCATCAGCATGTGGACTGAGATCCCTCATGGTAGGAAGCATGAAGTATTTATATTTTATTTTTTTCTTGTTTAGATTTATCCAGTGAATTGGCGGATATGTATTAAGTGCTCAATATAAGTTTGCTGAATTGAGTTGTTATTGTAGATATATCTTAAAATTCTTATAGATGCTCTCCTACACAACTCTAGGGTTTTTTTTAAAAAGTGAAAACAATATTACTATAAAATTGGTTCCAATTCTAAGGAAAAATCACAAACCTCCACAATATTAATATTTTGTCCTGATAAAATATCATTGCTTCACATGCAATGAAAATCTATTAAGGGTGGTTTTATATGTAATTAACATTTTTTGCAACTTAATGCAGGGAATATTTTATAACACATACATAAGCAAAACCAGCTGAGATTATTAAGCATCTTTTATTAACGGAATAATTTTGTGTTTCATAGTTGTCCTAATATTTGAGTGCAGTCCAGAGTTCCTGAATTGACACTTGTTTCTCTTCTCTGAAGGGTTTTTCAGAGGTTGATAGTACGACTTCTGTTTCCAGAAATCCAAAGTTCAAAAAGACACAAATCCTCCCTTAGAAACCTTGGGTGTCACTGAATTGGTTGTTTAAAAAATGAAACTTAATGTGCTCAGCTGTGATTGTTCTACTCGCCATCCTTCCTCTCTTTCTCTGGCTAATTCTCAGCTGGACTATTTGCAAAGGAAACATTGAGGCTGACGAGAGGAGAGTTGGAGACTGCAGAACTTGGGAGCTGTCCACTGCTCTGCCTTTGTCACAGCCCAGGTGGAACTCACTCCTCAAATCTTGGTTGTTCCCAGCTTCTTTTTATGACCCTTGTTGAAAACCTGGGGCCTTTCAAACATAACCTAAAAAATTTCTATGCTACCAAATAAAAAAATTTAAATAATAATAATAATAAGCCCATAGCAAAGTATTTTATCCACACTGTATAGATACATTACAAAAACACCTTTATTCCTCTAAACTGAAAAGAGGAATCAGACGTGATTCTCTAGGCTGGAATCCTTTAATGGGATGTCCACCAGAGTTCTGGTCACTTCTCTGCTGTCACTTTTGATTGAAGCCAGCAGAGATATGTTTTGGCAAATCTAGTCATGATTTGTCTTCCTTGCAGGGCTCTCTCTTTAATTGTGTTTCCCATAAGAGAGCCAGTTGGAGTTAATATATTGACACTCTGCTGTGATTGATGACAATCAATGTCGTGTTAACGTTTCTCCCATTTTTTAACCCACAGAGCAATGCTAAGAAGACGTTTGGTTTAAAGAATTAAAAGGAAGAACAACTTAAGAGCTTCTTCAAAGGTAAGAGTTTGTCTTCTCAAAACATTTGAATTCGTAGTTAAAGATGAGAATTATAATATTAAATAATGTGATTATGTAATATTATTGCCATATTTAATACTTTTCAATCCAGAGAGTATGATAAAAGACAGAGAGTAGAAACATAGATGCAAAAACATTAATCATACCAATGTCAAAGAAGATAGATCAAATACATAGGGAAGTAAACCAGCCCTCATGTCCTTTCATAGTAATAAGATTTTTGTTTAAGTAAATCATGAATCATAAAGCCCAGAAAATAGAGAGCAGAGGCAAAGCACTGCTAGTAAAAATGTTTATAAAGGGACTAAAGATTAAAAATTATAGGGAATCATTTACAAGAAAATAATTTTCTTTTTGATTCAATAATATATCAAAAGTCTCCTGAGGGTATACCATCCATTAGTGATTTTTCTTGTCTCACAATGGAGTCCAAAGAATAAAAATATCTCCTTTGAAAGTTTAAATGTTACTTTGAAATGTGATTTCTGCTTTGTAAATTCCTTCCCCATTTCTTATTTCCTACCCCGCTGTCCGCCCCATTCTTATTTATGCCATTCAGCATTATCAGCTCTAGAATGGACCCTGTTAGGCCTATGATGCCTTCTGAAAGGCCATCTATTATAGTACTGAACTTGATGAAAAAATAATCTTACTTGGAGATCTGGAACACAGTTCAGAGAACTGTATCTCAACCAATAATAGCTTTTTTAAGGAATTATGAGAGCACGATTGTTCAGACATTCAGTTCTTTACCTTGTTGATTTCATTTAACAAATAAACTCATGGATTTTAGTTAAGGAAAGAAGATTGTATACAAGATTTTGAGATAGTAAAATCCTTTGAGCATGTTGTCTCTTGTTACTGAGAATTCTTAGGCTGATCCATTGAGATGTCCTTTTGTAATTGAAAGGAAATGATTCATGCCTCAGCTGAATTTGCTTCCATTGTGTTGTATTGAAACTGACTTCATATGACTAGTTCTTACAGTGTTTCAAAATACCATCAGAAATCCCCAAATTAGTAGACTGGAAACTAAGAATGTTGCTTTGTAAATCAAATAGCACAAATTTTGTTCTGCTTGAACAGTCCCTGAAAAGTGAAAATTAGCAGAGACTAGCAAAATTGATGTTAGGTAATTATGACCAACACCAAAATAGCCTTAATTTTGTACAAATGGCTCTTTTAAGAGAAAGCTCCCTTTGTTGAAGCAAAATGACCTATTTTATATAGTTTTTATGTACCCCTCTCCTCTACAAGTGTCCTTGTTTCATAAAGAACACCTGCAAGGTAAAGCAATGTGATAGTAAGTACCATCCATTCTGACAGGGACATATACCAAATTACAGTTGTTAGAAACTAGGAGTTACTAGTAATGGTATTAAGTATGGTGGCTTACCAGTACAATACTAGTATCAGCAGTAAGGTATGGAAAATTCTTTCGTAGATAATATATTGTCTGATATCTATAAGGTAGTAAGACACTGAGGGCGGGAGTTTATTTGTAAAAATGGTGTTTTCTGGTGAGCAGGGAAAACAGCGGCCACTGTGAGGAAGTACATGGTGCCCTTTTAAGGTGGAAACGCTTGGCTCAACAGCAGGTGCTCTCCCACTTCCTAGCCCACTCTCAGGTAGTTCTAAGGGAGTTTTTCTGGCTGGATGCATTATTTTTTCTTTCTTCCATCGTGTGAAGGGTACTCGATTGAAAATCTCTGTCTTCTAGAGCAACAAGTGAAAAGGCTCGATTCTTCTTTTCTCAATACACACTTCTTGTTGGTCTTTCTGGCTAGCCTTTTGTTAATTGGCTCAAGAGAGCTTTTAGTTGTCAGGTCCTATGAGAGCCACTAAAATGTCTCATTTTTTGGTTTCGTGAATGGTTGAATCTTGTCAAAACTAAATACTGAGTCTTCCCAATTTGTTTCCCTGGCCTCACAAAGACTGACTGAAACTTCCCAAAATTCTAAAGCACACTTATACTCAGAATGTCCCTAGGCTATTCAAGTATTTGGCCTCTGACATTAGAATAAATAAGTTTTTTTCGTAGCTACTTAGAGTTTTCAGTAGTTTTTCCCACATTCACTGGCATGCTGTGATGTTCAGAAAAATGCATGCAGCCAGAATTGTGGACTGTGGTTTGCAAACTCTCAGGCCCATCCCACATCCTTCTGTTTGGGAAGTGCCCTCTGTCTGCCCTTATCCAGTGTCACACATAAAAACTGCTCACGTTTGCCATTAACCCTAATGTGTACATTCTCTCCCTGGGAAATCTGTCTTCTACCTGCATTGAAAACCTTGAGCTAAAATGCAAGGCTGCTAGTGGTGGCATTTTGATAATCAACCAGAGTGAGGAGAGAGGATACCTCTGAAATCACTTCGTAAAATGAGTTTTCTGCTGGCCACATTCGTGTAAGTTTGGTCCTAGTAGTAACCATAAGGAGTCTGAGGAAGAAGAATGCCCAGGCTGCACCTTAAAGCATGTTCCCATTTGGCAGCAAGCTGTGTATGAAGAATAACCTGACAAGGTGCTGGAGTCATTTACTGACTGTTTTTGTGGATGACTTGAAATTTGTTCTTTCCCTTGGACTTTACAATACCGAGTTGTTAAAGTTATATGTACATCTTAGGAGAAGGGTAGTTACATCCTGAATAGATAATAGTAAAACTGGTAAGAGTAAAAAGACTTTTATCTTATAATTAAGTTGATTTGTAAAAGTGAACCTGTATTTTATTACAAAATCCTAATAGTTATACAATTTTAATGCTATTTATTTATTTAATTTATTTCTTTCTTGAGATGGAGTCTCACTTGTCACCCAGGTTGCAGTGCAATGGCGCGATCTCTGCTCACTGCAAACTCCACCTCCCGGGTTCAAGTGATTCTCATCCCTCAGCCTCCTGAGTAGCTACAATTACAGATGCATACCAACATGCCTGGCTACTTTTTGCATTTTTAATAGAGACAGGGTTTCACCATGTTGGCCAGGCTGGTCTTGAGCTCCTGGCCTCAAGTGATCTGCCTGCCTTGGCCTCACAAAGTACTGGAATTACAGGCATGAGCCACCATGCCTGGCCAATTTTTAATACAATTTAACAGTAAAGACAGCTATCAAAATTTTGTCCTACAGGATCATTTTAAGGCTGAGTTTAGTTGATACCAGTCAAATCAAGAAGACCCAGCACCCACAGAAAGAATACTTGCCCCATGAAGCTGAAGATTAAAAGCTCATGAATAAAGCAGTTACTCTGGGATGCCTAGAACTTATAAAAACCAAGACAGGGATCTAACTCCAAGTAAAAAATATTTACCTCTTTATTGTTTTATACCAGTAAAGTTTGATTCAATATGTAGTCATCTGGAAAACTAGAACAATCTTTTCTTATACAAATTAACTTCCTCCCTCTTCATTGTGACATAGCATGAAGGCAAGGCACAGATTTCAACTAAGTGACATCTCTTGAAACATTAGCATACTTGGACAGTCCCTCTATTGTGATCGTGATGAACTTTTTCACAGAATGACTACTTACCACTGAAATGCAGCATTCCTGGAAGCTGAATGACAATGCAGTGAAGAACATTCTGTTCTTTCAACCCAGGCGACTGCTCAGCTTTCCATTTCCACATGAAGTCTGAGCAGTGCTCTCTGTCCTGGGGTCAGATGGAAGCATATTAAATTCAATGTGCAACATTTCTGTAGGGAGGCTAAATTATACATTTCCTGATATTTATCTCTGAGTTTTATTCACATCCGTGATTGAGATGCCTTTATTGATTAGGCATCTCATTTCTGCCTCTTGCATCCTGTCCTCATTATTCTTATGGGACACAGCCATTTTTCTCTGGACATCTCACCTTATCCCCCTTCTCACCACTCCCACCACTCTGGGCTGCTCAGTTTGATAGCTGTTTCTGAAGGCTCAGAAAGAGCAGTTGAAATGTGTTTGAAGAAAGACATCAGCATTTTCTCTTGGGAGATAGCTGGGTAAGGATAATGCCATAGTGAGACAATGATGAAAACAGTGGCATTATGTTTTTGTGGCAGCAATAATTGGTGCTAGTAGTCAGTAGAAGGAATCCTGCAACTTTTATGTGTTCCCCCCTCTCCTCCCATTGTAGCCTAGTGGGGAGAAATATCTGGTTTGAAACTGGAAATAAAAAACTGCCTGAGTCACTCCAGTACATGAAATGTAGAGCACTTAGCATTTATACACCAAAGGGCTAATGCGTGACCTTTGCAAATAGCTTCTTGCATATACTTACTGGATTTGATTTCTTTTCCTTGCTGTACTTTTGGCTTGTAGTTCTTAACTGTTTTCTGGGATTATTAGAATCAGAACTCGTGATGAAATAAGTCTAGATTCGTGACCCATAGACTTTAATTTTGAGGTTCACCAAAATGACCAGAACAGTGCCACCAAAAGGCAGGGGCACTGCCCTGTGGCTCTTGTTCCCAGCAAGTACAACCTCTATTAAAATAATTCTCACCCTGAGAGGAAGCTTATTCCAAATGAAAGTTATAAATGGCATCCCTTATTCATTGAGTTAGGATCTTTGTATTCAGCATTCTTATCACCAGAATCATCATTTATTGAACTTTAATTGTGCAACATAACCTAATGGGTGAGATACTCCAAGTATGGACAATTGGAAGTGAGACACAGCAGGAATACTGGAAGGCCTCAGGTGTTCAGGTCCACATGGTACTCTATACAAAGGTAGACATGTGTGCCTAGGTTCTGCGGGTATTTTATCATGTCTCTTCCTTCCAGCATCTGGCCATTTCATCCCTGGCTGCTTTTGGAGGGAGTCGAATCCTGACAGGAGGGTTATCTAGGGAACTACCCAGGAGGAAAATGAAACCCAGTGTGGAGCAGGAGGCCAGGACCAGGCCCCTGCTGGTAATGCAGTATGTTGCTGTCACAACTGACTGCATACACAAATAGATGCTTGGGTTTTTTTTTTTTTGCTTTGCTTTGTTTTCTTTTATTTTGCCTTTCATGACAGCATTCATTTTGTAAGGCAAAGAAAAAAATCTCTTGGATGGATTCAAGTTTTCATATCTGCAGAAGGCATTTCTACAGCTATTGTCAAACTTAGCTGGTCTGTAAAGATTCTTTGTTTCTGGTTGACTGTTGCAGAAAGCAAGTTCATAAACTACCACGAATACAGGAGAGAATGATTTCTATTGAAAGAGTCGAGTAGGATATGGTGCATGGAGCCAGTCCTGAAAAGGGTTTTGTTTCTTGTAGCATGGTGGAAATTCACATTCACATTGCTGCTCTGTGCTCTTTAGCATGCTACAGTGAAACAATGGGCATGCCAGCCGTTATAGCAGTGTTGATTAATGCATTCCTTGAATGTGTTGATTAATGTGTTCCTGGGATGCCTCCTTAAGCCGCCACTGCACCTGAGGTGTGTTGGATATGCCTTCTCCCCGGCTGCTGCTTCGCTCACATGAGCCCTTTTACACATGGGTCTTTTGTGTGTATATTTCACACCATTGCCTTTATGAATAAAATACAGATCTAGCAGACTTTTTACAGACATATTATCATCTGACAGAAGTGTCTACATTATAATCTAGTTGGGACTCTATAAACTATGATGTTCATAGGAGGAATGCTCTTCTAATAAACACAAATGCTTGGTGGCATGGCTTAGTGGCATCTCTCTGTCCTGTGCATAATCCCACCCAGGGATTTATTTTTATTCTTTTCAAAAGTTTTGTAAAGAAATAAAACTGAAAATACTTATGGAGTACAGTTTGCACTTGAATAATATGGGAAGAGATGTGTAAATGGATTGCCCATTAGACACTTGGTACACTTGGAGTCTCACTTGGAAACCCACTCCTTTCAGGCCAGACAGGGTAATTCTGTTTCCACTCTGCTTCATTCCAGGTTGTGACTTCTCCTGCTGTATTCTGAATTCTCATTAAATAACATGTTTGTTTCGTAGCATGTTTCCAGAAAGACTTACCTTGATGTGGTTCTACCTAACTAATGGTTTGAAAAAGATAAGTGGGAGGTTTTTGTAATTTGTAACTTGTAATTTGAGACATAAGACTTCTACTACTACTTTAAAAACTTTCTAACCTTTTAATTCTCAGCAAGAAGACCAAAAGGATTAGAAAGCCATGTTTTAAAATGATGTGAGAAGGTTCAGCCATAGAAGAAATGGCCCAGTGGTGCTGGGGTGATGGCATTGCCTGCTGTGCCTTGAGGCTCACACTATAGTATTTTAACAGAGGAAACCATCCGTGCTATTCAGAAAAATTACCTTTAACATTGGTAAAAGCAAAGCAAACAAATTCATCTTGAATAAGAGGGAATTTTTATATAATAAAAAATTATCGTATGAAGCCATTATATAAAGAAGTGGTAAAGTCTACAATATTTATTGCTCTTAAATCTTGGCATGAAATTAATGGTGAAGGATGGCATTTTGATATTTTTAAGAATAAGACTTCAATGAGGATTCTTTATTCTTTTAACACATATTAGTGACAAGACTATTCAAAGGTCTGCTTTGAGGTTCACAGAATACATAACTTCTGTTATTTCAGTAATAATAATTAACCCCAAAATTCACTATTATTTTAAATGGTTGTTTATATCTGTCTCACAGAGAGTATTTGTGGAAAATGGAAAATATTGAATTATTTCTTTTGCATTTGCATACATAAACTTCTCTTTTGGAACTTGCGGTACACAGAATATGTGTTTAAATCATTTTAATACATGTTAGATTTGGAAGCTATATTTGGAAACACTAATCTTATTTGAAATGTATTAGTTTTCAGATAACTTTTAATTATACGATCTATTTAAAAGCAAAATGCACCAAAAAGGTATCTAAGAGGGAGTATACATGTATAATTAGATATGCATTTTCTTGGTTTGCCTTGAATTCTGCAAGAATTGAAGGGGTAAACAAAGAGAAGCAGTGAGCACAATTAATCTGGTTTTCTGCAAAGCTTTTGATACTGTACTGAATAAAGCTGCTGACAGAAGCTGTTAGCTTGGGGAAGGAAAGGCCATAGGAGGAACAGGTTATGAAAGGAGAGAATGGAAGGCAGAGGACAGTCCAACACGGAGAAGAAGCACAGGGGAAATGGCTTCTGCACATTTCTATTTATTTACTTTTGTCAAAAAGCACAGAGAAGATGCAGTTAATGTAGTTTCCTAAATGGCTTCGTTCCCTGGGGCAAAAAACAAAAAACAAAAAAACAAAAAACTGAGAAGGATCTTGACAAATATGACTAGACAAAAGTACCATATTTAAATGATTCAAATGACCTGGAAAATATATCTACGTTCCAAGTGTCCTATAAAATATTTCTTTATTATGTAACATTTCTCTCTTACTGAGAATCCAACTATAGATATTCTTTAATGCAAAAACAGTCTTCAAATCGATTTGATTTGCCAAATAATAAGTTATTTGACTGGGATATATTTTTAAAGGTATCTGAAAAACTTTCTTGCCATAGAGGAGTAGGAAAAATAAATATATTCTACCCAAACCAGAAGTCATCCCTAAGGAAAACATACCCTAAATTTTCCCCTGGGTCTTCTCATTGATGGTTGTTGATAACCCAGACAGGTTTATGGTAGATTGATAGACATTTTTATTTTCCTGAAAACAGACCTTTAGATGCTAAGATTTTTCTTCTGTAGATCAATCTCCAAGTTCAGCAAGGAGGTAGATTTCAAATACCTACATTATAATAGACTTCTTGATTCTGTCCAAATTATTTTCTTTTTTGTAATGTAGCTGCCTTGATCCAGTAAGTGAGCCAATATCTAGGGTATGGAAAGACCCTTGTTACAAAGAGTACATAATGGAAAGCCTTTCTTTTATAAAACAGATTTCCCTCAGTTATGAGTCAAATGTGGTTCCCCATAAGAAGCATGTTCAGTAATCATTGAATGAGTGCTGGGAACATTGTTTATAGTTGAACCTAGAACCTCAACATTTTATTGATAATAAATCACAGTTTATTCTGAAGTCATTTGGGTCTCATTGGTACAAATAAGATACTAATTTATGGAATCTACATGTAATGCCTGTCTGGTGGCCATCTTTATTAATAAACATTATCTATTGCTTGTTATAAATAGGGAACTGAGAGAGGTGATAAAATGCAAAAAGAGCCAGATACAGCTCTTGCTCTTCAGGGAATCACACTCATTCAGATGTATATGTATAAATTGACTGTTCATATACACACATATGTACATCAAAAAAAAAAAAGCATGGAATAGCATTATTGATGGTTAAATGTGTTGTAGAGGCCAAAAGTGCTCTAGGAGTTCAAAAGAGTGGTGACCAGTAGGTACTGGGAGACTAACCAAGGTTTATGACTGGTTTGGACTTTAACTGATCATTAAGGAAGAATTATTCTAAAAGTAGTTTAGAAAAATTAAAAAGAGTAGAAATTACAGTGGGGAAAATCACAATGTCTTGAGTGGGGAGGGAGATAAGCATGGTATTTGAATAGTAAAAGAGAAAACAAGTAAACCTGTTTAAAGCAGCAAGTAGACCTAAGAAATGATTGAAAGTAATTTTGGAGAGGTGTTCACTTCTTCCCTCCTTTCTTCATGAATGAATGATCATTTATACATTCATTCATAAGTGAGCTACTGTGCTTCAGATATTCCTAAACAGTAGCAAGTAAGCTGTACATGGAGTGTATACAGCACAGTAATTGCAATGTGGTGTAATTAGTACAAAAATATGAAAATATACATATATATTATGTATCTGTATTGTGTACATATACATGTAAAGGTGTAATAGTGATATAAAGGTAAATGTAGCAACTCTGCATGGTGGCATCAGGAAAATCCTTGAGAAAGAACATGAAACATGGGTGGACATCCCCCAGGCAGACATGGAGAAGGACATTCCAGGCTCTGGGAGAGCCGAGGCCAACTAGATCCTACATGAAGCCATGTAGTAGATACACTCCAAGTGCCTTGGTATATGATTGAAGGTGGAGAAGTTGGAGGTGCTGTGAAGACAGGTTGGAGAGGTCATCTGTGGCCAGGAATTTGGGATAGATTATGGGATTCCATTTACAGATTTTGAGTACAGGAGTCACGTGGTCAGAGCTGAGTTCAGAACAGACACCCCAGCAGCTATATGTAGAATAGATTGGAGTACTGGTGAAATCAGAAGCTGGAAACCAGTAGGAGGCTAGAGATGATAAGAAGCAATAGAGCTTGGGCCACTGTCCTAGCAGAGGGGCTGAAGAGGAGACGGTACACAGTATATTTGCCAACTGAGAATGAAGAATGAGGAAGAGCAAGGCCTGATCTCTGCCATTAGAGACTGGACAGATGGTGGTGATACTGACCAGAGTAGAAAATGTACCTGAACAGCCAGCCACAGTGGCTCATGCCTGTAATCCTAGCACTTTGGGAGGCCGAGGTGGGTGCATCACTTGAGGTCAGGAGTTCAAGACCAGCCTGGCCAACATGGTGAAACCCCATCTCTACTAAAAATATAAAAATTACCTGGGCGTGGTGGCACGTGTCTGTAATCCCAGCTACTCAGGAGGCTGAGGCACGAGAATTGCTTGAACCCAGGAGGCAGAGGTTGCAGTGAGCCAAGATGGAGCCACTGCACTCCAACCTGGGCTGCAGAGCAATACTCTGTCTCAAAAACTAAAATAAAATAAAAAATAAAATGCAGCAGAAGGGCTGCTTTTAAGAGGAAGACAGGACTGTGATGAATCTGTTGTTTAAAATATGTCTAATTGTGAATATACTATACTGAGTTTGAATTATATTCAGTTATGAACTCATTAAGTTCTTGAGTGAGAAGTGATATATGCCCAGTGTTGTTTTGAGAAGGCTAATTTGGCATCTATATTTTAGGAAAGTTTGGTGAAAGGACATAGAAGATGAGAAAAGCAGTTAGGAAATTATTGCTTTGCTAGATATATTTGTACTGAGATCCCAAAACTACAGGTGAGGCCATGGGAATGGTAGGCAGAGATGCTGGGAGTCAAGCAGGTTGCCCCTTGAGGAGGACAGTAGCTCCTTGCCTTCTGTCACTTTGTTTAAATTTACCAAGAACTTTAGTTCCATCATTCTGTGAATACAATCTTATTTGAGACATAATTTGTTCTCAGTTGGACATCTTAAATGGAATTCACAAAACAGGGTTGGCAGCAGTGATAACTGGTCATCCCAGTTTGTCCTGAGATTTAGTGTACTTTTTTGAAGAAGAGGAGTGGTTTCTCGGGGACTCCATGCAAGTAGAATTCATGCCATCAGTCATCTCCAAGAGAACTAGCTGTAGAAACCAAAAGGTCAAAAACTTATATTAACTGAGGGACCTAGAATGTGCACAATTCAGACTGAAATTATTTTCTCAAAGAGTGATCTGAATGAAGAAAATTTTGCCAAGAGCAAAAATGAAGGAAAACAGTACATAGCATTCCCAAGGGTCACTGGAAACATTTTTTGAAGCAATAACACGGAACAATATGTCATTATTACTAAGCAGACAAATTTGAGTGAAATATAAGGGGAAAGAGCTGCATTGTTTCTGTTGTTGATTTGTTGTGGGTTTTTTTTTTTGTACTTTGGTCACTATTTAGAAAGGGTGATCAGTTAGACACAGGCCACATGTTTAAGGTGATATTTCTGTGAAACATTTTCATCTTAATAATTATTTCATATTTATTATGATGAAAGGCATTTAACCCTAGAGCATGTACAAAGCTGAGTCGCAAGTCTCAGAAATAGTGTCCTAAAGTGATGTATTGGCCTCAGAGGGAATTCGTATGTACTTATACACAAATTCACCATAATGAATGCACCAAATCATACTTTTAAATGCCCAAATAATTCATATTCATAAATTTTTCATTTTGAGCCCCTAGATATTTTTTAATCAAAACCCATACCACTATCCATTCATCTTCCATTCAATCAAATGGAAAAGAGCCATATTTTTTTCAAAAATAGCAAAATTATCTAATTTCCCTTCTACTTCTCATGTCCATAGGATAAGCAAAAGAAAAAAAATCTGAAACACCTGAGTTGGCACTTTAAAAATTTTTCCCAGAAACATGAGATGGGATGGTCAGAGGTCATGCAGTTGGTGTCATGGGGGCACCCTGCCTGTTTTCTTCTGTAGCTCATACCGGTCACGCCTTGTTGGTGCTAATGACTTCCCAGGTGCCTGGTACCAATTCTTCATTAGTTGCTGTTGTCCTAGAAATCTGTGTAGGTCATGGAACCTATTTTCTGGAAAACCACTTAATACTTATTTTAATTTCTGTAAATGTTGTCTGTGGAAAAGAACATTTCCACATTTTGCTTGCCATTGTTCTGAATCTGACTGGCAGATAACACACTTTGGCATCTGTAATGAAATTACATTAATCGTCTGTCCTTAACTCTTTTCCTGGTAAAAGGAATGGGAAATCTTTGTTCAGATATGCAATAACAGTATTTTAAAATTGTTCAAATTATATAGAATTCTTTGCAGATTATGTTAGAGAATTCATTACAATTTAAATTCATTTTATTATCAAAATTATTCTTTGTTTTTTGGTATTACATAATGGTCTTCCTTATAATGGAGTGTTTTACTTCTATTTATAGAATATAGAGAATGTTGTGTAGTTTGCTGTTTTATTTTTTTAAAGAACTATTTTTAACAAAAATTTGATTCAATGAAATGTAATTCTATTTCCTGAATAAAACGTAAAATAAAACATAATTTTTTAAGAAAAGCTTTAAAAAAACGTAATTTTTTTAAAAAGCTTTCTGTTATTGAGTTGTATTGAGTATGATATTTTAATCAAAAATTTGAATTTAAAAATAATCTTTTCTAAGATTGAGTTTCTCTTAAGTCATAAAATATTTTACTGCCCCCAGATGAGCACCATAATTTTAATGTCACAATAAATTAGAAAAAAAATGGAGAAATTCCAGGTTGCAAAGCCAGATCTGATACAAATTTTGCCTGATGCCTTTATCATTACCTTACACTTCCACCTAGCCTATGTGCCTCAACAGGATAGACATGTGACATTTTTCTTTGGAAATTTGACTTAGTCTTTTCAATGGTGTCCCTAGTTTAACACAACATGGAGGCAAAATGTTTTCTAGAAGGATCTCAACTTACCCAGGGATGCATTTCTCTTTTGCTTCTCTGTTTGTTTGTGTATGCATGACATAATGACCTTTTTAGAAAATAGATGTTTATTATAAAAATAGCATCTGGTATCCTCTAACATTTTATTGCATAAAGATAAATTAGTTTAATTTTATATAATATATTTTAACTTCTTCCCAATGGTGATGGCCTTCTTCAATATTTAATAAGGTAAAATTAGCATAGTATTACAATAACAATTGCGAATAATCAAATATGCCCTAAGCAGTGTTTTTTCAATATCAGGGCTTTGTCTCTCTTCTCTTGCTCTTTTGTAAAAAAAAAAAAAAAAAAAAAAAAAAAAAGTCAACAGAAATTTGGGGAAGGATTACATTTGTATGTAGGCAGTAATATCTTAACAGGAGGCTTAGATATTCCTAGTGATACCTGTTGTGAAAACCATATGTTCTACTGTAGTAAAAGCAGTCACCATTTATTGAGGCTTACCATGTGCTAGACATGTTCTAAGTACTGCACATGTTTTATCTCATCCTCACAGTAACTTGTTATTTATACTCATTTTATAGATGAAGACATCGAGGTACAGTGTTAATTACATCACTCAGGGACACAGAGCTAGTAAACCGTAGAGCAGGGCTTCAAACCAAGGCAGTCTAATTCCAGAGTTCATGTACTTCACCACCACATCGCTGCTTGGACACAAAATGTGCCCACCAGAATGCTTAATTAGTTCACAAGAGCTGCACTTGGCCTTGAGACTTCTGGTCAATGTGCTGTATGTACATGACAAATAAGGTCTCATATGGAAGTCAAAGTTATTACCCGGCTGCCCGTTCACATCAAATAATAAATCTAAAGACTGTCAAGGTTGTTGCACTGCACATGTGGCTCTAAATATCTATTCCATGTTTGTGTGCATTGCAGAGAATAAATAGGTGCAACAGAAAGAGAAAAACAAATTCCAGACCAAACAATATAATATGGTTAGGAATGCTTGCCTGCTATTACATTGGGTATTCTTATCTTTTATATGACTGATTCTATCTGAAAAAAAATTCTTGGACTGTAGTGTCATTGTGGTTTGCTCACAGGTCTGACCTTTGTCCACAGTAATAGAAATCGTGGTAATGAAAGCTCACTTTTTATACCTTTTCCTCAACCCATGCCACCTCTTCTTTCCTAGAGCTGTCACCCAGGAACTTGAGCCACGTTTTATTCACACAGGATTTCAAAGGCAGCTCGGTAACTACTGCTTCTCAGAAGAAATTTACTGATAGCTGCTTTGATGTGACTTTTTACTCCTTTCCCTGGCCCCTTTGCGTCCTCACCCAGTGTTTTGGGTTTTTTTTTTTTTTACTTTTCTTTTCTTTCTTTCTTTCTTTCTTTCTTTTTTTTTTTTGAGATGGAGTCTTGCTCTGTGGCCCAGGCTGGAGTGCAGTAGTGTGATCTTGGTTCACTGCAAACTCTGCCTCCTGGGTTCAAGCGATTCTTCTGCCTCAGCCTCCCAAGTAGCTGGGATTACAGACATGCACCACCAGGCGCAGCTAATTTTTGTATTTTTAGTAGAGACAGGGTTTCACCATGTTAGCCAGGCTGGTCTTGAACTCCTGACCTCAGGTGATCTGCCCGCCTCGGCTTCACAAAGTGCTGGGATTAGGCATGAGCCACTGCGCCTGGCCCCGTATTTGTGTTTTAATAAAAGAATCTGGAAGATAAATAGTCTTGAAGAGAGACAAAGGAAGGAAAATTTAAATCCTTAGATTCAAGCAGAAGAATTCCATGTGGAAGGTTTGGGTTTGTTGTTGTTGTTGTTTGGTGTGTTTTTTGTTTTTTTGTTTTTTTGGTTTTTTTTGAGATGGAGTCTCGCTGTGTTACCCAGGCTGGAGTACAGTGGCGCGATCTCGGCTCACTGCAAGGTCTGCCTCCCGGGTTCACGCCATTCTCCTGCCTCAGCCTCCTGAGTAGCTGGGACTATAGGCGTCCAGCACCACACCCGGCTAATTTTTTTTTTTTTTGTATTTTTATTACAGACGGGGTTTCACCGTGTTAGCCAATATGGTCTCCATCTCCTGCCCTTGTGATCCTCCTGCCTCGGCCTCCCAAAGTTCTGGGATTACAGGCATGAGCCACCGTGCCCTGCGGGTTTTTTTGGCGGGGAGGGGGTTGTTTTGGATAGAGGAGTCCTGTCCTGTGAGCCCCTTACATTGTCACACCCTAAAACTATCTCCTCATATATCCCCCACCTGCTTAGATTATAATAATTTCAGTAATGCCTTCTAGACAATGATCATGTTAAATATGTACTTGTTTCTTTTAATATGATTATTGGTAATAAAGTATAGCTTTGCAACGTGGATTTTATTTAAATCCGTATTTAGTTTTATTAATGATCTCCAGATTATAAAGTGTTTTATTCTGGGTGTTTTACTGTTTCTTTGTCTTAATTAAGCTTGTACAAAGCCAAAGCCCTGTCCTGACTCTGCTGCAGGTGGACTGGCCTCCTTGATGCCCCATGAGCAAGCCAGGATGCTCCCACCACAGGGTCTTTCACCGAGGCTCCCTCTGTCTGGAACACTCTTCCTGCACATATCCCCATAGCTCGCTGCTTCTTCTTTAGGTCTTTGCTCAGATATCATTTTCTGGTGAGTTATTTCCTGAACCTGTGGCAAGAAAGTATATTACGCATGTGCATATACACACACATACGTGCGCATGCACACACACACATTGACATGTTGGAACCCCTGTACCCCTTCCTTTGTTTTATTTTTTTTCTCTGTAATACCACCTAAGAAACTATATAATTTGCAGTTGTTGTTTTTTTTATGTTTCCCTCCCTTTAGAATGTAAGGTTTGTGAGGACAGAAACTTTGGACTATTGTGTTCATGAATGTATCCCAGCACCAAGAACACTGCCTGGCATGTAATAGGTACTTAATTTGCTCAATGAACAAATGAATGAATGAATGATGACTTATGAAACATTAAAGTTTCAGCTCTTTGTCAGATAATGAAAGTTTCATCCCTTTGTCAGATAATGTTGTTAGCTAATTAAATGCTGCTTTAATTTTCTGTGACACCCTGATTTCTAAAGCTTTAGAAATGGCATTTTTTTGGAACTCAGCTTACTCACAAATTCTGCTAGCAGGAGGAAAGGGTATTGTGGCTTTCCATTGTTAAAATGCGGAGGTAGAGTTGGAAAACAATCAAAAGAAATGTTCCTCTCATTTTTTGGACCAAATGAACAAATCTAGCATTTGTTTTTGAGAGAATAAATACTCTTCAAAAAGAACAGAAACTGTTCTCAAAATCTTTGAAGTATGTCACTGATCCTTTAACCAGTAGTTGGAGAAGCAAGTATCCTACTGACAAACACAGGCTTTGTGGGGTTGAAAGCCGATCATAAGTTTACAAAGACTGATTGGGCCTTTGGCTTGTGACTAATGCCTGGCACTGACACAGAGGAGGCTCTTAATCGACACAGCCACATATATTTTAAGTAAAAATGCTTGTTCTCAAAGAAATTAATTTTTTTGCCTAGTACCCTCTTTCGGGTTAAAAGAATGCATTGCTCAGGATGTAAATAACATTAATAATTCTGTCAAAGTGACATCATTTTCTGTAATGGTATAGGGAAACGGATTATTTGGGGAGAAGGATTCTCGTTATTTGTTTCTTAGAGATTTTTCTTTTAATAATTAATTTAATTTGCCAGTTGTAAAAGCACAAGAGATCATATGAATAAGAACAATGTTCCTAATGGCCTTCTAATTACAGGGTCTGTGTTTTGTAGTACTAACATTAAAGCCAACATGTTTCTTATTCATACAGTAAAAAATATCTATTCTCAAGACCTGATCCAGACCCTGCATTCATATTTGATATCAGGGTATGAAGACCCCCTACAATCCCCCTCCCTCCAAAAACCATCCTGACCTGCTGGCTAATGCCTGAACTTCTCCTCCTAGGCTTGGTTTCCTTAATTCAGTTCTATATTTATTGAGTTGCTACTGCTTCAGTCACATATCAGACATGGCATTAGCGCTCTGAGTCACCTGTATATTCTTCCATGTGCCAGGGACTTTCTGCTCTGATCCTTGCTGAAATGAAACCTCTGAGGTTTCATCCATAAGTAATACTTTAGTGGCTCTACTTCAGTTCTTTCTAGGCAAAGATATTAGGATATTAATAGCTGAGGAGAGGGGTAAAGGCCAGTACCTGTGTAAGAAAATGTGCACGATTGGAAGAGACCACAGAGAAGTTTTCCTAGCTTCACAATTACAGAGGCCCCACTTTGTCCACTAGTTGTAGGGATAAAAGGATACCATTGCTTGAACACCTGTGGTTCTCTGAGTAGTTGGCATGCTTTCTCCATCCTTCTTAAGACTGTGGAGTGTGTGAAAGTACTTCAGGCAGAAGTGTCTGACTTCCATCTATAACTGAGTGAAACAAAGAATAGCCTTTGCTTCTTCCAGACACCCTCTGGGAACTCTCCGCTAGCTCAAGTGCACTCCTTCAGCAAGCGCAGTGAAGCCCTTTTCAAATGCAGTCATGTGCAGAACCCCCCATATACAAAGCAGAGGGAAGTGGGGTTGCTCCAGAGCCCCTGTTCCTCACCACTCCTCTGTGCCCTGCAGAGGCTCTGGTCCATGATGCTGTGCCCTGGTTGAGGACACTGACCACAGAGGTACTTTGGTGGTTGTCACAAATGCTGTTCTCCACTCATGAAGATGGACTGTTTAGCACTGTTTTCACATCTGCGGACTCAAAAGTCAAATAACTTAGACAATGTGAGTCTTGGCTTTGCCAATAACAAGAAACAATGAATGCTATGAGGTGAATGTTTGTGTCCCCCCAAAATTCATATGTTGAAGCCTAAATCTCTGATGTGATGGCATTAGGATGTGGTGTCTTTGAAAGTTGATTAAGTCATGAGGTTAAGCCCTATTGGATGGGATTAGTGCCTTTAGGAAGAGGCCCCGGGGAGCTGTCTTGCCCTATTCTACTGTGGGTGGACATAGCAAGAAATTATCTGTGAACCAAGAAGTAGGTCTTCATCAGACATGGAATCTGCCAGCACCTTGGCCTTTGATTTCCCAGCCTCCAGAATTGTGACAAGTAAATTTCTGTTATGTTACCCTGTTTATGGTACTTTGTTATAACAGCCTGAATAGACTAAGAGAATGGAGAAGTAACTTAGCTGCTGTAGACCCCACTTTACTCATCTATAGAACATTTGATTTTAGAGAGGTGTAAAAAAGTTAACATATGAAAAGTGCCTAGTACAGAGCGAGCCCTCTGTAAAGAGTAGTTGTCATTTTAAAATTAAATAAAACTTAATCCCAAATGACACAGAATTCTTCCATTTTAGGGGAAAAATACAAAATCAACAGATTTAATGAGGGCTGCAAAATACTTGACAATCTCTTCATCATTTAATCACTTTTTCACCCATTCTTAACCCCTGTTGTTATTAGTAGTTCTGTACCAAATCATATATGTCATCACTGTGCCCCTTTTTGCTATAGACAAAACGTTTTTCATGTGTGGTGATGCAAATGTGGACTTTAGGGATACTAATGTAATAATGAGCCAGAAGTTAATGAACAGGAAACTGAACAAGAATGGGGCAGACAACTTGGCACCAGAGATGGCTGCGGGGCAGGAAGTATAAACTAAGCATGTCCAAAAAAGGGGAAGTGATTCGGAAGACCGTAAGGGTGAGCTAGACAAGGGGCTGCTTCTGGATCCACTGAGAACAGACTAGACTGCATGCCAAAGGCAAAACATAAATGCAAGTCCCTCTCCTCACAGCACACAAATAGAGTTTGTGATGAAGTGCCCATTTTCCTTCCCATTGCACAAGTAGTCTGTGTACAATTTACCTAAGCCCTTGGATATGTCTATTTTGTTTATTCTTGGTTCAAATGCATTCGTTCTATCATCTAGAAAATTACACATTCCTTCAAGGCAGGGACAGTGTCATTTGCTTTATATCCCTTTTAATATCCTTGACTTCCATCTGGGTGCAAAGCAACATTCAGCAGGAAAATGGAAGCCACTTTAGGAATTTTGAACAAGGAAATATACTGGAAAAGCTGGAACTGCAACAGGGAGAAAGAGGGGTGTTGGAGGAACATAAAGGAAGAAGAGGTGATCCCCAGATTCGAAGCAGTTAGCCCTTCTGGGCAGGAGCCCATGAGCTTGTTCCTGAAAGTCCAAGTGGGTTGGTGACACTTGAGTTTGACTGTGAGTTCACTCAAGAGCTGCTGTCTCAAAAAAGGAAAAAAAAAAAAAAAAAAAAAAAAAAACCAGTAAAGAAAGTGCTGGCTTTTCCTGGGCTGCTGGAGCCCAAAATCACATCAACCCTACTGCTCCTACAGCAATTGCCATCAACTGCCTCATTTTAAGATTCAGAACCAAGAATCTTTTGTCTTTATCCTGCTTTCTTATTGCTCACCAGTACCTCCAATTAGCAGAACCCAAGGGAAAGACAACTAGTAAGAGTATGAGAAATTTAGGGTGCAAACTCCTGGCTCCAGTAGTATAAGGTATAGAGGAACAGGTGTGGGCTAAAAGACAATAGGTGAATTAATCAGCACATGTGTGATAGTGGAAAGAGCCCTGAGTTTAAAATTAGAAGACCTGAAATCAAGCCGGTATCTAACTCACAGTAATAATGTGATCTTATACAAGTTACGTAAGCTCTCTGAGCCTAAATCTCTCATTTGTAAAAAGAGAAGAATAATAATAATATCTTGCAGAGTTTTGGTGAAGACTAAATGATATAATACATATGAAAACCTTTTAGAAATGATAAAAATGTCTGTGAATTTTAGTTACTTTACACAGTCCTGTTGGCAGTTATCAAATTTACTGCTTAGGAGACAATCATAAGGGTTTTAAAATAATCTACAAAAGATTTCTGCCAGTATCACAGTGTACTGCCTGCACTTAGACTTCCTTTATGACGTAGGAAAACATGACTAAATTAGGGGAGACGTGAGATCAGCGTTGCTTGTCAATTTAGCAGATTTAAAAATGTTTTTTTGCAATTCTCTTCTGATGGGTCATATCCAAAGATAAGCAGCTGAGCCCTCTTAGCAGCAGGAAGGAAGGGCAGCTAGCCTTGGGTTACACAAATGAACTTATTAAGGCGATTTATAAAGCCATCTAGTTAATCAGAAAGGAGGGGAGTGAAAAGAGCCTTTCTTAGCCAAGCCGTGATCGCCCGCTGGACAATTAGAAGCACAGTTTTCATGATACTGTTGTAGTCCTCAGTTGGGGTCAGGCCTATGAGCTAGGATACAGCTGGTGGGTGGATGCAGTAAGGCTGTTAATTAATCACAAGGGGGTGGAAACCAAGGATGAGGCATTCACACCGTTTGATTTTCCATGGCCCCTGTTCCACTGCATTGACCCCCGTTTTCTGGGTTGACCTCTGTTAGATTTCTATGAATTGTTGCATGTTAGGTCTTCATTTACAAGTTACCAGTGGAGTAACTTGTAAATGGATTTTAGCAAACCATTGATTTGGGCCTTCATCAGATAAAGATTGGGTTTAATGTCTTTTAAATATTTTACAGTAAAATGCTAGCTCAACCAGTGTAGGAGATTTGCTGGATTTAGCTATTCATTTGTGCTTTTAACACTCAGCTGTTTTACGCCAGTTAAAATAACAACAGCTAATTTTTTCCTAATGCTTTCTCTGTGTCAGCCACCATTCTAAGCACTTTCCACTGACTCACTTAAACTTCGTAATAACCCTATGAGATAGGAGCCGTGATCCCCATTTTTACAGATGAGGAAATTGAGGCATACAGACCTTAAGTAACTTGCATAAGGTCAGTTAGTAAGTGAGGAGCTGGGCTTTGAACCAAGGTCAGACTGGTTCCAGTGTGTATTCTTGACCACTAGGAAGCATTGCCTCTCAAAAATTGAAACTGCTGTCTCTACTGGTTTGATGATTTTTTACTTAACTCTGTGTGACATATTTAACAACACAAACTTTTGTGGATAAAACATACTCCTGAGTTAGTAAGCAAGTCTCTAAAACTTCAATTGCATCCATGTTTTCAGGTTATCCTTTCTGACTTTGATATTGTTTCAGTATTCTAACACTGGAAATTAAAATATCTAAACCGTTTTTTCACAAGTAAAGAAATGTGCTACATAAAAGGACCAGAATAAGCATCTAGTGCCAACAGAAACTTGGACATATTATTTTACCGATTAGGAAACAGTCCCAAAGGGACCAGAGCTACTTAGTAGCCATGCAAGGTCTAGACAGCATCTGGCCCTGGATGTATTTCTTACACCCAGAGCCCTGAAGCCACATAGCACTTTTAAATTAGTTGGTACCATTTTAAAAAACAGTTGATTTCATATAAAAGTTTGAATTTCTGGCTAAAAGAAAAATGAAGTGATCTGCAAAACTGGGTGTATATTTCCCTGACCACTATCAGCTAAAGCTGAGTAGCAGCACCCTGCACTGTTTAAGCGGGGCCCCAGTGCCCTTTCCTCCGCTGCACAGCTGTATTCTTTAGCTTTAACTGCTTGGCCCCCTTAGGCATTTGAGTTTGAGACCACTAAACTAATTGGAAACAAAGACTTTCTGATTTCTGTCAGGTTGTCTTTGTGTAACACCACAGTGTTCTTTCAGAAAATTACGGCCATTTAGATTTCAGATCCTTTTTTTAAATGTTTTAGTTTAAGATTATAGTCAGGTTGCAACTCCTCTTATGGAGTAATAAAATTGTGTCTCTTCCTCTATACTTTCTTTTCTCTTCTCTCTCTGTCGCTCTGTCTCTCTTCCTCTCCTGTTCTCTGTAACTTAGAGAATTTGTGGTGATATATTAGTTTCAGGCACGGTCAAAAGAAACATTGATCACTGTCTTCATTTAGATGCATTAAGTATATACATACATAACAAATATACTTAAAAACCAGTCAGTGATAACTATCGTTAGCCAGTCCTGACTCATGCTTACCTGTCAAGAAAGACACATTTGAGAAAGTACAAACTCTTTAAAATCAACTTGTCTTTTTCTATGTTGTTATGCCAGTCATTACACTGTATTAATCTCTGGTTTTCTAATTATATAGCATCAGGCATATGACCTCTAAGCATTTGCTTGTTCGCTGGCTATTTTTAACTAAAAAATAAATTGCATAATGAAACTAATTCTATTTCCCATTGAGATAGTGCATTTTGAATTACTCAGAAGGGAGTCCAATTAAGTAGTATTTATCCAAAGTAAATGCAGGAGATAATAAAATATTTCCATGGCATGTTTAATTCAGAACACTCATGCTATGTAAATTAATTTGGTGTTGGATTGAGGTTATATGGAGGAAGGAGTTGCCCAGAAATGCAGCCCTTTTCTTTTGATCTTCTATATTTTATCTGTCAACGACTGAGTGACTAGATTCTGGACTCGCCGGTTTTCGCATTGGAAATGTGACTAATCCCAAGTGGTTTTGTTCATTTTCTCTGAAAGATTTCTCTCTGAAAGTGCCCAGATGTGAGCACTCTTAACTCCAGCTTTGTAATGCTGTTTATCTGGCAGCAGAAACCCTATTTGCAATAGTTAACTATCTTTTTTACATTTGCCATGGTCCAGCAGTGCTGCAGAGCTTTGAGGCTACAGTAGCGAGTTGATGACAATCAGCAGATTCTAAAGCCTTTTCAGAACCCTGAAAGAATAGATAATGATAGTACATAATGCTGAAATGACAAAAGACATAATGGATAGTCAAATGTTGATGCAATTTAGCTTCTAAAAAACGATTACAGTTCATTTTCTTTGATTATCTTTTTCAAGTTTTAACTTTAATTCTTTATTGTTTAAGTTCTGTAAAATGGCATTCAGAAAAACATTACCACATGAAATCTGTCGGAAATGTTTAGATAGTTGTAATCACAAAGAGTAGAAATGCTTGCTTTGTACTGTACTGTTGACCCAGCTCTGTCCTTCTCTGAGAGTTGCTGATTCAACTTTTTAAGGATCTAAATGATTCCTTTTTAAATGTTTGAGGAAAATGGTTTTTAGCTTTTGTGTCAGATAAGAATGGTGTTGTTCCCATCTGAATGAGTTAAACCAAGTACAGTAGTAGTATGTTTGCTCAGGACAAGGAAGTCTGGTGGTCAGCAGTGGGAAAATACGGCACCCAACACATCATTTTAAGGGCAGATGATCCTTTTTGCTTTCTGCTTTTTCCTCCTTAGTTTGTCTTCCTAGTCCTTATTCTTTCAATTTGACTACTGGTAATGCCCACATAGTATGCAAGAAGATTAGGAAAGGCAAAAAGGATGCACGTCTCATGACAGTATTATTTTTCTAACTGACAAATTTATTGGATTTAGCTAACATTGAATGTTAACCTTTGTTGGCTTTGAGATGCAGCCTTTGAAATTTGTGAGATTAATGTATAAGCCTAGTTATTATTTAACCTGCCAAGTTTATATTTAGTAACACCATAGGCTTGCTCCAAAAGTAGGGAATCTCTTTCTCTTCATGGGCTTCTTTTTTGAAAAGAAGGAGACTCACAGTACCATTTTTTATTATATTACAGTTGTTCTCAAACCTTAGTGTGCATCAGAATCACCTGAAGGATTCACTGCAATACAGATTCTAGTCCCCAGCCCCAAAGTTTCTATTCAGTGGGCTTGGGGTAGGTCCAAAGAATTTGCCTTTTTAACAAGTTTCCAGTTTATGCTGATGCTGGGGGTCTGGAGACCTCATGTTCAGAACCCAGTGGGTTAGAATAATTTTCTATTACAAGTCAAGATTCTTGCTAGTGAGGAATCTAGATAAGGCTTTAAATAAAGCCTGAATTTCTGTGACATAGGTATTGATGGCATTTAATTCAACAACCATTTCTTGAGTGCCTCCCATGTGCCCAACACTGATGACACTACTAGTCTTGAAAAGAGAAAGATGAGTCAAAGATTCTGCCCTTAAAAAGCTTATAAACAGATGTTAGTCAAAATTTACAAAATTTTAGCTAGATGGGAGGAACAAGTTCAAGAGATCTGTTGTACAACATCGTGACTATAATTAAAAACAATATAGTTTTCTTGAAAAATACTAAGAGAATACATTTTAAGTATTTTCACCACACGATGACAGCTATGTGAGATAATACATGTTAATTTGCTTGATTTAGCCATTCCACAATGAATATATATTTCAAAACATGTTGTACATGGTAAATATACACAATTTTGTGTCAGCTTTAAAAAAGGCTTACAAACATGCTTCAAGTACCTAAATGACTACACTTAAAAGGCAGAGAATTTATCTATATGTTTTCTATTTATACTGTTGGTAGTGTATAAAGGATTTTTAATGGAATACCGAATTCTTTGATCATACTATTTCAACTCTTCCAATGGTTATTTTGCATTTCTATTTGAAACAGACAGTTGTATCCTGTGATCGCTCCAAGTCCTAGATAACTTTTGTTTCAGCGAAGTTTCAGCCCCGTTCAATTCATGTGCTATTCCAATCAGGCTGATCTTCAACCCCCTACCCCACCCTCAGAAAAATAAAAATATAGAAAAGCCATTGCAAGTAATAAAAGAGACCCAAGGTCTAAATCATAACCGTTAGCCAAAGAAATGAATAATATCTCCTCCAAAGAAGGAAAATTACATCTGCTTCAAAAATAAAAATCACAAACAAATTCAGTAGTGATGGTCTATATGGTTAGTTACCTGTTTTCTTTTTGGTGGGAGAAAACACTTTCCCTACTGTTACTGGAAAGACTAATGGAGAACTCTCCCGCCTGCTAATTGTTAATATATTCTAGGAAGCATTTAAATAGAAGTGGGACAGGTTCTTATGTAATTTAAACTGTCTACCAACCTGAGAAAGGATTTGTGTCTCCAACAAAATATGCTGTTAAATAAAGATAGGGGTATGCAATAACGTATGAATTGATGAGAAGTGAGCTAAAACATAAGTTTCTTATTAAATCTAAACTAATTGGCATATAAAGATGCATGTACATTAGTTTACTTACAGTTCTCAAAATACTACACTGATGTACATTTTCCATATACCTTTGAGTAGCCATTGCCAATATATGCAGTTGTTAAAAATTTTTATTTTTATGGATTTAGGGGTACAAATGCAGTTGTGTTACACAGATATATTGCATAGTGGTAAAGTCTGGGCTTTTAATGTTACGCATCACCCCAATAGTGAACATCGTACCCAATAGGTAATTTTTCATCCCTCATCCCCCTCCCACTCTCCCACCTCTTGGAGTCTTCAATGTCTGTTATTCCACTTTGCATATTCCTGCGTATCCATTGTTTAGCTCCTACTTGAAAGTAAGAACATGTGGTGTTTGACTTTCTGTTTTCAGTCATTTCACTAAGGATAATGGTCTCTAGTTCAATCCATTCTGCTGCAAAAGACATTATTTTATTCTTTTTTATGGCTGAGTAGTATTCCATGGTTATGTGTATACGTATGTGTGCATGTATATACGCTACATTTTTTAAATCCAATCCATTGATGGACACTTAGGTTGATTCCATAACTTTGCTATTATGAATAGTGCTGTGATAAATATATGAGTACAGGTGTCTTTTTGATAAAATGATCTTTTTTCCTTTGGGTAGATATCTAGTAATGGGATTACAGGATCAAGAGGTAGTTCTATTTTTAGTTCCTTGCAAAATCTCCTTACTGTTTTCCACAGAAGCTGTACTAATTTACATTCCCACCAACAGTGTATAAGCGTTTCTTTTTTTTTTCCCACATCCTCACCAACATCTGTTGTTTTTTTGACTTTTTAATAATAGCCATTCTGACTGGGTGTTAGATGGTATCTCATGTGTTATTGGTGACATTGTTATTGTCATGACACAAATGGTTTTCATATTCATTTTTATGATTAGTGATGTTGAGCATTATTTTGTATGTTTGTTGGCCACTTGTATGTCTTCTTTTGCAAAATGTCTATTCGTCTTCTTTCCCCACTTTTTAATGGGATTATTTGTTTTTTCTTGATGAGTTGTTTGAGTTCCTCATAGATTCTGGATCAGTTTTGCCTTTGTTGGATGCATTGTTTACAAATATTTTGTCCCATTTTGTAGGTTGTCTGTTTACTCTGTTGATTATTTCTTTTGCTGTGCAGAAGCTTTTTAGTTTAATTAAGTTCCATTTGTCTATTTTTGTTTTTGTTGTGTTTCCTTTTCAGGACTTAGTCATAAATTCTTTGACTAGACCAATGTTCGGAAGAGTTTTTCTTAGCATTTTTATAGTTGTTCCATATTTTTAGAGTTGTTTATATATATTGTTATATATTTTTATAGCTGTTCATTTTTATATCTTCTTCTAGCATTTTTATAGTTTCAGGTCTTACATTTAAGTCTTTAATCCATCTTGAGTTAATTTTTGTGTATGGTAAGAAATAGGGGTCCAGTATGATTCTTCGGCATATGGCTTTTCAATTTTCAAGCACTATTTATTGAATAAAGTGTCCTTTCCCCAGTGTATATTTTTGTTGACTGTCAAAGATCAAGAGAGTATACTTAGAAGAGCTTGAATAAACAAACCTCTTTCACGTGCCTTATAAAAATTACCCGTTTAGGATTTCTTAAGATTTAAAAACTCAATGTACTGGAACCTCACTATGTAAGATGTGCCTAAACATAATAAAAATATCGTATCTGATTCTACGGACATTAAAGTGGAATGGAAAAACTGTGGGCTATGGAGTAACACAGACGTGGCTTTGAATTATGGTTCTTCTATCTACAGCCATACCACCCTGAGCGTGCCTGATCGTGTCTGAATTATGGTTCTTCCACTTAATAGCTGTGTCTGCAAAATGGGAGGGGAAACACTTACTTCACAGGATTTGGGAGGATTAAATAAAGTAAGGTACAGAAAGTACTTAGAAGAATGGCTGATACATGTTAATCATTCAATAAATACTTCCTTTTCCACATCAAATCTTTTTTTCTTTTCTCCTATTCCTTTTCTTCCACCTCCTTCCTTTTTTTTCCGCTTTCTTCTTCCCCTACTCTTACTTGTTCGCCTTTTTATTTTTATTTGTTCATTCCAGTGAGTATTGTTCTACATAAAGGAATCATTTCACTGAATCTCTATCATCATTTTCATTTATTGAGGATGCACTTAATTTCTGAAAAGATCATTCACGACCAACACCATGCTAGCAGATAAGGCTTATAAATACTGCTCTACACAGTGGATTGCAAACTACTGCTGCTGGCCACACCTGTCCCTTTTCCTATTTTGAGCCATAAATTTTTTTATGTTTTTAAATTGTTGAAAAAGAAAAAAGGAATAATATTTCATGATGTGAAAAATTACATGAAATTCAAATTTCTGTGACCATAAATAAAGTTTTACTGGAACACAGCCATATGCATTTGTTTAATCCTATGGCTGCCTTCATGTGGTAATGACAAAGTAGTTTCGACAGAAACTATAAGGCTTACAAAGCCTACTATAAGCCATACATACGTTTTTGACCCTTTCCAGAAACTGTTTGCTGACTACTATTCTGAAGGAATGAAACATATGTGCATTTTAATTTGGTTTTGAAGCTAGCTCTGAAAGGAGAGTTTTGTGGTAGAAGCTGTAGTAGCAGGGCTAGAATCCATATTGAGCTTCCTAAGGTAACTATGTGGATGGGAGGTTTCAAAGAGATAGATGGTGGAGTTTCTGATATAATTGTATACACAAACAGACAAAAATCCATCTCTCTGCTCTTCTCATCATGTCATTAACTCCTGACAAAATATAGTGAATGATAACTTTGTCCAAAGGAGTTTTGTTTCTAGCTTCCCAATGCTTTTAGACAATTCTGTCTCTGAAGCAATCAAGACACTAGTCTGGAGAGACTGGTCTAGTAAGGTTTCACTGAAACAAGCCCCATTAACAGTTTGGACCTGAATCCTTCCCCCTACCCTAGTTAGTCTGTTATCCTTGGGAAATCCATTGTCTCCTCTGAGCAAACTGGGAATTCTGTTGTTTCTCTTTAGGACTAAGACTGACCAGATCAAATATCCATTTTGAAAACTATTGTAAAGCTTTTTTTCAAAACAGATTGAAACCCATCACATATTCCCTGATAGTACCCCCTGATAGAGCCAGTACCTGTATTTGTGAATAAATGCACATTGTTCTTCAATTAAATACAAACAGCTATTCCTGTGAGGATTAGTGGTATAGTATTTTGCCCTAAAGGAATGGAAGTGAGTGAACAGGAAAGGGTGGAAGGTCTTTTTGTTGTTGTTCTTGCAGGCATGTGGAAGACATGACACAATCTGTTATTCAGTGACTGAGACTGAGGGAGGAGACTGAGGAATAAAGCCATTGGGTGGACTTAGAGCTCAGATGGTTTAGCTAGACAAGCCAATGGATTTAATAAGAGAACACTGTCCATCAATTGCATTGGTGCTCCTGACTTTTCGTAATAGCATCTAATTCCTCTCCTCTCTCAAAGTCTCACCCGTCTGTTGTTCACATTGCTGCTTCAGTCATTCAAGGAGTAGGTGAATGAGCCCTTCTACCCACAACTCTGATTAGTCATTCATTTGCTGGAGTGCTAATTATGTGCCAGTAGCTGTGCTAAGTGCGTGCAGCACAAAGCAGAACAAGAAGTGTGTCCTGCCCTCCCCAGCGAGGTGCTTACAGGCTCCCAGTGGAGACAGACTTGTAAACAAGTGTAGTGAAGTAGGGTGGGTTTCTAATGTATGTCTATGCGAGTGAAAATCACTTCCTGGGGACAGACAAGTAAACTAACAGTTGCGGTTCCGTATAAGCTTTGAGTTGGGCACAGAGGAAGAACATCTGTCTCAGAACAGGGAGTCTCAAAAAGCTTCCAGGGAGAGGATGGAGACTTAAAGAATGAGAAGGGGAGGGGTGTGAGCCACACAGAAGTGAGCAAGTGTCAAATCATAAGGGACCTTATGTGCCAAGTAGGAAGTCTGAACATTAACTTGGGAACCGCAGGGCCCTGAGCAGAGGAGTCATGTGATTAAGGTTTTGTAAAGATGCTCTGGAAGCTGTGTGGAGAATGGACTGGAGGGTACTGACTCTGGAGGCAGAAAACCTTGTTAGAGCTTTTTAGGGTATCCAAGTCTGGCCTGCAACACCTAAATAAAGAAAGTAAAAGAGGTTGAGAAGAGAGACTCACCTGAACTGGGTGACTTCTTAAGGCGGTGAGGGAGAAGGAGGAGACAGGAGTGTGGATGACTTAGGTTTCAGCTTGGAGTCCAAGCACATGAGAGTAGTTCAAACATCAGATGTTTATAGTAGGAACAACAAAGACAAAGTAGAATAGAATTTTCGGACAAGAGACATTTAAGAAATGTGATATAATTTGGAAATGAGAGGCTGGGCATAATGGCTTACACCTGTAATCCCAGCACTTTGGGAGGCTGGGATTTGAGACCACCCTGGCCAACATAGTGAAACCCCGTCTCTACTAAAAAATAGAAAATATTAGCCAGGTTTGGTGGTGTGTGCCTGTAATCCAGCTACTCAGGAGGCCGAGGCAAGATAATCACTTGAACCCAGGAGGCAGAGGTCGCAGTGAGCCAAGATCGCACCACTGCACTCCAGCCTGGGCAACAGAGTGAGACTCCATCTCAAAAAACAAAACAAAACAAGAATTTGGAAATGAGTGACATATACAGGATGAATGGAGTAAGAGAATTGTAAGGGGAGCTGGAAAAGGGACATTCAAGAGCTAAAATGTGAAGGAAGATTGTGGAACCAAAGGGAGTGGAACACTGAAAAGAAGGTAGCAAGGGGTCAACAGTGCCACACACTGCAGAAAAGCCAAGTGAGACCACGGTAGATAATATCATTCTCTGTACCAGGAGCCTCAGACTTAGACATTCAGGACCCTCCTGGAAGTGATCCAGCCTTTTCCAAACCTATCTCCTTTTACTCCTGACATCTGTCGAATTGAACCATTCTGTTTCCCACGTGTGCCCCTCATTCGCATCTCCTGCTCCTTTTCCTTTCCTGGAACAAGTGCTTCAAAGTCCACATCAGATGGCATCACCTTCAATTGTGACTAATCTGGCATTCATCTCTCCCTTTCCTTGGCAATCATAGCAATTTTTCTGTACATCTCTGTGACACAAATCACTTTCTACCAAATATTATGATCACTCATGTAATTGTACTTTCTGCTTAGTTGCAAAGCACACAAATCATATTTGCAGAATACTTTGAAATTCAACTGTTAGGTCATACTAAAGACAGTTATGTAATAGTCTTTCACTAACAATCTGAAGAATTCTAAAACCAACTTCCCACCACCAAAATTTAGCTCTTAGAAGCTTAATGATGTGTGATATGAAATCAGTATAGCTGACTTTCTCACAACATTCTTACATTGTTTGTTCATTTTCTTAGACAGTTTTAACTTTGATTACAGAAAGTCAGTATACTTAGAGAGTAGGGAACAGAGAAGCATTTTTAAACACTGGTTTTTAAAGTAGGCTGCATATTAGAATCATCTAGGGAGTTTTAGAAATCCTGGTGCCCAGGTCCCACCCCCAGAACTTCTGATTTAATTGATAGGGCCTGTGGCCTGGGCACTGGGAGTCTTCAAATCTCCCCAGGCGGCTCTAGTGTGCAGTAGAGTTTGAGAACTACTGTTTTTCAAGTTCACTTGCATTTGAAGGTCGTGTCTTTTACTAGTGATGACTAATTGTTTCTACGTTGAGATGTGTATGTAGTTATAAATTTGTTTTTAACTGTCATGTATTCTCTCTTTTTCTCCCTGTGCCCCCAATTCATGAGAGAACAATCCGCAAAGGATGACTGACAGAGCTCTTATCTCTGCCAGGAGAGAAATACCAATTTCTTTTATAAATGGGTTGCTTTGGCCAGTTGCCAGAAAACAACAAAACCTTGAATATATAAAAATGTCTAGCTTGATAGAAAATACATTTGATTTTACACTAAAATTTTGAGGTACATTAACATTGTTCCAAGTACCAAATAGAAAAATAAGCATGTTAACTTTATTCTTAGCAAGTTCCAGGTAAGCAAAAATTTCTTTTAAAAAAATAGGTAGATGAGTGCTACTGCCCCAGTGTTATATGTTTCTGGTAATCATGTCTCCAGAAAGAAAATGTGTATAGATTTCTTTCTTTAAAGAGAAATGAAAGAGAAAGAGAGATAAGCACTGAGGTATCCATCAGCTCATCCCAGACATTAGTAAAGTGCTCCAACTTGTGTTTTACAGGAGAAATCCTAACAGTGGTTTCCTGCTTACATTCTCTGTTGGAAATCTTAATTTTAGTCCTTTCATTAGAAATGGTATAATAATATCTTTTGTTCTTTATACTGTACTTTGTTATACTACTAAGTTTGTGTACTCTTTATAAAGAGATGGGTACATCCAGAAGTACTAAATAAGTGATCATACATGGCTGCTTGTTATTTAAGCTATTCCATATTTATGTAACTGTTATGTCAGACAGGACTCACAGGGGGCAATGACATAACAACTTTAATTTTTCCCACAGTTGCTCCTACACTTCTGCTCTGTGGGGCAGTTCTGCTCCTGGAAGAAATCTCAGACACTTACTTCACCCAATTGTGTTTAATCAAAAATCTTCCAAACATTTGAATTCCTGAAACACTCCCAGTTTGGTTATTATTACATCCAGTTTGCCCATCAAAACTTCCAACTGTGTTCGCAGCCAAGGCTTTGCCCCTTCCCCGGCTCAGGCCTGCTGGCATGGTCAGAGAAGCCCCAAGCTTGGCAGCCATCTCATGCTGATAGCTCTGAGTTCCCTGGAGACCCTCCATTCCCCACACCCCACCTCCCAACTGCCACTGGGGCTTTACCCTGCCTTTCTGGTGGGTCCAAGTGTATAACCCCTCCCTTAGCTCCTGGGCAGCCAGCTAGACCCCTCTGCCATCCTTTCAAATTTTTGCCAAGATCCAATTCACATATTTCCTATGCCATGAAACCTTTTTGATTCATAATCTCAAGATAGCTTCCTTTTCTCTGAACTCTCATAGCACGTCATGCCTTCCTGTACCATTTATCCCTTTATTCCTTGTATTTTAGTAATTTATGGCACAGTCTCCTGTTATCTCCCCTACTATACACGGAACTTTTTGATAATGCTCATCATTCGTTTTTTTATTGCCCACAGTGTTGGGATTAAAAAAGAATATATTAAAATAAAAGTAAAGGCATTTATAAAATGTGTAGTTAGGTTATTATCATATTTAAAGTTCATGTTATATATGTAAACAACTATATAATTGAAGACAAGAAATTACTCAGGTATTGAATTTTGCTCATTTCATCAGGTTAAGAGGAAAAGGTAGATTTATATTTTATAATTTTTTAGATATTTAAAAATGGAAACAAATACAGTCATTCAAAAGCAATTTAATTTAAGCTGTTATATGAAGTAATTATCATATTTATTGTGTTATACCAAAGAGCAGACAGCAGATTATTTCCTTTACAAAAGGAACCCATATCTAAAAACTGTTGGGACTTCAGAACAGGTTTTTCATCATTTAATTTTTAAATATTGAATACCTTCCTGACTTTTAAGAGCTTTTAGCATAAAAGACCATTGCCTCCCTGTCTACCTTCCCTGTCTTCATGCAGAAGATAATTCATTTTTTTTACTTGATATTAGTGAGCATACAGACCCAGACTAAAACCCAGCTTATTATATATTTAAGAAATCATATTAAGGTGGCATTTGTGTCTTCTTTATAACAGCTGCGCTGTGTTGCCAGATCCTTTATTTCATTATGTAAAATACAATGACATTGTTATTTCCCCCAGTCCAGTTAAAAATGGACAACGGTCAAACTATTTTCAGTAGCACCAAAGAAACTAAATATGAGAGTTCTAGGTTAATCTCATCATGATTTTTGAGACAGTTCAATGAAAAAATTCACTTCAGATATATTTAGGGTTTCATCTTTCATTGCTGTCCAGTGGGAGGTCTCCATTCCAACTCTTACCATTCTGTGAGTTCAGTCATTCTTTTTAAAGGTAGTTGTAGCACAATTGAATAGCATGGGCTGACTGCTGGATATGCTTAGGGTGGTAGTTCTTGGCCATCCAGTAATTCTTTATTTACTTATCAAAACTGCATTGGCAATCGTCCTTGGCAGAGAGGGAGTAAGAGAGGCTTTTACCTCACATATGAAGCCTCTTCCTGTTTATTGCAGATTGCAGCTTGTTCTGGTGAAAGGAGCCAGAATTGCTAGCGCTTCTAAGTTCATTCGCCTGTTGGGAAGAATAATTTTATTTTGAGCTACCAAACAAAATAACTGTGAACCTACTGATGTTGAGATCAGGCCAGCTTTTAACCTACAGGATTCTGTTGGTGTCTTTTTATTCTGGGCTTTCATTGTATTCACTATTAAATGGTTTGGATACAAAAATTACCTGGAGAGACCTAAGATTTGTTTTTGATGGTGAATGTTGGACCAGGCTGCTGAAGCGGAGTGTGCAGCTGAACATGTGGGACACCAGTGTCCATTCTGCATTGATGCTCAGACTCCTCTTTAAAACACTCCGCCCACATTTATGTAGCTGTTAAATTACAAATAATACTCTCCTCCTTTAAGCAGCATAAAGATGGTGTTGCAGGCTGGGCATGGTGGCTCATGCCTGTTTTCTCAGCACTTTAGGAGGCTGAGATGGGAGGATCACTTGCTCAGGAGTTTGAGACTGGCCTGGGCAACACAGTGAGACTTCTGTCAAAAATTGGAAAAAAAAATCAGTTGGCTGTGGTGGCACATGGTTGTAGTGCCAGCTACTTGGGAGGCAGAGGCGAGAGGATTCTTTGAGCCCAGGGGTGGGGTGGGTGGGGAGGGCAGGGGGGATGGGGGAAGGCGGCAGGTCAAGGCTACAGTGAGCTATTATCGCACCACTGCACTCCAGCCTGGGTAACGGAGCAAGATCCTGTCTCAAAAAACAAACAAACAACAACCAAAAAAAAACAGTGTTGCATAAGTCACACTGTGGGTGAGGGCATAAATCTCCCCAATTCCCAAACTTCCAGATAGAAAATATATATTTTTCTGTATTTATGCATATATTTTGTACTTTGAGAATATCAGTGTTTAAAGGCACATGAAACAAACTACAACAATTATGAAACACAAAACAGGGTTCTGTTAGATTTGTGAGTATGTAAAAATGTCAAATATTTTCACCAACAGGAAATAAAAACAAAGGAAATAAAATTGATAAAACTATTATTAATCTCAAGGAAAAATCTGCCACTATCATATTCATGTAATCAGAGACTTTCCAGCGATTTTAGTCATGCTACACTTATGCCAGGAAACCCACTCAGATTAACACCAAATAACTCATCTCTTACCATATAGTCTTTATCTGGGTGTGTTTTCTCGTCACCTGGTATAATGGAAAGAGTGCCTTCTAAGCAGACAACCTTCTTTCAGTGGCTTGGCCTCTTACTTTCTATATGGGCCTTGACAAGACACTGCTACTCTTCAAGCCTCAGTTTTTTCATCTGTAAAATGGGAGTCCAAGTTCATTATTCCTTAAGAGGAGTTTTAGAATTCAGGATTATTGGAGTCGCTTCCAAGATGGCCGAATAGGAACAGATCTGGTCTACAGCTCCCAGCAAGATCGACACAGAAGACGATGATTTCTGCATTCTGCATTTCCAACTGAGGTACCTGGTTCATCTCACTGGGACTGGTTGGACAGTGGGTGCAGCCCATGGAGGGCGAGCCAAAGCAGGGTGGGGTGTCGCCTCACTGGGGAAGCGCAAGGGGTCAGGGGGATTTCCCTTTCCTAGCCAAGGGAAGCTGTGAGTGACTGTATCTGGAGGAACGGTATGCTCCTGCCCAAATACTGTGCTTTTCCTATGGTCTTCACAACCAGCAGACCAGATTACCTCCTGTGCCTGGTGTGGCAGGTCCCACGCCCACGGAGCATTGCTCACTGCTAGTGCAGCAGCCTGAGATTGACCTGGGACCCTGGAGCTTGGTGCGGGGAGGGGCGTCCGCCGTTGCTGAGGCTTGAGTAGCTGGTTCTGTGCTCACCGTGTAAACAAAGTGGCAGGGAAGCTCAAACTGGGCAGAACCCACTTCAGCTCAGCAAGGCTTACTGCCTCTCTAGATACCACCTCTAGGGCAGGGCATATCTGAACAAAAGGCAGCAGACGACTTCTGCAGACTTAAACGTCCCTGCCTGACAGCTCTGAAGAGACCAGTGGTTCTCCCAGCACTGCATTTGAGATCCGATAATGGACAGACTGCCTTCTCCAGTGGGTCCCTGACCCCTGTGTAGCCTGTCTGGGAGACACCTCCCAGTAGGGACTGACAAACACCTCATACAGGTGGGTGCCCCTCTGAGATGAAGCTTCCAGAGGAAGGATCAGGCAGCAATACTTGCTGTTCAGCAGCCTTCGCTGGTGATACTCAGGCAAACAGGGTCTGGAGTGGACCTCCAGCAAACTCCAGCAGACCTGCAGCGGAGGGGCCTGTTAGAGGGAAAACTAACAAACAGGAAGCAATAGCATCAACATCAATGAAAAGGACATCTACATCAAAACCCCATCTCTAGGTCACCAACATCAAAGACCAAAGGTAGATAAAACCACAAAGATGAGGAGAAACCAGAGCAGAAAGGCTGAAGATTCCAAAAACCAGAAGGCCTCTTCTCCTCCAAAGGAACATAACTCCTTACCAGCAAGGGAACAAAACTGGATAGAGAATGAGTTTGACGAGTTGACAGAAGTAGGCTTCAGAAGGTTGGTAGTAACACACTTCTCCGAGCTAAAGAAGCATGTTCTAACCCATCACAAAGAAGGTAAAAACCTTGAAAAAAGCTTAGATGAATGGCTAACTAGAATAACCAGTGTAGAGAAGACCTCAAATGACCTGATGGAGCTGAAAACCACAGTACAAGAACTTTGAGAAGCATACACAAGCTTCAATAGCCTATTCGATCAAGCAGAAGAAAGGATATCAGTGATTGAAGACCAAATTAATGAAATAAAGCGAGAAGACAAGATTAGAGAAAAAAGAGTGAAAAGAAATGAACAAAGCCTCCAAGAAATATGGGACAATGTGAAAATACCAAATCTACATTTGATTGGTATACCTGAAAGTGACAGGGAGAATGGAACCAAGTTAGAAAACACTTTTCAGGGTATTATCCAGGAGAACTTCCCCAACCTAGCAAGGTAGGCCAACATTCAAATTCAGGAAATACAGAGAACACCACAAAGATACACCTCGAGAAGAGCAACCCCAAGACACATAGTTGTCAGATTCACCAAGGTTGAAATGAAGGAAAAAATGTTAAGGGCAGCCAGAGAGAAAGGTCGGGTTACCCACGAAGGGAAGTCCATCAGACTAACAGCGGATCTCTCTGCAGAAACCCTACAAGCCAGAAGAGAGTGGGGGCCAATATTCAACATTCTTAAAGAAAAGAATTTTCAACCCAGAATTTCATATCCAGCCAAACTAAGCTTCAAAAGTGAAGGAGACATAAAATCCTTTACAGACAAGCAAATGCTGAGAGATTTTGTCACCACCAGGCCTGCCTTACAAGAGCTCCTGAAGGAAGCACTAAACATGGAAATGAACAACCAGTACCGCCACTGCAAAAGCATGACAAATTGTAAAGACCATCAACGCTATGAAGAAACTGCATCAATTAATGGGCAAAATAATCAGGTAGCACCATAATGACAGGATCAAATTCACACCTAACAATATTATCCTTAAATGTAAATGGGCTAAATGCCCAAATTAAAAGACACAGACTGGCAAATTAGATAAAGAGTCAAGACCCATCATTGTGCTGTATTCAGGAGACCCACCTCATGTGCACAGACACACATAGGCTCAAAATAAAGGGATGGAGGAAGATCTACCAAGCAAACGGAAGCAAAAAAAAAAAGCAGGAGTTACAATCTTAGTCTCTGATAAAACAGACTTTAAAACAACAAAGATCAAAAGAGACAAAGAAGGCCATTACATAATGGTAAAGGGATCAATGCAACAAGAAGAGTTAACTATCCTAAATATATATGCACCCAATACAGGAGCACCCAGATTCATAAAGCAAGTTCTTAAAGACCTACAAAGAGACTTAGACTCCCACACAGTAATAATGGGAGACTTTAACACCCCACTGTGAATATTAGACAGATCAACAAGACAGAAAATTAACAAGGATATCCAGGACTTGAACTCAACTCTGGAACAACCAGACCTAATAGACATCTACAGAACTCTCCACCCCAAATCAACAGAATATACATTCTTCTCAGCACCACATCGCACTTATTCTAAAATTGACCACGTAATTGGAAGTAAAACACTCCTCAGCAAATGTAAAAGAAAAGAAATCACACAAACTGCCTCTCAGACCACAGTGCAATCAAATTAGAACTCGGGATTAAGAAACTCACTCAAAACCGCACAACTACATGGAAACTGAACAACCTGCACCTGAATGACTACTGGGTAAATTACGAAATTAAGGCAGAAATAAAGATGTTCTTTGAAACCAACGAGAACAAAGACACGATGTACCAGAATCTCTGGGACACATTTAAAGCAGTGTGTAGAGGGAAATTTATAGCACTAAATGCCCACAAGAGAAAGCAGGAAAGATCTAAAATCAACACCCTAACATCACAATTAAAAGAGCTAGAGAAGCAAGAGCAAACAAATTCAAAAGCTAGCAGAAGACAATAAATAACTAAGATCAGAGCAGAACTGAAGGAGATAGAGACACGAAAAACCCTTCAAAAAATCAGTGAATCCAGGAGCTGGCTTTTTGAAAAGATCAACAAAATTGAGAGACCGCCTGCAAGACTAATAAAGAAAAGAGAGAAGAATCAAATAGATGCAAAATAAAATGATAAAGGGGATATCACCATCGATCCCGCAGAAATACAAACTACCATCAGAGAATACTATAAACACCTCTACACAAATAAACTACAAAATCTAGAAGAAATGGATAAATTCCTGGACAAATACGCTCTTTGAAGACTAAACCAGGAAGAAGTTGAATCTCTGAATAGATCAATAACAGGTCTGAAATTGAGGCAATAATTAATAGCCTACCAATCAAAAAAGTCCAGGACAAGATGGATTCCCAGCTGAATTCTACCAGAAGTACAAAGAGGAGCTGGTACCATTCCTTCTGAAGCTATTCCGATCAGTAGAAAAAGAGGGAATCCTCCCTAACTCATTTTATGAGGCCAGCATCATCCTGATACCAAAGTCTGGCAGAGACACAGCAAAAAAAGAGAATTTTAGGCCAATATCTGTGATGAATATCGATGCAAAAATCCTCAATAAAATACTGGCAAACCGAATGCAGCAGCACATCAAAAAGCTTATCCACCACGAGCAAGTTGGCTTCATCCCTGGGATGCAAGGCTGGTTCAACATACGCAAATCAATAAACGTAATCCATCACATAAACAGAACCAGTGACCAAAACCACATGATTATCTCAATAGATACAGAAAAGGCCTTCAACAATATCCAACAGCCTTTCATGCTAAAAAACTTTCAATAAATGAGGTATTAATGGAATGTACCTCAAAATAATAAGAGCTTTATGACAAACCCACAGCTAATGTCATACTGAATGGGCAAAAACTGGAAGCATTCCCATTGAAAGCCAGCACAAGACAAGGATGCCGTCTGTCGCCACTCCTATTCAAAATGTATTGGAAGTTCTGGCCAGGACAATCAAGCAAGAGAAAGAAATAAAGTGTATTCAATTAGGAAAAGAGGAAGTCAAATTGTCTTTGTTTGCAGATGACGTGACTGTATATTTAGAAAACCCCATCATCTGAGCCCAAAATCTCGTTAAGCTGATAAGCAACTTCCGCAAAGTCTCAGGATACAAAATCAATGTGCAAAAACCACAAGCATTCCTATACACCAATAACAGACAAACAGAGAGCCAAATCATGAGTGAACTCCCATTCACAATTACTACAAAGAGAATAAAATACCTAGGAATCCAACTTACAAGAGTAGTGAAGGACCTCTTCAAGGAGAACTACAAACCACTCCTCAGTGAAATAAAAGAGGACACAAACAAATGGAAAAACATGCCATGCTCATGGATAGGAGGAATCAATATCCTGAAAATAGCCATACTGCCCAAGGTAATTTGTAGATTGAATGCTATCCCTATCAAACTAACACTGACTTTCTTCACAGAATTGGAAAAAACTACTTTAAATTTCATATGGAACAAAAAAGAGCCCACATAGCCAAGACAATCCTAAGCAAAAAGAGCAAAGCTGGAGGCATCACGCTACCTGACTTCAAACTACACTACAAGGCTACAGTAACCAAAACAGTGTGGTACTGGTATCAGAACAGATACAGACCAATGGAACAGAACAGAGACCTCAGAAATAACACCACACATCTACCACCATCTAATCTTTGACAAACCTGAGAAAAACAAGCAATGGGGAAAGGATTCCCTATTTAATAAATGGTGCTGGGCAAACTGGCTAGCCATATGTAGAAGTTGAAACTAGATCCCTTTCTTACATCTTACACAAAAATTAACTGAAGATGGATTAAAGATTTAAATGTTAGGCCCAAAACCATAAAAACCCTAGAAGAAAACCTAGGCAATACCATTTAGGACATAGGCATGGGCAAAGACTTCATAACTAAAACACCAAAAGCAATGGCAACAACAGCCAAAATAGACAAATGGGATCTAATTAAACTAAAGAGCTTCTGCACAGCAAAAGAAACTATCATCAGAGTGAACAGGCAACCTACAGAACGGGAGAAAATTTTTGCAATCTACTCATCTGACAAAGGGCTAATATCCAGAATCTACAAAGATCTTAAACAAATTTACAAGAAAAAAACAACCGCATAAAAAGTGGGCAAAGGTATGAATGGACATTTTTCAAAAGAAGACATTTATGCAGCCAACAGACATATGAAAAAAAGCTCATCATCACTGGTCATCAGAGAAATGCAAATCAAAACCACAATGAGATACCATCTCACACCAGTTAGAAGGGCGATCATTAAAAAGTCAGGAAACAACAGATTCTGGAGAGGATGTAGAGAAATAGGAACGCTTTTACACTGTTGGTGGGACTGTAAACTAGTTCAACCATTGTGGAAGACAGTGTGGCGATTCCTCAAGGATCTAGAACTAGAAATACCATTTGACCCAGCCATCCCATTACTGAGTGTATACCCAAAGGATTATAAATCATGCTACTATAAAGACACATGTACACTTTTGTTTATTGCGGCACTATTCACAATAGCAAAGACTTGGAACCAACCCAAATGCCCATCAATAATAGACTGGATAAAGAAAATATGGCACATGTATACCATGGAATGCTATGCAGCCATAAAAAAGGATGAGTTCATGTCCTTTGTAGGGACATGGATGAAGCTGGAAACCATCATTCTCAGCAAAATATCACAAAGACAGAAAACCAAACACCACATGTTCTCACTCATAAGTGGGAGTTGAACAATGAGAACACATGGACACAGGGAGGGGAATATCACACACCAGGGCCTGTTGGCAGGTGGGGGGCTGGGGGAGGGATAGCGTTAGGAGAAATACTTAAATGACGAGTTGATAGGTGCAGCAAACCAACATGGCACATATATACCTATGTAACAAATCTGTATATTGTGCACATGTACCCTAGAACTTAAAGTATAATAATAATAAAGAAAAAAATAGAATTCTGGATTATTTTTAGTATTTTTATTTTTGAAAGATAACATGATATATAAATATATATAATCAAAGTGATATATATATGTTACCTTTTTAAAATCAAAATTCTAAAAATAGGGTGCTATGTATATAAATATATAAAAATATGTATAACATATATAAATGTTTTATAACACCCCCAGTGGGGTCTAGAACAGTACCCTATGATCAAACATATTAGTAACTCTTCAGTAAAACGTACAAACATTTACACTTAGTGGGATAAATAAAGATCGTCAACTGGTCAGGTTTGTCATCAAAACTTGCATTTTTCAGAGCTTTTGGATAAATGATGGTGAGCCTGCACTAACCCCTACTTTAGGAGTGTGTGTGTTCAGCAAAGAGCAGTTACTGCCCCAATAGTTGCTGGTGTTTTTACTTAAATTAATGGCAGATAATGTGGATCTCATCTTTTACAAAAATTGGAATGTGAATAAAGAAATTCTATTCGATATACAACTTTGATTCCTACTAGACTTTATAAAAGACCATGTGATACTTTAAAAACAGTGGTGAAATTCACTCTTCAAGAAGATAATACTCACAGGAGGGCATAAATGCCTTCTTGAGTAATTTTAGATCCAGATATGTTACTCTGTTCTGAGATGATTGATAAGATCAGAATTATAAATTTAGAATAGGAAATGAGGTTTCCATTACATACAGTTAAAATTAGTACCAAGACATTTTTAGCTTTTTCCCTTTTTGCTCATAAGTCTTACTTGAGGGGATAAAATCAATCACTTCATTTGTTCAGCTAGTGTGGCTGAACTCTCTGAAGTGACTTATGTTTATGCTAAATTTTGCTTGCTAGTTTATGCTCCATGTGACCCCAGCCCAACAGTTTTCAGCATATGTTATGCCAGGAAGAGTGTGAGTTGTCTCCCAAGAAGTTTTAACAGTAATAAAATACCAGAGTTTGTAAATTACTTAATCAAAAAGTAAATGGGGTAAGAACTTCAGGTTACCCTATGGTAATCTCACGGTCAGTTTGTTAGGTTCTTTTTTTTTTTTTTGACGTGGAGTCTCACTGTTGTCACCCAGGCTGGAGTACAATGGCACAATCTTGGCTTACTGCAACCTCTGCCTCCCAGGTTCAAGCAATTCTCCTGCCTCGGCCTCCCAAGTAGTTGGGATTACAGGTATGTGCCACCATGCCTGGCTAATTTTGTATTTTTAGTAGAGAGTTTCACCATGTTGGCTAGGCTGGTCTCAAACTCCTGATCTCAAGTGATCTGCCCGCGTTAGCCTCCCAAAGTGCTGGGATTACAGGTGTGAGCCACCGTGCCTGGTCACTTTGTTAGGTTCTAATATACCTTCCTAAATGGAAGAGAAAGTGTGGGCACAGTGTAGGAGTGTGTTTTGAATGAATATCATCCATCGTGTCCTAGCAGAAGACTATTTTTTCCTTTTAAGAGCCTCTTTTCTAGCATATTTGCCTGTTACTGGAAGTGTGGAGATGTAAATCTTTAAGTATATGTTTTATGTTACATTTGGAAACCGTAATTTTTAAAAGTCCACTTCTTGCTGGTAGCTGTTTGATCTTTATTGTGGTAAAATATGCATAACATAATATACATAATTTATCGTTTTAACCATTTTTAAGTATAGCTCTCATTTTTATTTATTTTTAATTTTTCTTTGTGTGGGGGGTTTTCTAATGAAAACCAGAAAACCTGCTAGACAAATTCTGAAAGAGCTGGAACACTTAAGTGTATAGTTCTGTAGCATTAAGTGTATTCACCTTGTGCCAGCATCACCACCATCTATCTACAGAACTTTTCCTCTTCCCCAGCTGAAACTCTAAACCCATTTATAGTAACTCTGAACTCTCCATTCTTTCTTCCAGCCCCTGGCAAGCATGAATCTTTCTGTCTCTCACATTTGACTATTCTGGGTAACTCATATAAATGGAATCATACAATACTTGTCCCTCTCTGACTGGCTTATTTCACTTGGCGTAATGTCCTCAGTATCAGAATTTTCTTCCTTTTTAAGGCTGAATAATTTCCCACTGTATGTGGAAACCATATACCACAGTTTGCTTATCCATTCATTCTTTGATGGACACTTGGATTGTTTCTACCTTGCGGTTCTTGTGAATAATGTCGTTGCTATGGACGTAAGTGTAGACCACTTCCTGATCTTGAATTAGTATAGTTATTTGTGTGCTCAGAGGTGCTCGTCTTAAAAAAAAAAGTCTGTTACTATGTTAACCTGGCTATTTAAAGTCTCAATAGCAGAAATTCAGCATAAATAGCCCTTTTAAGTTTCAGATTTAACTGTGAAACCCTCTCCCTATCTGTGAATTATTAAATGAATGAATTATTATTAAGCCTCCACAAGAAGGGAACCTTGAAGGGGGGTGCTTGGTCTTTTCTCTCACTGAGGGACCATGCAAAGGCATCACTAGGTAGTTTTCTTATGGCAAACCCTAAAGCCCAGTTCCAACTCAGAATCCAGGATGTACCAGAAACAATGATTGGCTTTCCTACTGAATTATTTTTGAGTCTCAAACTATTGCTTTTATCATGTTGCCTTTTCCAATTTGATAGTCCTTCAAGTAACCAAACAAACAACTCCTTACAAAATAGGAATAAGAGTGATTTATGAAATAGGGAAAGCTGTTATTTTCCAAGCTCATGATAGGTTGTGAAGATAATGGAAGCTGTATCTGCTGAAACATTTTGAACTCTAATGAACACAAAGGAAAGAAGCAATGTTTCTTTGCACTGTAAAATTAGATAAACCTGTAAGCACAGTATGGTTACTGTCTAAGGAAGCTTTGCTAAGATTTCTAGCCTTCCAAAACCTTTTACATGGCTAGAAAATTTCATTTACTCCTTGCTACTCCTAAAAGTGATAAAAGCTAGGTCCTGTAGCTACAGGATGAAATATTGTCTGTATCCCATTTTCAGTTTTGAAAGAAATTCTAACTTGCATTGAACCCAATTTATTTTATGATTTGGGCATATAGGCATTTGATTATTTAACTGACTGATTAATGGAGTTTATTATTCAAGCATATAACTCATTACAGTTTCATCTAGCTTTGTATTCATTACCTTTTCAGTGTGTTCCTCCAGTTGGATAGAATTGTATCATATGCGAGTGTGTAACCTGTAGGGAACATGTCGCTACCTTCTTATGACACCTGGACCCCTTCCCCGTCACCCATCCTTTCCCTCCCAGTGAGACCCTTCCTTCTGCGTGACTTGGATGAAAGGTGACCCAAGACAGACCCCTGGTCTCATAAAGTTTACATCTAGAGGGAAAAGAGACAGTCACCAAACAAACTCACTATATTTGTACAATTACAAAGTGAAATCAGAGCTATGAAGAAAAGAGAGATGTTTAAAAAGGAGGTTTTATGCCCTGGAAGATAAAACATAGTCTAAAGCAACTCCTTGCCAAGTCCTGTTGAAACCTGAGACAAAAGGGAAAAATCAGCAATGCTGATCCTGTCTTTATTTAAACTTTGGTTATTTTGTTCAAATGGCTATTTTACATTACTGTTGAGTTTCTTTTTTCTTTTTTTTTTTTTTCAAATACAGCACGAAGACATGATTCGAGTTTTTGATGCCTCCCTGGCCTTTGCATCTGAGGTAAATGCCTCACTTGCTCCCTGTAGTCCCAGCCCAAAGCCATACTTCCCAGGCTCAAGTCCTGGTTCTGCCACTTATCAATTGTATGACTGTGAACAACCTGCATATACTGTGCCTCAGTTTCCTCTTCTGTAAAGCGAGGATAATAATAGTACTTGATAAGGTCATTATGAGGATTAAAAGAAGTTAATATTTGTAAAGCAGGAGAGCAGTGCCCGGCACAAAGTGCCATGCATGTAAGAAGAGTAATGAAGATGCCTGTATACTGTTTCAGGTATTGAACCATTCATAGGAGCTGGATTTCACATGACTGAATTCACCAGGCTGCCATCAGCATTTCTTCCCTCAACATTTTTACTGAATTTACACTAACACTGTAGAACAATCCTCTAGAGAATGTGGTCATATATTTTAAAAGCAAAAGACTTGCTCATTGCATGTCCTCTTCCCGCCACCGCCGCCCCCCCCAACCCCCCCCCACCCCCACCCCCGCCCCGCTCATTTCTTCACTCTGAAATAGCCAGGAGATGATGGGGGAATTGTAGACACTATCACCCACATCTTTTAGGCACTTTCAGAAGCATGGAATACTTTGTGGGCATGTGTTTCTCTTGCACAGAGGTTATGCCAGCCATCTTTGCACAGTTGAGGTGTCTGTTTATGTGCTGCCAAGGCAGGCATAGCCTTTAGATTCTGACTCTCACTTACTCATTTACTAAGGAATTTCTGATGTAGCCCTTTCAGAGCACTGCACACAACTAAGCAGACCCAGCCATTGACAGGATCCCCAGTTTTGGAACATCCACTGCTTCTTTTCCTGTTTGCAAGGAAACTCAACAGCTTTCTGTTAGCATCTATTTCTAGTGTGATTTTAAGTTCTGTTTGTGATGATTCTACAAAATCGAATACACTTCCTTTTTATTCACATAAAAGCACTTTTTTGAAGAGAATATAGTCTTTTTATCTCTTATGGCAAGAATGTTGTGTTTACACTTTAAAAGTGCAGAGTGAACAGGAAACATTGCTCTTTAAAAGTGAAGAAATGCCGTGTAAATGAATTTTACTTATTTGCTATATTAATGAGAAAATTAAAAATCCTGATGTGCACTCATTTATTCCATAAGACTAGAGGTAGCTGTGTGAGATAGCAGGAATTTAATTATCTGTATAGATTTCCAGTTAAACAGATAATATTTTTGCTAAAGTAGATTCTATGTATGAATATAACTGCCCTAGGGAAAATAATGTTATACCATGGAAGAACTGACCTTTATCTGAAAATGAATAAATGGGTTTTTTGTCCTATTTTACCCTTGAGCTTTTAATTAACAATTTGTAGAAAGAGGGTCACTTGACTGGAATTAGAATTCTCTTTTGATGAGTCTTTTTTATATTCTGTCTGGGATTGTATGTAAACTTATCTTTCCTTTCTAAAGAACCTCAACATGCTAAAATTTAAATGCAGGGTTCCAATTCAAATAAAGCGTAAGGAATAAAACCGTTTCCCTTTTAAAAAATGTGTGAAATTTTAAGTGGGCTTTTTTGGGGTTTTTGTTTTTTCCTAAGTTACTTTTCAAAGTGGAATACCTTTATACGGACACGTGTAATCAAACATCATTATTTATATTTACATTCTCTTTGGAAACCATGGGATTCTCAAGGCCCAAAGCCAAGTGCCCAAGAACCCTGACCGAAAGTGTGTGGTTGCCTATTGAGGGAGCAATTGCTATATTATAAAGCCACAGTATGCCTTTTTGCCATAACTGGCAACAGCAAAATCAAAGGATTCTTGGGAGAAAATTCTCTATAGTTCTAATCACACATCTTGCAAGCAGAGGCACTGGTTGCCCTTTGTTCCAGAGCTGTTTTTTAAAATAACAGTTGTATAATAAGTAGCCTTAAGTGGCAGAGAAAGTGTTTCCTTCTAGAGCATGGAGGGATGCTTACCGCTTATTATAAAAGATTCTGGTTCCCTAAGCTCAGAGTTTTCTCTCATGTAATGCAATCTGCTGTGTGTGTGGGTGTCATGTGGCCCTCTTTATAACACCCTATTGGAATAATTGGAGTCTTAGGAACCAGTTCAAGAAATTACTGATACTCTGGCTACTGCTATTGCTATATGGAATAAAGTCTTTGTCTTTGACCCAGTAGTTTTTTGTCCTCTGCTCTATAAAACTGTAATAGGATAACTTGTTAGCGGGGTAAAATCTTAGACTCTTTCTTCTTACTGACAGGAATGTCCTTTAAAAGACACATAAAGATGATGGCCCTTTCTTTTTCCTTTGTCCTCAATCGTAAGTGGATGTGGTGGGCTTAGGGATAACATAGCCTGAAGTGTGGCGTATGGATCAGATGGCAGGAGACCTGTTCATCTGTGGCCTGCATCAGATGGCAGGAGACCCAGTTCTAAATATAGAAGCTGGTGTGAGTCACAGGGAATGACTGATATTTCTCAGAAGGTAAGAGATTGTCTCTTTATGACAATTTTGGGCACCTAGAGACAGAAAAGACACTGGATCTGATTTGAACTCTATCTCTTTGAGCTCAGATTCCCCCCAAAAAATATCATTTAAATTTACCTAGAGAACACACATGCGTGTGCAGTGTAGTAAACCTCATGTGCAGTGGCTGATTACCTTTGGAGACAGAGCAGATGACCATAAGCCTCATCTGGGTAAGAACAGCTCAATTTAGCCATCATACCCAGGCTTTACCAGCCCAGGACCCCAAAGCCTACATTATTCTGATTGGTAGCATAGCAGCATTTCTTCATATCTGCCTTCCTAGTATGGATACAACTTTAGGAAATGGTCCTACTAGACTAGACAGAAATTTGACTCAAAATGGTTGAGGCCATGCCAACCTGAATAGAAGTGCCAGCACATGGCTTCTGTGTTATCTGTTATCTCACTGCTTTGAGAAGCATAAAGCCTCATCCAAAACAATGATGTGAGGGAAAGCTTACAAAGAACACTGTGGAATGGCCCTTTTCATATATGAGAAAATATTTGAAAACACATACAATACATTAATACTATGAAAAAAAGAAAAAATTTATGAAAAACAATAAAAATCAGTTCATAGGTGGGGGAAGGAATATTTCAAATGATTTACACAGTTCAGAGCTATTCAAACTGCTGAATATTTCTAGCACTTTCATGACCACTGGCTTTCTCATTCACCAATTTTCTTTTTCAGCTTTCATTTAGCTAAACATCAATGGTGTATTTTGTTGTAAATGGTATGGCAAATAAGAAGGGCATGATTAAAAGAGAATGCTCTCATCAAGGTATGAATGTGCCAGTTAATTCTTAAAGACACTGTGCACAGTTTTTTGTGAATTCTGGAAGCATCTGTGAAACTTTGTATTAACAAACCATTATATGTTAATAATACCTATCTCAGAGAACTCCTGTAAAGATAAAGTAAGCTAATGTTTGCAAATTTCTTGGCACAGACAGCCTGGCACACAGTAAGTGCTTAATATGTATTGACTATTATAATAGGGATGGAGCAGTTAAAAACATGAGTGTTTTGCACTTTAGGAGTTTCCAGAAGGAAGCCAAATTTTCCTGTGTAATTTGGAAAGCATAAAATAGAGGTCAGGTGTGAAACTGGTTCCCAGGAGATGATGGAGAAAGACATGGAGGACTCTACCCACTGTTAAACTGGGTCAGATCAGGATAGACCCCAAAAAAGCTGTGCTGTGAAATCATCTATGTCTCACAGAGGGACATTGGGATCCATCTGCAAGGTGAACCACCATCACCATGAAGTCAAGGGTGAGGACACCAGTGTAGCCCTCCCCCAGGGGCAAGGATATTCCATTAGCCTGTATCCCAAAGCTCCAGGGTTTATGCAGGATCCAGGAGAACTGCAAAGCACCAGGTCCCTACAAACGATAAAGGCAGGGACAGCTGGGAATGTGCCCTGGGTATTGTCACACAGCCTTACTTTCTAAATGTGATTCTGTCTCCCAAAGCCCTGTATGAGCCACGGCTCCCGCACACTCAGCTCTGAACATCTTTCAGAAGGTGGGGCTCCATGAGCTGTTGGAGGTTCCACAGGTGCCACCATTGCCCCTGGGAGCACTTGATGGGGCTTCACATCCAGATGTCTCGGCTCCTCTTACACAAATGTGAGGACAGCATTCATTTTCTGTCCGGTTGGAGACCCCCTATTATTCATCTGCTGTTGGAGGGAAGAGGAGGTGTTGAGATTATTGTGTTTTCCTTATACCTTAAAAAGAGAATAACTTTTTCTTTCCCTCAAAACACGTGGAATTGGAAACCTAGAAACTCAACGAGGTCAATTAATAAGACTGGATACAGGCTCTGATTTCTGGTTAGGAGAAGACAACCCAGGGAAAGAGAGTTATTAGGTGTTTGTTACAGGAACAGAGAAATTGTCTTTGTTTTTAGTCTTAACTACCAAGAAGCCCACAAGAAGCAATGGGTTGCCATTAGGAGACTAATAAAGATAGGTATTGTATAAACGATTGATGCCAGTTAAGATAAATATTGTATCAACTGGTATGAAGCATGAAGATGTTTCTGAAATTCCAGTTTGTTGGACCATTTTTAGAGTGCTCATTTTAAGGAAAGGTAGAAGAATAATCTGTGTTGTTGGTGAGACCCAAGACCTTAAGGTCCTTGTGATTTCCCCATAGTCCCAGTTGTGCAGTATCTTTTTTGATTAAGCCAAGAAAACATGTAACTCAGCTTATAAAGAATATAAGCATAATTAAAAATAAAATAATGCAGCATTAAATATGTCTTCCTAGATAAATGAAAAGAGGGCTTTACACAGGAAGTAGAAAAGAAGATGCAGACCAGGCGCAGAGGCTAATGCCTATAGTCCCAGTGCTTTGGGAAGCCAAAGCGGGCAGATCATTTGAGGTCAGGAGTTCAAGACCAAAGTGGCCAAATGGTGAAACCTATCTCTACTAAAAATACAAAAATTAGCTGGGTGTGGTGGCACGCACCTGTAATACCAGCTACTTGCGCAGCTGAGGCAGGAGAATCGCTTGAACTCGGGAGACAGAGGTTGCAGTGAGCCAAGACTGCACCACTGCATTCCAGCCAGAGTGAGACTCCATCTCAAAAAAAAAGAAACAAAGATGCTAAAGCCATATTATATTTTCATATACATAGTATTAAACATAGTAGTAATATTATGGTATGTTTTAAAAACAGCAGGCAATGCAATATGGAAAGACTGAATGCAGGAAGACTTGAGTGTATAATAGGGTAAATGAAGTTCAAGAACTCTTCAGATTGCTGGACTGGTATGAGGCCTGGCCCAGGTCACTTTCAGCTGTCTAACATGTGTTCCTTGCTGGTGGCACCCACCCAACATGAAAATTAGCTTTCTGATTAAGTCATCCCATAAGCCTGTGAGCCAGGCTCTGTGGAGTGGGTCAGATGAATGACTTCTAGCTTCCTAAGTGGTTTCTATGTGACAGTTGCACTCATGGTAGGGGTAAGGGTTTCAGAGAAGCACCCCACCATGATTTGAGGCAATTATACAGCCTGGCTCATGGCTGAGCCACACTAGCACCTGCCAGATGGCGCTGGCAGGAAGCAGGCAGGCCCTGTTTCAGCACTGCCTGATGCGGAAGCTCGGAGTTAGGGCAATACACTGCAATTGGCTCTTATGGCCCTTTGCACCTGTTAGTGAAGAGGCCAGACTATTTGTGTCATTCATGTACAGAGGATTTCTTTCTTTCTAACCTTTGGAGTTAGTGTTATTCTCATCCCACACTTGGAGAGAAAGAACATCAGTTCTCATTTCTGCACAAAAAGAAAAAACACTAGGCAAGGAAAGAAATGAAATTCTTTTCTGTGAAGGTGTTTCATGAACGCAGTGAAATAAAGCAGGCAGATAAGATAATATGATTTGGTTATTCCTCCTGGAATCTAGAGACTGAGATGAAATTGGGGGTTTTCTGCCACAGGGCATCCACGTGGTTCCTGTGGGGGCCGTAGGGATGAGACACTCACTCTAACCAAGCACCTTGGAAGATGAGGGTTGTGTCAGTGGTCTCCATGGGTTTATGATGTTCACCTTCCTTCCTATGCATTCCCCCAAGTCAAGCTTGAAGAGACATTGAAGATGTCTGGGAAATGCTTCTCCACGTGGTAGCTTCTGCACTTCTGCCTAGAGTGAAGGAATTTGCACCAAGGGAGTCTGTAGTTATGCTTCTAATGAGGCAAAGGAGAATAAAAAGATAAGCCAAAAGGCTTCGTGGTGAAAGTATGTGACCCAGTGGAGGAAGAAAAGGGGAAAATCTAGCCAACAAAGCAGAACACTTTTTACACTGAGAGTCAAAATGAGCCAGGAAAGCAGCTCAGCACCTTGTTTTCCAAAGGAGATGGAGAAGGACCAAATGCAGAGACCTGAGAAGAAATGACCCCAGAAAAGAGTGAAACTGCACATCTACAGGTCATGCCTTATGTAAAGTGTGTCCTATAGATCTTCAAGGAGTACATGTGGAAGTAAAAGGATGCTCAAGACTTATAAGGATTTGTCTGCTGTTCCCATGCTGTAGAAAGATTATGGACTTTGAATCCACAGGACTGGGTTCAAATTCTAGTTTGAATTCTTGCTGTGTGGTCTTGGATGAGTTATCTGGCCTCTCTAAATCTGTGTCCTCCTTGTATAAAGGAGACAAGTGAGAGAACCAAAAAAAGGGTAGGCACAAAAGTTCTCAGGGAATGTCTCTTTCCTGTTTCCTATTTCAGCCTTGGAAAAAATACACACATCAAACACACACACACACACCACATCACTGTAGTTGAGGAGTCCTTCTGTCGGGGAGGTGGTGGGTGCATCAAGGGACCAATCATGGGTGATGCACCCTGGGAGCATGAATCCAGGGTATGAGATTTTGCAAACCCAATCTAAGACTGCCAACCACTTGTGTTAGCCTAGGGTCCCCCAAAAGCTGAGCCAGAGACTACTTATGCACAAGCCTTAGTCTCTGGCTCAGCATTTGGGGACTTGTGCATAAGTAGCTTGTTTGGAAATGTGATCCTCAGGAGCAGAAATGCAGAAAGGGGGAGTGGAAGAAAGTGAGGGGAGGAGCCAACAGAAGCCTGTGTCATTGCATTGGCTGGTTGATCCCAGTGGACTGGTGAAAGGGTTTATGAAGTGTTTCAGAACTGTCTGCCAGGGGATGAAATGGAGTGCTTTTATCCACTGACTCCAGATCTTCACTGGTCTAGACTGGCCCTCACAAGACTAACTCCCCTGCACTGCTGGGTTGTGCTTGAGTGCAGAGTGGATTTCTAGAACTATTAACCAAGATTAGAGATGGCTAGGGCAGGAAGCAAGAGATCCCTATGAGGGTCAAGGTGAGGCCACTGTCCTAGAGCACCTGTGCCAAGCTGCTCAAAGCCTCCAGGAAAACAGGTGTCTACAGCTGTGGCTGAAATAAGAGGAACAACCCAAGAGGACTTTGAAGTGGTGCACACGAGGGGTCCAATACAACAACTCTAATGGGGATGTCCTGTCTTTTTGCCTGGAAAGAAGATGCTAAAATAAAGAATTCCCTGGAGTGTCTTTGGCCTTTCAAGTCTATGATTCATGGAGATAAAACCAAAATTTGCTAAAAATCTGTTGATTAATAAAATATAAATAGACACAGCAATAACATTTGCTAATTTTATTCTCCAAATGATACCTGTCAGCTGTAGACAATGTGTGGAGCAAAAGAGAGCTATACTATCTACTTACTGGACAACAGACCTAACTTAGGCGGTGGTGATATATGCTGAAAACAAAGAGAGCAGTGCTTGGGCTTCAGGAAAATCTAGTGGAAAGTTGAGTTTATTGATCCTTAGGAGCACAACCTTTACCTGGGTCTTAAGTGGGTTTTATAATGATTAGGAAATCTTATTAAAGAAGAAACTTCGGAAGGGGTTCTGGGTGCTTTTAGAACAAAGGAGAGGACATAGGGAATATTTCCAAGTCAGCTTGGACCCAGACAAAATTATAAAGTGGATTAAGTTTGTTTTCAGCCCCTTTCTGTCCACCATTTCTCCTCATGTCCCCACATTCACTTCCCCTCCATCAGTGTCCCCCTTTAGGAACCTAGTACCTAGTATCATACTGGCCTGCTTAGATGCCTCTATGCAATCAACCAGTTGATTCTTATTGATACTTCCAATGTACCTAGAACCTTGCCAGGAATTGAATATGAGAACACCCCACATAAACCTTCCCCAAATGGCCTATCCTCCAGTCTCAAGTCCTGCCCATGATGGTAGATAATTTAAAAGGCTAATTTATATACATTGTGCCCAACACCTGTTTATGCACCACTCCAGAGCCTCGGCCTCCCCATCTCTTGTTCCAGCTCTGTGTGGGCCCCAGCCAATTTCACACCAGTACCCCTCTCATCTCCCACCCAACACTCCCATGTTGACATCACTGCAGACTCCACTAATGCCCACGCTCTGGAATGCACAATCCAGAGGAGCAAGGGGGTGAATCTTAGACCAAGCACATCCCGGGAGTAAGTTCTTCTCCCTTTCCCCACTCCATCACAGGGCTGGTTCTGAGCTCCCATTTATCCACCTTCTTGGGAGTGTGGTCTGTGGATTGAGCAATCAGTCACACTCGGCAGCTCAGTACTCCTCCATATTGGCTCTCCATCCTTTCCAGCATCTCTCCCCTTGTACCTCATTCCTCCCTAAGAGTATAGTCCCTGATAAAATAACAACCCATTCATTTTTTTCAATAAATACTCTTTAGGTGTTTACTGTGGGCCAGGCACTGACTCTGGCACTGTGAGTACAGAGATGAACTTTTATATTCAATGACTTATCTGATATTAGATGTTTTCTCAGAAGCCATATTGTTTAATGCCCTTTCTTGGACGTCAGGAAATTCTGGCCACGTGGTGGAGGGCTCCGCTTGCCTGAATGGGTTAAGGATTAGAAATGGTTTGAGAAACGGAATAGGAAGCAAAACTAGACAAAATCTCTCAGGACCAGGTTCTGAAAGCAAAGATATCAGGCACTCTTCCTCATGGAAATTGTCTGAGCCTCCAGACAATTAAGAGGTTTATTTTTCAAAAAGCTTTTTTAAAAATTCAAATTTTATTTTAAGTTCTGCGGTACATGTGAAGGATGTGCAGGTTTGTTACATAGGTAAGTGTGTGCCATGGTGGTTTGCTGCACTTATCAACCCAACACCTTGGTATTAAGCCCTGCATGCAATAGCTATTCATCCTGATGCTCTCTCTCCCTCCACCCGCCGACAGGCCCCAGTGTGTGTTGTTCCTCTCCCTGTGTCCATGTGTTCTCATTGTTCAGCTCCCACTTATAAGTGAGAACATGTGGTGTTTGGTTTTCTGTTCCTGCAGTAGTTTACTGAGGATAATGGCTTCCAGCTCCATCCATGTCCCTGCAAAGGACATTATCTCATTCCTTTTTATGGCTGCATAGTATTCCATTGTCTATATGTACCACATTTTCTTTATCCGATCTATCACTGATGGACATTTGGGTTGATTCCATCTCCTTGCTATTGTGAATAGTGCTGCAACAAACATACACATGCATGTATCTTTATAATAGAATGATTTCTATTTCTTCAGGTATATACCCAATAATGGGATTGCTGGGTCAAATGGTATTTCTGGTTCTAGGTCTTTGAGGAACCACCACACTGTCTTGCACAATGGTTGAACTAATTTACATTCCCATCAATAGTGTCAGAGCGTTCCTGTTTCTCCACAGCCTCACCAGCACCTGTTGTTACTTGACTTTGATTTTTAAAAAGGCTTGTTAACCAATTATTCAACAGTTCATTTAGCAAATTTGTATGGATTTAAGTGGTACTTCAAGAAGTTCACAATTTATGGAGTAAAAGAATCAACACTCATTTTAGGAAGTGATGAGTATGCTTATAAAAGTACACGAGTTCTTTAGGAGAGGGTTAACAAAGACATTTTCCTCTAGAGAAACTCTGTCCAATAGAATTTTCTGTGATGATGAAAATGTTCCACGCTGTGTTGTCCCAACACAGTAGCCACTAGCCAGCCCCATGTGGCTGTTGGGCACTCAAATTGTGGACAGTGTGACTGAGGAACTGGATTTTTAATATTCATTAATCTTAATTTGAATGTAAGTAGCCACATTTGACTAATGGCTGCTGTTTTTGACAGTGCAGTTCTAATGGTTGACATTTTAGTGGAGTCTCCAGGAATAAGTAGGTGTTATCCAGGCCACAAGGAGGATAGGAACCAAGTAGAAAGTGGAGAAAGCAGACTGGGTCGAGAGAACAACAGTGAACATGGACATCAGAGTGCTTGTTTGTTAGGCTTTTGTCACCATTTACTAAGGGTCCACTAAGCTCCTGCCACATCGCTATGCTCATTCCATATTTATCTCAACAGCCCCGGAGGTAGGTAAATTAGCCCCGTTTTACAGGTGAGGAAACTAAGGCACACAGAGCTTGTTGAACATAACCAATGCAACACAGCTTGTAGGTGACAGCACCAGGATTTAAGCTAGGCTCTGACTCAACAGCCTATCCTCTTTTTACTTTATCATTTTCCCCCACGTGGGTCTGTCACATGGGAAATTTGGGCTTCATGTCCTTATAGGCAAAACTGTTCTGAATTGGGGTCTTTCCCTAGACAAGAATGTATGGTGTAAAAAGAAGGAGGAAAAGGAGTTGAGAGGGCTGGTCAGAAAAATGAAGGGTGGCCCATGGGACCTAAGCTGGAAAGAGAAGGAAGTGAAGAATAGAATTTTTGGAGAGTGGGAATAATGTGGAGCTGAAGGACCAGGGGCAGGAGGAATAATTAAGAGAAAGCACCACACGCAAGGCTGTTGTGGTCAGAGGGAATTATTGCCATTTTAGCGGGCTTTCAGCCAAAGGACAACCTGGAGCATGTTTCGGCCCTGAAGCTGAGGGTGTTAACTGCTGAAGGAAACTGGCAGAATTTCCATCAGAGCACACAGACAGCCACCTCCTCCAACAGGCAGAGACCCAGACTCCTCTGTGTGAGGAAATGGACTTCTCAGAAACTAAGTCTGAGCTTGCTTTCTTTTATAAATCTCTACTTTTGGTGGCTTATTTTTGCTTAGGAAGATAGAAGTCAGTAGCGTTGACTTTGAAAAGTGTTCATAATCCTCAGCATGCCCGGTGAAGTGGAGACAAAGAGGAGGCAGTGTGGCACGTGAAGAAGAGAAGGGTGTGAACGCTCTCATCTGAGACGCTTGATGAAACTGATCCTCTCTGCCTGACTTAGGTTTAATAGCTCACATACCTGTGAATGTGAAGTTAAAAGCAATTTTGATTTGAAATCAAGGTTATGTAGAAATGAGTCTTAATATATCATAAAAATCATTTCAAGAAATCCTGAAAATTGTCACGAACCCTTATTAAGGAAATTGATTTGCAGATGATGATAGAAATAATTTTTTCATGAAAATGACAAATGTAGCTTATTTTCATTGACATTTATTTTCATTAGAGTAGGCTGCTGTCTACACTTCTCTTAAAACCACTCTTTCAATAATACATTTAGATTCATATGCTAATATATCTGCCATTTCTCTCAGTATCGCTTAATACTCTGTGTTTAGAAACAGGTATATTGAATTTATACTGGGACTAGAGTATTATATTTGAAAGCACTTACCCGGGGCAAAGGCTATGAATGTATCCTCTGAAAGGTGTCTTGATTTGGAAAGCACAGGATGTTCCAGTTAACTTTCTTATTTATAGTTTTTTGAAGTATAACTTATATACCACAAAATCTACCCATCTTAAGTGTAGTTTGGTGAGTTTTAGTGCATTTTTAACAGCAAACTTCATCCCAATCTAGCTACAGAACATGACTGTCGACTGACAAAGTTCCCTCCTGCCTGTTTATAGTCAGTCTCCTCTCCTACCCCAGGCCCCAGCAGCCACTAATCTGTTCTCTGATTCTATAGTTTTGCCTTTTCTTCCTTCCTTCCTTTCTCTTCTTTTCTTTTCTTTTCCTTCCTTCCTTCTTTCCTTCCTTCCTTCTTTCTTCTTTCCCTCCCTCCCTCCCTTCCTTCTTTTCTTTTTCTTTTTCTTTTTCTTTTTTTTTTTTTTCGACAGTCTTCCTTTGCCACCCAGGCTGGAGTTCAGTGGCATCATCTTGGCTCACTGCAACCTCCACCTCCCGGGTTCAAGTGATTCTTGTGCCTTAGCCACCAGAGTAACTGGGATTATAGGCGTGCACTACCACACCTGGCTGTATTTTTAGTAGAGACTGGGTTCTGCCGTGTTGGCCAGGCTGGTCTCAAACTCCTGATCTCAAGTAATCCGCCCGCCTTGGCCTCCCAAGGTGCTGGGATTACAGGTATGAACCACCATGCTGGCTATACTTTTGCATTTCTAAAGATTTCATATAAGTAGAATCATAGATGGTCTTTTGGGTCTGGCTCCTTTTACTCAGCATAGTTGTTTTTTTTGTTGTTGTTTGTTTTTAGTATTTATTGATCATTCTTGGGTGTTTCTCGGAGAGGGGGATTTGGCAGGGTCATAGGACAATAGTGGAGGGAAGGTCAGCAGATAAACATGTGAACAAGGGTCTCTGGTTTTCCTAGGCAGAGGACCCTGCGGCCTTCCGCAGTGTTTGTGTCCCTGGGTACTTGAGATTAGGGAGTGGTGATGACTCTTAACGAGCATGCTGCCTTCAAGCATCTGTTTAACAAAGCACATCTTGCACCGCCCTTAATCCATTTAACCCTGAGTGGACACAGCACATGTTTCAGAGAGCACGGGGTTGGGGGTAAGGTTATAGATTAACAGCATCCCAAGGCAGAAGAATTTTTCTTAGTACAGAACAAAATGGAGTCTCCTATGTCTACTTCTTTCTACACAGACACAGTAACAATCTGATCTCTCTTTCTTTTCCCCACATTTCCCCCTTTTCTATTCAACAAAACCACCACCGTCATCATGGCCCGTTCTCAATGAGCTGTTGGGTACACCTCCCAGACGGGGTGGCGGCCGGGCAGAGGGGCTCCTCACTTCCCAGAAGGGGCGGCCGGGCAGAGGCGCCCCCCACCTCCCGGACGGGGTGGCTGGCCGGGCGGGGGCTGCCCCCACCTCCCTCCCGGACGGGGCAGCTGGCCGGGCGGGGGCTGCCCCCCACCTCCCTCCCGGACAGGGCGGCTGGCTGGGTGGGGGCTGCCCCCCACCTCCCGGACGGGGCGGCTGCCGGGCGGAGACGCTCCTCACTTCCCAGACGGGGCGGCTGCCGGGCGGAGGGGCTCCTCACTTCTCAGAGGGGGCAGCCCGGCAGAGACGCTCCTCACCTCCCAGACGGGGTGGCGGTCGGGCAGAGACACTCCTCAGATCCCAGACGGGGTCGTGGCCGGGCAGAGGCGCTCCTCACATCCCAGATGGGGCAGCGGGGTAGAGGCGCTCCCCACATCTCAGACGATGGGCGGCCGGGCAGAGACGCTCCTCACATCCCAGACGATGGGCAGCCAGGCAGAGACGCTCCTCACTTCCCAGACGGGGTGGCGGCCGGGCAGAGGCTGCAATCTCGGCACTTTGGGAGGCCAAGGCAGGCTGCTGGGAGGTGGAGGTTGTAGCGAGCCGAGATCACGCCACTGCACTCCAGCCTGGGCAACATTGAGCACTGAGTGAGCGAGACTCCGTCTGCAATCCCGGCACCTCGGGAGGCCCAGGTGGGCAGATCACTCGCGGTCAGGAGCTGGAGACCAGCCCAGCCAACACGGCGAAACCCCGTCTCCACCAAAAAATACAAAAACGAGTCAGGCGTGGCGGCGCACACCTGCAATCCCAGGCACTCGGCAGGCTGAGGCAGGAGAATCAGGCAGGGAGTTTGCAGTGAGCCGAGATGGCGGCAGTACAGTCCAGCCTCTGCTCCGCATCAGAGGGAGACCGTGGAAAGTGGGAGGGGCAGGGGGGGGAGGGGGAGAGGGAGAGGGAGAGGCTCACTCAGCATAGTTTTGAGGTTTCATCCATGCCGCATGTTGTTGCATATATCAGTAGTTCATTCTTTGTTATTGCTGAATACTTTTCCATTATATGAATATACCACATTTTGCTTATTCTTTCATCCGTTAATGGGCATTGGATCTGTTTACAATTTTTCATTATTATAAATAATGCTGCTATATACATTTGCGTACAAGTCTTTGTGTGGTTATATGTTTTCATTACTCTTAGGTAAAAGAGTAGAATTGCTGGATTGTATGGTAAGTGAGTGTTTAACTTTTAAGAAATTGCCAGGTTGGGCATGGTGGCTCATGCCTTTAATCCAAGCACTTGGGAGGTCCAGGTGGGTGGATTACTAAAGCTCAGGAATTCGAGACCAGTCTGGGTAATATAGTGAAACCTGGTCTCTACAAGTAATAAAAAAAACTAGGTGGGTATGGTAGAACATATGCCTGTGGTCCCACCTACTTGGGAGGCTGAGGTGGGAGGATGGTTTGAGCCCAGGAGACAGAGGTTGCCCTTAGCTGAGATCACGCTATTATACTCCAGCCTGGGCAACAGAGCTAGTTCCATCTCAAAAAAAAAAAAAAAGCAAAATTGTTTTTTCAGAATGGCTATATGTTTTTATGTTTCCATAGCAATATGTGAGGATTTCAGGTTCTCCACAGCCTCACCAACACTGGACATCATCAGTCTTTTTGAATACAGCCATTCAAGTGGGTGTGTGGTAGTATCGCATTGTGGTTTCAATTTGCATTTCCTTAATGATAAATGATATTGAGCATCTTTTCATGTGCTTGTTAGATATTTGTATATCTTCTTTGGAGAAATCTCTAATGAAATTTTTGTCCATCTTTTTATTGACTTGTTTTGTCTTCTTAGTTTTTCTACATGTTGTAGATACAAGTCCTTTATTAGATATATGATTTGTAAATAGTCTGTGGCTTGTCTTTGCATTTTCTTGTTGGTTTCTTTTGAAGAGCAACTGTTTTTAATTTTGATTATGTTAAGTTTATCAGTTTTTTTCTTTTGGTGTCATAGCTAAGAAATTTACCTAACTAAGGTTGCGAGATATTCTCTTATGTTTTATGCCAAGGATTGAAAAACTATTGACTTTTATTCTTTAGAACAATAATTAACAATCGCCTGGACGCCACAGCCAGGGATTTGGCAGTCTCTGGTAGCTTTGTGGTTTCGTGGTTGGGGTAGTGATAGGAGCAGGAGGCTGAGTATATTGTTGTCATTGTAAATAATTGTAACTTGGCCCCAGCAACCTTCTGTCATCCCTGCTGCTGAGCACAGTACTCAGAAAAACTCCCCCATGCCTATTTGCCATCAGTCTCCTCTCTGACCACTCCCAGTCTCAGGCATCCATCCATCTGTACATAATTGATTTTCAGGTGATTGAGTTAAATTTAATTGAATCCTCTAAAATTCCCTGCACATTTCACTCTGTGCATGAGAAGATGGCACTCTTGATAATCCTTTTGAAAGAAAAGTTCTTTAACTCACTTACCCAGCTTGGCACTTTGAAACTCATCTGATATTAGCATAAAAACAAAACTCAATAACAGCATTTATGCCCCCTTACAACGGGCACCAACTTTACGTTTCTGCCTCATCACCCTCACTTAGTATCCTTCATCCCCTTCTGGGCACTTGCCAGAAACACACTATACGCTTGGACTTTACTCATGGCTTCCCTCTTCTCTCCCTGGAGTATTACTGTTACTCTTCCAGGGCAAGGTAGAGCTCAGGTTTCACCTCCCAGAGTCTTTCCTCTTCCCTCTTGAACACAATTGGATACATCTTACTTTCTGCTCCCATAGGGCCTAGATCCAGCTTCTGGTGGAGCACTTACCACATTGTTTTGCATTTAGTTATATTCTCATACAGCTCACTGCCTGCTCCCAAGCCCAGCTTTGAGCACTTCAAGGGCGTGAATTATGTTGAATTCATATTTGAATCCCCCCTAGCATCTAAAACTTCATGGGTGTCCAATAAATATTGTTAATAAAATGTTTGAAGCCATTCCTACAAAGAACTCTAAGTGCCTTAGACGCTGAGATAATGCTGCAGCTTTAAAGCTTCTAAGTAAAAATGACAACTCTTCCCTTTAAGTTCTGTCATTTTAGATATGTCCTGGTCTGAAAGTCCGCTCAGACGTTCCTGCCTCTGCAGAGTAGCCTGCACTTTCTTCTCAATTTTGTAGGCTTGCCTTCCACTTAAAATGTTCAGCATGCAATGTAGAGATTATTATCAATTGCTTCCCCATCTTGGGCAAAATTTTCGCAGAAATGTTTAGAGAACAGCTCGTCTCCATCCATACCCTTGCTCTCAGTTCAAACCAAAGTACTTCTTTCAAATGTGACCGTTTTTCCTGCATCTTGCTTGATAGCTTGTCTGATGGCTTAGTCCAATTTATAAAATCTGTACAGAAGAACTAGGTGTCTTGATTTAGTTAAATGGACAGAGAAAACACTGAGATTTATCTATCTCCTATTCTTATAACCAACTTTGATAAAAATCAGAAGTTAAAACCAAGCTCCTGCTGAGTATTAACAGGCCTTCTGCAGCTATTTCTGGAAGGGTATTTTTTTAACTTTTATTTTAGGTTTGGGAGTACATGTGAATAGAATAGAATACATTCAGATCTTTCAAAAAATAAAAACTGTTTTCTCTGCAAGGCTTGTGAGAGGAGTTGGAGAACAACAATTAGTGTTTTATACTCTAGCAAGGGCCTACAATAGTCTTATTTAAAATTCTCGAAGGAGACAGAAACCTAAATTTGGAAAGCCTTCCTCAGACAGACTAACTGGACATTTTTAAGAAGCTGCTCAGTGAGGTGCGTTCAACTTTGGCAGGCAAGAAACCACCCAACTTTGCCTGCTTAATCCTCAGCCAGCTGACCACGCAGGAGCAGGACCTTTAGCCATTTATTCTCCCCATTCCTGAGCAACACCCACACCCAATACCTCATAAAAATTATATGCAGTTATTCTATCCAGCTCTAATGATGTCTGTAGATTCCATCTCCCACATCCCTTGGTCTCAAATCTTAGTCTTAGTGGTCTCCCTGGTACTCTTTCTGATGCCACCTCCCTGAATTTCATTCTTTACCCAATCCTTTCATTTGTAAATTCTGTTGGATGCTCTGCCAGGCTTTTGTTTTCTGTTTTCTGGTTTGTTTTTAATTTTTTTTTAAACAGTCTTGCACTGTCACCCACGCTGGAGTGTAGTGATGCAATCATAGCTCACTTCTGCCAGGCTTTTGAATCACCTTCTCCCCAAAATGTTGCCTCTCATATTATCCAACTTGGCCCCACTGGACACAGGTGCAGCAAGTGATGGCACCCAGAAACCACTGCTCAACTTCAGCTGAGAGGCCCAAGCCCACTCCTGTCTGAGAGGGGACTGGGCAGACTTGCATGGCCTGCTCACCTCATTCTTCCCTTGGTTGAGACAGCACCATGTGGCTGGTACTCACTTTCCCATGCCTGCTTGTGCCTAGACCCAACAACCAGCAGCCTCAAAGGATCTAATTTTTAGCTGTCTTCCCATTTCTGGTCTTGGTTTTTCCCTCTGTGCTGGCATCTCAGTAACCATCATTATTGGTGGCTGGATTATTTGACTCCATTTCTATTATAGCAGATTTGGCTCTCATAATTCATTGTTGAGTCTAGGAAGGCAGACCTGAGACACCTTCAAAGCATAAGCCCTGATAGGGCATCTTCTAGTAAAGTTTTCTTGAAATCTTTATGATTCCTTTAATATATTTAAAGAAATTATTTTTGTAAGTATTTTAACCCAGTTTATTTGTGAACTATCACAATTTCTGAAGAAAAATGATAAGAATAAACACAACATAACTTGGAAATGTATTACTTCTACAACATTTCTTCTTTCCTTGCTTTTTCTTTGTCCTCCTTATCTCACTTTTTTCTTACTCCCCATATTTCTTTCCGGAGGGTACAAATATTTATCTTTAGAAAATAAATGCTCAGTTTACTCACAGAAAATTGCCCATGAAAATTAAACTGAAAAGACACAGAGAGGCAGTCATTCTAGGTTTAACATTCTTATCAACCAACTTTAATAAAAACCAGAGGTTTTTCTGTTCTGACTCTTCTAGGAGGCTAGATACTTTGGCCGAAAATACTTCTACCTGAGGACATTTCAAACTGCTCTTTGGTTTTATTTTTTCTTTTTTAAAAAACTTTAAAAATTTTTTTAATTTTAATTTTTGTGGGTTCATAGTAGGTGTATATATTTATGGGGTGTGTGAGATGATTTGATAGAGGCATCCAATGCGTAATAATCACATCATGTAAAATGGGTTATCCATCCCCTCAAGCATTTATGCTTTGTGTTACAGACAATCCAATTATACTCTTTTAGTTATTTTAAGATGTACAGTTAAATTATTGACTATAATCACCCTGTTCTGCTATCAAATACTAGGTCTTAGTCATTGTTTCTATTTTTTTTTTTTGTACCTAATAACCATCCCCATTTCCACCCCAACCACCCTCCCACTACCATTCCGAGTCTCGGGTGACCATTCTTCTGCTCTACCTCCATGAGTTCAGTTGTTTTGAATTTTAGATCCCACAAATAAGTGAGAACATGTGATGTGTGTATTTCCGTGCCTGGCTTATTTTGTTGTTACAAATGACAGGATCTCTCTCTTTCTTTTTTTTTTTTTTTTTTTTTTTTTGAGGTAAGATGTGGCTCTGTTGCCCAGACTGGAGTGCCATGGCACGATCTTGGCTCACTGCAACCTTTGCCTCCCAGGCTCAAGCCATCTTCCCACCTCAGCCTCCTGCGTAGTTGGGACTACAGGTGCTCGCCACCATGCCCAGCTTATTTTGTGTATTTTTTGTGTGTGTGGAGATGGAGTTTTGCCTTGTTATCCAGGCTGGTTTTGAACTCCTAAGCTCAAGTGATCCACCTGCCTCGGCCTCCCAAAGTGCTGGGATTAGAGGCATGAGCTATTGACCTGTCCTCATTCACTTTTATGGCTAAATAGTACTCCATTATATATAAGTACTACATTTTCTTTATCCATTTATGGGTTGATGGACACGTAGATGACTTCCAAATTTTGACTATTGTGAATATTGTTGCAACAAACATGGGAGTGCAGATATCTCTTTAATACACTGATTTCCCTTCTTTTGGGTATATACTGAGCAGTGGAATTGTGGGTTGTATGGTCGCTGTATTTCTACCTAAAGTGCTCTTTGAATTGACATTTCTTTTAAATCATCACAATGGAATATATTCTTTCTATGGAGTCCATTTAAATGATGCTGAAAAGAGAGTGTGGTTTTATAGAAAAAGGGGTTCCTGAGAAGTCATAGACAGCAGAATTGAGCAGAGACAGCAGAATATGCCAAAGCTCTTAAATTGTTGGGTTGATTAAATCTCACAGTACAGAGAACATTGTTTCTAACATTCATGCTTTTGTGTACTTACCTTTCACAGAGGACATGGTCTCCTGAGGAGTTAATATTTAACTTCCAAGAAACTGATTTATATTCTAAATGCTTGGGAGAGGGATGCTCTTTGGAGTAAACCTGATAAATTTTCTTGCAAACAAATGGCCACTCGTTGATTATTTTTTTTTATAAAGGCAGATATTCACATAGCCTGTATAAAGAAAATTAAATGCACCAGGAGTTAAATATTTCATGCATTACTCTGCTGTTTTGCTGTTAAGTTCTTTATAATACAACATGCATGTCAGCAAGTGACTGAGATTTGTTCTTTATATGAAACAGCCTCTGGCTGGAATGAAGAATTTTCAGCTGTTTGGTTTGTGATAATATACCTTCCCCTGCACTGATAGCAAGTGGAATATACAATTCTTCATGTCATGTCCATCTCTATTTCTCATTTTCTTGGTTCCGTTATGATTACAGAGAGCCTGGATACCTTGGCAAAATATATTTTGAAATGTGGCTGGGAAGATTGTAGTAATCTGTGACATGTTGGGAGTGATGCCCTTTGGGTTTGGTAAATCTGAGCCTTTTGCCTCCCCAACACACATGCTCAGGCCCTTGTTTGCGGGGAGCACAAGTTATAGAAAAGAATGATTCATAGATGCAGCTGGGAGGAAGACAGAGGAGGTAGCTTCAACTAGCTAGCACCCACACAGCCCATCATCATCATCATCATCCTGCTCCCTGACTAATCGCCGAGATGAAACAATAAGATGGCCATCCTCTAGGATGTCACTTCTGAAACTCTTTCCAGAAAAAGCACTTCAGATTGATTGTGAATAGGCCATGCTCCCCGTGGCAGAAATACTAGTGCTCACTAAATATTCCACCCACACCCCAGCATTTCCCAGACTCTCTGATGATTGGAGTCATTGACTACTTCTGGTCAATGGGTTGTGAGCAAAAGTTGTGTGCATCACTTCTGGTTGGAGGAAGGTAAAAGCAGGAGAGCATGGGGACTTTGGAAGACATTTGTTGAGTTGGCAGCATCACAAAATGGTGGCACCTCTGTCAGCCTCGAGCAGAGGTGCCTGCACACCCACACTGGATGATAGAACAGGCGAAGTATCAATTGTATTATGTTAAGCACTGAGACTTCTAGGTTAATTTCTCACTGGAGTAGAATGTGAATGGTACCCCATGGACTTCTACCATGAGGTTAATTCTCTCTCCTGCTCTCTCTTCTCCTTGCATTACTACCCTTCACACTCATTAGGAAAGGAGTACACATTGAGATTTTGACCTGTACACTGCGTCCCTACCCTAACTGGTTCATACCATTCAGCAAGCATAGCAGGGTTTACCTTTGAAATGTGACACAATATTTTTCAAAGTGACTAGCCTGCCTGGCATTTCAAAATGCTATTTTTTACTATTAAATGGCTGCCATTTTGCCATGTGTTGCTTTCTTGACAAGTGGATAAGGTATAGCATGTTTAGAATATCAATATCCTGAAGGGCCTTTTTTGCTGAAGTTTTTAATAAACTGTTTCCAATCCTTACATCTTCTCAGTGCTATTTGTAGAAATCTCAGTTTACAGGAAGATAAATAGAGCTAGAGCTTGTTTCAGTGACTCCACAAATGTTTCTGAATGTGTTGCTCTGAAGACCCATATTCAGAATTAAATTTTCATTTCTCAGACCTCACTTTTAGAGCAGTTTCCTACTTTCCATTTTTGTTTTTAAATGGAACTTTGTTTCTGTTTTCTAATGTGAAGGGAATCAGCTGAGAAGTGGACTTTGTGAGGAAGGAAGAGGCCTATCCCTGTGGTTTGGCTTGCCCCTCTTTCCTCCCTTTCTCCAGATTACCTGTCTTGTGGGAGAGTGAGAAGAATAGAAGCTGGGGCTGACCTCAGCCAGAGTTCTAGTATGATTCACGGAGATGGGGAAGTAGGAGGGATAGACTAACAATATTGGACTCTCTCATCCTGTTCTCTACCTTAATCTTTGCTATTCTGCATTAGAAATAAATTAGTATAATGCCTAAGACAATAAATTAGGCATAATTTACAATTATGCTAAAATAATTTAGCATAAACAAATTTATGCTAAAATAATTTAGCATAAACAAATTTATGCTAAAATAATGGTCAGTGTTAACCACCTTCTATTTATTCTGACTATAAGTTTTGTGTGAGAAATGTAAGTTAAGTATGTGCCCTTTGGCTGCACCAACATATATATAGAGAAGTATCTAGAAAAACCAAAAAGGATAGATTAGTTTTGAAGAGAAGTCTACATTGCCACACTATTTACTAATTTAGGTTCGGCCATGACCTTGTAAGGAGACCTGCACATTTGGATCATCAGTCCTCCTAAATGTGCATGTTAGTATGTTTCTGGTTGCAAGAAAGAGCCAATCTCAGTTTATCTTAATTCATTATTGCAGATATCTATGGCTATATAATAAACCATTCCTAAATTTTGTGACTTCAAACAACAACAGTTTATTATTTCTTATAATCCTGAGGGTTGGCAGGATGGTTCTTCTGTTGCATGTAGTTTAAAAAGTCACTGGCTCAGCTATTTTTGGCTGGGAGCTCAGCTGGGGCCAGAGAGTCCAGGATGGTCTCTCATCTCCCAGGGTCTCTTTCCACTGGCTTCTCATCATCTAGTAGTATGGCTCATACTTCCCAGAGGGAACATTACAAGAGGATAAGCTGCAGTGTGCAAATGGTCATCACACCTCTTTTCACATATTGCTTGCTAAAAATCCCACTGGCCAAAGCATGTGACATGGCCAAGCCCACAGCCATTGTGAGAGTTGACTATGCAAGGGCATGGATACTGGGAAGGGTGCTTCCTGGGGCCACCAATGCAACAGTCTACCTGCCATATTAATGAAATTTTGTTGTAGAATACACAAGACTGGAGAAGGACAGGAAGATGTCTCAACCTCAGTCACTAGTGTGGCAAACTTCACAGAGAATTGGAACATTGTTTGGGGTACCAAGAGATTTACAGGCCTGGTGATTATAATGCAAGAGTAGTAGGTGCTTGTTATCACCTATCCAGTGTTCTGGTGATGTCATGGCCACTCAGCTCTTCTCTGTTTCTGTTTCTATTGATCCTCTGCTGCCCACTGGCTTCATTCTGCACTGGATGCCTCATATCTTTTGCTTACTCATGCTTGCTCCTACTGCCTTGCCTCTATTTGACCTTTGGCTTTTGTTCCTGCTCCAAACCGCTGACTCACTCTCTCTCTGTCTCACATTCACCCTCTCTATGACAAAGGAATTTGTTACCACTTAGTTGGTCACTCTTCAGTGCCTCACAAGCAGCCAAGTCAACTCACAGGCTCTACATGGCTCCCTGCCTTTGTTCAGACAAAGGCTGAACACCCACCCTGATTCTTTTTGCCTTGGTCAGAGTGATGAGGTCAATGCAGAAGAAAGACTGTGAGCATGGCAGGCATTCAGAGTGGAGCAGTCTCCTCCCCACTCTGTTTAGTGAATTGTGATTGGATTGGAAGGTGGGATAAAGAAGGAAATTCCCTTTCGTTTGCAAAGAACTAGTTCGTTCCTCTTTTTCCCCAACCATCTTTCCTTTTCCAATCAGCTCTCTCATCCCAGAAGCCAATCCTGACAACTGTCATCAGATAGCTGGCTGGACAAGCCTGGAAAGTGTGGAACAGGTGCCATCCTTGGTCAGGGTTGCTATTAGTCTCACACACATGAGCTTTTCATTAACTATGCTTCATCATTTGTCTTAGATCTCTCAGTTACATCATTGCCTCATATTGTTCTATTTTCTTTCTTGTTACTGCTGTGCTAAGTAAAAGAGATGTGAAAAATCCTGTATTCAGATGATCATGTGTGTTGCAAATAACTGGATTTCACTCCAAAAGACCTTGGTATCTTTGATAATCTAATGTCAGTGTCCCAAAAGCTTTTTAATAATTTTCTAAATCTAAAATGTCCTTAAATTATTGCTTAATATATTTTTATGTTTCTTTATGCCTGAACTCTCTCTGGAAGGATTCACAAAACTTGGTAATAATGACTGCTTCCTAAGGGAGAAAGGGGGTTGCTGGTTGCTTACTTTGCATTCTGTGGTCTTTTGTACTTTATGAATATTGTACCATGTACACACACTGCCTACTTTTAAAATTAACTTTTTAAAGTACATCTTGTCTACATAGTCTTAAATTGTTCTTCCTTTAGAAGGCCAGGGCCCGCATGTGGTAGAAGTCCATGGGGTCCTATTCACATAGAATCTGGTGTGAAGAAGCTCCTAAAGTTGTGCCATGGGCAACACTGTGAAGATCTTCTATAGATATTCAGAAACCGTTAGAGGTTTTCTTTTTTTAACATCAGTAACTAAACTTGGTAATTCTGTTTGCTTATTGACTAATTAAAAAATAAGAGGATATAGGAGGGAGGGAAATGCTAGGGACCTCTCGGGGTGAGGCAGTGTGAGATGGCTAAAAGCTCCAGAACCTTCCGGAACTGGAGCTCTAGATCTGGTACTTCACATATCACGTGACATTTAAGCAGGTGACACCATCCTACACCTTGAATTCCTTATCAGTAAGTTAAGAAATGTAATAAAAGTTACCTTCTGGAATTGTTGGGAAGATAAGTTAATGCCTGGAGGAGACTCATCGCTGTGCCTGGCACATAGAAAAGGCTCAGTGAATGGTAGCCATTAGGACTGGATTATTTTCTTGTCTGTTAAATGGGTAGAAATACCTGTTTTTCTGTTTTCTGGGGTTTTTATGAATATCAAATAAGATCATTAGTTATAGTGCTCTGAGGAGTAGAGATTTTGAGCTATTATCAGGATGTTGTTCCATTATCTGTTATTGGGGTAAAAACCACCTGTTTATTGTTCACCATTCCTTAGGTACTAGTCCAGGTTCTAGTTACTACATTCCTGGTAGAGCCTCTACTGTGGAAGATTCCTTTGGACTAGGAGGAAATTAGAAACGTGGTCCTTAAAGCTTCTCACAGTTTGTCTTGTTTGATCATTATCATCTCTATAGTCCTATTATCCCGGACTACTTTTTTCTGAGGTGCATTAATGATTGTGTAGTGGTGTAGATGTAATTGACTCTGTTGATGTGTTAATTATTAGTCGTCATTGTCCATTTCTCTCTAACCTTTCCTCCACAGTCTCAGACTTAAAATCTGTGATTGAAAAGCACAGCATGGCTAGAGATGTGCATTTGTGTACTTCTTCCTTAAGATAAATATTTAAAATATAAAAAGTGACCATCCCCAAGTTGACTGCTGAAAAATGTCTTTCACAGTCAAGATGATGTCCTACCCACTTAGTTATCCAGTCACTGAGGCGAGCCACTGATGAGGCATCAGAGCAATAGTTAGTGTGTCAAAGGGCATCTAGTCACATCAGCATATTTGTTTATCTGCTTGGAGAGTGTAGATCATGTTATGTGTTCAACCAGCATGGAACCCACCCATGTTGGGATGCTGAAAAGCCCAAATAGAGGAGAATGAAATGGCGAGTAATGCGTGGCCTTCAAATTCTGGTAGAGAGCTGATTTTTTTCATTAAAATAATTTCCTCCTTCATTTGAGAGAAAAAGAAAGGTTTTATTTTCCTTCTAAAGACAAGACTTCTTAAGTAAGCAACAGGAGAGCTGTTTCTCTCAGGCTTGATGTGAATCCTTTGTCAAAACTGTAGGGTTTTCTTTTGAAATACATAGTAAGTAATGCAGGGGAATATTTGCTCTGTGATTTAATATGAATTTGAGGCAAAAGAAATAAGGGAACCTTGAATTGCATTTCTTTTCAATGATGAAAAGTTTATCAAAGAAGGGAATTTTTCCCCCTTCTGTTTCACAGGTTCTATAGGTAACATACGAAAAGTTGCTTTGAATGGAGTTAAATTAAATGAGATATGAAAAGGCTTTGCTCTTTATCATTACTCTCAGTCCTTTTAGCAATATGTGTGATTTTAAATAGGGTGATCTATTTTTCAGAAGACGAATCTACCATTTATCTCATTCAATCCTGCTTTAAAATATCTGGCAAATATTTTTTGTACATTGTAAGCTATATTGCACTAACATACTCCTTAGCCTTGATTAAAAATCATGCTGCTATTTCAAATTGGGATTTTATTCATTGTAGTATAATTACATTAACAATTTAGTTTTAGTTCATGATTCTCACTTAATGAAGAATGACCATCATTTTCCAAGGTAAAGTACAAGGCAGATGGACTCCTACTGAGTCAAAGAATTGACGTCAATATCAAGAGTGCAAAGCGGTGGTTTTTCTTTGTGCAGTGTGCAGAGTACATTACTCTCATCGAGAGAAATCTCAGTCTTCTGTAGCTCTATTTGATTTTCAGTTTGATTGAGTGCTGGGGACTTAATGCTGTCCTTAGGCATTTGGGTTTTCATCTATAAGGGCATACGTTGCAAGAGTGGGTGATTTTCCATGGGCAGGAGCCAGAGGACGGGCTGGACCATTGCTTCGTCCTCCTCTAACAGAATCTACACTAGAGACGATTTGTGGCTAATGGTGCAGTTTAACTTAAAACTTCTGAGGAGAACCCCCATCTTCAGTTATCGTAGTTCATGACCTCCCAGCAGTATGAGGATTTATTAACTCATGTCTCTTTAAGTAAGTGCTTTCAATTTTTCTTAAAAATGCGATTTTTTTCTTTATAAAACACTGTGATTTGATGTGTAATAGTTTACTCCATGTATACTCTGAAAAAGCATAGAGTTTGATTGATACTTTCTTTTATATGAATTTGTCTAATGATTTTCTCTATATTGGAGGGTGAATAGTTAATACATCCAGACAAAATACATGAAGAACTTACAACAGAAATTGTATGTAGCTGTTTAAGATCTTACAAGTGTTACAATTTATTAGTACATCTATTGGAAAGTATATTAGTTCTCCAGCCTCTGTCTGGAGAACTTGGCACTTAAGTCCAATAATCTCCATTAGCATGACACAGAAATCAGACAAATAAACCATTTTCCTTTTCAGAGTTTGGTTCTTTTGTTTTATCTCAATATGTATAATATGTAAGATCCGCATGTTTTCAATGCTATTTGTGACGTTTATTTTTAACTTCCCTAAAGCTTATGTGAATTCAAAATTAGTGTTTCAACCAAAAACTCACGAGAGACCTAATTAAATTTGACTAAATGATCTAGATGTGCTTTGCACACACAGAAAGATAGTCTGGTTTGTATTTGTTCAGAAATGGTTGAGTGAGCTTCTATACCTGTGTCTCAATGCTTAATGGATATGAATGTTTGGATATTATAATATGGAAAGACATTTCCTGGATCTCAAATGAAGCCAAATAATATGGATGTTTTATTCACAAAATAATATTTATGTAAGTGTATAATCTTTATGTTTAGCACATTCTTTTTTTTTTTTTTTTTTTTGAGACGGGGTCTTGCTCTGTCACCCAGGCTGGAGTATAGTGGCACAATCTCGGTTCACGGCAGCTAAGCAATTTTCCCACCTCAGCCTCCCAAGTAGCTGGGGTTACAGGCACCCACCACCATGCCTGGCTAATTTTTGCATTTTTTAGTAGGGACGGGATTTCACCATGTTAGCCAGGCTGGTCTCAAACTCCTGACCTTAGGTGATCCACCCGCTTCGGCCTCCCAAAATGCTTGGATTACAAGCATGACCGCACCTGGCCTGGCATATTCTTTTAAAATTTGTTTTGCAAGAAGTGTCCTACTACAGTTTTAATCATGTTCAAATCAGAACTTGATTGCTAGCAAAATATGTTATTAGGATTATTTCATTTTCCTTTTAACATTTAAGCACTATTCCACACAGAGACATGATCGTACAACTAATTTGATCATATTAACAAGAGGTTGGTTTTTAAACCAAGCAGTATAAATATAAATACAGCCTTGGGTAGATCATAGTCAAACTATCCAAATGCAACCTCAGCTTCAAAGATTGTAAAGTCTTTTCTTTCCCCTTTTCTCCTTTCCTTTTTTTTTCCTCCAAATATTTATTTACTACCTACCATGTGCCAGGCACTGTGATGGGCTATGAGGATGCAGTGGGGGATAGGACAGATGCCATCCCTGCCCTGAGGAGACTTGCAGTTTATTGGAAAAGATGGACATCGTAAAATATACAATCATACAAATAAAAATTACATAAATAATTCAGTACTTCAACTTGTGGGAGGTACAGCAGTTTATAATAATAACATCCCTCCCACCTTCTTGAGAGAGTCATTGGTTGCCCCACTTCTCTTCATGAATGAGAGGACATGATTAAACCTATCATTTCAGGTAGGAGTTTACTGTGGGATGGATATCAATCTTCTATTAATATGTTTGTGCTCATGCTCTCCATTTTGCAATGGACACTTCCAATATGCAAGGCAGGCTGTATTAGGTGTTGGGAGAGGGCTACAAAGATGAGAGAGACAGTCCTTTCCTGGAGGAGTAGAGAGCATGTATGCAATATGTGTATACACACAGTCTATTTATTAATATATATCTACCTATGTATGTGATGTTTACAACAAGGAATTTCAGGAATTCAGGGGTGGTGGTGAAATAACTTCTAGTTCGGGTGATCAGCTGATGTTTCCTGGAGGTGACCGTTTAACTGATCCATAAGAAATAAATTGGACTTTGATAAGAAAATATGGTGGATAAAGGCAAATGAAATAGAATAAACAAAGACAAGAAGGCAGGAAAATTTGAGGCATATCGAAGGACTGACACAAGAAAGAAAAACAGAAATGCATCATCAAACCAAAAAATGGTTATATGGAAATAAAAGGAAATCAGGTTTGTAGGAGAAATTAAGCCCAGATCACTGAGATTTTTAAGTACTTGTTTAAAGATACATTGGACTTTCTTTGAGGGATCACATATGGCTACTCCCAATATTTAACCAGAAAAGGCCTTGTAGAAAAAATTAATCAGCACTGTGAAGGAGGGTGACTACAGGGAGGAAGGCCCGAACTCAGAGCCCAGCTAGGTTTGTTGCTATAATCTAGGTGGGAGATGGGGAAGACCTGAATAGTCAGTGCTCATCTGGTAAATTAGTGTTTTGGCTTTGAAGCAAATTTACAACAATCCCCTGAACTTTCCCAGAGATAATCTGTAGAATGGAGAAGCCATTAGGCTACCCCTCTAAAGTCACAAAGTGATTGCTTGCTGACCAGCTTAAAAGCCAAGTTTTCCTGATCTGTTGGGAAAGACACGATAGCCTCTGAACACTCATAATACAAATACCATTTAAAATGGAAAAATCATAAGGATGGTAGACAGATTATGCTTCATATCACTACTAATATCTCTGAACTGATTTTAGCTGATTTATGAATAAATGATTACTCCAGTTTTGAGAGTTAAATATTTAAAAGTTAACTTTCTTTTAGAGTTCATGTATAATACACGGCTAGTTCTCTGTGCTGCAGACTTCCGCTCTTCATTTCCTTCTTTTTAATACATTATAATTATTATTCCTACTCTATCCTTTTTCAGTTTCCCGCATGAAAATTACTTAAACGTTGCACACAACGTTTCACAAAATCTTTTGTGAAAGAAGAAAAGGAAATTCAGTGTGTGAGTCTCAGCAGGAGTTAAGCTAATGCAGCTTAAAATAATGCCGAAAAAGAAGCGCTTATCTGCGGGCAGAGTGCCCCTGATTCTCTTCCTGTGCCAGATGATTAGTGCACTGGAAGTACCTCTTGATCGTAAGTATTAACGTTTTAAAGCTGTTAGGCCCAGGAGTCAAAGCCTCCCAGCATTTATCATCACTCTGAACTGCGTGAATGGAGAAGGTGTCTGTGTGATACTGAAAAGCTAATCAAAATTAATTTGGCTTTTACCTTCAGCACCTGGTGTTTATAAAGATTCACACTGTAGAAGTGGCCATTGAAATGGTCAGACTCACAATTCCCTCCCTGTCATTCTCCTTCTTCCCCCTCAGGTGCCTTTTGTCTGCCCTGCTGGGGATGGCCTGAGAAGGATTGAGTTGTGCAAGCTGCCTGATCTTCCCAACAGGCGGCTCTTTAGAGAAGCAGTCCTGCAAGAAAACTATATGAGCCACTTTAAAATGATCATGGAGACCTCCCCACTCATCCCTTCACCACTTTACTCTTTCCCGTCATATGCTGAGGGTGGTCTGCAAAGATGAGGGGAGGCTCCTTCTGCCAACTCCATGCCCCTCGGAATCCCTAAACCACCCCAGAATTCATTTCTCTTGATTCAGACAAGGCGCATCTCACTTTCCAATTTTGAATCCTAAATATAAGTCTAGAACTAGGAAAAGTATCTTATCTAGAGCCTAACAAATAGTCTTATTTGGTTTAAACAGTGTGGTCAAATGCCAAAATGCAACTGCTAAAAATACAAGTAATATGCAAAGCACTAAAATGGAGCAAACAACAGCTACTGTATTAGCCCTCCATTTTCCTAGTAGTAAATATATACTGTGCTCTCCCTGCTCTGGGTGGCCTGTTTGTGAAAAATAAAGATAATGCTAGGTTCCACCCAGTCACTTTTCCTGCAAATGGAAAGCAAAATTTCAAATCTGGACAATTACTGTACTTCAGAATCGATTTCTCCTTTATCCCTCATCTGCATGACCTCTTTGAAGCCATTAGCTTCCTGAATAGAATATCTGTTTGGCAAGCTTTCCAAGGTGCAAGGAAGATAGCACTTTCCTGGGGCTATTCAATTGTTGGGATGTCATTTTTATTTATTTATTATTATTATTATTATTTATTATTACCATAGAGGTTGCAACTGCCAGTGGGAAGACATTAAGAAGAGATGTGGTTTGTCCCACACTTTGTTGACTTTTTGCTGTGCTTCTATAAAGTTCAATAAAATGCAGTGCTTTTCTTATTTAAAAAAAATTCATCCAGTGACCTTAATTTCAATTTTCAAAAAAATATACAATTGCTTAAGCCCATTGGAGTGGGAATGCCTAAGTAAGCATTTGCCCTGACAGATACACAGGAGGGAAAGAAAACATTTGAGAGAAATGCTTTTGTTCTCTCTTATATTAAATATATTCCCCCTTAATCTGACTGTTCAATCTGTCAAGCAGAGGGAAACAGTCACCTATGGCTAACTCAATTATCACTGCTAACGGAGAAGAGGCATAACCATGATGAAAAGAAAGTCACAGAAAAACCCAGGTGCTCCTATATTAACCTTTGCAAGTAGTAACGACAGACAGCACTGTGGAATGATTTGAATTGCATGCTAATGTAATTTCTTCCCTGCCCCTATTTCTTACATCGTTTCTCTACTACATGAACAAGTCCTTGGTGTGGGCACCAGCAACCCCTGAGTGATTGAGAAATTATGAAGCAGAAATCTGCTAACAGTCTAAAAAGTTCAATTAATGACTTTGGAGATTAACCATAGAAATATAAAAATCTAAAATTAGTGTTGGACTTGGCTTGCATGGAGCATTATCACTGTAGCAATGTCCCATTGTTAGGTATTATTACCATATGCACAGTGATGTCTGGGATAATATGACCAGACACTACACAGTATGTGACAACTCAAATTAATTGTAGATTTCAGCTGTTTTTCAAATTGAACATAATTACTTGTCCAACACAACATATATGGAATGGAATTCGCTATTCCTATTCCTGGAAGAACTCGTTTGCCTACAGCATTGCTTTTGTTCTTCCATATGTTTATGTGGGAAAGCTGCTGCAAGATTAAAGGAAACCGTTAATGCAAATTTCTTCGTCTTGCAACTTCACAAATTCAACCTTCACTATACAGGTTTTCTTAGATCAAATCAAATAGACAAGATGCCCCCTTTATCTTCAGAGTTCTAACGTTCTTATTATTAACATCTGATTTTCTTTAATCCTCTTTGCCCACTTACCTGCTGATATTGATGGGGAAAAAGCAAAACTTCTTGAAGACTGTAAGTGTCCTTCTATAAATTACTAGGCAGTGTGAAAATGTGACCATGTCTTTGCTTTTTGAATTAATATTGTGATTTAAATGCACAATTTCATGTTTTGTGACCTTTGTCTTTCTAAGCATGTGTGTTTACTGTAGCTAAACATTGTATTTCAATACCAAGAAGCAGTTGTAAAGTATTATCTGCATGAATTCTGAAAACTTGGCTATTACTCTTTCTTTTACCAGTGTGCTGCTCTACTAACTTCCAAGCTTTATTCACATCTGATGTAACTCAATGAGAAAATTCTCAAAATTTAGAGAGAATGCTGATCTGTTGTAAAGGCTAATTAATGCTTTCTGGAACAAAGATAGGTCTTTTTGTGTCTTTTAGAAGGTGGGTGCAGGCAAAAGCTTTACACAAGATGGCAGCTGTATGTCCTTTTATGCTTCTTCAGCCTTCGTGACTATGTAGACTAGTATTTCTAGGTGCCATCAGTAGACTAACCCAGCGAATTTGAATCTTGTCTTGAAGTGGACAAAAGATAAGCAGCTCCCACTCACATGGTATTTGAATGGCTTGCTCTGAGCAAAACTTTCCACTGCCTTTGACAGGTGGCATTTATCACCTAGTTTAAAAATAGTCAGTTTTCAGGCATTTGATAATTTCCTTTGATGTTAGATTAACCAGGAAAATTATGTAAAATCACTGTTTTTCTTACTACTGAAAAGCATTTGTTAATTAGCAGGTGACCCAAGCACTGTTTAAGGAGGTATATCCAGACAGTAAACTCCTGGCAGTTAGGAGTGACATCTGAGCCAGCTCTGCTGCAGACCTGTGAATAGAAGCTCTGCCTCTGAAGCCACCAGATTTGCACCTGTGTCACTCCCAGAAAAGCACAAGGAATTGAACTGAGTCACTCCTAAGAATCCCCTCCCCCACTCCCTATGGCCACTATTCCTTGGATGTGGAATTCCAGGCTTCCTTCCATTATCCCAAATTCTATATACTCCCAGAGCCTGAAGGATCATTCAGAGGTGAATCTGGTCCAAATAAAAAATGATTATGATAATAATTTTAAAATAGCTGATGTTATTGAACCATTATAACATTGGTATACACTGAGAATTTTATAGTAATTATTTTCTTAATCCTGCTAGCTATCCTAGGTGGTAATACTACTTTTAAACTTTATTTTCCCTCTCAGGAAACTAGGACTTATAGAAGTTAAGAAATTGGCTTGAAATCTCACAGCTAGTAAGAAACAGACTAGTGCTTAACAATCAGGCCACCTTGGAAACTGACAAGGCTAGAAAAATGAGGATTCCATATGGATGACGGAGGGGGGAAGGGCAGCTGGAAAGACAAGGAGGGGGATGGGATATTCCAAAGGGAAGGGAAACTGACACTGCCCAGTACCCTGCATATAATAGTACACAATAAATGATGACAGTAATGAGGCTAGCTTTTGATTTGTACTTTAGCTGTTATTTGAATATTTAGTAAAAGATGTCTTGTGGATGGCAATAAGACTAGAAGACAAGAGAAGAGGACGCAACCGGGTTTATAGATTTATAAGACTGAAGATGTGGAGGTGATACATTTAGCTCTAGCAACAATTAACCACAAGAGAGACAAGAACAGTGGGCAGTTACTGAGCTTTGAGAAATGTTTGGTTGGCAAGTGGAAGAAGTTTCACAAAGGAAGCAGAGGTATGGGCAGAGAGGAAAGGGAAGATCCAGAAGATGAAAAACTTAAATGAGCCAGAATGTCAAATGCAGCAGGAAAGGAAAGAACAGTGAGAATCCAAGAGAGGGCCTTGGGGGAATTTCCCAGATGCAGAGGAAAGGTGCTGTGGTATGGCCACTGCATTGCACAGCTCCAGGGGTGCCAAGCACATTGTCGTCTGCCTCAGAACTTTTCAGCCTCAGCACTATGGATGTTTGAGACCAGATAAGTCTTTGTTGTGTGGAATTGTCCTGTACGTTGTTAGATGTTTAGCAACATCCCTGGCCTCTATCTACGAGATACCACTATCACTACCACCCCAGTCGAGACCATTGAAATGGCCTCCAGATATGGCCAAATGTCCCTGGAAGGGTGGAAACAAATTGCCTCTGGTAGAGAACCACTGGTCTGTGTAAACAGCTCTCCATGGAGTTGTGCAAGCAGTGGCTTCTTACCAGGAGCCAGTTGAGAGAGTTTAGGTCTCTGCTTTGTGCCTTCCTAGTCAAGCCATTTTGCTGCACTGAGTAAGAAAAAACAGGTTGTAAAAAATTATTCTTTAGTCACTTCCTGTCATAACACTAATTCTGATCTCACAAGAAGAAGGACATGGTGATTTTAGAACAATTTGAAGAGCATTAGTGGTCCAGATACAGGTTTCTTCAGATTAGATTGTTCTGGGTCAGAACAGTTTCCCCATAGGATTTGATAATAAAAGATCAGATAACACTTTGAAGAGTAAATGGGAACACTGTCTCCTAGGACAGAGAACTTCCTCAATTCCATTTATCTTCTAAATAAGACTCTTTTATCTTTGTTCCTCATTCACTTACCTCCTGGCTCTGATAAGAGATGTCACATCTCCAGTTTAACAGTCTGTTTAATATTAACTTCTCAAATGTATTTGTCCCCAACATATATTGATTTATATGAGCACACACTAATGACCTAAGTCTGTTACTCTTTCTTAAGAAAGATGCAAATTTATCATAACTTAAATTCCTTTGAAAAACATCATTTGAACCAAAGGAATCAAAAGAATTTCTCATTGTTACATCAGAAAAGAAACTGTCTTAATATTAGGTTTGTATTGATAATTATTTCCCCAAACTTTTAGTGTGAGAAAATGGACTTTGCAAGTACACATAGTTACCGAAAGAAAGTTAAACCTTGACTTCACAGTTTTAGCAGACCTTTAGCAGAAAAATCTACTGAAGTATATGCTGCTACACTAGAAATTACTAAAAATACTTGAAGCATATTTAGTCTAAGGTAAGTGATTTTGATACAGGAAAAAATGGCTACTATTATGATTTTAAATAATTTGTTTTTTTACATTTTTTTTTTTCTACAATTAAGTGGTACAGCCTCCAACCATCACCCAACAGTCTCCAAAAGATTACATTATTGACCCTCGGGAGAATATTGTAATCCAGTGTGAAGCCAAAGGGAAACCGCCCCCAAGGTGAGTGTGCATTCTGCTTTGTTATAGTACTGAGAATAAATCAGGAAATCTCTCTGAATAGAGAAATATGTTTGGGAATTTCCATCAAACAAGGCAGACTATGTAGAGCACTTCCTTTTTCAGTTGGATATTTCTCACTGTGACTCACTAGATTGCCCTTTGGTTCATCTATCCCAGCCCATTTCAGCCCTTCAAAGATACTGAAGGTAACTTCTTGGGTCCTGCATATCCCTAAAGTCTCACCTGTAGGTGTATTGTTTTGTCTCTCTGCTTAATTAGAGCCCATTTTTTCTTCTTGAAAACCCAGATTATTGCATTTCTGTGCCCATGCTTTTCTGCAAAATGCTTATAAATTGTGAGGAGTTATGGAAAGAGCCTTTTGATTCTGATTTTGATACTAATGGCCATAAGGCACAGGCAAATCCCTTTTCTCTGGGCTTTAATTTCCTCATCTATAAAGAGATTGAATTTGATGACTTCCAAGATCTCTGCTGTCTTTGTAACAGTTTATAAAATAGTCTAAAATGGTTTTCCAAACTTGGCAGAGTTCAGTCATGAGAATTCATGCCATTTGGATCTTGCATAGCATTTTAGATCACTGCAAAGCATTTTAGAGTTGGGAGAGATATTAGAGATAACCCAGTCCAACCAATACATTTTATAGATGGGAAACTGATGCCTGGTAATGCTAAGTAACTTATTCAAGGCCCCACAGCGGATGATCTGTAACATGTCCAGTCATATATGGAAGTTTTGGAGAGTTGGGTTATTGTTATTAAAATGTAATGTGGATTTTTAAGCAATAAAGTAGTGAAAGTTTCCAGTTATTTTATTTCCAGGTTTGTCTATTACAGACCTTATTAAATTATCACAAACTGGCCCCTGAGAAAAAATTAACTGGGACAGAATATGTACTATGTCAAAACTTCCAGCAAAGGTTTGCCTCAAAATAATATATTCGGCTATGTTAATGGAAAGCCTCTCTCGCAGAAGGCCTGATGTGGTATCCCTTGATGAGGTTTCCTTTCAGTTTCACAATTAATGCCTTCTGTAACTTGCCATAAAACAGGATTTATCCTCTTCAGCATTGTTGATATATGGAGTGTGATAGATAATATTTTGTTTGGGGGATGGAAGTGTCCTGTGCATTGTAGGATATTTGGCAGCATCCGTGGCCCCTGCCCACAATATGCCAGTAGCATCCACACCACCAGTTCCTGCCCTGGTTGTGACAACAACTGCTATAAAGATAAGCAGTGGGAAGGGAAATCCAAGTGATCCTAGAAAACACTGTGACGTTTAGAGATTCGTACCTTTGTATGAGCATGGCCATCATTGATTTGTGACTAGTTGTAAAGTATTTAATTACATGAGCACTGTGACTTTTATATAAGTCAATCTTTTATAAAAATAAAATGGAGAAAGAGGGATCTCAGTTGACAATTGGGCATACCTCCCAAGGGATTCTCAAAATCATCTCTAGAATTAAAAATTCCCAAAATGTTTTATGTAGAGTTACTATTTTTAATAAGCAACATTTAAGACACTCTGGAACTGATGTCTCTTAACCTCCTCCCAACCTACACTTCACAATTTGGTAACTTGAAATTTGTCTGATCAATTTTCATCATATATAAATAGTACTTGCAGAGGTCTTGTCACATTTTAGCCCCAAGCAAATTTTTATAGACAGGTTATCAACTCTGTGAACAATGGAGTTTACAGTAAAAATGCTAATAAAGCTCTAAGAGAGTGTACCTGGGAGACCTGCTCCCTCTATTTTCTTAGAAAAATGACAGGCAATTTGTGTGCATGATTTCTTTATTGAGTCAAATTTGGGCTAGTTCTAAAGAAGACAGGTACCTTAAAATGTATAGCCTGCCCTTTTTTCCCAGGTCATGATTCAATGAAACATTTTAGATATGAGGGCTTATTGCTCTCTTACTGAATATTAAAATCTGGTAATTATTTCTAGAAACCCATAAAACTGCTAGGAATTTGTTAAGGTAATCCCATTTTTCTGGACCATTAATACACTTAACACTTCGTGTGTTGGGCAGCTTTTCCTGGACCCGTAATGGGACTCATTTTGACATCGATAAAGACCCTCTGGTCACCATGAAGCCTGGCACAGGAACGCTCATAATTAACATCATGAGCGAAGGGAAAGCTGAGACCTATGAAGGAGTCTATCAGTGTACAGCAAGGAACGAACGCGGAGCTGCAGTTTCTAATAACATTGTTGTCCGCCCATCCAGTAAGTGGAAACTTGTCAACCAACATGACCCTTTTTAAAGTATTGCTCCAAGACTCAGCTTCTGTGACATCATCCAAATACTATTCAACAAAGCAGTGGCATTGCTTCCAATATTCTGACTTTGTTTTGCATGAAAGTTATTGCTCCTTTCCACCTTACCCTAGGAAGCTCCTTAGTCCAATGCTTTACCAATCCAATATATCTTTTACAGAAGTCCTGTGTAAGACATTGGGGTTAAAAAAAAAAAGTGTTTCTTCCCTGAGTTCATCTAATTATTTATTTCTCATGTATCTCCTGTGAAAGTGAAATTCCTACAGCCAAATGGAAATAAATTCAGTATGATATGGGTGATCAAGGTCTAAATGCTATTTCTTTAAACATTTTTGTTTCAAAATTTTACTGGAAGTGGAGTGTCCTCACTACCTTGATATTATTAAGGCTCTTTTTGCAATGGTTAGTACCAAAATCCTCTCAAAAACCTTAAGAGCATGTATTTAAATAACAGTCACATTTTTCAGTTCTGGTCATTTAAAAAAAATTACATGTATAATACATGTTCGTTGTAGAAAAACTAATTAAACAAAAAAGAAATTTAAAAACTGTTCATGAATCCTTCCATTCAAGGAAATAACTACTGCTGAAATATTCTTTCTATTTTTTCCTAGGCAGATATGTATGTATGTGTTTAAAACCAGCTCATTTTCTGAAATACTATCTTACAACCTTTTCTGACTTATTGACATATCGTGTATATTCCCATAGCGATCTTATAAATAAGTGTACTTATATAATACTCTATGGTATTCAGAGGTGTAGATGTGTAATTCTTTATTTAGCAAATCTTTTTACATTTAAATGTTTTCCATTCTTTTGTGAAGAACATGCTTGTGTCAAAACTGTTTGTCTTCCTGATGATGTATGTAGTATAAATTCTCAGCTGTGGAATCACTGACTGAGAATTTATACTATCAGTGGCAATGCATGAGAATTGTCATTTTTTAAATTTTTACTTTTTTCTTTTAACATTGTATTTAAAAATATTTTCTCATTAATTTAGTGTACATAAATTACAAATTATTTCTCCAAAACTTCAGTTTGCCTTTATTTGTAGGGCTTTCTTTTTGTACTTTTCAATGCAGAAATAACTGAGAAGTTATTTTTTTATTTAATAGGATCACCATTGTGGACCAAAGAAAAACTTGAACCAATCACACTTCAAAGTGGTCAGTCTTTAGTACTTCCCTGCAGACCCCCAATTGGATTACCACCACCTATAATATTTTGGATGGATAATTGTAAGTTTTGATAATATGAACTTTCTTTCTTTAAAAGTCTTAGGATTGTTTACAGTCATAATACATTATTACCTCTTATGATTCATAAAATGTTTTAGAGATGCTCAGGAAAACAGCTGCTCTTCAAAATAAATAACATGTCATCTCATTCACTCACTCAATTTTATTGGACATTTACTATGTATCTTGCTTATATTCTTTGCAGTGGGAGGAGATAGGAGTGGGGAAGGAGGCAGATGATAAATGCAATAAGTACATTTAGAAAATCTGTGTTTGTTGGCAATAAGTTCTATGAAAAAAAAAAAGCAGAGTTTTGAGCAGAGACCTAAGGAAATGAGAGAGCAAGCCATGCCCCTAAATATCTGAGTAGAAAGGGAAAACTAGTGCTAGCCCCTAAGGAAGGAGCATCTCTGCTGTGTGTAAAAATAAAAGCAAGGAGGACAAGGTGGCCAGACTAATGAACTAATGAAGGAGCCGAGCGGGAGGGTGATGGAGAAGGTGAGAAAGGTCACAGGACTCAATGGAAAGGACTTTGGCTTTAGCTTGGAATGAAGTAGGGAAATGTTGAAGGAGTGACTTTATCTGAAATAAAATAAGTAGTAACAGTATCACTTCAGTTGATATGTAGAGAATATAGCGGGCAAAAGAGAGAGTAGAGAGACTGTTGGGGCCACTGCTGTAATCTAGATGAAATTTGTTGGTGACTTGGACTTGAGTGGTAGCAGTAGAATGGGTAAGAAATGGTAAGATTCTGGATATATTTTGAGGGTCAAGCCTCCAGGATTTACTGGGGTGGGGGTGGGAGCATGAGAGAGAGGAATCAAGGATAACTACCTTTGGAGATTGAACAACTCCAAAATGATAAAATGGAATTGCCATTCCCAGAAACCCATGGCGGGGAGGAAGTCAAGCTGTTGGGGATATGTTATGTTTCTGTTAGTTTTTTTAATCCCCAGCAATAGCTAATAGTTATTGGGCCTTTACCAAGTGTCAGGCCTTTTACTAAGGGCTTAACATGGGTTATTTCATTAATTTTTACAACAACCCTATGAGGCATGTCCAATTATTTTTTCCACTTTCCAGATGAGGAAACTGAGGCAGATATAATGAAGCTATTCATTAGGCAATTTCAAACTTGTCTACCCCTGTTTCTGTCCTCAAGGGCATGTTTGTTGCTCTGCCTCTTCCACCTTCCAAAATTTCCTGTGCCAATAGGTCAGCGTGTTACCTTAGAGGGAGTACATGGTTCTGCTTGGAGACTAAGAAACCAGAGTTTGGGATGTGAGAGGCCTGTAAGATATTTCATGGCAAGACACCAGCAAGAGTCAGAGATACCTGAGTCAGAAGGAGGATTCCAGGCTATGATCAGCAATGTTTGAAACCTTAGTGCGTAAGTCCTGCCTAGAGGCCTGGGCTAGATGAGAGGATCTGGGAAGCAGGAAAGCAGAGTCTGGGAGACTGAGACCAGGAGCCCTCCAGAGGTGAAGAACTCATGGAGAAATCAGCAAAGCAGATGAGAAGAAGCAGTCACTGAAGGAAAAAAGGAACAAAGAGAGTGGTGTCCCCAGGGACAAGGTGAAGAATGTGTGTCAAAAAGATGGATTAACCAGGCAGGGTGGCTGACACTGTAATCCCAGCTAATCGAGAGGCTGGGATGGGAGGATTGCTTCAGCTCAGGAGTTCAAGGCTGCAGTGAGCTACAATCACATCACTGTAGTTCAGCCTCAGCAGCAGAGTGAGACACCATCCCTAAAATAATGATAATAATTTTAGAAAATATTTTTGAAAGACACAATTATTAGCTATTTCAAATGCTGCTGAGAGATCAGATAATATGAGAACTAAAAAATGACTACTGAATTTGACATCTTGGAGGTTCTTGGTAACCCTGTTAATAGTCTTTTAGGTGGAATGGTGGGAATGAATTAAAAGTATCTGTAGGAAATACGTTCTATTTTCAGTGACCTGATTGTCTGTGCACTCACAAGACATATACATTACTAAAGAGAAAATTTGCCTCTAACATTTAATCTGCATTTTAATTTTTTAATTTAATTTTTTTTTATTTTACTTTAAGTTCTGGGATGCATTTTGGCTCTCCTTATATGAAAGCACTCAGAGAAAGTAAAGTAACACAAAGAAATAAAAAACAAATATATAGCTAAGTAAATCTAGTCTTTTACAGATTTTGCAAAAATAAGTAGTAAGCCAAATGTAAATAAGTGACTTATGGCTTTAAGAATAATGCTCTCCGAATACCACTGCCAAAATAAGGCTCAATATTTGGTACTTGGTTCTTATTCAGAAATAATGACCTTTTTGCTTAATAAAGAGACATATCACATGTAAAGTCTCAGAGTCATCTGAATACATAACTAATTTTTCCACTCACATGCATTCTAGGCTGTTGGTGAAGCATCTGACCTTTCAAATGGAATTGCACCTGCAATATGAGAAAAAAATTTATATAGCATACTTCTTGCAAGATGACATTAAGTTATTCCTATCTGCATACATTTTTTTTCAAGTGCAATGCAAAATGCCACCACCCTCATGAAGTCCCATCGCCTAACATTTGGTCTGCCAACACCCTTCAATTTATTATTTTATTGCTACAGCAGGAGAAACAGAGGACAAGAAATGTTTTTGTCTTAAACTCTTTGTTAAACAAAATGTACCTAATTCTTCTGAGGGTTTTTTTTTTTGTTTTAGATGGAGTCTCGCTCTGTCACCCAGGCTGGAGTGCAGTGGCACAATCTCAGCTCACTGCAGCCTCTGCCTCCCGGGTTCAGGTGATTCTCCTGCCTCAGCTTCCCGAGTAACTGAGATTACAGGTGCAAACCACCACGCCTGGCTAATTTTCGTATTTTTAGTAGAGACAGGGTTTTGCCATGTTGGCCAGACTGGTCTTGAACTCCTCACCTCAGGTGATCCACCCACCTTGGCCTCCCAAAGTGCTGGGATTACAGACATGAGCCACCAAGCCCGGCTTGGGTTATTGTTTAAACAGTCCTTTTCCCGGGAACTAATGGCTTAAAACCATAAATTTGCAACCACCAACCAAACCCCCATCTTAACCAATAATTTGATTAACATGATGAACCGATGTTCTTTCTTTGAAGCTCTGCCTCCACATTTTCCTGCCTTTTTCTGCCTGAGGGAGCTCCAGACTTTTAACCATAATTTTGCATTTCATGAAATGTTAGATCAAGCACCTGCTATAGGAGGAGCAGACCTGCTTGACTTACACTGCAAAAACCCTGTCAGGAGACATAGTGGCCTGAGGCCACTGGGATGTGTGACTTTTTTCAGTTCTGTCACCTCACAGAACTGAAGAACTCTCACAGTTAAGGCTCTGTGGACTAAGTCAGGAGCTTCAGGATGTCCATTAGCTGGCTAAGTGTGAACTCACACACAGATCAATCGTTCCACCTCCCTGCATCCTTCATCCACTTAGAAAATCTTCCCTCTAAATAACTTCTGATACTATTGCACAGTAGGGTGACTGTGGGTAACAGTAATGCATTGCATATTTCAAATAGCTAGAAGAGAGGATTTTGAACGTTTTCACAACAAAGAAATCGTAACTGTCTAAGGTGATGGGTATGCTAATTACCATGATTTGATCATTACACAATGTATATGTGTATTGAAATATCACATTGTACCCCACAAATATGTACAGTTTATTATGTGTCCATAAAAGATAAAGAAAATCCTCCTACCTAAGGCAAGATAGTTCCTTAACTGGACCTAAGGGGAAGTACTAATAAATTATTATGCTTGACACTGGAAAGTCAGAGTGCTGATGGTTACTCACTTAATCCTTCAGTGCACATTTAAAGGAGCCCCGTGAAGGGCCAGGCACTGTTCCAGTGGACAAAACAGATGAAAGTGTTCACCGTCCTGGAGCTTAAATTCTAGTGCAGGAAATAGGCAATAAGTCATATGTATGATGAGTAGATATGTAGTATGCCAGAAGGTGATAATTAATTCAGAAAAGAATTGTAGAGGAGGTGGAGGAACTGGGCTTGGGAGGCTTGTGAGGGGCAGGTTGCAGCATTAAATAAATAGTGTCATCATCACACCCAGTTACTGTCAGCTGGCCATTTGCTGCCTGATTCTTCAACTGGATGATGAGCTCAGACAGGGCTGGGACTCTGGCATGCCCAGTGCCTAGCACAGGACCCAGCTCATTGTTAGATGGTCTCCACGTATTTAGTTTCTGAATGTTGTGTGTAGATGCAACCCATGTTAACAATTTTAGAAGCTTCCTTAATGATTTTCTAAGATATATGTGTATGTGTACTTAACAGTTAGGGACTCAGATATTAGGAAAAGTCACGCCAACTTTTTATAAAACATATTTTGTTCACTTTTGCTTAAAAAAAGATTTCACTGTATAACTCTAATCTCACCTCTGCCCCCACCCCAGAGAAGTTACTGTCAGGGAAGTAGAGTTAGAGTTTTAGTGTGTTACGTATTTTTTTTTTTTTTTTTACAGTTATTTGCTTTTACCCAAAGAGCTATATAGAGAAAAAATATATTCAAATGAAGTTCACAGACCTATTAGTAGGTACATTTATCTTGCTAATTTGGAGGGTAGCCACTTTATGATGGAATAATCTTGATATCTCTCTGCCTTTCTCCAGCCTTTCAAAGACTTCCACAAAGTGAGAGAGTTTCTCAAGGTTTGAATGGGGACCTTTATTTTTCCAATGTCCTCCCAGAGGACACCCGCGAAGACTATATCTGTTATGCTAGATTTAATCATACTCAAACCATACAGCAGAAGCAACCTATTTCTGTGAAGGTGATTTCAGGTAAGAGTTCAGCTTCCCAAATCTCCCCTTCAATGACATTTACAAATATGTGCAAAATATAGAAACTATTATATACTACTGACTTTGAAGTAAACAGGTTCATTATCAGGAAGCCACCCATGAATGCTCACTAAAGTGTTGGCATATATGTTATAAAGATTGTGCATACCCTTAATATTGGATTTTACATTTTTTGCTTTTATTGTCATGACTGGTTCCATGATAACCTTCTGAACCACCTGGTGTTCTGAGCATTTATGTGTGCTTTATGCTCCACAGTGCCTCTTATTGGCGGTCCTGCAGCTTAAGTTAAATGTCTGCATATTCCTGGTGGGGGTGGCTGAGTAAATTAATGAGTTAGTCATGTACAATGTAAAGCACTGTTTTTACTTGATAGGAACAGCACTCGGTCAGGATAGCTGCATATGTTTGCTTTTATTGCCCAATACTTTTTGACCCTTCTCCCCCACTTTTATGCCCTCTTCATAATATTCTGTTTATTTCAGTGGATGAATTGAATGACACTATAGCTGCTAATTTGAGTGACACTGAGTTTTATGGTGGTGAGTTATGGTGATTGTAACTGATATTCTCTCCTTCATTGTAGAATTTAGTTCACTAACTTCACCTCCATGACTATTTAACCTTATTTCTTTATGAGATTTCTAGTTATATGTTAAATACCACTAGTATAAATGTATGTTTCTTATGAAATTTACCTATAAACTTTGAAGCATGCCACTAGAGCATTTTCCATGATGTATGTGTAATAATGAAACCTGTTGTAACTGTTTGCGTGTAAAGAACCATTTCACTGATTTGGAAAAACCTTTCACGTACGTTCAGAATTATGTTTTCCATGTTTTGTTCTGTTCCAAACTTTTCTTGTGAACTAAGTAAGAGTTGGCAGGGTGCATTAACTTGCTAGAATACTGACTCATCAAAGCTTTTAGCAACTAACATTAAGGGGATTTCATAGTAAATCATCACACTTGTCATCTGTTTTCATGTGACATTATCAATATAATTAGCAATGAGATTTCTCTCTTAGTTTTGTTTAAAAGTAAGTCAAACCAAGTCACTGTCTTCAATGGAAGTAATCTTTTTAAAAGTAGAGCATTTACCTTCATTATTTTAGATAGAAATGAATTTGATTCCCTTAAGGGAAATGTTCTCAAGTAGAGTCTATGAATGAAAATAATGGGTTTTGGATAAAGGGTCCTCTTAATTATCCATAAGGTAGAATTTCTGCTGTATTAATTTTTCACCCTTGAGATATAAGTAAAAGACATTAAGGTCTCATCAGTGACCAAGATAGACACTCCACAACTGCTGCTTTCTGTTATTTTATTTGAATATACTCCTGAAAAATATGGGCCCCAAGACCATTCCCAAAGTGATTTTAGAGGAGTAAGTTTCCCCGCTACAATCTCTAAATTCTTAGGAAAACTAATTTTTCTCAAGTAATATATCTTCTGGCATTGAATTTTTTCTTCTGAGAAATGAGAATAATTCATAGTATATGACCTTTTCATTAAATTTTTATAAGCATCAAGTAGATAATGCATTAAAGAGTTGAAAACCTTCAAGGGCTATAAAACCTTAAGATGATGTAATTTCTGCTCCAAGTTTTTCTAAGAAACCTTCAGAAGATAAGGCTATGTTTTGGAAAGGCCTCCATAAAAAAGAAGATGGCCTGTGTAACTATCCCTAAGATCTTTGACTTGGATCCTCTTTATTTTTTTATTGAGGAAAATGATTTCCATTTATTTAACTCCACCATTATTCTTATTTTGTGGCATAATATTTGCAAGACCTCTGTCAGTAACTCTCTACTTTTGTTTTCCATAAACCTCACAGTTTGAGGATCTTAATATGATTAATCAGTGGTATTGGCTATAATGTTGTCCCCACTGTAAACCAGAATACCCCTTCTATAACCATATCTTTATAAAAATCTAACATCTTCCAGAAGATAGACAGTTAATTTTTGCTTCGACCTAAGCACTAATCCTAAGGGAAATGTAGTTTGATAACATGATTTTCCTCTCCATGTCAACATATTGAAAATTTTCTAACCCACAGAAAATTTGTAAAAACCTAACCCAAATTAAGGGAGTATACAAAAGGAAAACAGTCCTTATTATTAGTGCTTATGCCACCAAAATTGTTTCTGTTCCTGGGTAACTGAGTAAGTGATGACTACTTATAACGCAGAGAGTGTGTATGTGTATGTAGCTTAACAAATTTCACAATTAATGTTAAATAGCTTAAAAAGGGATTGGAATTTTAGACAGCTTTTTTGACAATGAAGTGTTTATAGAAATACATATTTATAAGTTGTAATGCATACTGATTTTCTTGTTTGCAGCTAAATCAAGTAGAGAGAGGCCACCAACATTTTTAACTCCAGAAGGCAATGCAAGTAACAAAGAGGAATTAAGAGGAAATGTGCTTTCACTGGAGTGCATTGCAGAAGGACTGTGAGTTAACACTTTCTGTCCTGAAGTACATTTCTTATAAAAATATAGTAGGTTGGTAGAGAGAGGTTAATAATATCATAGGAGGAGTCATTGTCTTCTACTAATTCTAGCAAGCATCAAGAAAAATTTGGTAATTATTTCCAAAGTAGGCATATGAATCTCATATTATTGTTATAATTTTTTTAATGTAATAGTAATCTTATTGAAATAAGTATCAGTAATCACCTTATGATTGTTGAAATATTAGGTCTCATTGTTAAAATATTTTGTTAATATAGTAGTAGTATCTTAAAATAAGTATCAGTAATCACCTTGTGACTGCTATGATTATAATTAGAGTATATTATTTTGCTAGTTTGTAACCAGCCACCTCAAATTTAGTGGCTTAAAAATAATAGCTATTGATTACTGATCACTTGTCAAGAGGTCTACAGAGCAGTTGTCCTCTAACCAGCAAGGTTCGGCTAATTTCAGTTAAGCATGCTCATGTATCTGTTAGGTGGCTCAGCAGTGCTCTTGGGGTCTACTGGCTGTTAACTGGGGCATCTGAGTTGATGGCCATAAGTTGCTAACATCTCTCTTGCAGTCTTGTCCTGGCTTATTCTCCTAACAACAGACATCATGCACAGGGCCTGCCTCTTAAATCCTAGCCTCAGAACTAGCACACTGTCCCTTCACCTACTTCCTATTGGCAGGTCACAAGGCCAAGCCTAGATTCTTTGAAATAACTTAGTTGTGCACACTTCAAAATTGAAGCTACCCCAGAACTGACGCGCCTTTGACAGGAGTTGCAGGGAGGCCTTGCCCAAATACAAAAGCAACTGTGATGTTAGCTCTGTGTTACAAGGAATTTCTATATAGTCCCTGTCTTCTGCCTGACACAGAGCAAACACCATTGGTATGGGCGCATCTGCTGAAAACCTGGAATAGAATCTCAGAAACGTGCTGCCCTCACATGTGATCCCTGCTGTCCTTGACAGGCAACTCATTGGTTTCACATTCCTTCCTGAATCCAGGAAAACTTGACTTCAGGAGGCACGTGGAGGCCTCCGCTGGCCGAGGCAGGAAATCATACTATGCATTACTCAGCTCCTCAAGCTACGGAAAACTAGCAAAACCCCCTTTTAAAGATATGTTAAAACCCTATATCTTCTGCTAGAATTAAGAAAAAAAAATCCTCCCAGTTTCCATCGTTATGGTGTAAGAGAGTGGCATAGTCTGCCAGCCTCCAACCTTTGGGAGCAGAAGGTATCTATTCTCACAATTTAATGACTTCTTTTCCCACAAATGACATATTTCATAAAAAACTAAAATATGGTTGGTATTTGGAAATTTCACAATACTCCCAAAAGAATTTTTAAAACTTTGGAGTGTTGTAAGACCAAGATTGGGACTCTATCACTTACCAACCAGCCATCAGACTTATAGAATCAAAATATTTCCAATTCCTGACAATGGCTCAATACAGTAGCTGGCCTCCAAAACAATTCATGGCTTTTTCATAATTTCAAACTATGAAACTATGCTTTCATCTCCATCTCCTTCTTACCTTCATATCATCTGAGATGCAGATTAGTCTGACTATAAGGAAATATCAATATGTTATCAGATTCCACATGTATATAGATTTTCAAAATCTACTTATTTTTATACTTACAGCATGTTTTAATTCTAGAAGCTATTTCATCAGATACATATGCTCAGTTTATTTCTTACTTAACCAAACAAGCCAAACCAATATTATAATCAATTAATACCACTTGCATTTCTTTTTTTTTTTTTGCTTGAACCATAATTTATTATTTCTCATGGTTCCATGTGATGACTGGGCTAAGCTTTTTTAAATTATTTTTTATTTTCCATAGGTTATTGGGGTACAGGTGGTGTTTGGTTACATGAGTAAGTTATTTAGTGGAGTAAGTTATTTAGTGGTGATTTGTGAGATTTTGGTGCACCCATCACCCGAACAATATACGCTGTACTCTATTTGTAGTCTTTTGTCCCTCAACACTCCTCCACCCTTCCCCTGAAGTCCCCAAAGTCCATTGTGTTATTCTTATGCCTTTGTGTCCTCGTAGCTTAGCTCCCACATATCAGTGAGAACATACAGTGTTTGGTTTTCCATTCCTGAGTTACTTCACTTAGAATAATAGTCTCCATTCTCATCCAGGTCACCGCAAATGCCATTAATTCATTCCTTTTTATGGCTGAGTAGTATTCCATCACATATATATATACCACAGTTTCTTTATCCACTTGTTGATTGATGGGCATTTGGGTTGGTTCCCTGATTTTGCAGTTGCAAACTGTGATGCTATAAACATGCGTGTGCAAGTATCTTTTCTGTATAATGACTTCTTTTCCTCTGGGTAGATACCCAGTGGTGGGATTCCTGGATGAAATGGCAGTTCTACTTTTGGTACTTTAAGGAATCTCCACACTGTTTTCCATAGGGGCTGTACTAGTTTACATTCCCACCAGCACTGTAGAAGTGTTCCCTGATAACCGCATCCATGCCAACATCTACTGTTTTTTTGATTTTTTGGTTATGGCCATTCTTGCAGGAGTAAGGTGGTATTGCATTGCGGTTTTGATTTGCATTTCCCTGATCATTAGTGATGTTGAGCATTTTTTCATGTTTGTTGGCCATTTGTGTATCTTCTTTTGAAAACTGTCTATTCATGTCCTTAGCCCAGTTTTTGATGGGATTGTCTGTTTTTTTCTTGCTGATTTGTTTGAGTTTGTTGTAGATTCTGGATATTAGTCCTTTGTCAGATGTATAGATTGTGAAGATTTCCTCCCACTCTGTGGGTTGTCTGTTTACTCTGCTGACTGTTGTTTTTGCCATGCAAAAGCTCTTTAATTTAATTAAGTCCCAGGTATTTATCTTTGTTTTTATTGCATTTGCTTTCAGGTTCTTGGTCATGAATTCCTTGCCTAATCCAATATCTAGAAGGGGTTTTCCTATGATATTTTCTAGAATTTTTATAATTTCAGGTCTTAGATTTAAGTTCTTAATTCATCTTGAGTTGGTTTTTATATAAGGTGAGAGATGAACATCCAGTTTCATTCTCCTACATGTGGCTAGCCAATTATCCCAACACCAATTATTGAAAAGGGTGTCCTTTCCCCACTTTATGTTTTTGTTTGCTTTGTCGAAGATCAGTTGGCTGTAAGTATTTGGGTTTATCTCTGGGTTCTCTATTCTGTTCCACTGGTCTTTGTGCGTATTTTTATACCAGTATCAAGCTGTTTTGGTGACCATGGCCTTATAGTATAGTTTGAAATCAGGTAGTGTGAGGCCTCCAGATTTGTTCTTTTTGCTTAGTCTTGCTTTGGCTGTGTGGGGTCTTCTTTGGTTCCATATGAATTTTAGAATGTTTTTTTCTAATTCTGTAAAGAATAATGGTGGTATTTTGATGGGGATTGCATTGAATTTGTAGATTGCTTTTGGCAGTATGTCATTTTCACAATATTGATTCTACTCTTCCATGAGCATGGGATGTGTTTTCATTTGTGTCGTCTGTGATTTCTTTTTGTAGTGTTTTGTAGTTTTCCTTGTAGAGGTCTTTTGCCTCCTTGGTTAGGTATATTCCTAAGGATTTTTTTTTTTTTGGCAGCTATTATAAAGGGGGTTGAGTTCTTGATTTGACTCTCTACTTGGTTGCTGTTGGTGTATAGAAGAGCTACTGATTTGTGTACATTAATCTTGTATCTGGAAACTTTGCTGAATTCTTTTATGAGTTCTAGGGCCTTTCTGGAGAAGTCTTTAAGGTTTTCAAGGTAAATGATCATATCATCAGCAAACAGTGACAGTTTGACTTCCTCTTTACGAATTTGGATACCCTTTATTTCTTTCTCTTGTCTGATTGCTCTGGCTAGGACTTCCAGTACTATGTTGAAGAGGAGTGGTAAGAGTGGGCATTCTTGTCTTATTCCATTTCTCAGAGGGAATGCTTTCAACTTTTCCCCACTCAGTATTATGTTGGCTGTGGGTTTGACATAGATGGCTTTTATTACATTGAGGTATGTTCATTACATGCTGATTTTGCTGAAAGTTTTAATAATAAAGGGATGCTGGATTTTATCAGATACTTTTTCTGCATCTATTGAGATGATCGTGCGATTTTTGTTTTTAATTCTGTTTATGTGGTGTATCACATTTATTGACTTGTGTATGTTAAACCATCCCTGCATCCCTAGTATACAACCCACTTGATCATGGTGGATTATCTTTTTGATATGTTGCTGGATTCAGTTACCTAGTATTTTGTTAAGGATTTTAGCATCTATGTTCCTCAGGGATATCAGTCCATAGTTTCTTTTTTTGGTTATGTCCTTTCCTGGTTTTGGTATTAGGGTGATACTGGCTTCATAGAATGAATTGGGGAGGGTTCTCTCTTTCTGGTGGAATAGTGTCAAAAGGATTGGTACCAATTCTTCTTTGAATGTCTGGTAGAATTCTGCTGTGAATCCATGTGGTCATGGACTTTTTTTTGGTAATTTTTTAATTACTATTTTGATCTTGCTGCTTATTATTGGTCTGTTTAAGGTATCTAACTTTTCCTGATTTAAGCTAGGAGGGTTGTATTTTTCCAGGAATTTATCCATCTCTTTTAGGTTTTCTAGTTTATGTGTGTAAGGGTGTTCATAGCAGCCTTGAGTGAGCTTTTGTATTTTGGTGATGTCAGTTGTAATATCTCCCTTTTCATTTCTTGATGAGGTTATTTGGATTTTCTCTCTTCTTTTCTTGGTTAATCTTGCTAATGGTCTATCAATTGTATTTATCTTTTCGAAGAACCAGCTGTTTGTTTCATTTATCTTTTGTATTTTTTGTTGTTTGTTTCAATTTCATTTAGTTCTGCTGTGATCTTATCTCCTTTCTTCTGCTGGGTTTGGGTTTGGTTTGTTCTTGTTTCTCTAGTTCCTTGAGGTGTGACCTTAGAATGTCAGTTTGTGCCCTTTCAGTCTTTTCGATGTAGGCGTTTAGAGCTATGAACTTTCCTCTTAGCACCGCCTCTGCTGTATCCCAGAGGTTTTGATAGGTTGTGTCACTATTGTCGTTCAGTTCGAAGAATTTTTTAATTTCCATCTTGATTTCGTTTTCTACCCAATGATCATTCAGGAGCAGGTTATTTAATTTCCGTGTTTTTGCATGGCTTTGAAGGTTCCTTTTGGAGTTGATTTCCACTTTTATTCCACTGTGGTCTGAGAGAGTGCTTGATATAATTTCAATTTTCTTAAATTTATTGAGGCTCATTTTGTGGCCTATCATATGGTCCATCTTCAAGAAAGTTCCATGTGCTGTTGAATAGAATGTGTATTCTGGGTGGCTAGAAAGATGGCTGAATAGGAGCAGCTCCAATCTGCAGCTCCCAGCAAGATCGATGCAGAAGGTGGGTGATTTCTGCATTCCCAGCTGAGGTACCTGGTTCATCTCATTGGGACTGGTTAGACAGTGGAAGCAGCCCACAGAGGGCGAGCCGAAGCAGGGTGGGGGTGTCACCTCACTCAGGAAGTGCAAGGGGTCGGGGAACTCCCCCCCCCCCCCAGCCAAGGGAAGCCGTGAGGGACTGTGCCATGAGGAACAGGAGGAACAGTGCATTCCGGCCCAGATAGTATGCTTTGCCCATGGTCTTTGCAATCCACAGACCAGGAGATTCCCTGGGGTGCCTACACCACCAGGGCACTGGGTTTCAAGCAAAAAACTGGGCGACCATTTGGGCAGACACCGAGCTAGCTGCAGGAGTTTTTTTTCATACCCCAGTGGTGCCTGGAACGCCAGTGAGACAGAACCATTCACTCCCCTGGAAAGGGAGCTGAAGCCAGGGAGCCAAGTGATCTAGCTCAGCGGATCCCACCCCCATGAAGCCCAGCAAGCTAAGATCCACTGATTTGAAATTCTGGCTGCCAACACTGCAGTCTGAAGTCGACCTGGGATGCTCTAAGTTGGTGGGGTATGGGCATCTGCCATTACTGAGGCTTGGGTAGGTGGTTTTCCCTTCACAGTGTAAACAAACCCACCAGGAAGTTTGAACTGGGCAGAGCCTACCACAGCTCAGCAAAGCCTCTGTACCCAGACTGCCTCTCTAGATTCCTCCTCTCTGGGCAGGGCATCACTGAAAGAAAGGCAGCAGCCCCAGTCAAAGGCTTATAGATCAAAGTCCCATCTCTCTGGGACAGAGCACCTGGGGGAAGGGGCAGCTGTGGGCGCAGCTTCAGCAGATTTAAACATTCCTGCTGCTGGCTCTGAAAAGAGCAGCAGATCTCCCAGCACAGTGCTCGAGCTCTGCTAAGGGAGAGACTGCCTCCTCAAGTGGGTCCCTGACCCCCGTGCCTCCTGACTGGGAGACACCTCCCAGCAGGGGTCGACAGACACCTCATACAGGAGAGCTCCGGCTGACATCTGGCAGGTGCCCTTCTGGGATGAAGCATCCAGAGGAGGGAACAGGCAGCAACCTTTGCTGTTCTGCAGCCTTCGCTGGTGATACCCAAGCAAACAGTGTCTGGAGTGGACCTCCAGCAAACTCCAGCAGACCTGCAGCAGAGGGCCCTGACTGTTAGAACAAAAACTAACAAACAGAAAGAAATAGCATCAGCATCAACAAAAAGGGCGTCCACACAAAAAACCCATATGAAGGGGTCACCAACATCAAAGACCAAAGGTAGATAAATCCACAAAGATGAGGAAAAACCAGTACAAAAGGTCTGAAAGTTCCAAAAACGAGAATGCCTCTTCTCCTCCAAAGGATCACAACTACTCACCAGCAAGGGAACAAAACTGGACAGAAAATGAGTTTGACGAATTGACAGAAGTGGGCTTCAGAAGGTGGGTAATAGTAAACTCCTCTGAGCTAAAGGAGCTTATTCTAACCCAATGCAAGGAAGCTAAGAACCTTGAAAAAAGGTTAGAGGAATTGCTAATTAGAATAACCAGTTTAGAGAAGAACATAAATGACCGGATGGAGCTGAAAAACACAGCACGAGAACTTCGTGACGCATACACAAGTATTGATAGCTGAATCAAACAAGTGGAAGAAAGGATAACAGAGATAGAAGATCAACTTAATGAAATAAAGTGTGAAGACAAGATTAGAGAAAAAAGAATGAAAAAGAATGAATGAAGTCTCCAAGAAATATGGGACTATGTGAAAAGACCAAACCTACGTTTGATTGGTGTACCTGAAAGTGACAGGGAGAATGGAACCAAGTTGGAAAACACTTTTCAGGATATTATCCAGGAGAACTTCCCCAACCTAGCAAGAGAGGCCAACATTCAAATTCAGGAAATACAGAGAACACCACAAAGATACTCCTCAAGAAGAGCAACCCCAAGACAAATAATCATCAGATTCACCAAGGTTGCAATGAAGGAAAAAATGTTAAGGACAACCAGAGAGAAAGGTTGGGTTCTCCACAAAGGAAAGCCCATCAGACTAACAGCGGATCTTTTGGCAGAAACCCTACAAGCCAGAAGAAAGTGGGGGCCAATATTCAACATTCTTAAAGAAAAGAATTTTCAACCCAGAATTTCATATCCAGCCAAACTAAGCTTCGTAAGTAAAGGAGAAATAAAAATCCTTTACAGACAAGCAAATCCTGAGGGGTTTTGTCACCACCAGGCCTGCCTTACAAGATCTCCTGAAGGAAGCACTAAATATGGAAAGGAAAAACCAGAACCAGCCACTGCAAAAACATAACGAATTGTAAACACCATCGACACTATGAAGAAACTGCATCAACTAACGCGCAGAATAACCAGCTAGCATCATAATGACAGGATCAAATTCACACATAACAATATTAACCTTAAATGTAAAGGGCTAAATGCCCAAATTAAAAGACGCAGGCTGGCAAATTGGATAACGAATCAAGACCCATCAGTGTGCTGTATTCAGGAGACCAGCCTCATGTGCAAATACACACATAGGCTCAAAATAAAGGGATGGAGGAATATTTACCAAGCAAATGAAAAGCAAAAAAAAAAAAAAAAGGCAGGGGTTGCAGTTGTAGTCTGATAAAACAGACTTTAAACCAGCAAAGATCAAAAAAGACAAGGGTATTACATAATGGTAAAGGGATCAATGCAACAAGAAGAGCTAACTATCCCAAAAATATATGGAGCCAATACAGAAGCACCCAGATTCATAAAGCAAGTTCTTAGAGACATACAAAGACACTTAGACTCCCACACAAAAATAGTGGGAGATGGCCAGGCGCGGTGGCTCATGCTTGTAATCCCAGCACTTTGGGAGGCTGAGGCGGGTGGATCATGAGGTCAGGAGATCGAGACCATCCTGGCTAACATGGTGAAACCCCATCTGTACTAAAAAAAATACAAAAAATTAGCTAGGCATGGTGGCAGGCACCTGTAGTCCCAGCTACTTGGGAGGCTGAGGCAGGAGAATGGCGTGAACCCAGGATGCGGAGCTTGCAGTGAGCCGAGATCGCACCACTGCACTCCAGCCTGGGTGACAGAGCAAGACTCCATCTCAAAAAAAAAAAAAAAAAATAGTGGGACACTTTAACACCCTGCTGTCAATATTAGACAGATCAGTGAGACAGAAAATTAACAGGGATATTTAGGACTTGAACTCAGCTCTGGACCAAGCAGACCTGATAGACATCTACAGAACTCTCCACCCCAAATCAACAGAATATACATTCTTTCCAGCACCACATCACACTTATTCTAAAATTGACCACATAATTGGAAGTAAAACACTCCTCACCAAATGCAGAAGAACAGAAATCATAACAGTCTGTCAGACCACACTGCAATCAAATTAGAACTCAGGATTGAGAAACTCATTCAAAACCACACAACTACATGGAAACTGATCAACCTGCTCCTGAGTGACTACTGGGTAAATAACGAAATTAAGGCAGAAATAAATAAGTTCTTTGAAACCAATGAGAACAAAGACACAATGTACCAGGATCACAATGTACAGCTAAAGCAGTGTTTAGAGGGAAATTTATACACTAATGTCTACAGGACAAAGTGGGAAAGATCTAAATTTGATACCCTAACATCACAATTAAAAGAACTAGAGAAGCAACCGAAACAAATTCAAAAGCTAGCAGAAAACAAGAAATAACTAAGATCAGAGCAGAACTAAAGGCGATAGAGACATGAAAAACCCTTCAAAAAATCAATAAATCCAGGAGCTGGTTTTTTGAAAAGATTAACAAAATAGACCACTAGCCAGACTAATAAAGAAGAAAGAGAGAAGAGTCAAATAGACACAATAAAAAATGATAAAAGGGATATCACCACTGATCCCACAGAAATACAAACTACCACCATATAGAGTATAGAGAATACTATAAACACCTCTACGCAAATAAACTAGAAAATCTAGAAGAGATGGATAAATTCCTGGACACATTCACCCTCCCAAGACTAAACTAGGAAGAAGTCAAATCCCTGAATAGACCAATAAGAAGTTCTGAAATTGAGGCAGTAATTAATAGCCTACCAACCAAAAAAAGCCCAGGACCAGATGGATTTACAGCCAAATTCTACCAGAGGTACAAAAAGGAGCTGGTACCATTCCTTCTGAAGCTATTCCAAGCAACAGAAAAAGAGGGTATCCTCCCTAACTCATTTTGTGAGGCCAGCATCATCCTGATACCAAAACCTGGCAGAGACACAACGAAAGTAGAAAATTTCAGGCCAATATCCCTGATGAACATTGATGCAAAAATCCTCAATAAAATACTGGCAAACTGAATCCAGCAGCACATCAAAAAGCTTATCCACCACAATCAATTCGGCTTCATCCCTGGGATGCAAGGCTGGTTCAACATATGCAAATCAATAAACATAATCTATCACATAAAGAGAACCAGTGACAAAAACCACATGATCATCTTAATAGATGCAGAAAAGGCCTTCGACAAAATTCAACAGCCCTTCATGCTAAAAACTCTCAGGACTATTAGTAATTGTTTTATAAATTTAGGAGCTCCATTGTTAGGTGTATATATGTTTAGGATTGTGATATTTTCCTGTTCGACAAGGCCTTTTACCATTATATAATGTCCTTCTTTGTCTCTTTTAACTGCTGTTGCTTTAAAGTTTGTTTTGTCTGATACAAAAATAGCTACCCCTGCTTGCTTTTGGTGTCCATTTGCATGAAATAACTTTTTCCACTCCTTTATTTTAAGTTTATGTGAGTCCTTATGTGTTAGGTGAGTCTCCTGAAGGCAGCAGATAGTTGGTGGTGAGTTCTTATCCATTCTGCAGTTCTGTATCTTTTAAGTGGAGCACTCAGGCCATTTACATTCAATGTTAATATTGAGATGTGAGATACCCTTGCATTCATTGTGCTATTTGTTGCCTGTGTACCTTGGGTTTTTTATTTTTTGTTTTTGCTTTTTGAATTATATTTTTGTTTTATAGGTCCTGTGTGATTTATGCTTTAAAGAGGTTCTGTTTTGATGTGTTTCCAGGATTTGTTTTAAGATTTAGAACTCCTTTTAGCAGTTCTTGTAGTGGTGGTTTGGTAATGGCAAATTCTCTCAGCATTTGTTTGTCTGAAAAAGACTGTATCTTTCCTTCAAATATGATGCTTAGTTTCGCTGGATACAAAATTCTTGACTGATAATTGTTTTGTTTGTGGAGGCTGAAGATAGGGCCCCAATCCCTTCTAGCTTGTAGGATTTCTGCTGAGAACTCTGCTGTTAATCTGATAGGTGTTCCTTTATAGGTTACCTCATGCTTTTGTCTCACAGCTCTTTAGATTATTTCCGTCATCTTAACTTTGGATAACCTGATGACAATGTGCCTGGACATCTTTTTGAGATGAGTTTTCCAGGTGTTCTTTGTGCTTCCTGTATTTGAATGTCTAGGTCCCTAGCAAGGCCAGAAAAGTTTTCCTCGATTATTCCTCCAAATGTGTTTTCCAAACTTTTAGATTTCTCTTATTCCTCAGGAACACTGAGTATTCTTAGGTTTGGTCATTTAACATAATCCCAGACTTCTTGGAGGCTTTGTTCATATTTTCCTATTCTTTTCTCTTTGTATTTGTTGGATTGGGTTCATTGAAAGACTTTGTCTTCAAGCTCTTAATTTCTCTCTTCTACTTGTTCAGTTCTATTGCTGAGATTTTTCAGAGCATTTTGCATTTCTATAAGTGTGTCCAATGTTTCCTGAAGTTTTGATTGTTTTTTCTTTATAGTGTCTATTTCCTAGACTATTTCTCCCTTTGCTTCTTGTATTGTTTTTTGGATTTCCTTACATTGGGCTTTGCCTTTCTCTGGTGCCTCTCTGATAAGCTTAATAACTAACCTTCTGAATTCTTTTTCAGGTAAATCAGGGATTTCTTCTTGGTTTGGATCCATTGCTGGTGAGCTAGTGTGATTCTTTGGTGGGTGTTAAAAATCCTTGTTTAGTCATATTACCAGAGTTGGTTTTCTGGTTCCTTCTCATTTGGGTAGATTCTGTCAGAGGGAAGGTCTAGGGCTGAAGTCTGTTGTTCAGATTCTTTTGTCCCATGGGGTTTTCCCTTGATGTAGTACTCTCCCCGTTTTCCTATGGATGTGGCTTCCTATGAGCCAAGCTGCAGTGATTGTTATCTCTCTTCTGGGTCTAGCCACCTGGCAAGTCTACCCATCTCCAGGCTGCTATTGGAGTTTGTTTGCACAGAGTCCTGTGATGTGAACCATCGGCCTCTCCACCATAGATACCAGCACCTGTTCTGGTGGAGGTGGCAGGGGGTTGAAATGGACTCTGTGAGGGTTCTTAGGTTTGGTGGTTTAATGTTCTATTTTTGTGCTGGTTGGCCTCCTGCCAGGTGCTTTCCAGAGAGTATCAGTTCTGGTAGTATGGAGAGGAACTGGTGGTGAGTGGAGCACTAGAACTCCCAAGATTATATGCCCTTTGTCTTCAGCTACCAGAGTTGGTAGAGAAGGCCCCTCAGGTGGGGGTAGGGCTAGGTGTGTCTGAGCTCAGACTCTCTTTGGGTCTTGCTGTGGCTGCTGTGGGGGAGGGGGTGAGGTTCCCAGATCAATGGAGTTGTGTACCTAGGAGGATTAAGGCTGCCTCTGCTGAGTCATGCAAGTTGTCCCTCTGCTGAGTCATGCAGGTTGTTGGGGAAGCGAGGGAAATCCAGCAGTCACAGGCCTCACCCAGCTCCCACGCAAACCAAAAGGCCAGTCTCACTCCCACAGTGCCTACCCTAACAGCCCCAAGTCTGTTTCCAGGCAGTGGGTGAGCGGGGCTTGAGAACTTGCCCCAGACTATCCACCTCCCAGCGGCAAAAGAAAAGGGCTTAGTTCTTCCCCAGCCTATGGAGTCTGCATGCTGGATTCATGCCCTTTCCCGAGTTCTGGCCAGGAGGTTTCTCGTCTGGTTCAAATTGTTATAAAGTTCAGCTGGAGACTTCCTTCTCCCTGTGGCATTTTCCCCACACCTCTGGCTGCCCTCCTGAAGGATCTCTGTGGTGCCAGGCAGGAATGGCCTGCTTGGGGACCCAGCGAGCTCCCAAGGCCTTTCCTGCTGCTTCCTCTACCCCTGTATTTCACTCAGCTCTCTAAATTGACTCAGCTCCAGGTAAAGTCAGAAACTTCTCCCACAAACCAGTTTTTCACTTCTGCAGTTTGGGCACTCACAGTATTTGGGATATCTCCCGGGTCCTGCAGGAGCAGTCCAATTCCTTCAGAGAGTCTGTGAGTCCTTTCAGCAGGTTTGTTCTTGCAGTTATTCTGGAGCTAAAATTCACGATGCAAGCCTCCACATGCTGCTCTGTCCATCCGCATCAGAGCTGCAATGTAGTTCTGCCTCCCATCTGCCATGATGATCCCTTCTGGGCTGAGCTGTTCTTATTCAGAGTCACTTGCATTTCTATTGACAAATATTGTTATCTTCCTGAGGGCCTGGACCATATTTTCTTCATCATCTTCCCAACACACAGCTCAGTGCTTGGTGTATAGTTCAGTACTTAGGAAATTTTTGTGTTGAATGGATTTTTATTTTACCTTCATGAAAACTTTCTAAAGTCATTAGTTCAAGTCAAGCATTATTATCCCTATTAAGGCAACTAAGGAAACTAAGCCTCAAAAAGATCAGAAATCCAGGGACAGGGTTGGAATTCTAAAGATCTTCTAACTCCAAGCCTATATTCTGACTTTTCATCTGTCTCCATATTCCATGACAATAAAAAACACAGTTGGGACCAGGCGCGGTGGCTCACGCCTATAATCCCAGCACTTTGGGAGGCTGAGGCGGGTGGATCACAAGATCAGGAGATCGAGACCATACTGACTAAAACAATGAAACCCCATCTCTACTAAAAATACAAAAAATTAGCTAGGCATGGTGGCGGGCACCTGTAGTCCCAGCTACTCGGGAGGCTGAGGCAGGAGAATGGCGTGAACCTGGGAGGCGGAGCTTGCAGTGAGCTCAGATCGTGCCACTGCACTCCAGCCTGGGTGACAGAGCAAGACTCCATCTCAAAAAAAAAAACAAAACAAAACATTGGGTGACAAATGGTATGAGTAATACCTAAGTTTGATCTATTCTTAATTAGTGTAATAATATTTTTAAATGTCACTAATAATGAAACTAAGGAAAAAAAGCTCTTTCCCTTATTACTTAGTTAACATCATCAGATAGACTGCTGTAAAATAGGAAAATTATTCCATTTGATATGGAAATGTATACAAAGGTTTATGGTCATAGATATGTTTATGAGTTTTTCTCTGTACATGTTTAATCCCAGCTGATGAAAAATTATAATTCAGTATCATTAATATAATAGTAATTCTTTTGATTAACATAGTAGCTTCATGTAAAAATTTCCAAGAGTTCCTTATTAGTCACAACGTTGAAAAAAATAATTAGGCCCCATCAGTAAAGCAACTCATGCTGGCATTCATACTGTATCATTGACATCGAAGTTTATGGTGTGCCATCAATTAGTATAGTTCTGATTATGTGAAAACGTAAAACTGTGAGCATTATTTATAAAAGTGTGGTGCTAATTAAAATATCTATGTATTTCTTATGATTTTTTAATAAAGATTTGTTACAAAGTTGCATGAAAATTCATCCTCAAAAGTAGTCATAGGTGGATTCCTTTTTTGTAACATCATTATTTATTTATCCTATCAGGCCTACCCCAATTATTTACTGGGCAAAGGAAGATGGAATGCTACCCAAAAACAGGACAGTTTATAAGAACTTTGAGAAAACCTTGCAGATCATTCATGTTTCAGAAGCAGACTCTGGAAATTACCAATGTATAGCAAAAAACGCATTAGGAGCCATCCACCATACCATTTCTGTTAGAGTTAAAGGTATATTGTTTAAAATCCATTCTTCTTGCCTTCATGAGAGACCCTGAAACTTTAATTAAATGTGGTTTTCATTACATTTTTAGTAATGGTAAATGTAAAGTTATGTCAACATTCATGGTACCTTGACTCTCTTCTCATTGCTATTGGTAGTGCATCTAAATCAGGTTAAAAATTTACTTGTTCAAATCTTCCTCACAAAAGAATCCCAGTTAATGAATATAGGAATAATGAAGGAAATAGAAAAGTCAATATTAGAATCCCACAGTAATAACTAGAGCCGGCAAGATCAAACAATGAATGCTAAAATTAGTGGGTGAAACTTTAAGGAGAAACAGGATATTTGCATAGCTTCAAAGTGTTTCTATCCCGCAGAAATTAATTACTGGGGAAGTTTTAGCGTGTCCACAAATACTTTATTACTCCTTTCTTTAGAAGATGGAGCTTACTTTCCCTCTTCTTGAGTGTATGCTGGACACTAATGAACAGAGTATGGAATCCAGGGAAATAGTAACTTTGGAGTGGAGAAACCTGGCAGACACTGTCTTAACCAAGTGATGAATGTTAACGTCAATAATAATAAGTCATGTTTGATATCATATATTCCCCCATATGGTACAAGTAGAAGGGTTCATTACCTTTGGGATATTCTCAAAAGCCCAAAACCTCAGGGTAATCATGAGAAAACATCAGACAAACCTAAGCCGTAAGACAGTCTACGAAATAACTGACCAGTACTCTTCAAAAGTGTCAAGGTCACAAAAGACAAGGAAAGACCAAGAAATTGTCAGATTGGAGATGATGACAAGTAAATGCAAAAGACGTTACAAGTAAATACGGTGTCTAGGACAGGATCCTGGGACAGAAACAAGACATTAATGCAAAAACGGAAATCCTAACAGAATGTGTAGTTTAGTTAAGTACCATTGTTAACTTTTCGTTAGGTAACTAGACCATGGTCACATAAGATGTTAACATTAGAGGAAGCTGAGGGAAGGAGGTATGGAAATGCTCTATAATACCTTTGCAACTTTTCAAAAATGATGTTTTTAAGTTGCTTCCTAATTATATATATTCTACAGGGCTCAGAATTTATTTTATTTATTTATTTATTATTTTGAGTTGGAGTCTCGCTCTGTTGCCCAGGCTGGAGTGTAATGGGCTATCTTGGCTCACTGCAACCTCCACCTCCCGGGTTCAAGCAATTCTCCTGCCTCAGCCTCCCAAGTAGGTGGGATTACAGGTGCCCACCACCACACCTGGCTAATTTTTTTTTTTTTTTTTGTATTTTTAATAGCAACAGGGTTTTACCATGTCGGCCAGGCTGGTTTCGAACTCCTGACCTCAAGTGATCCAGCCACTTTGGCTTCCCAAAGTGTTGGGATTACAGGCATGAGCCACCATGCCTGGTCCAGAATTTAAATTTGTGTTTCTTAGCCCTACCTGTACATGTAATTTTCTCTGTATGCTTAGATAAATCTGTCACCTCTTTGATGTCTGATTAATTTTAATATAAAATGAGAAAATGAAATTTGTATCAAACAGGTCTAGAAATAATACATATACGTCAGTGAGTCTCTTTAAACATTCTTTGAAAATCTTAAGTGTTCTTTGAAGCATTGTTTATAAATCTATTCGCTCAAAAAAAATGAGACTAATTTAGTGTGAAGTACTTGCTTGTATTATTAAAATAGTTCAATATGTTCTTTTGCTAAAATGCTTATTTGATTCAGATTTTTGGTCTTTTTTCTTCCTCCTATAAAGCGGCTCCATACTGGATCACAGCCCCTCAAAATCTTGTGCTGTCCCCAGGAGAGGATGGGACCTTGATCTGCAGAGCTAATGGCAACCCCAAACCCAGAATTAGCTGGTTAACAAATGGAGTCCCAATAGAAAGTAAGTTGCCTTGAGTGGTTCTAATTGCAGTATATTTTCAGAGCATATATACATCCCGACAGTGAATAAATGGTGATAAAAAAATAACTCAGGTTAAGGAAGGAAGCCACATGTATGTTAAACACAGGCACCAAATTACCTTTGCATTTTATTACCATTAGATATTTATTATGAATGTGAATAGTTTATGCTGTTAACATAATGGCATGTGATGACTGGTACTTGGCAATATTTCGTCTGCTTTTTACATGGATAATGGGAAGAATGACAGGGTCAGAAATAAATATCACTTCAAAGTTTAGATGATCTTCTTTGTGCAAAACATCAAGTGATTTGTAGAAATGTCACAGGCACTAGAGGAGATAGGTGGGGAGACTCGGCATAGAGCCAATGGATATGACAAGCATAAGAAACCCAGCTGTCTTAATATAAAGAGTTTTCAGTCATAAGTATAGCAAGTATAGCCCAGGTGTTCTCACTGTCTTCCAAGGTCACCGTCCCATTTGATACCCAAAGAAGAACACATCCTCTGACCCTGATCGTATGCAGGATGCTTTACCTTTGACTAGTGCTCCCTCCCTGAGAGCTGCTGCTATCATCCTTGAGCAGCACCTGGGCATCCTGGCTATACTTGTTGCCCCGTTCAGCAGCCTCCCTGCTCCGATGCTCCACTCCTTCCACTTCATTAGCCAATATCTCCAAGCTACCACTATGCTTCCCAGCGTGTGGCTTCAGGCCCTCCCATTAATCTGCTAAATCATAGCAAAGGCCAGCTTTACAAAACTTGGCTAAAGGCTTGGGGAGAGTCAAGGGAATTATAGCAAAGAAAAAATCTTTAAATGGATGTTGCACCTCACTGCTCCTTAATTCCTAAGCCATGGCCATGAACAGAGAACCCACTAGACTCTCCTCTTCCTCTACCCCACCCACCACCAGCTACTGCCGAGAGGAGCATCTTTCAACATTTTCCCCTTCTTGGAGTTCAGACCTCCTCTTAGACACCAAGACAGAGAAAGTCAGTTTCAGCATCAAACCCAGCCTTAGGTTCACTCTCCCAGTCAATAACATGATTACCTGCAAAGGTATTCTTTACTCACAATAAAGATAGCCCTCAGGCTTATGATACAGGACAGATTGGCTTTGACTGCCTCCAAGTCAGAATCCAATATTGGTTCTACATTTACATAACCAAAAGGTCTGCCGAATTGACTTTCCCAAAGTAACACACACACTTCCCCTAAGATGGTTCCAAAAACCTGCTGGCAGATTTAAAGTGGCACAAGTCTCTGTTTCTTACCATCAAGGTCTGACAACTGCAGGGTGACTGAGTCGTTGTAGCCTGCCCCATGAATATTTATTGGAAGTTCACTTGTGTCTCGTAGTACAGTAGCTGTCAGATACTTTGAAACAGGCAGACTGTCTTCACTGTAGAAGGAAGTGTATTCCTGGGAGAAAACAGATGCTAGAGGCCAGCAAATAGGGTTTGGGTATTTCCATTCCCAATTTTAACCAGGATCAGGATCCAGAGAAATGGCAGAGAGTACTTTGTGGTTGTGTTTCAGGAAGCTCTTGCTACTCTCAGGGGAATATGAGTGAAAACTGAGAGGAAAAAGTAGAAGAAAGCCTAGAACTAAAAAAGTTTTATGGTGGCTCATGTGAGCCTGTAATCCCAGCACTTTCAGAGGCTATGGCGGGCGGATTTCTTGAGTACAGGAGTTAGAGACCAGCCTGGGCAACAGGGCAAAATCCTGCTTCTACAAAAAAATCAACAAAAAATTAGCTGGTACAATGTATGATTTTCTCAGGAATGCATACAAAATGGCAATAAATGATGATACATGCTTGATACTTTTGCACCATGTTTTGCAGCTCAGAGTTTTTGTGTCCATTTATGGAAGTTTAAAAGTGTCCCTGAGATCTAGACTCAGTGAAACTGACAAGTGGAAGGAACCATCCATCTAGCCCTTCAGCAGGGAAAATGGGGAAGCTAGGGGATAAACCCTCAAGCTTGGCAGCCAGAGTGCAATACTATGCAAGGAAAATTGAGATGTGGGTGGATGACATAAGCAGGGGAGGATTAAATAATGAAGCTGATTTTTCTTCTTGATTTGCTCAGCTTGTTGTCCTTCCAAACCAGCCATCTTAGTCCATTCCTGCTGCTATAACAAAATGCCTTAGACTGGGTAATTTATAAACAACAGAAATATATTGCTCACAGTTCTGGAGGCTGGAAAGTCCAAGATCAAAGAACCAGCAGATTTCATGTCTGGTGATGGCCTGTTCCTCACAGATGCTGCTATGTGTCCTCACATGGTAGAAGGAGCATACGGGCTCCCTCAAGACCTTTAGAACAGCACCAATCTCATTCATGAGGGGGAAACCCTCATTTCCTGATCACCTCCCAGAGACCCCACCTCTTAACCTTGGAGTTAGGTTTCAACATGAATTTTGGAGGGACACAAATATTCAGACCATAGTACCAGAGTATGCAGTGCCTCTGAGGGAACCTTGTAAATCCAGTCATCTTAACAGCTTTGAAAATACACTCATAACATAATAACACTCCCCTTTTAAATTACATTTTTGTGGGGAGAATCAACCATAAAAGGCCTGCTTTGGGGGTACAGAGTAGTAATAGCAGAAAGAGTAGTTCCTCTTGTAACCCTAAATTGTCTGAGTAGGTAGAGAAGAAAGAGTTAGGACTAAATGTCTCAAATCAGATCAGCTCATCTCTTCCATCCCAAAAGTCTTCTTTAAGGCCCCCTGAGACAGAAAAAAGGAGACTGAGAAGACAAGGCTGGAATTCCATAGCTCCTATAGATCCAGGGTCGCTCACCCTCTGGTGTGCCTCAGAGCAGTCACTCTAGTGGACGTGCAGGGAGAGGAATACCACATGGTGTGGCAGCAAAGCAAGGAGCCCGGCACCACCAGGCCGCTCCGTGGTGCTGGTAGCAGGTGCTGCATGTTTATACCAAGGTACTGTGAAGCTTCCCTGGAAGGGGTCTTTCTCGACATCTGGTGGCCAAGCTGAAAGTGGATTACCATTTGGACATCTCATAACTAAAAGATGATGAGCCAGCGGGGCCTCTGCACAGCTTTCTGCACGATGACCCTGCAAAGGTACAGCTGTGCCCTGCCCCTGGCCTTCTGCAGCTGGCCCATCTGCAGCTTCTGCTGAGTGGCCACATGGGTGGATGCTAAGTCTTCAACAGCTAAGTTCAAAGTGAACCCTGCATGCCCCCACTGTGTGTTGATCTCCCCTGATCCAAAATAATGAGAGAATGAGGGGGGTGCAGAAACTATCCAAAACATTAATAGACATTTAAGGAGCCCTGTGCCGCTCTCTTTTTCATCCCCTTCTTGGTAATTGTCCCATGAATTTAGAGGCCCCTGAAGGGAATTGCCTTTGAGGGTTAGGGACCATCCTGGAAACGGAGCACCAGTGCTTGCTTCCCATCTGGAGTTTGCTGACTTGTGCACCCCACATCTAGCACGGCTGGGAGACGGGGGAAGGATGACAGGGAGATGCAGAGAGGTGAAGGTAGGAACTGAGGGCACAGTCTGCCACCATGTGTGACAGGGCTGAATTAGCACAATGAAGACTCCTTGCCTTCATCATGGGGTCCTAGCATAGGCGCCAGAAGTGAGCTGGGAGCACAAGCTGGCTTGCTGACAGCACTTTCTATCCAAGAGACTGCAGAAATTGCAGGTGGACCAGCTGCTGCGGGTGAGGCACAGGAAACAGCTGTGCTTCTGAACTACTGTTGTCAGGGGCTGTGCAGTGTCCCCTCCAGGTGCCTGAAGTTTGTCTCCTGTGCCACACAACAGAGATACAGTCAGGGGACCATACTGCCAGGTACACAGCCTCCCCACTCCTGACTTGCAGGCGAGCACCTAAGGACACTGACTGTCTCCTTTCGCCTCTGCAGGCTCTGGCTGCCGAGTGCACATAAATACTGTAAAAGGAGAAGCTGGTTCAGGGAGGGGAATGGTAAGAAGGGTTCTTTTAGCAAAATGCAATGTTATTGATCTGTGACTGCATTTAAGACCTGAAAGCTGTTGTTTTAAAAAAAAAAAACTGGAAAAATTAACTCCAAAAGTGTCTGGGCTTTTATTTCATTGTCTCCTAAAGCTTTACCCTTCCCCCATCCCCAGGACTGGCCAGATTACTTAAAGCTTTCCTTGAAGCAAAAATTACAGGCTGTATTAAATAAATGTGGAAATTTCCCAAAACCACCTAAAATAGTTTTAAAACAATCTACAGAAGTCAGATAAAAGAACACAGCTGCAGAGAACTAGTGCTGAAAGAGAGCTTTAATTTTATTGTGTAATGGGAGGGTGTGAAAATAGAACCCAGGACCAGAAAGAAAATGAACTTGCTATTGGCAGGATGGGGCAAAGCATTTCCCTGCTCTACCCTAGGAGGTTGCTTTTCAGGACTTCAAAGCCACACTGAGGGGGGTGTTTTTGAGTTCCTTTTTCTTCCTCTTGGTCTTCCCCACTGGAGAGCCTGTGCCATTCTGGTGGTGGTGCCCAAGGCTGTGGCCACTGTGATTCCTATCTCTGCAGGAGAGTCTAACACTTGCAGATCCTTGATAGTTTCCAGCGTGCGTTGTATTAGGTCTGTCAGACTCTTCTGCATGAAACGTGGATAAGATCACACCGTTATTGTGTTAAAAGGCCCCTGTCCTCTCAGGGATGAGGAGGGAAAAGAACTAAGAGAATGAGAATGGGCAGAAGACCTCTTCCTGGCACTGTGACATATTTTTCTCACAATGAAAGATGTTGAAAGCCAGGAATGTAAGATAAGCACCAGGAGAATGGAGGACTGGTCCAGGATATTCCTGGGATTTCATCAAGGCATCCTCCCTTCTTCCTTTTCACAAAACTAAGGGGCTCAGTGGCATCCTCTTGTAGGGATGGAATAAGTAAATGAAGAGGGAAATTTAACTCTTCTCCCAGAAATGTGTTCTACATTATGCCCAAATGTTCACGTTCCAGGAAATGTTTACAAAGTTGACTAACTGAGAAAACCTGAGCAGTAACCTCATTTGAACAAACCAGTACATGCTGCCATTTGTAGTCTCTCATCTCCAAAATGCATAAAATACTATATGATTAGCCTGTTTCACAAAGTTCTTTTTAAAATGAAATTATGCAGTAAATGTAAAAGCATTTTAAAGATTGATCGTACTCTGTTCATGTAAGATGGCATGATTATTATTATTATTCTCATTATCTATATGTTGAAAGTGTTTATATTTTTACCTACCAACATCAGGAGAGTTGGGTTATAAGTATTTTCTGAAGGCCATCACCCCAGTTCTGGACCTTATCTTTGTGGCTTTAAGTTATTTGTAGGGATTCTGTGCTTTTAAATTTCTTTCTCCAGTGTTTATTGACAGCAGATGAAGTTGGTTATTCCTAGAATTAATGATTATTCCTCTGGATAATTTGGATTTGCATGCTAGAGAGTTACTCTACCCACTAGCCAGCCCATCCAAAGGCTCCAAATGTCTCTACATTAGTGATTTTACTCTGTGTCCAGCTACCAACCGAGCCTCCATATGTCACCGTGACAGTTCCTGGGTTTGTTTGCATTTTTTAAACAAGTACTTAAGGAAAACTCCCATGGAGAGAGGTCTGCTTACTCATTGTTATTACCTAAAGGGTTTATTTTGTTCCTAAATACCTTGCCAAAAATAAATATTTGAAGACTGCTCTATTTAGCATATATAAGGCAGATACAGTCAGATGCCTTTCAGGTAAAAAAATACCTTCCCAAAGAGTTGATAGCAAAGAAAAGTGCAACTGAGAGCAACAGAAAAGCTTTCTGACATGGTTTGTTTGTGACTGATGAGTCTCCACTTGGGGAAAATTGTCCTACTGACATTGTTGAGCTTTGCCCTCCAAGTTCATGGTCGTGTAACATTATTATTATTATTGTGGTAAAAACACATAACAAAATTTACCATCTTAACCATTTTAAGTGTACAGTTCAGTAGTGTTAAGCATTTTCACATTGTGCAACAGATCTTCAGAACTAGAGCCCTTTAGCCATTAAATATCGCGTGGTGGTGTAACTTTTAAAAACTCAATACATTTAAGGAATTTGAGGAACTCTTATGTAGTCTGCCACCCATCCAGAGAGATTCGGCCCAGAGCTCTGCCTGGGATTCATCACAGTCTAAAATACACAGCCACTCTATTCCACTGCCTGGAACATCCACAGAGATGCGGTCAGGGTGGGCACATGGTGGGCACCGAGAGTGCCCTGAAGAGTCCCAGCACTGAGAGCCCAAGTGCTGGGTCCAGAAGTGCTAAGAATCTTTTTCTTTTTTTTTTTTTTTTACCGACCTTAAAAATTTAGTTTGTTTCTCTACTTTATTCTTGTATTATTTTTTATTTCCATAGATTTTTGGGCAACAGGTGGCATTTGGTTACATGAATAAGTTCTGAGATTTTGGTGCACCGGCCACCCGAGCAGTGTACACACTGTACCCAATATATAGTCTTTTATGCCTCGCTGCCCCCCACACTTTCCTTTGAGACCCCAAAGTTCAATATATCATTCTTATGCCTTTGTGTCCTCATAGCTTAGCTCCCACTTATGAGTGAGAACATATAATGTTTGGTTTTCCATTCCTGAGTTACTTCACTTAGAATAATGATCTCCAATTCCATCTAGGTTGCTGTGAATGCCATTATTTCATTTCTTTGTATGGCTGAGTAGTATTTCATAGTGTGTGTGTGTGTGTGTGTGTGTGTGTGTGTGTGTGTGTGTGTGTGTATTTCTTTATCCACTCATTGATTGATGGCATTTGGGCTGGTTCCATATTTTTGCAATTGCGAATTGTGCTGCTATCAACATGTGTGTGCAAGTATCTTTTTTATATAATGACCAGAAGTGCTAAGAATCACTGACAGAGAACAAGTCTCCAGAAATGCTGCTTTGTGTTCCAGCACCCCTTGATGAGGCAGTAGGTGAGCATCACTGAGACTGTGTGAGTCAGGCCCCAGTCATACAAGACTTGGGATCTGGGACACATGGGCTGCCCTAAGTTACACTGCATTTTCAGGGTCCATGGCTGCCCTAAGGTACACTGTGTTTTCAGGGTCCATGGCTGCCCTAAGGTACACTGTGTTTTCAGGATCCATGGCTGCCTGCCACAGCTACAGTTCCCTTTCTAGGCCAGTGTGTCATATCCATCCTCTGCTGTCTTTTATCAACGAATCTATATACCCTGTTGAAGGAATTATGACTTGTATTTGTCTTTGATTTGGAAGAACATGTTCCTTAAGGCAATTTTGAAATTATTAGAGTCATAAATAGGAGATGTAAGCTAAGAAGTCAATTCAAAGTATCTCGACACCCCCACATAACTAGTTGAACAACCTGGAGTATCTAAGATGATTTCATAAATGAGTTACTGATGGTAATCAGAGTGTTGAACAACTGCTTTTTTGTTACATTTTTCCTTGGGAATGAAGACGTTAATCAGTCCATGAGGAGTAACTTGTAAGTTAGAGTTTTAATAATCCTTGGATGCTAAAAACTTATTCTGAACTTAAATGTATGGCGAATTTTTAAAATATTCTAGTCTAAAACATCTAAAAGACTTTTAGGCTATAAATGTGATACAGTATGTGGTAGACAGAATAATCCCTCCTTCTACCCCACCCCGCCATGATGTCTACATCCCAATCCCTAGAAACTATGAATATGTCACCTTACATGGCAAAAGGGAATTTGCACATGTGATTAAGGTTAAGGGCCTTGAGATGGGGAGGTTATCCTGGACTATCTAATTTGGGCCCAATTTAATTACATGAGCCCCCAAAAGCAGAGTGCCTTTTCCGGCTTTGGTTGGAAAGAAAGGTGACTATGGAAGAATGATCAGAGAGATGCAACATCGACAGCTTTGAAAATGGAGGAAGAGGACCATGGGCCAAGGAATGTGGGCAGCCTCCAGAGGCTGGAAAAGGCAAGGACATGGATTCTCCCCTAGAACCTTCAGAAAGCGACGCAGCTCTGCTCACGCATTGGTTTTAGAGCAGTGTGACCCATGTCAGACTTCTAACCTACAGAACTGTATGACAGTAAATTTGTGTTGTTCTAAGCCACTACATTTGTGGTAAGTTGTTACAGCAACCGTGGAAAACTATTACAGAATGAGGGAGCCAAATACTTCGAGTTTGGGTCATAAAACAAGGATGTACTATGGTTTGGTTGATTTTTATTACAGTGGGTTAATAAACCACAGATGAAACAAATTTTTTTTTATTTTAAAAGTGATAAAAGAGTCTAAATACAGTGATGAGTGTGTCTTAGATGCACATCCTTTTCCTTTCACCAAGGAAAAAGAAATGGTGCTTAGAAAGAACATAAAGTCTTCTTAAATGCTTCAAGTTGCAGGAGCAGTTTAAGAGAAAAGGTGCTGTTATTTAGTTTTGATTTTGATCATCGTGCTGAGACAGAGACCTAAATCCCTCTTAGTGTACTTCTAAAGCAATATAAGCTCAAAGCCTAAAGTGTATCGTTCACAGAAAGGAATTCATCTCCAATCTCACAGAAGTTCCAAATTGCTGGGCATGCCCGGGACTAAATCCTCACATACTGTGTTACCCAGCCAGTTCTATTCCACTTCAGTAAGGATCAAGCCTGTTCCTAACGTTTTAATACTTGAGAGATTTAGCTGAAAACATTGTCTTCAAGAGGAATTTACACAATTTATTTATACTTCAGCTTCAAGAATATCCACAGCAGAAAATTAAATATTTTCACATTTGGTTATTAGCCCCGTAGTGTTTATGTATTTGTTGATTTATTTATGTCAAGAAGAGGCTCCTAAAAGGAACAGGTTTGAACAAGCTGGAGTGTTTCTATATTTTTTACTAGCTTTTGCTATTTCCTCTTGATCGTTAACTTTTTTTCTCCTAAATAACCACAATCTCTTGAACACGGCAATGTTTTCCTGAATTTGTAATGCAATTTTCACCTAAACTTGTAAGAGTTTTTTTTCTGCATCTCTCAAAATAATACTTGGTGTTCAACATGGCACATGTATACATATGTAACAAACCTGCACATTGTGCACATGTACCCTAAAACTTAAAGTATAATTAAAAAAAAGATACAAGGGGCAAGTGAATGGAAAGGTCTTTAAAAAAATAAAAATAAAAATAAATAATACTTAGTGTTACAGAATCAATCGACTTAAGACTAAATGAATATTGAGCACATACCCTTGCTAATATATAACTCAATTCTGAGAAGGAAAATGTTCTGGTTTCTGCCTAAATTCTAGTCTTATTCTTACTGCATGTACTTAGAGCAGTCTTTATTTATGTCCTACTGACTTTACAAGCTTAATATACATCTTTTAAGCAAATAGGAATAAATACTTTCTATTTTTACATCCAAACAGTTGCCCCTGATGACCCCAGCAGAAAAATAGATGGCGATACCATTATTTTTTCAAATGTTCAAGAAAGATCAAGTGCAGTCTATCAGTGCAATGCCTCTAATGAATATGGATATTTACTGGCAAACGCATTTGTAAATGTGCTGGGTAAGCTCTCATTTTATTAAAGACATGGCAAATTAAATTAATGACTGCTGTTATTTTCTGTTCAATCAGCAAAAATATATTGAGCATCTACTATGTGCAATGCACAGTACTTGGAGCTATAAGGGATGGATAAGATATAAACCTTGCCCCAAAGAATATGGCAGTCTTAATGTTCTTCCATAACACAGTTTTTACAATGGCAAATTCTTCATTGTAGAACTAGTCAAATAAGCTGTTCTACTTACAGATGGTTAGACTAAGTGTCAAACCCTCAAAAGGAAAATAGCATTTGTCTGCTATTAGCAACTGAATATTATTGCTCTTCGTTGTAAGACACTGACAAGTTGAATAACAATGATTCTGATTTTTAAAAACTAATGCATGAATCATAATGCTTGGCCTTTATCCATGTCACAGATGTACATTTATTTTATTTGTAAAAACATATTTTAAAAAGTGTGATATACTGAAACATATTCTCAAATAATTGGCTTATGTGAACATTGTATTTCTTATATTGGACAAAACTACCAAAATACCACATTTGTTAAAATTTTTGTGAGAATTGTTTTCATGGTGCCTGGGAATTATACTTCAGCCCTTTAAAATTAGTATGCTTCCTTTTCAAACAAAATTACCATCAGTAAGCCAACCAATACTTGGTATTTTCCTTTCATGCTTGAAATGAAGGTCACTAATCCTATGAAGAGCTAAGCAGTTAAGATATTGGTGGATGTTGAGAAAGCACTTTTGGCTGCTGATTCCTTTTTCATCTCTACTTTTATGAGTTCAGCATTTTTAGATTTTACATTTAAGGGAGATCATGCCAAGTTTGTCTTTCTGTATCTGGCCTGTTGCACTTAACACAACATCCTCCAGGTTCATCCATGTGGTCATGACATGAACGACATGAAGGAAATGATAGAATTTCCTTCTTTTTTAAGGCTGGATAGTATTCCATTGTGTGTATATGCCACAGTTTCTTTATTCCATTCATTCATTGGTGGGCACTTAGGTTGATTCCATATCTTGGCTATTGTGAATAATACTGCAATGAACAAGGGAGTTCAAATATCTCGACATACTGATTTCATTTCCTTTGGATATATACCCATTAATGGCATTGTTGGATCATATGGTAGTTGTATTTTTAATGTTTTGAGTATAAACAGTATAAATAATCTTTATAGTATTTTCCATAATGGCTGTACTAACTTATATTCCCTCCCACAATGTTTAAGTGTCCCCTTTTCTCTACATTCTTGCCAACACTTAGATCTCCTCTTTTTGATAATAGCCATTCTAATAAGTGTGATATAATATCTCATTGTGGTTTTAATTTACATTTATCTGGCGATTGGTGATAATTGGGCATTTTCCCATATACCTGTTGGCTGTTTGTATATCTTCTTTTGAGAACTGTCTAGTCCAATGCCTTGCCCATTTTTAACCAGGTTATTCATTTTCTTACTATTGAATTATTTGAGTTCTTTATATATTTTGGTATTAACCCCTTACCAGATACATGGTTTGCAAATGTTTTCTCCCCTTCCATAGGTTGTTTCTTCACTTTGTTGACTATCTCTTTGGCTGTGCAAGCTTTTTAGTCTGGTGTAATCCCATTTGTCTATTTTTGTTTTTGTTGCTGTGGTTCCATTTATTCAGCCATCACACTCATCACTCTGCTTTTTTCTGCCAGCTTATGTGTTCCCCACCGTTCCTACCCACTAGGGTTATGATGAGTGAGTCATTCAACAAAAATATACTTGGCTGTTATTTTTGTGCCAGACACTGTGCTGGGGATAAGACAAAAGTCTCATTCCCTGACTGCAGTGGACTCACAGTAAATCAACAACCAAAATGATGTCTGAGCAAGTAGTAGGGCAGGAGGTAGAGGGAGGAAAAATGTATTTTTCTGCCTTGAGTGACTGGCAGCATTATGCCTGATAGAGAACATAAGGAGAGAGATAGATTGCTTGTGCTTTACCATAAACTTTAATGACCTTAAAACAAAATACAATAAATAAACGATAGTCCTAAAATGTATTCTAATATTTACTTTACCTTTTAAAAATATTTGTAGCTGAGCCACCACGAATCCTCACACCTGCAAACACACTCTACCAGGTCATTGCAAACAGGCCTGCTTTACTAGACTGTGCCTTCTTTGGGTCTCCTCTCCCAACCATCGAGTGGTAAGTAGCAGCTCTGTGTGTTTTTCAATACTTAAAATGTTTGCTAAAGGCTTCATATTCTAAATATGTTGGGTTTTATTCAAAAAACAAACAGGGAAAGGCACCACACAATCCATTACACTGTTAATATATTTTTTTTTCTTGTGAGACAGAGTCTCACTTCATTACCCAGGCTGGAGTGCAGTGGCACAATCACAGCTCACTGCAGCCTCTGCCTCCTGGGTTCAAGCATATCTCCTGCCTCAGCCTCTAGAGTATCTGGGCCTACAGCCGCCTACCACCACACCTGGCTAATTTTTTGTATTTTTAGGGTTTCACCATGTTGGCCAGGCTAATCTCAAACTCGTAACCTCAGATTATCCGCCCGCCTCAGCCTCCCAAAGTGCTGGGATTATAGGTATGAGCCACTGTGCTTGGCCTACACTGTTAATTATTAAATTCATTCATTATTTCACAAATATTTATTAACTACTGGCTCTGTGTTAAATACTTTCATGTGTATAATCTATTTAGCAGCACACTCTATCAAGCACAGATCTACATGTAAATGATTTTTTTTTAAATTTAAGGCTGCTGTATTTCACAATGCCATGGACATCCCCTGGGATTTTGTGAGTAGTGGCTGGAGGGACTAGTTAGGGGATATTCCTTGATAATAAAATATTCTGTGGTATAGTGGGGGGGTTCTATAAGCTCCAAAGCAGAATTTGTTCTTACCATTGTTTCTCTTGAGTACTTGTTGCACCAGGTCTTCCTGACTTGGATCCAGCCAAGCTCTCCCATGTTCTTTTACTCCCCACTTCAGACCATCCCCTTTCATATGCCACCCGAGGTTTAAGTCCTCTACCTCCTCCTAGCTTGTTTACTTTAGCTGAAAGAGACAAGGCTAGGATGGATGAGCAATGGCTCAGAAGGAATGAATGAAAGAAAACTGGAACATTCTTTACTGATCATCTGTCAGGTCCTAGATGCTGTGCTAAGTTCCAACTACTGAGGTCAGAATATATGCAGGGTTAAGATTAAAGGAAAATTTCCCTTGGCCCCTACCTTAACCCCAGAGAAGAAAAATGGATGCTTATGCAGATGATTTTCCTAGTGAAGGTAACAGATTCACACTCACTTTGTTTCATCCGTTTCACTTCTCCTCTCTGACATACATGCCTTTTTTTCTTCCCTGGTTATTTTCCTATTGATACTTTCAAAAGTACAATCCTTCTAGCCTTGCAACTTTCACATTCATCATGGTCATGTTGACCTTGAACATGGCATTTTATGTCTGACTTCAAAATATAATGTGTTTTTATTCTCATTGTGATAATTTCTGTAATGAAGGTTTAAAGGAGCTAAAGGAAGTGCTCTTCATGAAGATATTTATGTTTTACATGAAAATGGAACTTTGGAAATTCCTGTGGCCCAAAAGGACAGTACAGGAACTTATACGTGTGTTGCAAGGAATAAATTAGGGATGGCGAAGAATGAAGTTCACTTAGAAATCAAAGGTAAGGCAGAGGTAATGTGTTTAATTTTTAAATGACTTTGAACAAATTCTCCAGCTTTGCCAAATGGATAACGATGACTCTACATTTCAGATCCTACATGGATCGTTAAACAGCCCGAATATGCAGTTGTGCAAAGAGGGAGCATGGTGTCCTTTGAATGCAAAGTGAAACATGATCACACCTTATCCCTCACTGTCCTGTGGCTGAAGGACAACAGGGAACTGCCCAGTGATGAAAGGTATTTGAAGACGATTTCTTTACTTTCTCTTCATTCTTTCTTTAAGCTATTCTTGAACTAAAGGTCTACTATGTAGTCAATTATGGTGATGTTTTTAGTTTCTGAAGTCTGCTGTCTCCAAAATAGAGAGATAAGCATTTTCTCCCTACTGTAAAATATATGCACCCAAGAAGGTATCAGGTGATTGAAATAGGACCCTGAGAATGTTTGTCTATCTTTGCGTGCTGGTCTCTTGTGTAATTCAGGATGGGAAAAAACCCTCAGGCCTGGACAGCATCCATTGTTTTATACCTTGAACAGCGAAGTCTCAACAGATGTTTTCATTACCTTTCTACAAATAAGCAGAAATATGACCTCTTTAATCACCAAAGACTGCTCAAATCCTTGTCAGTATTTTAAGACACTCGTTTTTATTTGGATAGGGAGTTTTTCTTTTGATTTTACCTAAAGCCAGTGAAAGGGGAAGGAAAAACAAAAACAGGTAGAGCATTTAAAAGAGCCCAAGCATGCTGCAGATTTCATTAAGAATGGAAGAAAGGTCATGGCATTTTCCAGATGAGACCCTCAATTTGACATAGTAGTACAGAGTAGATATGTGTTAGTTTTAGCAAAGTGGCTATAGGCCTCACTCTCTATTAGAAGGAATGCTGTATTCTGGTCGAAATCATTTGTGTGGTTCACCTACAGCTGACCTAAAATTGTGGTGCCTAAATATTGCCCTGTTGCTTGTCAATGACCCTGGAAGAACTCTGTGGCCTTCTCTTTTATGTGCCTAGAGTCTCCATCTAATTTTATGCTTGAACTAGTCAATTTTATTTGTTGAGTTGATAAAGATGAAAAGGTGTGGTGGTCTCACACCTGTGGTCCCAGCTACCTGGGAGGCTGAGGTGGGAGAATTACCTGGGCCCAGAAGGTTGAGACTCCAGTGAGCCATGACTGTACCACTGCACTCCAGCCTGGGTGACAGAGTGAGACCCTGTCTTTAAGATTAAAAGGAAACATAAAGAAATGACCATCAGGTTAAGGTGGCTGAAGCTTTTACTTGGAAATTAACTGAGAAGACAGTTTATGACTTAGGCAGTTTCATTAAAATAATACACTAATTCTCTATACATTAATTTTTTGATCTACTGAGCAATTTTTCATGCCCACAAGTTCCCTCTAGAAAAGTCTTAGAGAGATTGTTCATCTAAATCTTCCTGTTTCTAGTGATAAAGCAAATTATTATTCTTTGCATTTAATTTCTCCTATGAGAGTTTATACATGTAAGAAAATGACATGATTTTCTGCAGTAAATAATAAAGTATTTAAAATATATACTTTGATAGAAATTGAACTGAATGAGTGGTTTTCCAATGTTTCTTGGCAGCAAAAGCCTTAGTAAAGCCCTTTAGTAAGGCTAATGCTGGAACTATTCTTCGCCTCCTTCCCCTGGGAACTTAAGGAAGCTCCTTCCTCTCCCTCTAGAGCAGTGGTCCCCAACCTTTTTGGCACCAGGGACTGGTTTCATGGAAGACAGTTTTTCCACGGACAGGGTGGGGGCACAATGGCTTCAGGATGATTCAAGCACATTACATTTACTGTGCACTTTATTTCTATTATTATTATGTTGTAATATGTATATACATATATATATTATTACATGTAATATATACAGTGACAGATCATCAGGCATTAGATTGTCATAGGAGAGCACAGTCTAGATCTAGATCTCTCACTTGCACAGTTCACAATAGGGTTCACCTTCCTGTGAGAATCTAATGCTGCCACTAATCTGACAGGAGGCGGAGCTCAGCTTCACTCGCCCCATTCCCCTGGGGCCTAAGGAAACTCCTACCACACCCTCTAGAGCAGCGGTCCCCTCTGCAGCCCAGTTCCTAACAGGACAGTACCCAGTTCTTGGCCCAGGGTTTGGGGACCCGTGCTCTAGAGGCCTGGTTGAAAAATACTGTGCCAGAGGACATATCCCTTCTAACCCAATATTCTAATTGATTCTCATTGTTTTTCAACTTTAATCATTCTTAAAGTGATATGTATTTTGCTCTAACTTTTGAAAGTGTTTACCATCTTTCTCCTTTATCAAATTTACAGTTTTTTTCCTGCCAGTGAAGCAATTATAGGGTACGGCTGCATGTCCATTTCAGCTGCTCTGAATGCATTCTATCCACAGGTTCACTGTTGACAAGGATCATCTAGTGGTAGCTGATGTCAGTGACGATGACAGCGGGACCTACACGTGTGTGGCCAACACCACTCTGGACAGCGTCTCCGCCAGCGCTGTGCTTAGCGTTGTTGGTAAGAACGAAAACAAAAATAGCACAACTGGCTTCCCTGCATTTGGTTGAAAAGAAAAAATAAGATAAAAATTATAAATATCAAATATTTGCTTGTTAATATGCATGGGTGAGTTCATACCCATGTTTTTCTTCTTTGAAAGATGCCTTGGAGGCAATAATTTCAGTATAAATAGACTGTGTAGCAGCACTGGGTGAAATGGTGGATATGCACATTAGTAACCTTTTTTGTAATAAAATAAGGAGAAATGATCTACTTGTATCTAAAATTGAAGGTTTTTTTTCCTAAATTGTTACTGCATGTTTATCAATGCTGTGTCTCACAGCTAAGCATAGGGCTTAATTTTATAACCTTGAATAATGTACAGTCTTTGTCATCTTGTGCTATCTTGTATCTTTCCATTACTAATTTTGATTAAAATCCTTTATATTAATGTCCTTTCTAGCTCCTACTCCAACTCCAGCTCCCGTTTACGGTAAACTAATATGAGTCTTCTTTCTCTGTTTTCTGTCAAACAATTTCACATTTGCAGAAAGTATTCATAACTTTCTTTTCTATGTCACATAATTGTGTTTCTTAAGGAAAAGGTCTCTGTCAGTTGTTATGTTGTGTCACCCATTTACTGACAATGAATCATTTCTTCATCATAACCACAGATTTTTCACCAAGTTCGTTGCCAGTTCTTTCTAAATAGTTCATGTGCTATTATAAAATCACTTCGTTTGATAAAAGTCCCTCTTTGATGCAATTTCCTTTTAAAGTAGCATAGTGCTTTTTCAAAAGCCATCATCCACATTTTACAGAATGAAAAAGCTATTTCTAATATCATTCTACAAATTAGGCTTTCATCTCAATTTATTAAAAGTTGTTTGGGAAAAATCTTGTTTTGGGATTCCATTTTCAAGAAATGTATATGGGGAAAAATAGATGTTTAGAACAACATTTAACTTTTATATCAGAGAAAACCGACTCACCATGTGTTAACAAAAGACAAATCACTCAAGAAAGACCAAAAGGAGGGGCACATTTATGTTGTGTGGCTTTTTAGAATCTGGAAAATAAGTCAGAAATCATTTCCAGAAATCTTTTTATTTAGAGAACCTTCATCTTTATTCAGTACGTCAATACAAAAATCAATTTTTGGCATCTCAGCTGATTTTGCACAATATTATTAATATTGTGTCTAATTATCCAATATAAAACCTGTGCTTTGTAGACATTTACTGCTTTATGACTGATAAGAAAAAAAAGCACATATATTTGTATGGTCTCTGGTCCCCTAAGAGCCAGAGATACTCCTAGGAGCAAGGTCAAATAAAGGCCTGGGGGGAACAGTAACTCTCTGGATCTCAGAAGCACCATTAGAAGAGGCAGACATGCTTCTAGGACACCTTCATCTCGACATGTGTCTGTCTATACACTGTTGTCCTCTGGGAGTAAACACACTTATGCATGCTGAGGGCTACCTCCATAGCATCTATTTCAGCATTCTTTCGCAAATATAAATATTCTTTCAGAGCCCCAAAATCTGTTATTCAGCATTTTTTTTAGAAAGAACATTTGAATTTTCTTTAAACAGCACCTTTTATTTGCCTGTATTTCTTTTTTCAGCAGTTGCTTTCTCTATTTCCCATGTATTAGAAATTAAGCTTATTATTTTTCATGTTTGTGCCCATTCATGTTTATGAGAAGAAACGCTGAGAGTGCTGATGAACCACATGTGTCTGCTTCACTGGGTTTGGTTACAAATGCTTTCGTTTCCTTTGAAAAACAAGTGAGCAGAACTCATTGATGGGTTATCTTGTGTGTGTTCGTGTGTTCCCAGCAGCCTCAGCTGTGCACATTTCCTTTCAGTTGCATGCTCATTGACTATCAAGTGTGCTGTGTCTTTAAGATGTCCCCTCTGTGAATAGTATCACGAGTAAAGGAGAGCCTCTTAAAGATGGATGCGTGACCATGATGTGTGTATGTTTGGTCTACAGATGTCCCAAATCCTCCCTTTGACTTAGAACTGACAGATCAACTTGACAAAAGTGTTCAGCTGTCATGGACCCCAGGCGATGACAACAATAGCCCCATTACAAGTATGTGGTATTATTTGCTCTATTTCCGATCAACTAAATGGCCATGTTTGAAGCACTTTGTAACAGTCAGCTGAATTTCCTCACAAAGGTATTTACTGGGATTCTCTGCTTCATTACTGATAGAATAAAAATATTTATTTATGTCCTTCCTCTCTTCAGAGCTGAAACTATTCCTGGTTACACCTTCTAGAATAGGACACCCCTTAATTGCTGAAGATGTTGACTAATCAAATACACTGTCATTTGTGTTTAAGATCCATAAAAATCACTTTAAATATCTACCATGTAGGAAGATACACCTTAAGTTAGTTGTTTATTTTGCCCATTTCTTCTGGGAGAAAATGTTAGGAGGAGCAAGTGCTGAATAGCTCTGTCTTCCTATTAGGAAACTGATACTTGATGAGTAAAGTAACTTTTCAACCCCCTGTTGGTAACAGAACTGGGCGTAGATAACAGGTTCTACCTTAACTTCCAACCTAGGTCTCTTTCTTTCCATTAGTCCCTGCTACAAAGTTGCCCATTCAACAATGTGAGCTTCTCACGTTGGTGACACAAGCCTAGGGCCTAGGAAATAAGATAAGGAAGGACAATGTCATAAGGATACTAGAAGAGCATAATAAAATTAGACTATAGGTAAGCTTCGAAGTTGAATTGTAAAACCAAAGAGATACTTAAGAGGCAGACACAATCAGGTCACATGCCTGAAATACATTATTACCTTCAGGCATATACCGCAGGAAGACAATTCCTTTCTGATGACTACCTAAGATGATTCTGAAATGATAGGTGTGTTGATTTATTGCACCTCCTGGTAAAGTAGAATATTTCCACTAAAATTTAACAAAAGCCCCTCCTCTATCTTGTGTTGTTTAATGGTGCTCTTTTCCCTACTTGAGTGTTCAATGTCCTTGATCAGAACACAAATTCATCCAGGCCCAGTCTTCTAGCTCATTGGGTACATTAGCCAGAGTTAGCTGGTTAGATGGCTTGGAGACTCTTTTTTCCTATATTAAAATAATACCATTAGATTTCAAGGCATTTCTACTCTTTCATTCATTTACTCATTCATTCAACAGATATTTTTGAGTGCCTACTGTGTGCCAGACATTGTTCTAAAACAAAATAGTCAAAAATCTCTGTGGTAATGGAGCTTATATTTTAGATGAGGATATAAATAAGATAAAATTAATAATACATTATTAAGCATAATTTCATTATATCTGCATGTAAACATATGTATATATACACACACACACACACACACAGAGGACTCAGATCTACCTTCAAGGGCGAACCTGCTGTAAGGAGTGTTAACCCACAGCCTCCATCTGCTTCTCCTTCTCTAAGGCTCCACTGCAGAGTTCACGTGAGGCCATGCTCCTTGGGGTGCTCCAGTGACTGGGCACAGCAAAGGTCCCAGAAGTCACACGTGCCTAATGCAGAACTCCTCCTGTGTAGACTGTACTCTGGGCTCCTGGTTGACCTGGCTGAGACTATCCCAGAGCTATACTATACTGTAGTCTGAGGCTTCTTCTACTCACTCCTCCTTCCCTCCCCCACTTCCTGTTACAGATGTCAGACCAGCATTGTGGTCTGAAGGTCTTCCCTCCTTCAGGCTTCCTTGCTTCCTCTCCCTTTTTTCTTCCATGGACATTTTCCCAAATAGACCTCTTGCACTTCTTTTTTTTTTGAGACGGAGTCTCGCTTTGTTGCCCAGGCTGGAGTGCAGTGGCGCGATCTCGGCTCACTGCAAGCTCTGCCTCCCGGGTTCACGCCATTCTCCTGCCTCAGCTTCCCGAGTAGCTGGGACTACAGGCGCCCGCCACCACACCCGGCTACTTTTTTTTTTGTATTTTTAGTAGAGATGGGGTTTTGCCGTACTAGCCAGAATGGTCTCAATCTCCCGACCTCGTGATCCACCCGCCTCGGCCTCCCAAAGTGCTGGGATTACAGGCGTGAGCCACTGCGCCCGGCCACCTCTTGCACTTCTAATTCTGTCTTAGCCTTTGCTCCCTAGAGGACTCAAACTCATATATATCTATTAATACATATGACTGTGTTTATATGTGTTTAGGGCATGCAAAAAACAAATCAGCAGAAAGACATGTGGAGCTAGGGGTATAATTGTGAATAGTGTGAATAGGAAAGGCCACACTAAAAGAACATTTGAATGTGTCAATCAAGACAGGGGAGGGAGGTCAGTGAGCACACTATGCAGTTGTCTAGGGGAAGAACTTTCCAGCAAGAGCAAAGGAAAAGAGCAAAGGCCCTAAGACAGGGCATGTCTGCTAGGATGCCAGTGTGGCTGCAGTGAAATGAAAAAGGGAAAGTGAGGGCGGAGAGAAGGTCAAAGAGCTGAAGAGTTCGGTGGTGGGTGTGTAGAGTGGGAATTGTGCAAGGTCCTGTAGGCCACTGTGAAGATGGGAAAGCCCTTGGAGGGTTTTAACAGAGGAGTGATGAATGAATAACTCTGGCTTGTCTATTGAAAATAGTGTATAGAAGAACAAGAGGGGAAGCAGACAGACTGGGTAAGACCATGGTTCCCAAACTGTGCACTGAAGTGCCCTGTGGTACTTCAGTGAATTCACAGGGTACCTTCCTTGGAATAATTTTAAAGTTTTAACTTTTAAATTCTGATATTAAAAAAACACAGTGACATCTGTCAAACGTCACATGAAATTAGCTTGAGGCAGATTACAGGTTCAACTTTATATCCCATGTCATTTTGTGATAATGTTATATCTCTGCAAAGCGTTTGCTGTGATAAAAAGCAAGTGCCACATGGAAATCAGTGGGGAATAGGAAATGTGGAAGGTGGTGTCCAATCTGTTTACAAGGTTTGAGAACTTATATAAGAGAAGCTTTACAATGTTAAGATATAAATAGATTTAAAATTGTTTAAAATTAAATTGCTTACATTTATTTAAGATATAAATACATATAAAGATGTATGAACCTAGCTACTTAATACCTGAAAACATTAGGTAATTCTTTTGGCCTAAGGGAGCCATGAAAAATAAATTATGGAGACACTAAGTACACCATGAACCGAGAAAGTTTGGGAACTACTGAGTTAGGAGGTTATGTGATAACTCACACAAGAGATGAGGGTGGCCTGGAATAGGCTGAGAAATGGTCAGATTTTGGATATATTTTAATGGTACAGGCCATTGTACTACAGAGAGTGTGGAAGAAGTAGGGAAATAAGAAGGATTCCAGATTTTGACCTGGGCTGTCACTATCAATTGGAGAGGAAGATTAGAATTAGTTTTGGTACTATCCAGTTTGAGATGCTGTCATGGACAACCAAGTGGAATTGTCGAGCAGACAGTTGGACTTCCTGAGTCTGCAGTTCAGGGAAGAGGTCTGGGCTACAGATGTAAACATGAAAGTCATCCATTTATAGGACTGGAGATCATCCAAAGATGAATGTGGATTGAAAGGAGAACTCCAAGGACTTAGTTTTGAACCACTGCAAGACATATAATATTTTTAGTTCATCTTTGTGTTTATAGTGCATATCATGGTACCTGGCACATAGTAGGCAATCAGTGAATATCCAAATACCTATTATTTTACAAGGGTAAAGTGTGTACACACCACAGAATTTTAGTGGACGCAGAGGGTATGCACTGAAAAATATGTCTTCCTCCCGCCCCTGTCTCCCAGCTCCTCTGGCCACACCAATGTTATAGGTTTATATTCTCTGAGAGGTAATATGCATTTATATGCAAGTGAATATGTCTGTTTATTTGTTGTAGTAATTTCGTTTTACATTTACACAAGCATAGTATCCAGCACACACGATTCTATACCCTGCTTGGCTGCTTGGTTTCACTTAATAATACACTTTAGAAATCATTCCATTTCAGTACGTATGGAACAGCCCTATTCTTTTTTTTTTTTTTTCCTCTCTCTCTCTCTTTTTTGAGACAGGGTTTCACTCTGTCCAGGCTGGAGTGCAGTGGCTTGATCATGGTTCACTGCAGCCTTGACTTTCTGGGCTCAGGTGATCCTCCTAGCTCAGCCTCCCCCATAGCTGGAACTATAGGTGCACGCCACCACACCCAGTTAACTTTCTGTAGAGACGGGGTTTTGCTAGGTTGCCCAGGTTGTCTCAGACTCCTGGACTCCATCCACCTGGGTCTCCCAAAGTGCTGAGATTACAGGTGTGAGCCACCGCACTTGGCTGACAGTCATTTTTAACAGCTTCAGAGTATTCCATTGTGTGGACCTAGTGTAATTTGTTTAGTCAGTGTCCTGTTGATGGATGTTTAGGTTGTTTGCAATTAGGTTGTTTCAATTGCAAATAATACTACAATGTAAATTATTTCTCATGTGTGTTTGAGCCATTTGTGTGAGCCCATTTATTCAAAATAAATTGCCAGAAGTGAAATTTAGTATGCGCCTTAAATATTGACAGATTTTCTAAACTGTCTTATATAGAAGTTGTCCCAACTTACACTTCCTACAAAGTCAGAGAATGCTTGATTCCTTGTGTCATAGTCAACGAAGTGTGTTAAACCTTTGATTATTGCCAATATGTTTAGTGGAAAATGGCACTCACTATATTTAATTTATCCTATTATGAAAAAAATTTGATCATCTTTTCATATATTTAAACTTTTTAGGGATATATGGATTAATTCTAAACAGTTTTAAGTAACTAAATTCAGCATGCTAGAGAAAGAATACCAGATTTGGTAAAATCTAAAACTGTTTAGAATTAATCCATATATCCCTAAAAAGTTTAAATATATGAAAAGGTGGTCAAATTTTTTTTGTAATAGGAGAAATTAAATTAAATACAGTGAGATGCCATTTTTCCACTAAAATGTTATCATGTGTGTTTATATGTTGAGGATAATGACAACTCTGAAATCAAAATATTTTAATGGCATTTTTCTTGAAAGTAAAATAATTCATGTTTGGTTGCTTGTGTTGGGTTGCCCTGTTAGTTATTGCTGGCAGCTACCCCTGAGTTGACTGAATTCACGGTCTTGGGTTTGGTGTGTGTGTGTCGTGACCAGAATTCATCATCGAATATGAAGATGCAATGCACAAGCCAGGGCTGTGGCACCACCAAACTGAAGTTTCTGGAACACAGACCACAGCCCAGCTGAAGCTGTCTCCTTACGTGAACTACTCCTTCCGCGTGATGGCAGTGAACAGCATTGGGAAGAGCTTGCCCAGCGAGGCGTCTGAGCAGTATTTGACGAAAGCCTCAGGTAAAGCGGGAAAGCGGGACTTCTAGGGTACGAAATATAATAAAAAAGTTTTCCACTCTTCGCAAAAGGCCAAAGCTTACACATGTGTGGCTGCTTAACTTCCAGAACCAGATAAAAACCCCACAGCTGTGGAAGGACTGGGATCAGAGCCTGATAATTTGGTGATTACGTGGAAGGTGAGCTATGATGCCTTCAAATTTATTCGCTATTTTTTAGAGTGAAAAAAAAGTTGTTTGAAAATAATATCTACATTAGAATCTCATTTCACCTATTTCTGGGGAAAAAAAATATATATATATATATAAAGATACATATATATCTTTACTTAAGAGGCAGTATTATATAGTTGCTAAAAGCTTGAGCTCTGGAGTCAAAATGATTTGGTGCAAATCCCAGCTCTGCCACTAACTCTGTGATCTTAGGCCAGTTGTTTAACATGTCTGTTAGGCAGCTGTATGATGGGAGTAATAATAGAACCAATTTCACAGTATTAAAGGAGCTAATACATATAAAGCACCTAGAACAGTGCCTAGCATATACACATGCTCAAAAAAATGCTAGCTAGTGTTATCATAAAGAACCACCTGGGGCCAGTAGCTCACGCCTATAATCCCAGCACTTTGGGAGGCCGAGGCGGGCAGATCATGAGGTCAGGAGTTTGAGACCAGCCTGACCAACATGGTGAAACCCCGTCTCTACTAAAAATACAAAAATTAGCCGGGTGTAGTGCTGCATGCCTGTAATCCCAGCTACTCAGGAGGCTGAGGCAGGAGAATCGCTTGAACCCAGGAGGCGGAGGTTGCAGTGCGCCGAGATTACACCACTGCACTCCAGCCTGGGTGACAGAGCAAGATTCCATCTCCAAAAAGAAAAAAAAAGAGCCACCTGGAAGACATGCACCAAGCCATTCCCAGCAGTCAACTTCTTTAGTGGGGAAAGCTTATCTGTGTTTTCTGGATTTGGAAAATTAACATATATTTACTCATAATTCAAAACCTATTTTAGAGCCATACATGCATACTTAGACATGTATACATATATGTACATACTTATATTTATACAAACATGTAGAAACAACAGAATGACAGGCTAGCCTTTTTTTAATAAAGAGGAAAACAGTCTAAGTTTCCATCTGCAAATAAAATGGACAATGATGTACTATTGCACAAACAGGAATATAAAAAGGATTCTATGTGACCGAAATGTCTAAAGAATCACCATCCTTGACGGTAGAGCCAGAGTTTGAAAGGTTTATGTGATATTTATTGCATCAAGATAGTAGTTTACAACCTTTGAAATGTTGATCCCAAACAAGCTTTGAATCTCATTGCAAATGCACAATTGATAGAAGGTCCCTGGAGAAAATGGTTAATAGCTTGTGTTTTAGTATTTCAATGATCACTTTCTGTAGGTCTGGGAATTGAATTTGCTGTTCCTGTAAAAGATTGTGCAGTTGATTTGTGTTATAAGCTCTGGTTATTTGGCTTTCCTTGTAGCCCTTGAATGGTTTCGAATCTAATGGGCCAGGCCTTCAGTACAAAGTTAGCTGGCGCCAGAAAGATGGTGATGATGAATGGACATCTGTGGTTGTGGCAAATGTATCCAAATATATTGTCTCAGGCACGCCAACCTTTGTTCCATACCTGATCAAAGTTCAGGCCCTGAATGACATGGGGTTTGCCCCCGAGCCAGCTGTAGTCATGGGACATTCTGGAGAAGACCGTAAGTGATGCCATTTCCTACTTTTCCCCAGCAAAACAGACTTACCAAGGTGCAAGCCAAGGCCATTTCTCCTTGCTCAGGTTGCAAGGGAGGGAGGTGGCAATTATTTTGCACGACTTCTCTGAATTTAAACAGCCTGCTGTGTAAGAAAGAGAAGTTCAGAACGTTCAAGGTGATTGCAGTATAGTTGTCCCTTGGTATCCACAGGGGATTGGTTCCAGGATGCCCTGCCTTGGATACCCAAATCTGCAAATACTCAAGTCCCACAGATAGCCCTATGGAACCCTCCTATATGAAATATCAGCCCTCCATGTCCGTGGGTTTTGCACCCAGGAATACTGTGTTTTCCATCTTCTTTGGCTGTAGATGCAGAACCTGCAGATGTAGAGGGCTGACTGTATTTTGGGGGGAAAAAAAAATCCAAGTGTAAGTGGACCCATGCAGTTCAAACCCGTGTTGTTCAAGGGTCAATTGTACTTTTTAAAAAATCGTGTTTTCCTACTCACTGATGGTGGGAGGATCCCTTGAGTCAAGGAATTTGAGTCTAGCCTGGGCAACATAGCAAGATGCCATCTCTTAAAAAAAAAAAATCTCTCACAAAGTCAAACAGATACCCCAAAATCTGTGTTCAAGCCTTAATAATCCATAGAATAGGTCTGCAGTATGCTTCAAGCCAAAATTATTAGAGAGAGTCATATTTATGGATGAAATTAAAAATAACATTGATACTTCTACCACTTCCCTGTCCTTTTCCTAGTCCCAATGGTGGCTCCTGGGAACGTGCGTGTGAATGTGGTGAACAGTACCTTAGCCGAGGTGCACTGGGACCCAGTACCTCTGAAAAGCATCCGAGGACACCTACAAGGCTATCGGGCAAGTGAAAGGGGACCTTTTGTGGCTTTATTTAGTAAGGGCTGCAGCGAATGCCACTTGTCATGCATACCACAGGAGGTGGGGCTTATTTGTTTCATTGCTTTGTGAACTTGTGGACTGAAGAGTTCATTTCGCTCATTGCCTCAGGTAGCCACTGCCAGAGTTGACTTGAAATCTCACTGCATCCAAAATTAAAAAAAAAAAAAGTTTTCTCCATTTTTCCCACTGATGATCTAACATTCTACCAACTAAGTATGTATACAAAATGGGGAAAATTAATTTTTTAAAGACCTAGAATATTACCAACTCTAGCTAGCTTTAAAGCAATATGGACCACATGTGTTGAACACACAAAATTATCCTGATAATCATTTAGGCATTTTTAAAATAATTCAGAATATACTTTAAGACCATATACTCTTAGCTAGGTCATTCTTATAAATATCCATTATCTTTGTTCTTGAGAAGTACTGAAAGATAAATATCCATTATCTTTGTTCTTGAGAGGCACTGATTTCATATTTTTTACTGATAGGCAGCCAAGCGTACAGTCACTACTTTGATTTGTTAAGCCTGACCCCTAGAGGTCACTTTTTGTACTACATCACATTCAACTTTTTTTTTTTCCCCCTAGCATTGCCAGATTCCATGTAAATGTTGACTTCTCCTGAAAATGCCTTTAAATTCATAAGAATTTAAGAAGACTTAGTAAACAACAATTCTGGATTTGTGACCAAAATTAATCAGTACTTTCTTATCCATCTCTCCAAAACCTGTGCCTGCAATCGAATACAAAAAAAAGTATTTTAAACTAAGTGATACAGTTTGATTTAGTGGAAAAATTCTAGACTTTCAGTGGAGGATCCCCTGTGGCTCTTGATACCTCTGTGGCTGTGAAAGTCACTTAGTAGCCCACACGTTCATCTGCACCATATGAATAACAGTAATAAAAGCCTCACTGTGGTGTTTACAATCACTACATGATAGGTTGTACGTGAACATGTATTAATTCTGGAAAAATATGTAAACATTGGGCAGTAATTTTTATTTTTAGAATATTTTATACAAGTAAAAGACTTAAATCCTATTGTCCTCCATTTGCCTCATGTTCTAGAGAAAACCACATGGGTCTCGTGCTGTTTTCATTTTCCTTAGACTCCTACGACAAAGTAGTGTAGCCCAGCTTTGTCATGTGGCTGTAATTTAATTTCCCTCATGATCTATGGGCTTCTATTCCTCTTGCCTCAGAATCAATATCCATCAGTTTTGCTAGTAATTTTCTTCTAAAATATACCAACGGAATTTTCTGGAAAAACAACAGTTTCAATTTTGTGAGCATAAGGAATCTTGTTTGCTCCTTTCTGCATTCCTGACTTTCGTTCTTGCTGTTTCAGATTTACTATTGGAAGACCCAGAGTTCATCTAAAAGAAACAGACGTCACATTGAGAAAAAGATCCTCACCTTCCAAGGCAGCAAGACTCATGGCATGTTGCCGGGGCTAGAGCCCTTTAGCCACTACACACTGAATGTCCGAGTGGTCAATGGGAAAGGGGAGGGCCCAGCCAGCCCTGACAGAGTCTTTAATACTCCAGAAGGAGGTATGGAATGGACGTGTCTCTAAGATCTCAGGAACATATGGCATGGCCTGAGAGGTTTTGCCTGACAGAAGGGCTACTGATCAAAGTATATTCTGGAAGCCAAATGTGATTGAAATTTCTATAGATGAATACAGCACACACAAAGCTACCAAAATGTCAGATCATATGTGGGCCTAAGTGTACATAGAAGGCTTCAGAACCCAAAATGCTGCTCTGAAATGCCCTCTCCCGTGACTTAAAATTTTTCTCCACACACACTGTCTGAAACCTTGTTACTTTGACATTTATTTGGATCATTAACTTTCTGACCTGAAAGAGGTTCCATAACTTCTCTGAATGTCAGTAGCCTCATCTGAAAAGCATGAGAACCAAATTAGATAACCTAACAAAAACACCTGGAAAGGAAAATATTTCTATAAGTTATAGTTTACTTCTATAGTTTCTTTCTTAGTGCTCTTTTCTAATTTATTAGAAAGTTGAACCGAGTTAGAAGGTTGCAAGTCTTGACCAAGTGGATTGGGAAGAGGAGGGAAAAGTCATTGCAGATATGGGCAACTGCAAGGGAGAGAGTAAGGAAGGACCAAATATATATTGATCCAGGAGTCAGGGGAGAAGGAATTTGGACACAGGGACAAGGGAGCCTTGTGGGTGAGGGAAAGAGGGGCCCATGTAGTAAAAAGGATGAGGATTTGAAAAGGAAATAAAATGGGTTTTACCTATTTTAAATTTTGCAACAATATGCCACTATGACAATGGCCAGATAGCTTCTGTAGCTTGCTTAGCTCTTTTTGATAAAAGAAGTTCACAGAAGATGGACCCCACCCTGGCTGCTGATTGAAAGATTCATGATGCAGGCAGCTGCCCAGCAGCCTCTGAGAACCACCCTGCATCCCAGCTCCCATCTCATTGTAAGTTTTTGTCGTCAATCTCACTGTCCCTTAGAGAGTCAGGGCTCTTCCTCCTCGATGTTTTCACAAGCTGGGGACTGTAGTCCCTTAGGGAGACAATGAATGGGTTTAATGAGCTCCATGAGCCTCCTAAAATTGTATGCAAGATAAATGTATATTTTTCCAGGGAGTGTTTATGGCTGTCATCAGATTCTCAAAAGGGTCTGTGATCCCCTAAAGTAAAGAACCACTTATTGGGTTGGGGAAGCTTAGAAGCCTAGAACTATGTGCCAGGCATGGTTTTAGGACCAGACAAAGACATCTAGGGGCCTAAAGCAGGGAAATGACAAAGAAGATGGGGATAGGAAGAAATGGATATGATTTAGATTAAGGAAGTGGAGTTAGTGTCTGAGGAGAGGGTGGAAATGAGGCAGATAGGGAAGTTCAGGTTGACTCTGGTTTTTGGCTAGAGTGACAATAGGGAGAGTGGTTCCATTAGTTAGTTTCCAGGGGCAGTGGTAGGGGAGGTAACCATTGTGAGAGAGAGCTGCCACCAGCCATCATCCTCATGAGGAAGTGAATAAAAGATGAGCAGACATGTTTCCTCTGGTGATTTGCCAGCCTCTGCCACAGAGAACCTGAGACCCCTCGGGCCTTCCCCAGGGCTGGGGGTGTGCCAAGGTTGGGCTTTTGTCCATTCACCACCAGATCCTGGGCAGCTGTCAGCTCTCAGGATAAGAACGTTTCTGCACCTGGGCATGCTGGCCCAAAGCCCAGCAGGCAGGGCATTCTGACTGTTTGGAGACACCTGGTTTGTTAGAGAAAACAGTCCTTAATGGTCCAGAACACAGCTGCTTCCACTCAGATCCAGTTAGAATAGTTTCACTTGGTAGCTAGTTTGCTTCTATTAAGACACCATTCATGCGTCAAACAAGTACTGCCTCTTTTTAAAATATTAGGTTTGAGTCCATCTAAAGGCAAAGTCATTATGTGTTTTGAGAGGATGGTTTTATTAAATATAAATGTAAATGACAAGAGAGAAAAAGGAAGAGAATAACTAAATGGGTGCCTGTCACAGGTTTGTACTAATGTATTTTCAGCTGAATCAGGAATGAGTTACTGAAACTCAAAACCTTGAATCGTGCGAGCACGGTGAAATGTCAATTTAATACATGTTGAAACATTCAGAAATCTTTGTGTTGACTGTAAGTTCTCACTGTAAGTCCCCAGTGCTCCCTCGTCTTTGAAGATTGTGAATCCAACACTGGACTCTCTCACTTTGGAATGGGATCCACCGAGCCACCCGAATGGCATTTTGACAGAGTACACCTTAAAGTATCAGCCAAGTAAGCTGTTGGGAGGAAGAGAAGGGGAAATATGTTTTTTTATTTTATTTATTATTTTAATTGACAAATAATTATACCTCCTCATGGGGTACGTAGTGATGTTTCGATACATATAGTGATCAGATCAGGGGAATTCGCATATTCATCTTCTCAAATATTTATCATTTATTTGTGTTGGAAACATTTAATATCCTCCCTCTAGCTGTGTAAGGAACACCAGAACTTAGTCTTTGTATCTAGCTATCATTTTGTATCATATATATATATACACACGTATATATATATATACGTGTATATATATATACACGTATATATATACACGTATATACATATATATATATATATATATATATATATATATATATTTGAGATGGAGTCTCGCTCTGTCACCCAGGCTGGAGTGCAGTGGTGAGATCTTGGCTCACTGCAAGCTCCATCTCCCGAGTTCACACCATTCTCCTCCGTCAGCCTCCCGAGTAGCTGGGACTACAGACGCCCACCACCATGCCCGGCAAATTTTTTGTATTTTTAGTAGAGACGGGGTTTCACCATGTTAGCCAGGATGGTCTTGATCTCCTGACCTCGTGATCTGCCCACCTCAGCCTCCCAAAGTGCTGGGATTACAGGCGTGAGCCACTGCGCCCAGCCTTCCCTTTAACTGATATCTCCCTATCTCGCCTTCCCTCTGTCCTTCCTTTATTTCTGGGATGCTGTGTTCTACTTTTTACTTCTGTGACATGAACTTTTTTTAGCTTTCACCTATGAGTGAGAACATGTGGTGTTTAACTTAACTGTTATCAAAAAATACAAGCTAGTTTTTCTTTATATCTGTAGAATATATACATATAACTTCAAGTGTTGTTTCAGAAAGAACTTCAAATCTTACTTTTTAAAGAAAAATGATGTCTATGTTATTAAAAATTAAGTAATCTGTAGAATAATACAGACCTTTAGGAGTGGGGTTTAGGTGAGTCCTGTCATTAAATCACATATGCATTTTCTACAAATAGAAAATGGTTCCTTTGGCAAAAGTCCTCTGAAGAAAAATGTTTGGGGTTATTTAACAATACAACTCCACCTGCAAGAACACAGGGGAAAAAATTCTATTGTGATTCAACCACAACATTCTTCTAGTTTATTAGCCAATAGAGAACATACTACCCCCTTGTGATATATGATATGATATGATATGATACGATATGATAGAACATAGCATAGGAGCTGTTAAAAGGTTATCACTTAGTTATGCTGGGGAAAGAGTGAGTGGGATTATAAAAGTCAATGTAAGCCAGGTTGAACATTTTTAGTTGACGTATTTATTTATAATAGTATTCCTATAGCAGTTAATGGAGAATGCACTTGTTCATTATTTCTTATTGACAGTTAACAGCACACATGAATTAGGCCCTCTGGTAGATTTGAAAATTCCTGCCAACAAGACACGGTGGACTTTAAAAAATTTAAATTTCAGCACTCGATATAAGTTTTATTTCTATGCACAAACATCAGCAGGATCAGGAAGTCAAATTACAGAGGAAGCAGTAACAACTGTGGATGAAGGTAAGATGGGTATGTATAAAATCCATATAATTATAAGCATCATGAAATAAAAATCTTTAAGTTTATGCTTTTTCCTTCTTGCTATGGAACGTCTGTCTTACCTGATTAACGCAAACACTTATTTGTAATTTCTCATTCTGATATATAATCAGCTATTTAGTTCATATTGGACTGATATTTTTCAACTCCATGTGAAACTTTCTTAAACTTACATTAAAATCTTAGTGTGGGAGTGAGTAAGCATAATATTTGCCACACTTGAATTTGAAGTTCAGGGGAATGTTGTTTCCTGTTTACAACTTTATATATTATATATATTCATGCACAAACATACATATGTACACATACACATAATACACACATATGCATACACAGACATACACATCTATATACACACAAATATATGTAATTCGAGTTCTGGTCCTGATTTACTGGAAAAAATTTTCTAGTTCACATATCAATTTACATTTTCTAGCAAGGAAATCGAAACAGTTATTAAAGAGTGCATTTATTTTGTGTTTGAGCAAAAGATTTTGCATTTTGGTATGTACAAAGAAAGCAAAATAGCCCATTATAGTATTTAGAAAAGGAATTAACACTTCTTTTCATACTTTAAAAAGTTATTCTGAAATCTTGAGATTCAATGAAAATTATCAAAAATATTATAAAAGGTTTTCTAGTTTTGCATGTCTCTAAATTGTAGAGTTGCTTAAGGATTATTCATTTGACTATCTTTGATAGCATAAAAAATTGACAATTTCTATCCAAAAATTGGTTTGAAATATCCTAAGCCTTCATACATAATCAACAAGTATGAATAATGCACCTTAAGTAATGTGTTTGAATACTGGGTATTCAAACTGGGTATCCTGATAAAATGTTGGTACTGGATTTGAATACTAGATAAGTTTGGGGACACCAACATATCTTTGTCCCCTATACCTGATGTGGTACACTTCATTCTTCTTGCATGCTTTAGCATTTTAATAAGTGTTTTTGTATCGCTATACATGCTCATGGGTGTGTTACATCTAACTATATAGTGTCCTATTTCTGTTTCCCTTCATTAAAGCTGGTATTCTTCCACCTGATGTAGGTGCAGGCAAAGGTAAAATAATTCATCTGCATGACTTTATACATGTGTGAAATTTGCAATGTGAAACATGGGGAAGTGCAGCATGGGTAAAACAGAGAAAATATGCTTTGAACCACCAAAAGAAGAGAAGATCTCATCCAATCTTGGCTTTAAAATTAATTTCTAGTCCTTTCTTTACAAGTAGAAAGCCACATATTGAATTCTCAAAACATTTTTTCTTGAGACTTATCCCTGGTACAAATCCTAATCTTAGCTTCTAATACTATGATTTTGGCTGGATCAGACAGGACCAAAACTGTGTATTTGTCACAGATCCTCTATATGGCCATGCCACATTATTTGGGGTTCAGAAATATTAGCCCTGTGATGAAAACAGCCTGGTAGAAATCAGATCAACCAAGCTTCCTGTTCTATTCTGATTTAGCTGCTCTCCTTGTAGACACAGTGTACACTCGGCTGCCATTGCACAAAACCGTCCATTTGGAATTACAGCGTAGCAATGCCCTCCAACTGGTTTGGGACTAAGTCTCCCCGAGCTTAGGGTCCCCTGCAAGTGAGTCTTCCAGGTGACCCATATGCTCTTCTCAAATGTGTTATCCCACCCATCCTGTCTTCACCCAACTGCCTAAGTCTCTTCCTCCTGAGTAATAGCCAACAATCCACAATGGATTTTGTTCTCCTTTATTTCTGACAGCTCTCTGGGTCAGAAAGATTTGTTGGGAGAATGGTGCTTGAATAAGTTGTAATATGTCTTCCATTAGTGGCAATGCCAAAGATGCCCCAGTCTTTGACCCCTGGCTGCTGGTTGACCAGTCAGCTTTTTAGAGAGCAGTGGAGTACCTGCCACTGGGCACTGTTTTCACGTGGCATGCCCATGGTCAGGGGCTTTCGCACATCAGGTGAGTATAAACAGGAATGAAGAAAAGGAAGACCAAGAGAAAAATGTGCTTTGCCCTATGTTATTCAACTCCTGTGAGCTTAGACTTGATAGATTTATTCTATTTGCTTAGAAATTTGCTTATATTCAGAGCTTTGGTAAATTACAAAATATCGATCAGATAGATTTTGGAGTTATTGAATAAGGACTGTAGCCATTTTCAGTAATCTTAAGAGTATTATATTTGTGTTTTTAGACTTGACGAAGTTGTAAAAATTCAAAATTTCTATATCACAGAGCGATGTAAACTTACTTCTATTTATTTGTATACTTCCTTCCTATGATAATTAGATATCAATTAAAATCATTAGTAGTTTTACAATAATATATTGCTTTATAACTTCAATTGGAGCATTTCACTAAAAGCCTGGCCTTGTTTCCTATGCAGTGGACATGTCACTGTGGCTGTGCCTAGAGCTGATAGCAGAGAAATTGTGCTTCAGCAGGACTGTCTGTGAAGCAAGTCTGAATTCTCAGTGGACTTGTCACGTTAGAAGTAGATATGCACTCCACTGGAAAAACATCACCCCTCTGTTTTTAATAAATTAAAACTAAATTCTATATTTAAAGAGTTTTGGTTTTACCATTTGATGTTACTAATTTGAATTGTGAGCTACTTATGATTAGAGAGACAAGCAAAAATGGAGTGTCTGAAAGTTCATTAAGCCCCCAGTATTAAAATCTGATGGATCTTAGATAAGAAAAGAATAGCGTTTAAATAAGGGGGAAAAAAGCTAACTCTGACCTTAATTTTAATATGGTTTATTTTAATAGTATAGCAGTAGTTAAGTATGGCTTACATAAGAGGATATTTTGCCAGTAAGACTTTAAACTGCTCAAGCATAATTTGTGATCCTGGGTTTTCCTTCCTTAAAAATACTTCTTTTTTTCAATCTGAAAATGAATTCTATCCTCTTCACTATTTCCCTTCTCCATATGGAATTTAACTGCTCTGTGACAGGAGAAAAATTGAAGTTCTCCACTATCCTCCCAAATTTTAATTTTTTAAATGTATCTTTTACATTTTTATTTAAATCAGGACAATAGGGAATAAATAAGAGATGAATAAAGAGGAAACATGTGATATCCTTAGCTATAGAAGCATCAATATGGCCGGGCGTGGTGGCTCACACCTGTAATCCCAACAGTTTGGGAGGCTGAGGCGGGCAGATCACGTGAGGTCAGGAGTTCAAGACCAGCCTGGCCAGCATGATGAAACCCCATCTCTACTAAAAATATAAAAATTAGCTGGGCGTGTTGTTGGGCGCCTGTAATCCCAGCTACTCAGGAGGCTGAGGCAGGAAAACTGTTTGAACTCAGGAGGTAGAGGTTGCAGTGAGCTGAGATTGCACCATTGCACTCCAGCCTGGGCAACGAGCAAAACTCCATCTCAAAAAAAAAAAAAAAAAAAAATCAACATCTCATAAGATTTTATTATGAATTATGATTTCATGAAAAGTGGTTTTAATTCATTTCTGGTCAAAGAGGGGAAAAGAAATGCATCTGAGTTTACATTTTTAAACTTTCTTACAGATTTTAAGAGATGTTAATGAAACCTAAGTTTTCAAATGTATAATTACAAAAGGATTATAAACCTGAAGGAAAACCCAGGATAATTCAATTAACTATATGATGCCATACTAACCCTTCTTCTTACCATTCTCCTCAAGATAATTACATACGCGAGACCTTTGAGTCATTTATTTTTGTCCTTTTCTTTGTTGGATTAAAGCTCTCAATATTTGTGTAGGAATTATAGTTGATTGGCATATTTTTTCAATTTCTATGTCTCTTTAAATGAGGCTGGGTGTGGTGGCTCATGCCTGTAATCCCAGCACTTTGGGAAGCTGAGGCAGGCAGATCACTTGAGGTCAGGAATTCGAGACCAGCCTGGCCAACATGGTGAAACCCCATCTCTACTAAAAATACCAAAATTAGCCAGGCGTGGTAGTACACACCTGTAGTCCTAGCTGCCCGGGAGGCGGAGGCAGGAGAATTGTTTTAACCCAGGAGGCAGAGGCTGCAGTGAGCTGGAGGCTGCACTGAGCCAAGATTGCACCACTGCACCCCAGCCTGGGCGACAGAACGAGACTCCATTTCATAAATAAATAAATAAATAAATGATTTCAGGGTCTGGAATTCTAGGAAGTAGACTGTGAAGGCATGTATAGAAATGAACCAAAAATGTGCAGGCTCAAAAAGATTTATGTTCCCAGTATTGCTGATGATCCACAATGCCATATCCATTGCATGTAATCTGGCGCTCTGAGGACCAAGCATCAAAATACTTTTATAGGGTAATTAGTTGGAATACAGAAACAGGGATAAACTAACTGGCAAAGCAGGAATCTGCATTCTTGACCTAACTTGCAGCCTACTATGGTCAACCAATTAGGAGTGAGCAGAGAAGAGCATTGAGGATCAGCTAGTGGTGAATCCCTTCTGTGATCTGACTCTCACTACATTATTTTACTAAAGAACCAGTAAATAAAAAATAAAATTCCTTTTTTGGCCTATACGAAAACAAAACAAGACATCTAGAAGCATAGAAGTTTCAATCAGTTCAACAGTGAATGTCTCTCTGGCACATAAAATGCACCCGTGTTTGTTTAAGAAGCTGTGTATAAAGACAGTAAGACAAACCCTGGCCTTGACATGCTTGAAATCTGGCAGGTAAGACCAACGTATAGAAAGAGTAATAAATTGACGCTAAACTAGAAATTGGAGCAAAATGTTATCTGAATATAGAGGTGTGAACCATTTTTTTTGCCAAGCAGGATCAGGAAAAGCTTCACAAAGAAAATAATATTGAACTGGGCCTTGAAGCCCAGTTTTTGTTTTATTTTTGTCAGATGAGTCAGGGAGTTGCAGTGTGTAAAGTCTTGGTAGGGGTCATAAGCACATGGCGTTTGAAAACATACCGGATGTCTGGGTTATACCAAGCGGTCCACTTAGGCTGACTTGTAGAGAGTGTGTGGAAAAGAGAAGACCCTGAGATGGGACTGGAGCAGTGGGCGGGGCCAGATGGTAACAGCTCTGAAGGGCCATGAATGCTTTGCTAAGGAATTTGTATTTACCTGTAGGCAGAGTTTTAAACAGAGAAGTGGCTAGATAAGAGTTGTAGTTTCAGCAGCTAAAATGTAGGTAACTACACTGGCGGTATCTACAGAGGAAGACTTACAGTTGGGCGAGGCACACCGGAAGCAGTCCGTTGGGAAAGCCCAGAGAAAGGGGACACTACAGCTCCCTTGTATGGTACAAAATAGGTGCTCTGTGAGTGAGAAGGTGGATGAGTGGGGATTAAAAGGAAGGAGAGTTCGAATTCCCTATGGTAAAAGTGGCTAAACAGCATGCCTTAGGAAATTGTGGTATCTTTTCTGGGTATCTTTAAGAATAAGCTAAATGCAAATTTCCAGTGTATAATACTTTATTATTAACTATAATTAGTAATATAATGCTGTACATTAGATCTCTAGAACTTGTTCATCTTATAACTGAAAGTTTGTACCCTTTGACCAACATCTCCCATTTCCCCAACCCCCACCCCACCTCTAGCCCCTGGCAACCACTATTCTACACTCGTTCTCTAAGTACAACTTTTTTAGATTCCACATGTGAACCCCGAAAATCTGAGACAGGTTTCAGTTAATTTAGAAAGTTTATTTGCCCAGGTTGAGAACATATGCCCGTGACATACCCATAGCTCAGGAGACCCTGAAGACATGTGCCCAAGGTGGCCAGAGCACAGTTTGGTTTTATACACTTTAGGGAGTTATGACACATCAATCAACACATGTGAGATGAACATTGGTTTGGTCTGGAAAGGAGGGACAACTCGAAGCAGGGAGTTTCTAGGTCATAGGTAGGTGAGAGACAAACGGTTGCATTCTTTTTGAGTTTCTGATGAGACTCTCCGAAGGAGGCAATCAGATACGCATTTATCTCAGTGAGCAGAGGGATGACTTTGAAAAGAATGGGAGGCAGGTTTGTCCTAAGCAGTTCCCAGATTGACTTTTCCCTTTAGCTTAGTGATTCTGGGGCCCAAAGATTTATTTTCCTTTCACACACATTTAAGTGAGATCACGCAATATTTGCCTTTCTGTGTCTGGATTATTTTACTTAGCATAGTATCCTCCAGGTTCATCCATGTTGTTGCAAATGGCAGGATTTCCTTTTTTTTTAAAGTCGGAATAATATTCCATTGTGTAAATATATATATATATGGTAATTTCTTTATCCATTCATCTGTCAATGGATATTTAGGTTGTTTTCATGTCTTGACTATTGTGAATAATGCTGCAATGAATTTAGGAGAGTCGATACTCGTAGAGATAATGATTTCATTTCAATAAAACTAGAAACAAAATAATAATAATGAACAGTTTAGAGAAGAAACTCTGAGAAGGGAGCACCCATAGAAACCAATGTAAAATATAAGAAGAAACTAAATGCTTTTCCGTTAGAAGTATTTTGCTCTTCTGTTAGTAAATGCTCTTGTGTTAGAAGTATTATGTTTCTGCCTTGAACATCTTCCATATTACTCCAAGATTAAATTCCTGTTTCAATATTCCAAAATTTTTTAAGAAAATTAATGTTTTTCCTGGGTTGCCATTGATGTTTTACACATGTGTGCATATTTACTGTCATTGATTGATCATATTCCTATTATTTTACCTATAAGAAGAAAATCTCGGAAAACTAAAATTAATTAGGTCCACAGAAGGACTCTGCATAATTCAGTAATCAGTTTTGCCCTCTGCTGTTTCCCCATGCTTAGCACAAAGAGATACAAAATTTGCATGTGTTGTTGAATTATATTTCAGAAGTCAAAAGCATTATTTAACTGCTTTAATATCTTTCTTTTCTTAATTCTAAGAAATGTAATTTTATTACATTTATTTGAACAAAGGTCTTGAGCGTCTACATTTTATAAACATATCTTAGAATATAATTTTAGTGTCTTGGTAAACCTATTGATGCTGTCTGATTGACTATCCTAGTAAATTTTATGTGAGATAATAAATTGATCTTCTTTTTTAACTACCCAAATTAACACATCTGTAAATGTTTCATTTTTAGTTTAAGCTATTGAGGTAGGACTGATAGAATTGCCTGCCTCAGGTATTCAAATAACATTTTTTAATGACTTTAGATGTTGTCTTTACCCAGTAGCAAGCATGTAGCATCATCTGGTCTCCATAATTTGGATTTTTAAGAAGCTATTTAGGTTGCACTATGATTTTTCAGAAAATGCTTTGTAACAAACAGTTAACAGGTAAGATTGTCTTGCTCTCTAGGAAATGTTACATGAAATAGTTTTTACTCCTTTTATTTATTCTTTCTTAACTTCTGATAGAACACATCTGGAAATTCCTTTTGCAGCTTCTCTTCCAACATACCCTTACCATCCATCATTCTCTAAAGCAGGGATTTCTTACCTGGGGTCCCTGAGTTTCCCAGTGATACTCAAAGAAGTCTGTTTTTTAAAACAGATCAAAAACGCTGTTCAAAGGGGCATTCTCTGTCACACCAACACAGATTTTTTAAAGACCTGCATTGAGATGACAAATAGGTTTGAAAAGTAGCCACATAGTATTGGGTTTTACCTTGGCGTCTCTGACATTCCATGATGACGTCTGTCCCTGGGATTGTTCAGCAATCCCCCTCTCCATCACACTTTAGTAAATGAAGACGGTGACATTTCCCGGGACTGTATCTAATGGACAACAGTTAACATTGTTCAGAACCCATATAATAGAACTCACAAATTTTAATATTATGCGTCATTATTTCTGATTATTAATTTCCTAGTGCTGAATTTAAGAAACAAAAACCTTTCTGTAATGAAAGCAAAGCATGAGTGAACCCTAAATTTTAGCAGTAAATTCTATTTAATTCTATTTGCACAATTTCAGAGTATTTAAACTTATTTTATATTCGTGTGTATGGTGTTGCAATATGATTGTTTGTTTTATTTTTCTATTGTATGTTTAGTTCAAGCAGTAAATCCCAGGATCAGCAATCTTACTGCTGCAGCTGCTGAGACCTATGCCAATATCAGTTGGGAATATGAGGGACCAGAGCATGTGAACTTTTATGTTGAATATGGTGTAGCAGGCAGTAAGAAACAATTTCATTACCCGATTTTTAATTTGGGGGATGCATTTTTTAAAAGATTAAAAACATTCTTAAGAATTTACTATGGATCATCTTGAAAAATAACTTGATCCAATTAAATGAATGAGTTATCTAAAAAAATTATAGTGAACCATCAGCCTACCACATATTATATGCACGACTAGGAATTGCTTTTTTATGTTATTAATAACAGAGGGCATATGTTCCATTACGTATGTTATTTTCATATCATAGTACTTGAAACTAGTTCTGTGCCCACAACACATAAACAAGAGTAAGAAGGAATAATTATATTTGCAAGTACAATAGAAAAGAAGAAAAGGTTTTTTTTTCAAATTGGATCTTGAAGTAACAGAAATCAAACTGACTTGAAAGTATTCATTTTGCCCTGACTAGCCCAACAGAATTTTATAAGAAACCGCAGAAAATTAATACTTTGGGAGAGCATTCATTATGTTTTAACGTTTGATGTATTCTCAAGTCAGGCACTCTTCGTAGATCCTGGCCACATCTACTGGGAGATGGGGCAGCTTTCACTTTCAGCAGTTTATGAAAAGCCAGTACCCCCCTCCTAAGTGCAGTGTGCTTACATAGAACAAATGAGGTGGCCAATAAATGTTTGTGACAAAATGTTGAACAGAGTCCAACTTTCTGTTTAAGCCTTTATCATGCAAGTAAATGTTTTTAGAAATGACGATCCCTTTAGAAAAACCGGTACTTGGGAAAGGTTGAATCGATTAATTGGATACGTTGGAAGGCATTTAAGTTTACTAAAAGATTCATCTTGTGAATCATAAAAAAACAATTCTTCCCATAGTTCACTTAAGCTAATTAATGTGTATCAGTTCTTTTGAGAAACATCTTTAGAGAAACTCAACAGTTTCATAAGGCAAGGTGCAGATAAAGAACCTTCCTTTGTATTAAAGAGGAGAATTAATACAATGGGAATATATACAATTAATAAGCAAGCTAGATACCCAGTCTATTTTTCTTTGAGGATATTTTCCTGTAGGTCATTTTAATTGATTTGTTTGACATGACTACATTTATAATAATCTAAAATGGTAAACCTAAGCATCCTACATCTTGTCTTTAGCTTATAAAGAATTTTCCTTTCTTGAAGCATTAAGTGACTTCTGGTCCCTTAAAATATTCAAATGTGTTGTTTTTGCAAAATTTCCATAGGCAAAGAAGAATGGAGAAAAGAAATTGTAAATGGTTCTCGGAGCTTCTTTGGGTTAAAGGGTCTAATGCCAGGAACAGCATACAAAGTTCGAGTTGGTGCTGTGGGGGACTCTGGTTTTGTGAGTTCAGAGGATGTGTTTGAGACAGGCCCAGGTGAGGCTCACACCACACCTGTTCTGGCTCCCGCTCAGAGGTGGAGGCCGCCAGGTGCTCCAGCTGGAGATGGGGGCTGGTGGAGCTGTGTTATGGGTAGGGCATGAATGTCTTTCTATGGGGCCCTGTTGGGTTGGGAGTTTTGGTTTTTGTCTTTGGTTCTTTATATCAAATGAATTACGGAATTTAGCAAATCATCTAGCCACATTATTACCAAAAACCATCAGAAAAATAGACTTAAATATGATTTTAACTTATATTATTTAAAGAATTCAATTGTTCATATCACATGTATAAACTTTCCCTCAGTGTTAAACTGAAATTTTTTAAGTGCTTTTGAAGATGAAAGAACTTATAAGAAAGTCACAATTCTGGCCGGGCGCGGTAGCTCACGCCTGTAATCCTAGCACTTAGGGAGGCCGAGGCAGGCGGATCACCTGAGGTCAGGAGTTCGAGACCAGCCTGGCCAACATGATGAAACCCCGTCTCTACTAAAAATACAATAATTAGCTGGGCATGGTGGTGGGCGCCTGTAATCCCAGCTACTCAGGAGGCTGAGGCAGGAGAATCACTTGAACCCGGGAGGCAGAGGTTGCGGTGAGCCAAGATTGCGCCATTGCTCTCTAGCCTGGGTGACAGAGTAAGACTCCGTCTCAAAAAAAAAAAAAAAAAGAAAAGAAAGAAAGTCACAATTCTTTATTTCAAAATGGCCTACAACCCAGCAGAACCCTGCAGTCAGCTTAGACAACTGATACAGATATTATTACATTTGTATGGAACAAGAACTTGTACAATTCATATGCTACATTTTTTATCACACCAAATTTTACTGCCTGTATATATTTACTTATGTGAATATTAACAAAATATGCAAGTAAAAAGTGAAGTTTCTAAAATAAAGAAAAATGTTCATGTGAAACATGAGAGCATTCGTATTTGCTCGCTAGATGGAGAACAATCCCTGCTTACTTACATTTCAACAAGAGTTGTTTGTGGTACATGTTCACTCTGTGGTTCATACCCCCATGTTATTTTCATTCACTCCATGCATTCTTAAAGAAATGTGCATATCCTGTAGAATACATTACACAATGTATTTTTTGTGACTTTCATTAACAAAGCATTATGATTTTTAAAGTCAGTTTTTACAATTTAGAAAAATATAAATCATAAGTGGTTTTTAAAAAGAAACAACAATAATGTATTAAACTATATTTTAAAGATATTCATTTGCTAAAATCATAATGTTTTAAGAAAACCACACATTTTATTCTGTTCTTTGTATTTCATATCCATTTATGTATATAGTCCTGGGAAACCAGTGTGTTAAGCTTAAAAGGGGAATATCTAATCAATTCATAGCTAGTTTACAAGGTTTTTGTTTGTTATTGATAACTTTTATTTTCAAAATACTAAAAGTCAAGTAGATATTATCTTCATATATAGCTGGAATGCTAATAATAGTAATGGGACTAGCATTTAGTCAGCTCTCCTATACAGCAGGAAGTGGTTTTCTCATTCAGTCCTTACAACAATCCTATGATGTAGGCACCATTATTACTCCACTTACCCCTCAAGTCAGAGAGGTCGAGTACCTGCCAGGTCGCCCAGTAGGAACGTGACAGAGCTGGGATTAGAAGCTTGTCGTTCCGTCTCCAGAAGAAAGGCCTCACTATACCCCCACTGCAGGGTCACAAAGGTCCACAGGCCAAGGAGGACAGGCTGTCTCAGAAAGGGCAGCTTCGGTCAACACTTGGTATATCCAATCAGTGATTCTGGACCCCTGCAGGCTGCATGTGGTTACTGGTTCTGGATTATTTATGAAGAATCTACTATGTATAAAAATGACCTGTTGTTAAAATTGTTAGAAATGTTTAGGAAAGGAAAAAGTGACTTTATCCAAAGTTAGATTCACCCTCAAAATCAAGTTGTAGCATTTGTTGTCCTTCTATAGGACAAAAGACAACTCCTTTAGAAAATTATTTTTCACTCAGCAGTGTAATGCCTACAGTTCCAGCAGCAACTGCCAGATAGTTTGAGGTGAGGAATCGTGATAGGTGGGCCTTCTTGTGTGCCAGTGATGGAGAGACAGGACAAGGTCACAACCAGTTCTTGTCACTTTTTACATATAAATGTATTAAAAAGAACAAATATTGATTCACCTCTAGTGACCTTAGTTAACACATCGCCTGTAAGAGCAAATGCTGCCAGCATTCTAGAATGCCTCAGTTTACCATTACGCTGCCTCCCTTTTCCCAGTTCACAATGCTTCATCCTTTGGGGCTGCTGGGTTAACTCCAGTGTGAAAGCACCGTCTTCCACTGCCCCTGCTCCTGCTCCTGCTCCTCCTCTCCTCTCCTCTCCTCTCCTCTCGGTTCCGCGGTGTAAGGATGTCAATATTTGGCATGAAAGCCTATCATTGGCTAATTTTTAAACTCTGCATTCATGATCTACTTCTCTCTCTTTCTCTGATTTCTGCTAATTTTAGGACACTGGACTCAACTTTATCTATAGTTATTTCATCAATCTTCCTACCATTACACCATCTCTCCCTTTTATACCCTGGATTTCTAAGGTATATTTCTTAATTTTTTTCCTATGGCACAAACTGAAAAACAGACGAGATAGGCGGTGTCCTGATGCTGCGCTTCTTCCCCGTACTACTGGTATGACCTCTCATTACCCCACCCCACCTGGTATGACCTCTCACTACCCCACCCCACCTGGTATGACCTCTCATTACCCCACCCCACCCGGTATGACCTCTCATTACCGCCACCCCACCCGGTATGACCTCTCATTACCCCACCCCACCCGGTATGACCTCTCACTACCCCACCCCACCTGGTATGACCTCTCATTACCGCCACCCCACCCGGTATGACCTCTCACTACCCCACCCCACCTGGTATGACCTCTCATTACCGCCACCCCACCCGGTATGACCTCTCACTACCCCACCCCACCCGGTATGACCTCTCATTACCGCCACCCCACCCGGTATGACCTCTCACTACCCCACCCCACCCGGTATGACCTCTCATTACCGCCACCCCACCCAGTATGACCTCTCATTACCGCCACCCCACCCGGTATGACCTCTCATTACCGCCACCCCACCCGGTATGACCTCTCATTACCGCCACCCCACCTGGTATGACTGCTCATTAGCGCCACTCCCTGCCCCCGTTTGACCTCTCTTTAGTGCCACCCCATCTGGTATGACCAGACGTGACCTCTCATTAATGCCATCCACCTCCCCTTCCTCTTTTACCTCTGTCCCTCAATTACCCAGTCTTTCTTATCATCACAAAGGATTTAAAACAGATTTGTTTTCACGAGGCCCAACAGCTTTTTTGTCAGTTGTCTCCAAACTTTGGTTAAGGTCACATTTTGCTCTTCCTAAACACATCTAAGCGTTTGATGTCTAAGCATTTGAACAGGACATTTTCATCCATAGTGCATTCTTCATAAATAGTAGAGAACAAATAACCATTTCCCTCACCCTGTCTCTCTTCTGTGTTGATTCTATGGTTCTGAGGACTCAAGAGCATTTTCCTCAGAGACCTCCTACCACAGAGCACAGATATCCATGACAGCAAGCAACGCCAGAGCAGAAGACTGTTGTAAAGCTGACTTCCAGAAAACAAAGCAAATCTCATTCTCCTGCCATATTTTCTGTTTTCATGTTCTTTATATGTGTTTAATTTATCATTTTGTGGATTACTCAAATAATACATGAATATAATTTTATTGTTAAAAAAAATCAAGTAATGAAGATTCTCTTTTACTCCGCTACCCAGCCCTTCAATGGGTGATATCCACCCACTGAAACTGATTCTAGAAGGAAAACTCCCATAGGTTTAATTCTCTCTCTGTGGGGTATATGTGTGTGTATGCGCATGTGTGTGTATGTGTGTGTGATGCATGATCATGGTTATGGCTTGGATTTGTATGTCCCAGGTGATTTTAGATTGTCCTGAAAAGGCTTCATGCCTATTTTAATCATTCTGGAATTTAAATCTTTTCTTTTATGGATGGAAAGTCAATAGAAATTTTTATTCCATTTACACAGTTTCTGTTTTATATCAATTTCTGGTGTACTTGTGTGTGTGTGAATGTGACTGTGTGTGTGCACACATGCACCTATTACCATATTGTGTCTGCCTATTTTAAATAATAGGGCAGTGAAATATTCGATACTTTTTTCTTTAGACACAGAGGCAGAAATTCAAAGTCAGTGAATGTGGATGTTTGTGTACCACCCATCAAACATCCATCCAGTTTTTCCATGGTTGCATAGCAGCAAACTGCCAGTCAGTAGTTCGATTTTGGCAGTCACCATCCTTGTAGAACAATATCTCTGCTAGTACCTGAGTATCTTGTTTTTCCCTTTTTAGTTGCATTTAATTAGATGAAAAATGTAAATGCTGAATGTATTTATGACAAGGCTGTAAATCAGCACACTGAAAACAAGAACTATAGTCAAATGCTTAAGAGACTTAATGCCATTTGGTTTTTGGTTCAGTTTTGAAGAAAAAGCACAGACCAGGCATTAATTGAAAGAAATATGTTGCCAAAGAGGATGTAATGATGGACTTTTAATACCTTTTTGCCTGTCTCAGAATAGGAAGTGCCTATAGCATTTTATTCTTTAACTTAAGATTTTTGCAGATTTGGTATCTGGATTGTTTTTAGGAATGCATTACAGCAGTATAATATAATGGCTAGTAGCATATTTTCTGGAGTCAGACACAGGTTGCTCCAACTCTTGGGCAAGTTCTTAACCTTCTCTGGGCATGGATTTATTTCTGATGCCTACCTCAGAGAATTGTTGTAAAGATTAAATGAGATGTGCCTTCAGCACAGTGCCTAGCCTATGGTAAGGGTCCAAAACTGTTAGCCATCAGTGCTATTACCATTGTCCTCATCTTCATCATCATGACTATGGTATGTGTATGGAAAGGGGAAACTGCCTAAACTGATGCTTTACTTGTGTGTGGCTATGATACAGCTCAAAACTTCTCTAATAAGGCACGAGGGCCTATTGGGAAAAGGCTACCAGCCTTTGACTTGTATTTCAAATAAGGTATTTTTGCTTCTCATTTTATTTCTTCTACATATGTCCATATTTTTTTTAACCTTCCTCTTCACACTTGATTTTTAGCATTTCCTTTTTCTCCCTAAACTTTGTATGGAGAAAAAGAGGCAATGAGATGCTATTTTTGCAACATTAGCTGAACCTGGGATATGCGTAGTCATGTTTATTTCTGCATCCAGAGATCACACACACCTAACTCAACTGTGTAAAATATATTCGGAAGAAATTCAGTCAAATTAAAAGCATGATATAAGCATGCTTATAGAGTCAAAAGAAGAAAATGTTTTATCTTGATTATGGTCAAAAGAGAGAAAATAAAGGTCTTTTAAAAAAGAATTTATACTAGTTAATTAAGCAAATCTGCATGGGCATGTCTGAATAGCCATTGATGCTGCACTTTTTCCCATAAGATTGATACTTTAAAATAATACCCGAAATGCTCATTATTCTGTGGTTTTCTTAGAAATTTTGCATATTATGACTGATGGAATAAGGGGTTTCACATTTATTAAACAGAATAGATGCAAACTGAAAGGATATGTATACACCTAAGTGAGTACTTTCTTTTCAAACTGGTCATGTAGGCAAATAATGAGTTCACTGACTGAGAGATATTCCGGTCTTTTGAATGGATCCTTAGCAATAACGAATATTGATTCTTTGAGGGTGGATTTGGTTTTTCAGAAATTTCCACTCAGAACCAACTCTTGTGAATGAGATGAATAACAAATCTAAGTAATATTTTGGGTGCAAATTGAGATGTTATATAAAACAATATGGCTGTTTTCCTGATCTGGAAAGGTTTCTTGTGTGGACCGTTTTCTTTTTTAACAGATTTCTAAAAAATACTGAAAATGGCAACAGCCTTGCAAGGACAGTTTAGCCTCTAAAAGCAGTTCCTTTGAAGAGAAAATACTCAATTAGATGTATACATTCTGTTCTGTTTAAAACTCAGTTTTGTATTTTTCTCATTATACTTAATGTAAAATGTATCCTGTTAACAGTGAATACTTTAATTGGTTTGGGAATTTGTTTTTATTGAGAATATATAGTGAAAATAACTGTGAACACAGTGTTCACCAGGGGTTTTTAGCATTTAATGTGATGATTATTCAGATTTCTCTACTTGAATTTTTTAATGAATGAAGATTTTTCAAAGTTAATTATTCATATAATTCCTGATTAATAATTGACAGATCCTAATTTGGGGCCACATGTAAAATATATGAAAGCTCACATAACGTGGCAATTTTTTACTCTGAGAGACTGCAGCAGTTCCCATCTCCCCTTAACCTATTGCCACCAACACCATTGATTTGTTTTCCAGCGATGGCAAGCCGGCAGGTGGATATTGCAACTCAGGGCTGGTTCATTGGTCTGATGTGTGCTGTTGCTCTCCTTATCTTAATTTTGCTGATTGTTTGCTTCATCAGAAGAAACAAGGGTGGTAAATATCCAGGTAAGAAAGAAAGATTAAAATTGCTTTATAATGCTACATAATAATCCATTAAACTAAAAAGATCATGGGGGAAATCATGTAGATTGTAATATTTTGTCTTCCCAGAGCCATGAGTTTGGACTTTCTCTTCAAATGACTTTTGATCCCTTTTTATATAATGGCAATCTAAACATTGTCAATGATCATAAGGCATTTGGAGGAGTAAATCAATCAGTTCTCTGAAAACATTAGTGAGCCTACTTTCTTAGACTCCACATAGGTTATGGATGCTGAAGTAACACCTAAAACCAACTGGCAAGGAGAGAGTTGCAGGGAAGGTTCATGGAGTTTTTCAAAGGAAGTAATGCATGAACTAAGTCTTCATATTGTGATGTGTAACATTGCTTTCCCTATAAGGTAATGGTTTATTCAATTTAGTGGGCCCATTAAATTTATATTTTCTTTACCTGACCATTTTCCCTTCAGTGACAAGAAAAAAAAAATCTGTGAGAGAATACTCTTACAAAAACAATTTTCAACCATTAATATAGTTAACAAATAGATTGGTAAAATAGGGGGAAATCTTAGAAACTTAAAAATTATTTATCAGGTGAGAAACTAGTCAACTTTATGTGTTAAAAAATGTACATTCTATTGGGTTGCCTCAAAAATAACTAAAATACCAAAATATATGCATGGCCACCATATATATGGTTATACAACATCTACTTGTGTATGGAATTATTTTTCACTGCTGTATATCTCAAAGAATGCTTTCATGGACTTTGAATAAGAAAGAACAGGATCAACAGATAATAATACCATTTTGGCATTTTTTAGTTAAAGAAAAGGAAGATGCCCATGCTGACCCTGAAATCCAGCCTATGAAGGAAGATGATGGGACATTTGGAGAATACAGGTGAGCCCCTGCTTCTCTGCTCTTCATCTTCTCTGCCCACATGAACACAGTCCCGAGAATAGAACTCAGCCAGAATATGCTCTGCCTGGCATCTCATATTTTCCTCAAATAGAAGTTTAGGGATACTTCCATGTATCAGTGTTTACATGTCCCTCATGGTCAAACATTTTCATTTTTCATTGAAAAACTAAATTTTGATTTTAGTCATAATTTTGGAGATGGAATGTCTCCCACTTTGTCATATTTTCCATGGGACCATGCTGTATTGATCAATCTAGCAAAGCCAATATGCTACTATGAGCATTAAAACAACAAAAAAGAACCTCCAATGCCTGCATTGTAAAGAAAGCTATACTTGTTATCTTCTAAACATGCTGTAATAAAACCAGTGTAAACACACTTTTTCATCTAGAATTTGAAACTAGTTTTCCTAAACAATACCCATACCCTTGCCCTTTAATCATGAAATGGTGACTAGATTGTTTTACAAGCTGTTACTTATTAAGAAATGTCGTAGCCCTCTAGGCAATGTGTTACTCACAGAACTTTGATAATACATTCTTGGCTTGACTCCATCATTAAGGGAAAATGTTAATATAACCTATGTGCTAAATTTTTTAAAAATCTTCTCTTTAAACAAAGATAAATCTTTTCAAGAGAAGGAAAAGATTACTTTAGATTTGTTTAAATTAAACAGAAACAAAGTACGTATTTATTTAAATAAAATGTGGGCATTCTGTTATTCTAAAAGTATACCTTTTTAAAATACCTTTTGTACCTTGTTTTTTTCTTTTTAGAAGCCCCTTGCTTATATAAAATACCTTTTAAATATGCATTAAGCCCATTTTGAGACATTGTTTGCAAGATGAAGAGGCTTTTAGGTGAAATAAAATATTTCACTATTGGGATTACCAGGCAACATTTGTAGAGAAGATATTTATGTTAAGTTTTACCTGTCTCTAGAGCTCATTTTTGGTTTTTCCATGTCACTATCATGTCAATATCATAGAATTTCATGTGACATAATCCTAAGGATAAAAAATGTAGAACTGATTGAGAAAAAGACATATATTTTCAATAAAATCATTTTCATATCATTTTCCAGGCAGATACCTGTGTTTTTCCTTTATTATCTCAGCCCCTAAGTTTTTATATTGTGATCTCTTAAAGAGAGATAACTATGGTTTCAAAAAGTTCTCAGAATTTCTGTATCTCATGGTACAGAAAAATGCATAGTGAGGGTTGTCTTGATGTCAGAAGTTGGTTCTGGAGCTGAAGGTGTATGAAAACCTCATGCAGCGTCCACACCCAGTTCACCCAAGAGGGTTTTGTAACACATTAGAGCAGCCTACAGAAGCCCGTAGCCTAGGGCATCTGGATGAGTAGAACTTTGCTGAAATAATTCACCCTTCTACATGTTTCTCCTGTAAAGCAGGTAAGCTTACAATTACTAAATAACTTCTTATTTCTAAGAGTTCTTGTGGCTGTAATTATCTACAGGATATGCATACCACTCCCTTATGTATTGTGATGAAGCAAAATCTTTAATGTGGCCCTGAAAAAAAATGTATTTGCATGAATTGGAAATAAAGCATTGTCCTTCATACATTCTCCACATGGTGATGGGTTCCTGTTCTACATTATCATGCCTCAGTGAATCTAGCAACATACTACTCACCACCTGGGTCTCAAACATCAGCTTGCTCTTACAGCGATGTGAAACCATGATCTGAGGTCATGTGACTTTCCCAGATAACTGCTGCCTACTCCATTAAAACTTGACTAAAATCAAGGTTGATATTTGGGTGATGGTATACTGGAAGCCCAAACCCCACCACTATACAATGTATCCACGTAACAAACTTGCACATGTACCCCCTGGATCTGTTCTAAAAAATGGAGGTTGAGTTTTATGAACTAGCTTGGAATCAAAAGACTGTTAGTTTTACTTTCAACTCAGCCATTGCCTGTGATTCATAGTTCTATGATTTCTGTTTTCTTCTATGAGCCATCTACTAACAACTTTAATAGAATTTTGTGTCTGGAGCAGTACGTGGCAAGTATTTGGTTACTGGCCTCATAAGCACTGTGTTTACATCTATTTGGTCATATGTCTTTGTCTTAGTGTTAATTTATATGTGCTATGTTGGTAAAGTGTTTTCAAATAGCTGTCTTTAGGCCTTAGTTTCTCAGGAAAGAAAGACTTTGCATTTGGGCTTATTGAGTGCAAACCCAATTGACACGAAGACAAAAACACTTGTACATTTGTCATACATGTAATGACATAAATTTGGGAGGTGCTAAGGGAAATAAGGTTCTGATGGGTGTCTTCAACTTGAAACATAACTCAATGATGTAATTTTTTCAATGAAACTAAAAGTTCATAAGGACAATCCCACAAGCAAAATCACTTCCCCAAAATTCCAACCACATTTTTTACTTTGATTTACAAAGATACGGCTTTGTCCTTTGATTTCCTGACACTACCTCAGAATGTTTTCCCTTTGGTTTATTTTCTATTTGAAGAAATCCAAAAAGTGTTTATTATCTTAGAGGCTGTAATTAATGAAAACAGTTCCAACTGTTTATTAACAGAATCTTTTATTTTTAATACATTTAAGTGTCATTCACTTCCTGAGATCACCAGGTTCCTGTCTCTGTTTTGCACTTTCTGGAAGTTTTGAGCTCTGTATTATTTATTGATTCTTATTCTCTTTCATTCCAAAAATAAATTATTATGCTGACCAGACACATACAAAATTAGGACTATTGCCTAGGTGTAAATTAATTCCATTTCTGATTTGCTCATTCTCCAGTTTGATGATGAAACCGTTTCTACATGGCTGGCTCTAAGCCAGATGATATTTCATAGTGCAAAGAGGGATAGAACCTCACTGGTGGCCAAATGTGATTATATGCTATAACCCTGTGCCCCTACTCTGACACCCACCCCCAAGCAGTTACCCTCTGTTGGAAGCCTGCAGCTTTCTTTGTTTGTTTCTTTAATTATACAGACAGTAGGATCTGCATCCTTACTAGCATATAGAAAAATCAGAGAAACAATGCAACCAAGAGTGTAAGTATTTTTTTATTCTTTAGATCCATTTTCCTTAAAACCAGAATAAACCTAGGTCATAAACCATATGCCCATGTTACTTGAACTCATAACTTACTACATAATTGGTGGCTCTTGCCACATGAATCTTGTCATTCATGTGAACATGGGCTTGTGGCAAGCATGCTAACCCATGCTCATAAGGCTTGAATGATGCCAAGATGTGTCACATTCGTTATATACATTAGAGTTATTTTGCTCTCAAATGTGAACTGGCTTGTGAGTAAAATAATAATGGACTTTTAGCGAGTGGGTAGGAAAGAGTATTTGGGTCATGAATGTTACTTGAGCTGCAATGTGGTTTGGCCATGGGAGGGTGGTAACAACAGGAAAATCAGACAGAATTATCACAGATTTACCTGCTGTTGCCGAATTTTACTCAGTAGGATTTAACAGATGTGCACACTTCTGAACAAAGTGCTATTGAAAAACAATTTGAACTCCCTAAAAATTTATTCTTAGGGAAAGAGAAAGGAAAGGATATATTCCAATGATTTGTCTGCCGTCATAAAACTGAGGGAATGAAATGTTTTATGTTAGAATTTTTAAAAAAATTTTCTAAAATGCCCACTGTCTCCTCTATTATTTTACAGTGAACTCATTCTGCCAGTATTTATGAGTGCCTACTGTATGCCAGGCCTTGGGAATATTCAAACCAATAGAATTTGGTCCCACACAGGGAGTTTATAGCCTAGTGATGGATGCAGGGAAGTAAAAGAACAATGACCAGAGTGTGAAAAGTGCTATGAAAGAGATATAACTAAGGTACCAAGGGAACAGAAGCAGGAAGGTAAAGCCAGGTGGGCAGCATAGGAGGAGGATGGTACAGGGAGTCTTCCCAGGGGAAGTCATGCAGTTTTAGCATTGTGATAGGAACATTTCTTTCCACTGCACAATGATCCTGATTCATGAATCTAAGTATCAAGAATATACTTGATATTGTATCAATACTTGTATACTGGATACTTTGTAGGTGCATATATATATATGCCAGCACTGTGAATATGATTTATATAATATGTATATATTTTATTTTGAAATCCATTCAACCTTTGACATCCAAAACTAATAATTAATGTCTGATACACACCATCCTTAAACTTTCTCATTAAAATGTGAATGAATTTTTACCTGTTTTGTAAAGCTTTGAATACTACTGCTGCCTACTCCATTAAAACTTGATTAAAATCAAGGTCTGCTATATGTGTGTGTGTGTGTGTGTGTGTGTGTGTGTGTGTGTGTGTGTATATATATATATATGACTTTTAAATCATCTTCTATGACTTCTTGATTCATATCATTTGGGAAACTCTCCTTTCATATTTAAACTTGACATGGCAACTTCACTGAATACAATGTCAAAAAGTTATTTACTATTTCATTACAAAATTCATCTTGGAATTGAAAAAGGCAAGCCCTCATACTGTGCTTCTCATAGAGTCATAACCACTCACTACACCTGGAAAGTTCCGCGTGTGTGTTGCACAAGGTATTTCTTAGGAAAAAAAAATCTCTCTGAAGTAGGGACCTGGAGTGGAGAGAAGAGATGTGATGGGAGATGGACATGTATGCTTGTTGAACACAAACCCAGCACTGTGTGTATGACTTATATAATTTTTTCTCATTTAACCGGATTCTAATTATTGAAGTATATGATATTATATCACACCACTTATTAAAGACTGGTCTTCAAAAGATCTCACTGCCTTTGAATGGCTTTTCCTGGAAAGACTCTGTTGGAGGAGGGAGAATCCCACTTCCTTCTCTTCTTTCAAGCACAGCCCGTGTTGCTGTTGATTCTCTCCTCCACCACAGCCGTTAAGCTGGCGTGAATGGATGTTTTGGGGGAGCCCCTTCTTGGCTGGTCATTAATGATAACTGTTATGATTTTGTATGTAAAAACCCACATGAATCAACAAGCAAATATTATAATAAGAGAGTTTAGTAATGTTGCTCGACACAAAATTAACATAAAAGTCTTATATTTCTATGTATCAGCAAGCAATTGGAAAATAAGACTTTAAAACTTATTCTAGTTATGATAGCATAAAAATATGACATAGGAATAAAGCTAACAAAAAGATCTTCCACCAGTTTCAAGACCCTATATTCCATTCCATTGGTCAATCTGTCTATCTCTGCACCAAGACTATAATGTCTTAATAATATAGGTTTTAATAAGTCTTGATATCTGCTAGGTCCAGTTCTCTAACTTTAGTTGTCTTCTTCAAGAACCTTTTAAATATTCTTAGCCCTTTTCATTTATTTGTACATCATAGAATCAGCCTGCCAAGATCCACATAAAAACCTGCTGAGCTGTTACTGGAAATAAATTGCAGCTAAAGGGCAATATGGGGAAGGTTAACATATTTACTATATTTGAGTCTTCTATCCATGGATGTAGAACATTCCTCCATTCATTCAGATCTTCTTTAATAACTCTGAAAGTTTTATTTTCTTCGGAGGTCTTACACATATTTTTGTTGGATTTGTCTTTATATACTTCATGTTTATGGTCTCATAAATGGAATAATATTTTGAATTTTATTTCCTAATTTTTTGCAAGAACATAAGTAGAATTGACTTTTATGCTAATCTTGTATCAAGCAACATTATTAAAATCTCTTTATATTCTAACATTTACCTGTAGATTCTTCTGGATTTTTTATATGCACAATCATATCAGTTATGAATAATGATAGCTTCCTTTCATCTATTTCTTTTTCTTATCAAGTTGCTTAGGACTTTTAATTCAGTTTTGATTAGAAGTGGTGATAGCAGCCATCATTATTATTATTTCTGATTTCAAACAAAGTTTTCAGTGTTCACCATTAAGGATGATGTTTACTTTAGGTTTCTTGTTGCTACCCTTAATCAGGTTAATGAAGATACATTCTATTCCTAATGTTAGGAATAAAAATACATTCTATTCCTAATGTTTTTATCATGAATGGGTGTTGAGTTTTTTCATATACCTCTTTCTAAATTTACTGAGATTATCATATTTTTATTTTCTTCTGCTAAAATAATGAATTATATGAATTGATGTTTTAATGCTAAAATAAGCCTGCATTCTTGGAATAAACCCAACCTGGATATGAAATATTATCTTTTTCATAGATTGCTAAATTTGGTTTGGTCATGGTTTGTTTGGGGTTTTTTCATCTATGTTCATGAATGAGATTAGCCTGTAGTTTGACTTTCTTAAAGCATTCTTATTGGTTTTGGATATCAATGTTATACTAGCCTCAAAAAATGATTAAAGGAGTGGTTCTCATGACATATTCAAACTTTAATATCTCAAAATGGAACCATTGATTTTCCCCTCCCAACATGCTCCACTCCATAGTAACAGTACTTCCAAGCTTCCTGTTGCTCAAACCAAAAATCCTGGCACCATCTTTTTCTCTGTTATTCCATGTCTAACCTATCAGAAAATCCTGTTGGCTCTACCTTCAAAATATGTTCATAATCTGAGCATTTTATACCACCTCCAGTGTTCCACTCTGGTCCAAGTCACAGTCATCTCACTCCTGGATTATTGTAATATTCTCCCCTGACTCTATAGAGCAGAGGTTGGCCAACTAAATATTTTAGACTTTACAGGCCGCGCGGTCTCTGCTGCAACTCTGCAATTCTGCTATTGTAGTGCTAAAGCAGCCATAGACATTATGTGATAAATGGGCGTGGCCTAATTTTACTGTAGTTTACCAACCCCAGCCCTCTAAGGTAGGCTATTCTCAACACTGATGGCAGAGTAGTGCTTTTAAAATATAAGTCAGAGCATGTCACTTATTCTTTGAAACCCTCCCAGGGCTTCCTGTCTCACTCAGAGTTAAAGGCAGCGTCCTTACAATGTTCCACAAGCCCTGATTTAGCCGTGCCACTCCCCTTACTTAACTCCTACTTTTCTCTCTCTCTCTCTCCCTCCCCCCAGCCACACCAAGCTCCTTAGTGTTCCTAGAACCTGCCAGGCTTCCCCTCACCCCGAGACATTTATACTGCTTGTTACTCCTGCAGGAACTGCTCTCCCTCCAACTATTCACCTTGCTAACTCAACTCTTTTAAAGTTGTTGACCAGATATTACTGCTTGATGAGGTCTTCCTGGACATCTTATTAAATGCCAGCTCTCCATCCCTTCTCCAACACCTTCTGCAGTCTTTACTCAGCTCTATACTTTGCATAGTGCTAATCCTCTTCTGACATAATATATATGTAATTTTTTTTATTATGTTGATTGTTAATTGTATTTTCTTCCACTAGAAATAAAGCCAGTGAGGTGAGGGTTTTAGTCTGTTTTGTTTGCTGCTATATTCCCAGTGCCGAGAACAATCTATCTTAGAGTAGTCACTCAATAAACATTTATTGGATGAAGGCATGGGTGGATAGATGGCTAGACCAAAGAAATGCCACAGATGACAAATTTCCAGCAGTGTATTCCTTGGGACACTAGTTCTACAGAGCAGAATAAGACTAGTCATTGGAATCCAGGTGACAAATTCTGCCTGTTATTGAACTCTTCAGCTGAATTAACTGTCACACTGAAACATGAACTATATTTCACAAGAAGGATTTAATAATTAAACCCCAGAGATGTTGTGTAGGCTATTTTCATAACAGGTTAGACACTCAATGCTATGTCCTCTGAAATGCTCACAAACACAGACCACCCCAAGATGATACCTCTCCAGTTGTTTATTAGCAGTGGTGAAAATATAGTTTATTCAGTTTGCAATAAGAAATTGTGTATTACTGAAACAGGTTGTTTTCAGTGGCATATGCCAGTGTCATATTATGCTAGCATTATTTCCCAGTCTTCAGATTTTCTTCTTGGAGAAAAATTGAAATCCCTAGTAAAAGTTATTGTCAAAAGAGCCAGGATACTTGTGCATCTTGAAATGTTTGTATCTTGGCTTGAAAAAAAAAGTCACTGTCTGAAACAGAGGGAGCAGTAAAGTCTTAGCAGAAATTGCTAGATTAAATACTGCAGCCAGTGATACCTTTTGTATGTTAAGGCTTTTTCATTTTTACATTAGTAAAAATGTATATGTTTCCTATTTTGCCTTGCATTTTTGTTCTTTGAAAGAAAACAAAATGTTAGATCCTGTCATTGCCTTTTTCTATTTTTTTCCCAAATGTTACCTATTAAAAAATAGGTCAATATGCATAACTAGGTATTTGACCGTATGGGTGAACATTCAAAAACATAATGATTACTCTTTGTCTTCCAGAAATTGTGCTTACGGGTTCAACAGAGAAATAAGCAAAAATTGTAATAATGGAATCTTGTAAAGTCGTATTAAAGTACACTCCTCAGATTCCCATCCAGTATAGTCAGGCTGCATAACACACAAGGAAGAAGGGAGCTGGGGGGTTAACATGAGTGTAGGAAGCATTTGCTATTACATGTTTGGAGTCATTCACATTCTTTAGAATATATTGGCATGCCATTCATAGTACAAATGTAGAGCTTTTAAGTTAAAGTGCGTCTCTTTCCAGATTAATAAATCTTTACTCATTAACTAAAATTTTTACCAAAAAAACAAAAAAATACTGTGTACTATCAGTATAAGGATTTTGCTTTTCTTCTTAGGCTGTTTTCATTTGTTTCTTCTGCATCCTTTTAATGGAATTTTGTAGGTCTCTTGAAAGGTAAGGTTGAAGTTTACAGTCTGGCCTGCATTGATAACAAAATTATTTGAAATGCAGGATTTTGCTTCTCCTTCTGGCTCAGAAAAAAAAAATCCACATTTCACACTTAACCAAAATCATGCTCCATTCACAACCAAGGAATCAGAGATATTATGCAGTTTAACATACTAACTTCTTTACTTGCCATAAGCTTTTGCCTTTTTGAATTCAAAATAGTGATGATTTTTCTACTTTTCTGAATTCTTTCTTATTTAATGCTTGTGATTATTTCTGGATTGCTTTCAACTCAGGAATCAGAATTTGTCATTGAAATTAACAAACACTATTGGGAGCCATCCACTCTACTGAAGACTTCATGATTCAACCATTTCTGCTCCTGATTTCCATTCCAACTCATCCTCGTCATTGGAGTCAACCTGAAAATTAGATTTGGCCAGAGAAGCCCAGGACTCCAAATGCTTTCTCATAATTTGCATGCATGGTCTTTAAAAACAGAAAATGTTACCTAAATGCCAATCTTGACAAAAATGTTTTCTCTTTCTTCCAGTGATGCAGAAGACCACAAGCCTTTGAAAAAAGGAAGTCGAACTCCTTCAGACAGGACTGTGAAAAAAGAAGATAGTGACGACAGCCTAGTTGACTATGGAGAAGGGGTTAATGGCCAGTTCAATGAGGATGGCTCCTTTATTGGACAATACAGTGGTAAGAAAGAGAAAGAGCCGGCTGAAGGAAACGAAAGCTCAGAGGCACCTTCTCCTGTCAACGCCATGAATTCCTTTGTTTAATTTTTAAGCTCTTTGCCAATATTCCATTTCTCTAGAATGTTTATCCTAAGCACTTGTTTGTCAGCCCTCTCATACTATGAACATATGGGTAGAGAGTATATTTTCTGCTGTATGTTAGTATTATGAGAATAGTTACAGCAAAAACATAACTCAGTCAAATGATATGTTAATATGAACTGGAATGCAAAGTGCATACTTTTTCATTCAAAATGGGTATTCTTGATTTCCTCAGAACTGATAAAAAATAATGCAACATCACCAACAGATCCTGTTATTTCCTCTGCAGGATACAGTTCAATATGATGCATGAAAAATGCTCCACATTTAAAGGACATACCCGTGTATGTTATGAAAACATGGTTTGATACTTTGTTTATACTACCCTCAGCTGAACCCCTATATATGAATTCCGTTTTCATTGTCAAGAATGTTACTGTAGTATTCTCTAGAACTTCAATGTCTTTGTGGACATTGTTGTGAAATTGGTGACTATGTATAGCTGTCGTTAGTCTTTTTGGGAGACTGTTAGGAACAGTTTGTACAGTATATACTTGCTAAATGAGTTCATTATGACAGTCACATTGCTGATGCTTACTGAGAACTATTACCTACTCTTGGCTCCTGTTACTCCGTAGGCTTCTTAATCTTCCAGGCATTACAGCAGCACAGTGTTCTACTTTTTACATCATTTCTATGTTCGGTTGTTTTTAGGCATAAACAATGTGTATTGCAGTGCATTTCGGCATTTGTGCCATACTGAAAGAATCAAAAACAAATCATCCAAATTAAATTTCAAACATTATTTCAGAGAACACAGGGCAAGACACATACAGTGCCTTCAGATATTAAGCATTCCACAACATCGTGCATTCTGTATCAGCTGGTCCAGTCCATTCTGGGTCCTAGATTACTGTCATTGTCTAAAAGTAACTTTTAAAAAGCAGAGTTCATGAAAACTGCAATGCTGGGAAAAGAAGGAAACATGAAAATAAAAATAAGACAGTTTATTAGAAATAGCATTTCCTCATAAGCATAAAAAGAAAATCTTTGTTGCCAACTGAAGCACATGATGATTTTGTGGTCCTTTATGGTTTCTATTACATTCAGTAAGAAAGATGTCAACATGCTAGAAAATTAATTTTAAAACTAAGTTATTCCAACACTAAAAGCATACAACAGCATGCCAACAGTAATATATTATTCTCCAAGACTTTACCTATGTAAGTGTTCAAAACTCTGCAGCATTAAACAACGTGTATGCAAATTGTTATGGATACATTTCAGAATCTAAGAAATCAGGCAAGTGCTTAAAAGGCCAACGGTCCAAGGGATTACATCTGCAGTTTAAAAAGTAAATATATATTCTATCGTATTCATAAACAATATCTATCAAATGGGTTACCTCCAAATATGAAAATCTATAACAACCTATGGTTGAAGGAATGCTCAGTTTCATTTGCCAATAAATTGGTTTCTCATAACTTGCATCAAGTTTAATTTTAAGTAAAGCTTTTTATATGTAGATATTTTGTTGAATTTGTAAATACACTTAAAATGTAGATGCTATATGCTTATAGGTGTTACATACAAATAAACATGCAATGTTTATGTTGTACTGTATAAGAGGTAAGCTAATTAATGCAGTGAATGGGATTGGAAAGCATCTACTTAAATATCTATTGGGTTCCCCCCTCCCCCCACCTTTTTTGCTGTGAAACTGAAATAGTGAACTTTTCTACGTATTGACAGCAGATTTTTCGATGAAATCTTCAGAGCTTTGCCTATGGGGCACAGTAGGCCTAGTAACCTGGCATGTTTGATATATGTAGGTAAAGCATAATTTAAAGTAATCCCAGGTAAAGATGGCCCTAAATACTTTCATGTCTCTATATTCATTTTTCACAGATCCACCTGTCTCTTGAAAATATAAAAAGACAAAACAGGTTTGCCTTGGCATCAGAGAGCACAAAGATTAAAAGTTACTTTAAATTTGCCAATATTTTGGGAGAACAATAAAACTACATTTTTTCCTCTTCCATACTGGTAGATGCGAAATTTATCTGTGCATGAAAGGGTCACTTCTGTAATAGTGCAACAGATTTGGTATTAAAAATTAAATGTGGTTTTAAAAGTTCCTCTCTCTTTTGTAATTTATGTTCCCAATTGAGTGTGAATGTCCAAGTAATGGTGTATGTAATGGTACAGGCAAATGTGACTGGATTTCCCTCAAAAAAGTAACTATTAAACAGTCTTGATCTCTTTGTGACTTTTAACTTTTTCAAACATATATTGCCTAATGTTTTAAAATGGTGAAAAATTTTATTTTTTACTTTCAAAAGGCTGTTCTATGCAGAGAAAATTAAAACAAAATATAAAACAGATCTAATAGGACATATCAAAAACATTTGAATGAAAAACAGGACTAGATATTCCCAGCCTTTTGAGAAAAGTTCAAGAAATCAGGTGGTGCCTCCTTTCCCAAAGCCTGGCTCCTGGTGTCTGCCTGGGCCCGGCGCTTCTCTTCTGCTTGCCTGGACTCTGCCCTCCCGAATCACAGGCGACTTAGATTTCTTAACTCTCCTGTCTGAAGAGGGACACTACAGGTATCGAATGTATGTCACCCTCTCCCTTCTCTCCACCCCCATGCTTCTAATCTTCTCAAACCCTCTGGCAAACAGCCAAGCCCTGGCGTGTTCCCATGTTCCACCACCTGCCCCTTATTCTCCAGCCCCCTAGTCCCAGCATCACACTGACAAGACCTCCTGCTGGCTCAGAGCTGCCCTCCTCCATGGTGATTTGCATCACATGTTATATAAGTGAACCTTAAAGTGCTATGTAGAGCTTGGTGTTTCCACCTGGAGGGCATGTCTGTCACTCACTTCAGAACAGCACTTCAGGGCCTCTCCTCCCCTCTACAACGTCCGCCAAATTCACAGTCCATAGCTTTGTCCTCATCATCAGTCCTGGGGCTCTTTAGCAAAAAGGGTCTGGAGAAATGCAATCTTGACCCCAAAAAGCATTGGTCCATTGATGGTATGAACTTTCTTGTTCAGATGGCTTACAACAGGCCTGGTTTACCTCTAATGGCTGATTTTGTTTTGTTTTGAGACAGAGTCTCATTCTCTCACCCAGGCTGGAGAGCAGAGGCACTCACTGCAGCCTCTGCCTCCTGGGTTGGTTCAAGCAATTCTCGTGTCTCAGCCTCCCAAGTAACTGGGATTACAGGTGTGTGCCACCATGCCCGGCTAATTTTTGTATTTTTAGTAGAGACAGGGGTTTTGCCATGTTGGCCAGGCTGGTCTCAAACTCTTGACCTCAAGTGACCTACCCACCTTGGCCTCCCAAAGTGCTGGGATTAGAGGTATGAGCCACCGCGCCCCGCAATTTTGGAAAAGGCTTATGGAGGCAAGGGAAAAGAATATGAAGAATTCTTACCCAAATTAAGCAAATCCCTCCCGCTCAGGAAATTTTCCTACAGATTACCACCAGAGGGCTCCCCTGCTCTATGCAGTGTGAGAGAAACCTGCTTGCAGGAAAAAGTGGCCTCTGGACACAGTGCAAACCAGTTTTGATAATCAGCTTGTGATCTGATCATGCAAAAAATGATTGCCTGCTGCAACAGGGGAAAATGGGATTTGCAGCTTTCTCTGACGAGTCCACAGCATCCAGGGAGGAAGCATGTGTCCCTGTGAGCCTTGTTAAGCTTCTTCCTCTTAATGATTGTGGCCCGGGAGGTTCGGTATTGGGAGAGGAAGGAGGAGTGTGCCTCCTGGGTCCTACTAAGCATCCCTATCACGGCTGCAAGTCGGTAGGGATGAGGAGAGGCACGTCATTAAAATGGCATCTCCCTCTTCTCCAGAGTATGCTATTTTATCTGCCAATGGTTTGATGTTTTGTGATGGTATAGCACCCCCCAAAAAAGCACAGTTTAAGCACAGCTCTTTTCACTAAAAAAAAAAAAAAAAAAAAGCAAGAGAGGGAGAGACTACTACTTGAATATTTATACTAAATAAATAAATAGTTCCTAGGTGGAGGTGGAAAATTCACTGGACCGGAAAGAGATGGGGATTTGTCATAGCAACATAACCCCAATTACTTCAGGAAGCCCCCAAACCTGTGAAATTAACCTGTGCTCGCATCTGCGCTTGCTTACAGAGAGGAAGGCCGGATGCCAGTAACCATGAAGTAGCTCAGCAGTACTGCCCCGACCTGAATTCTTGCTTCATTACCATGCTAAGACCTCTGCCCAGGGGCCAGAAATGTACCTTGCTAGGCACAAAAAGTGCCAAGTACAAAAGACAAGACTGTGCACACTGTAGCGCCTCCTGGAAGAACCCACCTTTTTTCAGGAATCCCGCCCCAGTCTCCACCTACCTGCCCTAAGAGCTCTTAACATCCCCCTTTACCCGCCCCCCTCCTTCCCCCACCACCACCTCCCCCTCCCCCGTTGCAAGAAGGTGCTTTGAGTATGAGCTTCCCTTCTCCATTTCTTTATTAACAAAGTTTCTGCTCTGCTTTACCAAGCTTGGTTTGGTTCTATTGGCCGAAACGGCACCAGGCAGGAAAATGACCCCTTAGTGTCAACCAGCCTCCCTGGAGGGTGGGAACAGATTCAGATTCCAGCTCTGCCATCAACTAGCTGTGTGACAGTATATAAATGAACCCCCTAATCTCCCACGTCTCCAAGCCTCTGCTTTTTCGACTTGAAAATGACAGATAGCAGATGTTTTCAAAGGTATCTTTCTGCTTAGATCTTATGGTTCTTAATAACAAACCCACACACACACACACACAAATCTGAGCACCTTCTAGACCCAAGTATTTTGCTAATTTGGGAAGATACACGATGAGCAAAACCAGATGTAGTTCCTGTTCTTATGTAGGCTGGAGGCTGGTGTGAGCAGACAGACATTGTCAAATACTCACCTAAGTGAATGTGTAATTCCAAACTGAGGTAAGAGCTATAAAGGGAAGGCACAGCATTCCATGAGAGCAAATGATGGCAGAGCCCAGCCTGGTCAAGGTGGTCAGGAAGGCATTCTTCGGAAAAGAACTAGATTTGGGGGCATATTATAATTTCAGAATAATAAATGAGGAGTATGAAAACCTGAGACATTCAAGTGGAAATAACTAATAGGAATTGGATATTTGAGCTTACAGCTCCAAAGAAACTTCTGAGATGACAAGTAGCAATTTAAACAATGAGGCATGGATGAGATTGCCTAGGGAAAGAGTGTAGGCAAGAAGGCTGAGGACTACAACTTACTCAGAAACTTCCAAATATAATAGACAGGAAGAGAAAGACAGACCTCTAAAGGAGACCAGTAAACAGGAGCCCGAAGTCAGGAAGAAATAAAGAGAATGTGTTGTCCTGGAAGCCAGTGAAAGAGACCATTTCAAGACCAGAGAATGGTTGATAATGTCACATTATACTGAAAAATCAAGCAAAATGAGGACTGAAAACTATTTCTTGGATTTGAAGACATAAAGGTCATCTAAGACCTTAGTAAAAGTAACCACCTGGAGTGTAGTTCAGATTGGAATGAGATGAAGAGTGAGTAGGTGAGGAAATGGGGACAAGTTCTGCCATTACTCATATGGGCAACCCATCAGTCCTAGGTACAGTTCCTTGACATCTCTCCCTCCACGATCATGTAGTCTACACATCTCACTCTGCCCACAGCCTCTCCACTGCCCCTCCGATTTCCATCGACCCTTCACCTTACCCCTTTTCTCCATCCCTCCTCCAGCACAGATGTTATAGTCCATGTGTGAAACACTCCTGCTTTACATTAAACTCCTTTGGCCTTCTGTCTTTTCTAAACACCCATAGAGAAACTGGGACTCAGGAGCAAGTCTACTGTCTGCTTTCTCCTGCCCGCCCCTAGGGGCTGAGAAGATCAGTGTCACTACAGTTTTATAAATATCTTCAAATGGTTCAACTCTCAACACTGCCTAGTAGACCTGCTATTTTTCTCAGGGGAACTTACATTCTCACACTCAACAATGACTATGTCAAATCTTCACTCTCCTGAAGGATTCAACCCTGTCCTCTCTCTCCACTTACTCTCACAAATCACTTTCTTTTTTTTTTTTTTTGAGACAGATTGTCACTCTGTCACCCAGGCGGGAGTGTAGTGGTGTGATGTCAGCTCACTGCAACTTCTGCCTTCCAGGTTCAAGTGATTCTCCTGCCTCGGCCTCCCAAGTAGCTGGGATTACAAGTGTCCACCATCATGCCTGGCTAATAGTAGAGACGGGGTTTCCCCATGTTGGCCAGGCTGGGTCTTGAACTCCTGACCTCAAGTGGTCCACCCGCCTTGGCCTCCCAAAGTGCTGGGATTATAGGTGTGAGGCACTGTGCCCAGCCTCACAAATCACTTTCTACAAAATGACCTTACATCATAATTCACTGAAAAGGGGGGTGGGAAGCATAGATGGGAATTTCCTCATCTTCCTGCTAGCAAACCAAAATGTTTGCCTCAATATTTTCTCATTCTCTACCTCTACCTCCTGTTAAGACAGAGGAGCCATCCTTCCTCCTAACGAGGGCCAGTCCCTCTACCTGAGCTGGCATCTCTCTCCTCTTTGGTGGGTTCTTACCCATCAGTTATTTCTTCTCCTGTTTAACTGGAGTGTCTGTTGACATTCACGCCGTTCAAGTCTCTCCCATATAAAACAAATGGACCATTGAAACCTTTGATTCCCACCCTACTTACCCCCTTCAGTTATCATCCTCTCTACACTTCATGGCTGAAATAATACTGGAAAAAGTATATGAAGATAATCACAAAAGCTACTGTTTGCCAGACAGTACATCCTTTGTTCCTTCTATAGCCATAAAAATTTTCCAGTCTCACTCAGCGTGTCCTATGGACACTGTCTGTCTTCAGCTGTAACTATTTAGCTCATTATCTCGGTGAATGACTTGACAAACTTTTTTTTTTTCACACAAGAGCGTCTCAGCCTGCACACTGAAATCACCTGGGGAGTTTCAAAACCCTAATACCTGCCCACCCACCCTCACAGCATCTTTATTGTAATTGTCTGAGACATGGCTTGGACATCACAACTTGTTAAAGCTCCCCAGATGATTCTAATATGCAGCCAAGATTGAAACTAGTGTAAAGAAACAACTTGTTCCCACCCTATTGTGTGAAATTATTTAATGAACAGTATTTTGAATACGTTTCTTCCCACAGCCCATGTTTGATCTCAAATTCTCTCATATTCCTCTTATAGGAAACATCTAGAGTAAATAGGCCCCTCATACATTGCTGGTAGGAATATAACAGTTTGGTGATTTCTTAAAATGTTAAATGAAAGTTTACCATATGACCTAGCAAGCAATTCCACCCCTAGGTATATGCCCAAGAAAAATGAAAACACATGTCCACACGTAGACTTGTACAGTAATGTTCAGAGAAGCATTGATCATAATTGCCCCCCAAAAAAAATGTCCATCAACAGATGAATGGATAAACAAAATGTGGCATAGCCACACAACTAAATGGCATATCTATACAAGTAAATGGAATACTATTCGTCGGCAATTTTTTGAAAAGCACTAACACATGCCAAAATGTGGAGGACCGTCAAAAACATTATGCTGAACTAAAGAAGCCATCACACACAAAAACCCACATATTGCATGATTCCATTTCCTTAAAATGTTCAGAAAATGCAAACTTCTAAAGACAATGGACAATAGTGATTGTCTGAGACTGGGAATGGGAACAAGGATTAACTGCAAGTTGGCATGCGACATCTTACTGGAGTGATGGAAATGTTCTAAAACTGGATTGTGTTGATAACCGCACAGAATGGTAAATTTACTAAAAATCATTACATTTTATACTTGAAGCAAGTGAATTTACAATATGTAAGTTACACCTCCACAAAGCTGTTAGAAGAAACCATCACTAGGCTTACGTTTGTCTGAGAAGTGAATAGGCTATGCATAAATTAGGCTTATGATGCCTACACCATATTGTGGGGCACATCCCCTCCCAGCCCTCCTGTTTCCTCAGTGAAACACCACAAGAGCAGTGAAGCCTTAGCTGTTTGGTAGCACCAGCTTAGTATCGTGTGCCATCCTGTTTCTCTTTCTTATCCCCCCACCCCCGAGTTTTTACTACCTGTCTTACTCCTTCCTGGTACCACCCTCATTTTTGCTCTCCAGGTCTTAAACAGCATCCTGTATCCTAGCTTTCAAGGGGCAAGGGATTCCTCTGAGGTCCCTTTTATGAGGGGACTAATATCATTCATGAGGGCTCATGACCTAATCATTTCCCAAAGGCCCTACCTCCTAATACCATCACAGTGGGGGTTAGTATTTAATATATGAATTTGGAAGGACTTAAATATTCAGTCTATAGTAGTGCCCAGTCTCAGTAAATGGCACCACTTTGGCTCACGGCAAAACACCCAGGAGTCATCTTTTAAGCTCCCCACCCCTCCCCAACAAGTCCATTGGTCAATTCTAGAAGTCTGTTTCCAAAATATATGTTGAACACATCACATTCTGTATCTCCAGCCTCCCACCTGTATGCCTGCTTCTCTTGCCCTCCTGTAAGCCATACTTCACACAACACAACAGGGTTGGCAGTCCTTTTCTTTAAAAAACCAGATAGGCCAGGCACAGTAGCTCATGTCTTTAATTCCAGCACTTTGGGAGGCCAAGGCAGGAAGATTGCTTGAGCCCAGGAGTTTCACAGCAGCCTGGGCAACAGTGTGAGACCCCCATCTCTACAAAAAAATTAAAAAGTTAGCCAGGTGTGATGGCTGGGACTTGTGGTCCTGGTTACTTAGCAGGACCACTTGAGCCCAGGAGGTTGAGGCTGCAGTGATCACTATTCATGTCACTGCACTCCAGCCTGGGTGACAGAGCAAGACCCTGTCTCAAAAAATAATAATGATAATAATAAATTAGACAGTAAATAACTTAGGCTTTGCAGGCCATTTGTTCTGTGTTGCAACTGCTAGCTCTGTCATTGTACAGCAAAAGCAGCCCTAGAGAATATTTAAATGAATGGGTGTAACTATGACTAGCCAGATTTACCCATGGGCCATAGTTTGCTAATCTCTGCAAAAGAGAGACTGTATAACTCCCTGTCTAAGATACTTCAAAGACTTCCTACTCCACTTAGAAGAAAATCCAAATTTCTGACCAGAGCCCCTTGCTCCCTTCCTCCTTCCCACTCTGCTCTAGCCACATTGGCCCCCTTTCTTTTCTTCACACAGAAACTGTGGCCTTTCCCACCCAGAGGCTTTGCATTTGCTGTTCTGTCTACCTGGAGGTTCTTCCTCCAGGTCTCTGCATGGTTCACTCCTCATTCTCCAGGCTGCAGTAGAATCATGCCTCCTGTCACGTCTTGTCTACAAAGAGCTCCCTTCCTCTATTACTCTTTCTCACACACATGTCATGCTTTGTTTTCCTTATAGCAGTTATCATAGCCTGAAATTTGTTTTTGTATTTATTTACTCACTCACTGAGTGTCTGCATTCCCAAACTAGAGCTCTAAGAAGACAGGGGACTGACTTATGTCCACCGCCGTATCCCTCCTTCCTAGAAACAAATCCCTAAGACTTGTGTATTCTCTTCTTCTTTTGAGGATACTTGCTGAGTGCCTCATATGTACCAGACACTGTATAGGCTCACAGTTGATAATCAATAAATATTGCTGGAGTGAATTAAGGAGAGAATGCAACCATTCCCAGATTCTTTTTATATAAGTCTCACTGGGGTATGCATGCAACCATTTTTCCACAAATTCAGCATTTTTAAAGCAATTCCTTTGACAAAAACTTCCCCAGACCACCAAGGCAAATGAGATGTCTTTCCCTTAGTGCCTGCTTTTGTCGCCCCTGTTTGTGGTTTCCCCTTCAGACCTGTTCTTTTCTATTTTCTCTGGGGGAAAAAAATGTTCTCAGTCCCTTAAAAAGAAAACACACCGTTTTATACAATGCCATCGGATACTATGAATAAAAATATAGGCATGCAGCAGCTTTGCATAGAAACACTGTGACCAAATGCTTTTTCAGAGTAAAGCATTGCTGCATTGAGTGGAGATACAGAGATATCAGAATAAGCAATGAAAAATGTAGCAGCAACTGGCATCTTGATGCACTCAATGAACAACTGACTTAGGATAAGAAACAGGGAGGGCATGATATGTGGAGAGACCACATCATCTTTGGAGGGGAGGAGACTCTAAAGAGGGCGATTCTGGTAACTGAGGTAGCATGAGAAGCCCATTTCATCTGCAGTGAACTACAGGAACTCTCACTGGGCAGATGCACTGGGGACCTGTGAGAAGACTCCACTCATCTCCACTGCTGTGGGGAAAGGCCATAGCACTGGCTGATGCCACCACAGTCCAAAAAGGCAGAAGTAGGGAAAGAAGCATTCTTCTCAATCTTAATGCAATTAAAATGCCCAAGATAAAATCTGAAATGAAAGAAAATTTCAAGTGTAAACATGACCTTGAAATCTGTATGGACTGGATATTTGTGTCACCCTCCACCCCAAATTCATATGTTGAAGCCCCAACTCCCAGTGTCACTGTGTTTACAGACGGGGTCTTTCTGGAGGTAACTAAGGCTAAATGAAATTATAACAGTGAGGTCCTGATCTGATAGGAGTAGTGTCTTTATAGTAAGAGACAACACAGAGCTTGTTCTCTCTTTCTTTCTCTCTCTCTCTCTCTGCCATGTGAGGACAGAGAGAAGGTGGTCATCTGCAAACCAGAAAGGGAATCCTTGCCAGGAATTGAGTTGGCTGGCAGCTTGCTCTGGAATATGTAGCCTCCAGAACTGTAAGAAAATAAACTTCTGTTGTTTCAGCCACCCAGTCTGTGGTATTGTTATGACAGTCCAAGCAGCCTAAGACATAATCCTTTGCAAATTATTTTACATTCTTTCACATCCTGTCCCCCAAATACAAACAATCCTTGTGTTTTCCTACTTTATATGTGTTTCCAGCATTTAATGCTCTTCATTTAGCAAGGAATTTCTGGATTAAAATGAGGAGGAAGAAGAAGATAACCCAACTTCACTGCCCATTAAATTCCAAGTATTATACAAGGCAATGTGTACATCATTCCCATCTAATGTTCTCACCAATCCTGTGAGGTGGCGTTGCTTTTATTTCCAAAGATTACACAGCTGTAGAAGAGACCTAGTCTATGAACTCAAGTGTGTCTGACTCCAGAATACAAGCTCTTTCTTTAAATTATTTCTCCTTAAATCTAAACTAAGTGAAAGTCGGATATCCAAAATGAGAAGAGAGTAGGCCTATAAGTCTGTCCAGTTGTAAAAGACTAATATTTAAAAATGAAAAACAAGCCTATTGTTTTTAAAGGCCAGGAGCCCCCTAGTCCAAAAGCTATGAAAAGGAAAGACATGGCTGTTCCTGGCTATGCAGGTTTGGAGCTGACTACCTAGGCTTGGACCCACTTTTGTAGAAGAGCAGAGACCCATATCTTTCTCTTTGGATTTTTGCATATAGAGCATGGCACGAGGGCAGCCAGCTTTCAAGAATCATCTAAGCTCTGATGGTCGTGAAGCTGCCAGATGCTTCAGAAGGCAGAGCCAAGACTTCCTTGACTTTCTCTCTTCTTATAGGTTGTTTCATAAAGTCCCCTAAACCTTGTTGGGACTGGTTAGAGGTTGTCAGGGTTGTGTCATGATAATTATTTTCCATAGAGATGGGAAGGACACAGTAAGAATATGAAAGTCATGCCTAACCGCTTAACCAGTTGTATTCAGGAGAGCTTGCTCATGGGTAGACAATGACTAGGGATCTTGGCTCTCTACTCTGTTTAGCCAAGCTCAGTCTTACTTCCATAGCACGTGGACAAAGGAGGAAGAGAGGGCAAATCTAGAGGTCTAGATTTACCCCTCTGCATCTAGTTACTCCAAAAAAAAGCAAATCCTTCCATCAAGCAATTTTTTACATCTTTGGGCCCATAGCTAATGTCACAGATTTCAAGAGAGATGGAAGAATGAAAACAATGATCTCTGCACTTCAGGCACCTTCCCTTCAGGGCATGTGGCGGACCAGGTGACTTCATACCCAACAATTAGAGATCTAGGACCAAGCCCTGTGGTGGTCTATAGACTATAATTACAAAGACAGATGCCACTGTGGGCTGAAATAGAGGAATCCTAGAAGAGGACCCTGGAAAATGAATGAAATTTGGAAAGGAAATAGATGGAAAGAGGGTAGAGCAGAAAGAATAATGCCCCCCACCAAGATGTGCATAGCCTAATTAATCCCTGGAACCTGTGAATATATGACATGGCAATAGTGACTTCAAAAATGTGATTAAGAATATAGAGACGGATATCCTGGATGATCCTAGTGGGCACAATAAAGTCACAGTGGTCCCTGTAAAAGGAAGGCAGGAGAATCCACCTTAGTAACAAGAGACATGACAATGGAAGCAAGAGGTTTGTGTGACACAAAGAAGGAGCCACAGAAGCTTCTGGAAGCTGAAAAAGGCAAGAGAATGGATTCTCCCCTCAGAGCCTCCAGAAGGAACCAGACCTGCCAACCCTTGGCTTTAGCTTAGTGAGACTGATTCCAAACTTCTGACTTCTTAACTGTAAGATAATAAATTTGTGTTGTTTTCAGTCACCAAGTTTGCGGTAGTTTTGTTACAGCAGCAAGAGGGAACTAATACAAGGGGAAACATTTAGTTTGGAAAAGCAAAAGTTCAACAAACTCAAATGGCAATGGCTTCTAAGTGATAACAGACCCACAATCCCAGTACTGGGGTTAGGAAGAAGAAAGATGGGTGCAAGGACTTCTGTAACAAAGTACCATGAACCGAGTAGTTTAAACAATAGAACTTTCCCAGGCACGGTGGCTCACGCCTGTAATCCCAGCACTTTGGGAGGCTGAGGCAGGTGGATCACCTGAGGTCAGGAGTTCAAGACCAGCCCGGCCAATGTGGCAAAACCGTCTCTACTAAAAATACAAAAAAATTAGCCGGGCCTGGTGGCGCACGCTGGTAGTCCCAGCTACTCGAGAGGCTGAGGCAGGAGAATTTCTTGAACTCAGGTGGCGGAGGTTACAGTGAGTCGAGATCATGGCACTGCACTCCAGCCTGGGCAACAGAGCAAGACTGTCTCAATAAAAAAAAAAAAAAAAAATAGAATTTTATCTTCTCACAGTTTTGGAGGCTAGAAGTCCAAGATCAAGGTGCCAGCAGGGCCATGCTTCCTCTGAAGGTGCTGGAAAAAGAGCTGTTCCAGGCCTCTCTCCTAGCTTCTGGTTCCTGGGCTTGTGGCAGCAGAACTCTAGTCTTCACGTGGTGTTTTTCTTATATACACGTCTCTGTATTTCCAAATTTCCCTTTTTGTATGTGAAAGGGGATACGAGTCATATTGGATTAGGGGCCCACCCCACTCCAGTATGACCTCATCTTAACTTTAATTACATCTACAATGACCCCCTTCTTAGATAAGTTCACACTCTGAGGTACTAGGAATTAGGACTTCCACATATGAATTTAGAGGGAGGGGTACAGTACACAATTCAACCCATAACATGTGGGAAATGGAAATATGATCTTATCAATGCCAATACCTCCTGTAGCTTCTATAATATGCCAGATGTGGGAGGGTTGCAAAGGAAACAGAAGGTCACTGCCTTTGAGGAACTGACATTTGTGCTTAGGCCTATGGTAGGCGGAGGAGATATAAGACTCCACATGATTTCAAGTCTGGGACCTGAATTCCTAGATCATCCAAGTGATGACAAATCCTGTAGCAGGACAAGGCAGAGAAGCACACCTGAAGACTGAGGAAGAGAATCAACAGATTCAGAAAAGAACTGATGCCAATTTGGGGAGCAGTTGTAATCGTACAATGCTTAGTTCTGAAAGAGTGCTTAGAGTTTTCTGAAAATCTTGTTCCTAACCATATTTTCATTCTCTAAGCTATTTTAATCACCTAAATCCCATATTGATTACTGAATGTGACGTGACCCCTTGGCTTTCCTCACCAATGATACCTTCCGGAAGTGAAAATTTGGAGCAGCACAAAGAGCTGCCTGAGAAAGCAGAACTGGCCTCCGGAGACGTGCTTGGGTAAGACACACTGAGTGATACAGGAAGCCACAAGACCAAGGTGAAAGTTTCTTGACATGACAAGAAGGGCAAAGCAGAAAAACCAAAGAATTAATGGAGATGGAAAGACAAGCAGAAGGGACTCTGAAACCCACAGATAAGTAGGCAGGTGAAAAACAATGAGAAAGCTACTCCCAGAAGCTGTTCCGATCTCTGCCCAGGTTGGACACTGGTTAGAACTGGGCAGTCTCCTTAAGATGTTTTAAACATGTGCTCTCATCCAGGCACATTCCACCTTCTCAGAGCACAGCCACTCTTGCCAAGCCCCAGCAAGCTTGTCTTCACTGCCTCTACCCGAACACTTCCTTGCTGTATCATTTCATTTCTGGGGATTAAGATAAAAACTGATTTCTGTCATCTTATCTTAAAAATAAGGTTGATAGCTAGCCAGTTGTTAAATACTTGTTCGGAATACCATGCTATGCAAATGCCCTTGTTACCCAGTACAGGATAAGAAGCATTTATTCAACAAATTTTGAGTGCAAATTACGTGCCAGTCACTATCTTAGGCATTGGGGATGGAAGGGTAAATAAGACAAAACCCATGTCCTTGAAGGCTTTACAGACTAGATGTGGAGGTATAAGGAGAGAGTCAGCCACACAGCAGGGATGGCAACTGCTAAAGTAGACACACACACGGGGGATTACATGCATCAGGAAATGGAAACACAGCCCAGAATGGAGGAGTAGAGAAAATGACCTGGAGGTGATACTGAGACTCTAGCAGCATGAAGTAGATCATTGCTTAACAAATTTTTCTGTAAAGTGTCAGCTAGTAGGAGTTTTTGGCTTTGCAGGTGGTATGGTCTCTCACAACTACTCAACTCTGCCATTGTAGCATAAACAAGGCAGCTGTAGACAATATGTAGATAATCAATTGGACAGTTCTAATTAAACTATTTGTGAGTGCAAAAATTTGTATTTCATATCATTGCTATATGTCACAAAATACTATTTTTTAAAATTTTTCTTAATATCTAAAAATGTAAAAGCCGTTCTTAGTTTGCAGGCCCCATAAAAGCAGGCAGTGGCCAGCATGGACCTGTGGGTTGTAGAGTGCTGATCCTTGATCTAGATAAAGTAGGCAAAACATTCCATGCAGGAGAAACCACATACACCACACAGGCACACTTAGGAATGCCAAGCAGATGTTAAGGGTTAATATTTTTAAAGGCAAAATCATGACTCTTATACAAATATAAAGCAAATATATACCAAAGATTCTATTCAATTTGTTCATTAATGAGAGAAACAAGAGAATGTTATGACCAGTTCAAAGGAGAAGTTTTTAAAAAACACACATGTATAGGCCATCAGAAATGCTGAAATCAATTGGCTGGTATCTGTATCTATCAATATCTATATGGCAATAATGAACTGCATCTCTACAGGACACGACTGGCATTTCCATGGACAAGAGTCGTTTGTACTACTATCAGTATTCTAAGAGTACAGAGTTGTAAAGTAGCTCAAACACAGAAATAAACAGGAAAGATATACTACATAAGATACCAAGTAATATTTTTGTTCATTTCAAAGATTTTCACAATTTTTCCTGGCACAGTTCAGCGTGATGGAAGGGAAGGTCCCTGGGAGGATTGGTTCTGCCATTTGATACCTGAGACTGGCCCCCAACAACCTGATCTTTACTACTCTACTTCCCCTGCTTTCTTGCTATTTCAGTTCATCTCGGGGGAATTAAAAGAAATGTTGATATCTGTGTGATGATAGGCAAGTTACTTAACTTCTTTGTGCCTCAGTTTCCTCATTTATAAAATGAGAATAATTTAGTGTCTACCTCACAGGTTGATGAGGGGATTAAATTATTTAGTACAACTTATTCTCTTACAAAACATTCCCATTCCCCCAGATTCACTGAAATCTTCAAGAGTGCTAGTGTGACTATGCCACAAAGCTACCACGCCAAACAACAAAAGAAACATGGCGTCCACTGTGGGCTGTTACAGTGAGGTGGCCGTGGACTAATGTGTGGCTTTAGCTGAGTCATTTAACTCTCTAGATTTTCATTTTTTCTCAAGGACAAAGAGAACTATAATTATCTCTAAAGTCCTAGCTGGGTCTCACACTGTAAGACTGGTTAATTTTTGCTTAGAAATGACACAGCTTTTGGCCGGGCGCGCTGGCTCACGCCTGTAATCCCAGCACTTCGGGAGGCCGAGGCAGGCAGATCACGAGGTCAGGAGATCAAGACCATCCTGGCTAACACGGTGAAACCCCGTTTCTACTAAAAAAATACAAAAAAATTAGCCGGGCATGGTAGCGTGTGCCTGTAGTTCCAGCTACTCGGGAGGCTGGGGCAGGAGAATGGCGTGAACCTGGGAGGCGGAGCTTGCAGTGAGCCGGGATCGCGCCACTGCACTCCAGCCTGGGCGACAGAGTGGGACTCCATCTCAAAGAAAAAGAAAGAAAGAAAGAAATGACACAGCTTTTACACATTTATCAACAACTGTAAAATTTGGTACATTTTAACACTTACCTATAAATGTTGCAATGTATTTTTAGATTGTTGCAGGGATTATAAGAACAATCAATGGACCTGAGTCTCCTCTCCTCCTCTCTCCTAAATGCCCTGCGAGCTCCATCTACCTCAGTCTCTGTAATTAGAGCACGCCAAGGCAGATTCTGAGGTGGAAGATGCCAGGATAACCTCAGGCCCAGGCCACTGCAGGCTGGATGGGTCTTCCTGTTAGGGGAAGAACTGGGAGAGTTGGTTATAAGAGAAGCCAAATGGTAAGTCCATTGGGGTTCTCTCCAGGTGCCAATGAGCCCTCTGTCTGGGGTCACTCTGAGACAATACAAAGGGGGTTGACAAGGGTTCTGTCAGGGAGGGTTTTGCCACTTCCTCGCTGCCTGAGGGCGTTGTAGGCAGTCCGCTCCCTTCTGTCCTTTCAGAGCTTTGGCAGAGTACGTCAGCTGCCTCAAGCCCTGGGATCTTAGCTTCATTCAGGTTCACTGAATCTAATTAAAGGCTGATTAGCTGTTTCAAGGTTTTCTGTGACTGAGTAATCCTCCACACTTCCTGTCAGGACTTGCAAGCCTCGCTGTGCCCAGTGAAGACTCCTTAGCCCTCATGGAATCCCGACTGTGGGCAAGTCTTTTTAGGAACAACCTCCTCAGCCCTGCAGTTAGGTGGGCCACCGCGCGGGAATGACGGGCAAGGCCACAGCGAGAGAAGGCTCACCAAGCAGTTCTGGTTGAGATGAGGCTGCGCCAGGAATTTCTTCCCAGGCTGACTTCTGAGGAAATACCTCGTCTTAAGGAAGAGATGAAATATTCACCTCTCTCACATTTAACTTTAGTTCAACCGAAGGCATTAACATGTATACTTGCAACAAATGAATTCTGATAGGTCAATTTTACCTAATGGAATCTGTTGGTTTTTAAGGTTCTGTGACTGAAGAAATAGAGACTAAAGAAAAATTACAGGCGTATATAGACTAAAGAAAAGAACCAGAGAATGAGGAGGAGGGATCTGGAAAGATAGTTACCAAAAAATTTGAGGCTTTCAAGGATTTTTACTTTCTTTTTCCTTTGAATTTTTATATTGTCCGATTTTGGGTAAAAGAGCATATACTACTCTCCAGGAAAAGCAATAAAGCTATTTTCCTTTTAATAAAAAAGATATCAACACTTTAAGGAGAGCTATACTGAAAGACTGCTTCTGATTAACTGATAGACTGATCTTTTAGTTGCATGGGAAAATTATTTTTCTTGAAAATATATCCTGCCTGACAGCTTCTAACTCTACACCTAATCTTAAGAGGTAAATAGTTAACTCATTGAGATGAAAGCAGATACCCCAAGACATGCCATCAGTTTACAGGAAAACAGCCTACGATAACCTATTCATGATTATTTAAAGGGAAATTTTTGAAATTTGAACCATGTAACTTTGATTCTCGTCATAAAACTGGAGACACATATAACAGGAAAACCCCTCAAGATATAATCAAATCACTCAAGAATGCAACAAG